>NC_000009.12:71970552-72595552 GCF_000001405.40 Homo sapiens | reverse complement strand
AACAGCGTTCTGGCCATCACTGAGCCACTGGATCAACCCTCATCTGCAGGCCACTCTAATGCTAGACTTAGTAATTATGTAAGGAATAAATTCCCTCATAATTAAATCCACTTGAATCAAGAGCACCTGAACTGATACAGTGATTATGTTCCATGTTATGTGACTCCCCCACCAACAGTGGCTGTATCTTAGTGAAATAAGAGAGGGCACTAGACCTTAGAGCAAACAATATGTAGGCTGGTCGGGGTCTATGAAGTAGCCATACACAGAAGTTCTGTCTAGTGAGGACACCAGATACAGGGAAGTAACTGACCAAAATTAATACCATTTGGCTTCAAATCCTTCAGTAAGTCTATCGGTAGCAGCAGTTGAATCAGAAGCAGAGGAGGCCAGGCATGTTGGCTCACACCTGTAATTCCAGCATTTTGGGAGGCTGAGGTGGGCAGATCACCTGAGGTCAGGAGTTCGAGACTAGCCTGGTCAACATAAAGAAACCCCGTCTCTACTAAAAATACAAAAATTAGCTGGGCGTGGTGGCACACACCTCTAGTACCACCTACTCGGAAGGCTGAGGCAGAAGAATCACTTGAACCTGGGAGGCGGAGCTTGCAGTGAGCCAAGATTGCGCCACTGCACTCAAGCCTGGGTGACAGAGTGAGACGCTGTCTCAAAAAAAAAAAAAAGAAGAAGAAGAAGCAGAGGAGAGCTGCACATTGTGAGGCAGGCAGGGAGAGAATTGGAGAGTATGTCTCTCTCCTTTTCGAATTGTAGCATGCCCCCCAAGTCATTTCAAAATTCCCCCAACATTCTAGGGGAAAATTCATGAGGAGAATATGAGAGAATATAAAATAGATGTGATAGAATATGAAATCAGTCACATAAATTGTGGGACATAGTCAAAGTTTGTGTTTTCTAATTCAAAGTTAAAAAGTCTGATTTCTTTCCCATTATCATAGCGAAACAGGCCATGTCACCCCAAAATTTGCTGATGTGGCATGTTGATTATTTTGAGCTAAAGTCACCTGAGAAACAGCAGATGCCGGAAAGGGCTATGTGATCTGCCCTCTTCTACCTGTCGTAAGCCAAAAAGATTTATTTAAGAAAGTTGCCCTCCCTGTACCAGAATAAGAAAATAACTCTTATCACCATTGACTGGGAGTTGATGCTGCAATGGAGCTGTACAAATAAACTTTCTAAACTATCCCTTATCTTCCTCTATCTTTACACCTCCCTAGTGAATTCCCACAATTTACTGCCACTGGCCCAAACCCCTTTGTCTTGTCAGCTCTTCATGAATTTATGGTTTCTCTGTCTAAAAGGTATTAGAGCTTTCTGCTTTGTCCATTTCTTCAGGTCTTCTGCTGTCTCATGAGGGTCTCCGCGTACATGTAAAAATCAATAAAACTCATATATTTTTCTCCTGTTAACCTGTCTTACAGTGATTTAATTCTTAGACCCAGGTGAAGATCCCAAGAGGTTAGGGAAGAATTTATCTTTCTCCCCAACAATAGAAATTAGAAACAAACTAACAAAGACAACAGCAGAATGATGAGTATACTCTCATACCTCTCCCCGTCATAGATGCAGCCCCTGCCCCTACCATCGCCATATTAGTAACACCATGCCTGGGCAGGAGAAGGGGGCCCTTTGATGGAAGAGCAACAAAGGAGGTCACTGACTGAGGGTCTGCACTTGCCACCAACGAGGCTGCAACACAACCAGCCAGAGATGAGCAATATCCAGTCAGTTCCAAAATACCCTTCAGTCTTTGAGAAGCCTAGGTTTTCGCCTGTTTCCATTTTTCTTTTCTTTTCCTTCTTCTTCTTCTTTTTTTTTTTTAAAATAGAAATGGGGGTCTTGGGGCTGGGCACGGGGGCTCATGCCTGTAATCCCAGCACTTTGGGAGGCCGAGGTGGGCAGATCACCTGAGATCGGGCGTTCAAGACCAGCCTGACCAACATGGAGAAACCACGTCTCTACTAAAAATACGAAATTAGCCAGGTGTGGTGGTGCATGCCTGTAATCCCAGCTACTCAGGAGGCCAAGGCAGGAGAATTTCTTGAACCCGGGAGGTTGTGGTGAGCTGAGATCATGCCATTGCGCTCCAGCCTGGGCAAAAGGAGCAACACTCTGTCTCAGAAAAGAAAAGAAAAAAAGAAAAGAAAAGAAAAGAAAAAAGAAAATGGGGATCTTACTATGTTGCCCAGGCTATTCTTAAACTCCTGGCTTCAAGCGATCCTTCCACCATGGCCTCCCAAAGGGCTGGGATTGCAGGCATGAGCCACCACACTCCGCCAGATTTTTGCCTGTTTCTGTTTTCTGAAATGCTGGTTTTGGGTGGAGATATCTAACTTCCTTATTCCATGTGTTCTTTCAATAAAACTTCTCTTAATTACAGTGACTTGAAGGTTTCTCTCCTCTTTGAAAACTGAACACTATTTTCAATAATTATCCAATTTTTCCAACCATTTCAAAAGAAATTCTATCTTCACTCTAAAGAATTTTACTCACATTTTTAACCTTAAAAAAAATGATTCTTTTCTCCCAGAGCAATACTGTTTTAACAGCCCTGAGCCTAGTCAAGATAATAGTTGTTGTATCACTTACTTCCAGCAGATGGCGCTATTGCTGGTTCACACACCCACTGTCCTAGGAAATTTAATCTCATTACTAAGTAAATACCAACAACTGCTTCACAAAGGTAACTGCTTCTCCCTCTTCCTGAGAACTCATCACAGTTTTAACAACCACCATCTCCCTAACTGACCCATTGGACATTTAACAGCTGTCTTTGACGGTTCCATAAGTGTAAGACATTGAGCATCTGATACCTAGGGATGTTCTCCAGTCACTGCAGGCAACTTAGAATCTAGCAGGAGAGGTGGCCATTTAGCAAATAATCCCACAGATACATAACCATGGCTTTGATTTGTGCTTCAGAAGGAAACACGCACACCTGCTTGCTAATGCCACACATGACCAAGCCTGAGAGGTGGGACCCAAAGGAGAAGTAGGGGGTAAATTCTGAAGGAGGAGGGAGAGGCAGCCTCCCAAGGAGAGCTCACAGCAAGGTGCTGAGGCTGGAGGATCACGGCACCTGAGTGGAACCAACAAAAAGAGGCCAGAGCTTTGACACCAATGATAAGAGTAAAAGAAAAGAGAACTGACTGATGCCATTGATAAGTTCCTGGCTTTAATGATCCCCAAGTTTATATCTGTAATGATCTTCCCTTCCAGGTTCCACATATATGTTCCTGCTTGATGTATCCTCTTAGCTGTTTCAAAGGTAACCCTCAAATATATGTGTAGCTTTGACTTCACCATCTTCTCAGGTCTGTAGGGCTGTCTCCTGAATGTCAATGAATAGTGAAACTCGTCATTTAGTTGTGAAATTCAGAAAACTGTAAGAGTCCTGGAGTTGTCCTTTACCCTGCTGATCAAATCCTGTTGATGTTATCTACCACATCAGATGGTTTTTTTGCTCGATCAGTGATCAGCAAAAGGGCTGTTCTGTGTATTGTATGATATTCACCAGCATCCCTGACCACTACCCACTAGATGCTAAGTGTGATCTCTAAACTAGCAACTAGCGCCTCCAGGTAATTTGTCAGAAATGCAAATTCTCAGGCCCCATCCACGACCTACTAAATCAATGATACCCAGATATCTGCATTTTAACAAGGTTTCCGTGCCAAGGTGCAGTGGCTATAATCCCAGCACTTTGGGAGGCCAAGGAGAGAGGCTTGCTTTAGCCCAGGAATTTGAGACCAGCCTGGGCAACAGAGTGAGACCCTGTCTCTATTAAAAACAAACAAACAAATAGCCATGGTGGTCCATGCCTGTAGTCCCAGCTACTCAGGAAGCTGAAGTGGCAGGATTGCTTGAGCCTAGGAGATGAAGGCTGATCAAGGTTGCAGTGAGCTATGATTATACCACTGCACTCTAGCCTACGCAACAGTGTGAGACCATCTCTAATAAATAAATAAGACTTCCAGGTGATACTCAAATCCACTACAGTTTGAGAACCACTGCTTCAGAAACCCACTGCCATGAACCTATTCCATCACTTCTTACCCGGGCTACTGCAATAGCCTTGTAATTATTCTTCTCCATATTCACACTTCCTTCTACAGTGAATCTCAATCCTGACACACTTTATAACCTACTGGGAGCCAACCTAAACTAATTAAATCAGGATCTCTGTGGGTGACACCAAGGCTTTGATATTGTTTAGAAGTTTCCTCTGGAAAGCCAAGGCCAGAACTACTACTCAATGCTAATCCATTCTGCCTTGCAGCCAGACTGATGTTTAAAGCTGCAAGTCTGGTCTTAAGTAGAGGTGCCACCTCTACTTAAAATTCACCTTGATATAGCCTCATTTCTTAACACCTACAGGGCAAACCAACAAGCAAGGGGCCTGTGTTTAAAGCCACGCACCCCTCCCATCTTCATCACACTGACCTTCTGTCTGTTCTCTGCAGGCTCCATGCTTTGTCCTGCCTTAGAGTCTTGCACCACTGTTTGCTCTCTTGGCCTAAACCACTCTGTCTTCCTCTTTTTGCCTAGGAATCCTCACTTATTCCGCGGATCTCAGTTTCTTCTTCCCTTCCCCAGGAAAGCCTTTCCCAACCTTCCCTCTTATACTAAGGGTAGGTAAGAGTGGGGTAGGGCCTGAGTTTGCCCAGAAAGTCCTGATTTATGCCTGTTGTTCCAGGACAATTAACACACCCTCTTACATGCTCAAAAATGTCCTGTTTGCAACAATAAATTATATAATGCCCTCACCTGTTAGATACTGTCACACACTTTCTCATATACCTCCCCTTTGTGACTCATCACAGGTGCCACTTTACATTTTTTTGGTGACTCTTGGATTCATGTCCATCTTCCTCACTGGACTGAAACAGTTTGACACACAGGAGGCACCCAACGAATATGTGTTGAATGAATGAACAACCTTTTGAGGTGAGCATTAATTAGTGTTCCCATTTTACAGAAGAGGAAACCGAGTCGAAAGAATTTTAAGTATTTGTGTGATTTGCCAAAATCACACAGTTAGGAAATGGTATGGCTGGAATTTGAACCTAGCTCTGGTGTTTTTCAAGATCATAACCATGAAGCTTGGAGAGAGCTCTTTCACTGCCTGATTCAGTGACTAAGATTCTACAATAGCCCAGGATTGAGCTTTGCTCAGTCCTTTTTAGAACTGAACTCAGCTTGAAAGCTACACAATTATTTCCTTTCCATTGAAATTGCAATCTGCTTCAAGGAAATGAAGCTTATGGCTGTCAGAGTATAAAGGGCAAGTGTGT
Organism: Homo sapiens; assembly: GCF_000001405.40. Classification (NCBI taxonomy): domain Eukaryota; kingdom Metazoa; phylum Chordata; class Mammalia; order Primates; family Hominidae; genus Homo; species Homo sapiens. The sequence goes on along the minus strand of NC_000009.12, from coordinate 72,590,240 downwards.
GGGAGAAGCCAGAGATCAAACGGTCAAATACACTTGTTATAGAATTTTTCATGAGCTGAAAATGCTATCATTTGAATCCAAGCTTCTCCCCATTGGATTTTTAAAAACTGAGAACAAAGGGTGAGGGAAAAGGCAGCTGTCAGTGAATAATCAGGAGGCAGATGGAATGGTGCAGGCCTGGGGACAAGGAGGAGAGGCAGCCAAGGGCTGGGACAGAGATCACAAGATAAGTCAGCATAGCAGAAGCTAAGAAGCTGCTTCTCCCTCAGCCCAAACACAGGGGCAACATTGGATACCCTGCAGTTCATCAGTGGGTCCCTCAACTTGCACCAGCTTCCCTTCCTCTTTCAATATAGTAATAGTAAGTTGTAATGCCCTGAGGTCACTTTGTCTCTGATTCTCAGTTTCCTCATCTGCAAAATGAAGAAGTTCCATCTAAACGACCTTTAAAGTTGTTTTTGGCTGTAAAATTTTATGGTTTTATAACCCACAGCCAATGCTGTTAGAATTGACTCAAGAAAGACAAGAACACACCTGGGTATTAGTAGTCATTCTCTTCTCAAAATCAGAAAAAGGATGGCCCATTTATGCTATTCCTCAACCCATAACCTTACAAACTGCACCTGATTGTTAAAAACGTGCCTCAGGTCAAGTCCGACATGCTTTGAAGTCTAAATTGAACCTTGAAGCTCAGAGCCAAATGAACCCCAACCAGAGTGAATGCCACAGTGTACTAAATCTCAAACTGAGATGAAACTTAAGCTATCATTACAAAAATATACATTTAATAGAAAAAATTGGTGGTGATATTTTTAATTTTTCAATAATTTCATTTGTTGGCAAGATGAATTATGTATAATTTTAGACAATTAAATCGGAACAAACCCAGATTGTATTAATAGTTCACATTTGTGAAACACAATGTATTTAATAGACATTTTCTAATTGGATCAAAACGTTTCATGAGGCTTTGTTTGTTTGTTTCCCCACACTGAGCCTCTAGCAAGTTTATAAGGTTGATGTCAACAGTAGAAGTAAGTAGCTAGGAGGTAAGACCAGCTAGGAGAATTTATTCAAATGCAGCTCTGATGTTTCTGTGCCTTGATGCATGCCGTTTACTTGTCCAGAAAGCTCATTCCCCAAACTCCACCTAAAGAAGTCTTGTTTTTCTGGCCTGGCATGGTGGCTCACACCTGTAATCCCAGCACTTTGGGAAGCCAAGGCAGGCGGATCACCTGAGGTTGGGAGTTCAAGACCAGCCTGACCAACATGGAGAAACCCTGTCTCTACTAAAAGTACAAAATTAACTGGGTGGCGCATGCCTGTAATCCCAGCTACTCGGGAGGCTGAGGCAGGAGAATCACTTGAACCCAGGAGGCAGAGGTCGTGGTGAGCCGAGATCACGCCATTGCACTCCAGCCTGGGCAACAAGAGCAAAACCCTGTCTCAAAAAAAAAAAAAAAAATCTTGTTTTTCTATCCTGTCACTTACCTGGGAAGCAGTTTTCTGGGGCCTCCACATTCTTTGACCTTCCTGCTATTGAAACATAGGGTCTATTTTTCTTCCCCTTAAAATTGGCCTCTACAACTCCTTGATGAATAGAATATGGTAGAAAGAATGCTGTGCCAATTTGCAGACAGACTTTAAGAAACTGGCAGCATTTACTTTCTGCCTTGGAACCCAGCCACCATACTGTAAGGGAGCCAAACAGCCACATGTAGAGGCTGGGAGTAGGTGGTCAAGCTGACAGCCACAGCTGAGGTCTCTGTCTACAGCCAGCATCCACTGCCTGACATGAGAGCACAGGAGTGAGCAAGCATTCAGATGATTATAGCCCCCAGCCTTTGAGTTACTCCCAGGTTTTGAGCTGTCCTAACTGATGCCCCATGGTATAGAGAGGAGCTGTTCTACACAGCCCTATCCAAATTGCAACTTCATGAGCAAATTAAATGATTTTTTTGTTAGCTTCATCCCTGAAGTTTGGGGCAGTTTGTTATACAGCAGTAAGTAAGCAAAGTGACAGGAGTGAAGCCGTCTTTAAATTCTCACACCATCCTACAACCACCATTACCATCAGCATGATAGTCATTAGGGTAGTTCATGATTATTCTCACTCTCTCCTCTTTCTGGGTACAAGACAAAAATGCACTCTCTCTGGGCACAATGGCTCACACCTGTAATCCCAGCACTTTGGAAGGCTGAGGAGGATGGGTCACTTGAGGCCAGGAGTTTGAGACCAGCCTGGCCAACATGGTGACACCCCATTTCTACTAAAAATATGAAAAACCTTAGCCAGGCATGGGGGTGCATGCCTGTAATTCCGGCTATTTGTGAGGCTGAGGCAGGAGAATCACTTAAACCTGGGAAGCAAAGGTTGCAGTGAGCCGAGATGGCGCCACTGCACTCCAGCCTGGGCAAGACAGTGAGGCTCTGTCTCAAAAAAAAAAAAAAAATTAAAAATTAAAAATGTATTCTCCACCTACTCCCTCTGAATTCAGGCATGGTCATATGATGGATTGTGGCCAATAAAATGCAATTGGAAAGAATATATGTCAATTCTGGGCAGAAGCTTTTTAAAATTCAGGGTACAATCCAACAAATTTCCTTCCCCCTCTCATAGTGGTGGTAGAAGCCCACATAAAAATGCATCTTCCATCAATAGACTTCTTGAAGGGACTAGGAAAAACAGGGCTATGTTGCCAACCCATGCTGGACATACAGCTTGAGGAAGAAAATAATTATTTGTTGGGTTAAACAGCTGAGAATTTAAAAAGTTATCTGTTGGCTGGGCACAGTGGCTCATGCCTGTAATCCCAGCACTTTGGGAGACCGAGGTGGGTGGATCATCTGAGGTCAGGAGTTCAAGACCAGCCCGGCCAACATGGTAAAACCTCGTCTCTATTAAAAATACAAAATTAGCTGGGCGTGGTGGCGCATGCCTGTAATCCCAGCTACTCAGGAGGCTGAGGCAGGAGAATCACTTGAACCCAGGAGGCAGAGGTTGCAGTGAGTCGAGATCAAGCCATTGCACTCCAGCCTGGGCAACAAGAGTGAAACTCCATGTCAAAAAAAAAAAAAAAGTTATCTGTTACATAACCAGATTTCTCAATGGCAGCACTACTGATATTTTGGGCCAGATAATTTATTGTGGGAGGGCTGTCCTGGGCATTGTAAAATGTTCAGCAGCATCCCTGACCTCTATCCACTAGATGCCGGTAGTACCACCACCCCACAGTTGACACACTCCAGACTTTGCCAAATGTCCCTTGTTGATGGGAGAGAGGCAATAGACTACACCAATTGATGCAACCACCACCACCAGGAAGAATGAGTCACTTCCTCTTTACATTTTGAAAGCCTTAATAGATACTCCTGTGTAGCAATCATATCATTCACCACATTGAATTACACTTAGTTACTTGGACTCTGGTCACCCTCAAGAAGATTGTGAGAGCAGGTAGAAAAGTAGGGCAGGTGCAAAGATCTGCCTAGAGTTTTGAGTTTTCTCATGTTATACCAAGTGACATGGCAGGAACTCACAGTCTCTCCCCGCAAGATGACCAGATGATCCTCTTTGGGGTCACTGCAAATGGCTGGGCAGTGCACAGACTGCACAACGGTACCCAACTACAGAGATAAGTGGCAACTGAGCTCCATCTCACACCTCTCATTAAGCAACCTTCGCACGTAGGGTGTGAGTTTTTCCTTATTCATCTCTCTGAATAGAAGCCTTTTTGAAAACTTTGCACCAAGGCTAGCAGCTTCTCTGACCTAGATTGTGGGGGAATCTGAGCTACATACAGATCCACACAGGACAGAACTAGAAAATCAAAGCTCTCCTACTACATGCTGACACAGAAATCCATCTTGTCCTAAATCTTGTGGAAGAGACAGAAAGCTAGTTCAAGCCACTGAACAAGAGTGGGTAAAAGAAATGCAAGCTACAACTCCTTCATTTGTGTCGGGCAAACTTCAGCAGTATTCCCTAAAATTGGTTCTTTATCTGAATCAAACTGGCATCTCCATCAAATGACATAAAATCCCCAAGCCCTACTGTGTGGGCCTGTAGAACTCTCTAATCTATGTAAATTAAGCACTAATTAGAACCATTTTATTAAAGTTTCCATATAAAATGCCAGCTAAACTGTATATATTAGTGCATGTTGAAATCAGCCCTTGTGTAAATTGTTTCCAAAAGCACACATCCAGGGAGATTCGATGCAGCTGCTGGTTGTGAAATCTCCCCCAGGTTCTTCTCAAGCAGCTCTTCTTGCTGTTTTAAAATAGCTACCAAAGTCAAACAGTCCAGGGTGGCAACACGGTCGGAGGAAGTCTGACATCAATACTGGCAAGCCTCAGGGTGCATGACGAATCCTCCTGCTTCTCCATCTACGCCCCATCCACTCCACACTCACCTCTCCATTCCTACACAACACACATCATGATTCTTGATGGCTGAATGGCAATGGCTCCTCGTCAACTCACCACCAGGTCCTATCTGCACACCATCACTATATGACCCAATAACTTCTCCACTGACAACTTCTCCCAGGAGAAGTCTCCGTACATTATACTCGCTTCACCTTTCTCTTATTTTGGTCAACTCCAAGCCAGAGAAACTCTTTATTTTGCAAACTTCTGTATGCTCTTGATCCTCATGACCTCTCTTTGTGGGAAAATCCAGTTAATGTCTGTCATTGGCTTTTCCTTCCCTTTTCTTCTTGTATTGTCTTATTCTTTCCTCTTTCCTTCCTCTCTTCATTGTGGTTGTCAATTAAGACATGGCACCCAGGCCAGGCGCAGTGGCTCCCGCCTGTAATCCCAGCACTTTGGGAGGCTGAGGCGGGCAGATCACGAGGTCAGGAGATTGAGACCATCCTGGCTAACACGCTGAAACCCCGTCTCTACTAAAAGTACAAAAAATTAGCAGGGCGTGGTGGCAGGCACCTGTGGTCCCAGCTACTCAGGAGGCTGCGGCCGGAGAATGGCGTGAACCCAGGAGGTGGAGCTTGCAGTGAGCCAAGATCGCGCCACTGCACTCCAGCCTGGGCGACAGAGCAAGACTCCATCTCAAAAAAAAAAAAAAAAGACATGGCACCCATGATGAGTGACAGGAGTAAGAGAAGCCCCAATGACACCCCTTTATCAAGAAAAATGGCCAGGCATGGTGGCTTACACCTGTAATCCCAGCACTTTGGGAGGTCGAGGTGTGCAGATCACTTGAGGTCAGGAGTTTAAGACCAGCCTGGCCAACATGGCAAAACCTCATCTCTACTAAAAATTCAAAAATTAGCCAGGCGTGGTAGTGCACGCCTGTAATCCCAGCTACTCAGGAGGCTGACGTAGGAGAATCACTTGAACCCAGGCGGCGGAGGATGCAGTGAGCCAAGATTGTGTCACTGCACTCCAGCCTGGGCAACGAAGCGAGACCCTGTCTCAAAAAAAAAAAAAAAAAAGAAAAGAAAAGAAAAAGGAGAACTACATTTTTACGTTGTAAGGCATTCGAGAAGGATCATGGTGTTAAATTACCCAGAAGTTCCCTTAAAAAAATTCTACTCGCCTCACCTCTAAATAAACTTGTCTTTCTCTAGGAGCAAAGTTAATGATAATCTATTGTTTATTACTTATGGTTGGTAGTGACATTCCCATTTCTCACTTCAATTTGATGACATTATGCTGGGTGCGGTGGCTCATGCCTGTAATCTCAACACCTTGGGAGGCCAAGGTGGGCAGATCACTTGAGCTCAGGAGTTCAAGACCAGCCTGAGCAACATGGCAAAACCCTGTTTCCACAAAAAATAAAAGAAATTATCTGGGTATGGTGGCATGCAGCTGTAGTCCCAGCTACTTGGGAGGTTGATGTGGAAGGATGGTTTGAGCCCTGAAGGTGGAGGTTGCAGTGACCTGTGATCTCATCACTGCACTACAGCCTGGGTAACAGAGCCAGACCCTGTCTCAAAAAAAAAAAAAAAAGTAGTGACATTATGCTTTCTTCATGCAACCTCCTTAGCTTAGAATGATCTTCTCTCCATTGTTTGCCTTTGAAATACCTCTTTATCTTTTAAAGGCCTGTAGAATGAATTATTCCTTCCCCTGTACCCCTACATCAAGTTGCTTTTGTTGCAATTGAATACCTATTTTAGTTTGTTTTGTATTTCTTTCTCCTTCTATAGCCTGTAAGGCACTAGAAAGACTGAGTACTGTTAACATTATTAACCCCCCTGCCAGGAACATCTTTGTCTGGCACGTGGTAAACCCACAAGAAATATATATCAAAATGAAATAGACTAGGAACCTGAAGACCACTCACAAAGTTATTTCTGATACAAATGCATTGTTTTTCAAACAATTGACTTATTCATTTATTTGTACACTACTTTTTCCATAATAATTTCAGACAGCCTACAGATACTGTTATTTTTTATAATGGCATATTTTGTAAACTAAAGCCAAGACTGAAGATCAATACCAAGGAGAAAGGAAGAGTCCAGATATATGGGCCATAATGTCTTACATAGCCATAAAACTTGGGCTACAAGTTTGGCTCTGAGTTTCCTGACAGCCAAAGCACAAAGGAAAATATGTTTAATTACATGGTTCTCACTGTCCAGAAAAAGAAAACATGCCATTGCTTGAGGGAAGCAAAATTTTCCTGGCACTTCCTTTTGAAACAAAAGCTCTTGTATAAGATTTCTCATTAGAGTTGTTGAGTCAGCAAACAATTGAGTCTCAGTTGGGATTTTGGTGCACAATTTTTTTGTTTTGGGAACTGCTAGTGAAGAATCATATGGAAAGAGGCAGAGCAAAAGAGATTAATGTAGTGAGGTTATTTTATCTGCTCTTAAATAATAAAGATGGGAACATGTCTAATAAATAGAACCAATGCAAAGCATAACATAACATCCCAGAAGTAGGTGTCAAAATTATTTTCCTGTTTTCATTGCTTTCATTTGTCTGTTTATTTGGGGTTTTCTTTCGTGGAGGGGAAGGGGTTGTTTTTGTTTTTGTTTTTGTTTTTTGAGATGAAGTCTCACTCTGTCACCCAGGCTGGAGTGCAGTGGCACAATCTCAGCTCATTGCAACCTCCGCCTCCCAGGTTCAAGTGATTCTCCTACCTCAGCCTCCTGAGTAGCTGGGATCACAGGCACACACCACCAATCCAGCTAATTTTTTTGTATTTTTAGTAGAGACAGTGTTTCACCATGTTGGCCAGGCTGGTCTCAAACTCCTGACCTCAAGTGATCCGCCTACCTCAGCTTCCCAAACTGCTGGGATTACAGGCATGAACCACTGCGCCCAGCCCTGTCTGTTTATTTGTAATGACAATGAAAACATTTATGCTTCTGCTTTGTGGAAATTTTGAATGGAAATTTAGATCACTGACTCAATATTTCTGAGGTTTAGTGTGGGTTTAACAAGTGGGATATTGAAAAAGGTATTGAACAGCTTACATTTAATCATTAAGCTAGAAATAAAACAGAAATAAATGAAAATGATCTTTTCTCAAAAAGTCTTACATGAAGCACTGAAGCTTTTCAAAATCAAGAGTGTTATTAAGTTTTGATTTACCCCATTCATTGAGCTAGAAATGTAGAAATCCAGAAATTCAGGATTCTATGCAGCAAGTTAGCATACAGCTAGACAAGGCGGGGGCAATAAGAAAGGGGAGAAGAGGAATTTTAAAAGGCTAGTCAATCTATTTGAAAGCTTCCAAGGGGGCTATGTGAATCTCACTTTGAGAAGTAGATCTGCTCCTGGATACTAACTAAATCCTCAGTTAATATGCAGGCTGCCTATCCAAGCCAAGATCAACTGTGCTTTAAATTTCAGTTTAAACATTCTGGTGGGCTGGGGGGAAGGTAGGGAGCTAAGTAAATTATCGTACAGACAGGACATTAAAGCATAGCACAATTTTCTAAATATGTTTTTCTTGCTGTTTGCCAACATTTACAAATCTTTGCATGTTTATTGTTAAGATGCTATCGGCTGAGCACAGTGGCTCACGCCTGTAATCCCAGCACTTTGGGAGACTGAGGCGGGTGGATCACCTGAGGTCGGGAATTAGAGACCAGCCTGACCAAGATGGAGAAACCCCATCTCCACTAAAAGTACAAAATTAGCCAGGCATGGTGGCGCATGCCTGTAATCCCAGCTACTCGGGAGGCTGAAGCAGAAGAATCGCTTGAACCCAGGAGGCGGAGGTTGCGGTGAGCCGAGATCGCGCCATTGCACTTCATCCTGAGCAACAAGAGCGAAACTCCGTCTCAAAAAAAGAAAAAAAGATGCTATCATTTCCTGTAAAGTTATTCAACATGAAAACTGATAGCACTGTTTTAATGATTCTGTTTTCTGCTAGTCATCTCAAAAATATTCTCATCAACCTAACACACAAAAAAAATTCAGACTATTTTCAGCACTGTGGAGCATGAGAATGTAAAATGTGAAGTGTTCACCCCTAAAATAGTTTACTAATAAAAATAACCAGACTTTTGAGTCACTCCCCATTATTAAGTTTTATTTATAGATTTCTGAGCTGTTACTCAGGAAAAACAGTGGAGATGAGAAGGCAATAAACTGCTAAGCAAAATATACCAAGAACATATTTGATATTTGAGGAGAATTTGAAATTGAGCTGTGCTGATACTTCTTGCAAGGTCACTGTGTAGCAAAACTGTAATTCTTCTTTTAGTAATAAAACTGGCCCAAGAGTCCTCAGGGCTAAGAGTGCTAATCCAGTGAGAATACATTGAGAAAGAAGAATGAAAGACAGAAATGGAGTCAATGCATCTCAATATACTGACTGCAATTCCAGTTAGGATATAATCCATGAGCAACTCATTAAAAATAAAAACGTGATCATCACAGATGGCCAGAGATACAACCTGATATTTATTCATGAAATATCCTTGTGAAAAGTGGCATTAATAAAACAACCTGGGAAGGTAAACATAACTAGAGAAAAATAAATAAAGAACCCTAAATTAAGTTTTCCTTGTCAACCTTCTATTTCCCCTTATGCTAGTTAAGGGTGATGCATTATCCATCCAAGAAAGCTTTAAGTACTTGAACTCCAAAATGCTAATCTTTCACCAATCATTATGCATTATTTATGGGGCTAAAGTATTGGAATAAATTCATTTTTTATGTATTCCAAATAGCATAAAAATTCTTTTGAAGTTAGGATCAAACTGTTTTACAGAGTTATCGAACTTTTGCAGTGAAAGCTGGACTTTCTGCAAATATAGAGAGAGGCAGAGGAGAGTGAGCAAAAGTTGTTTGCCACCCTGAAACCTCTGACTGAGGATGGGGCATCATGCTAGCATCTCAGGTTTGACTTGGACATCATTTAACCCTGAATGAGATTCTAGTTTTGAAGAGGTGTTGTGTTATCAGTAGATTCATGTTCAAAAATCTGCCCACCCTGCTTCACTTTGAAGAGACACAATTTAATGTTAAATGGAATTTTCCAAGGCCACTAGATATTTTTGTGTAAGGAGGAGTTGTTTGTTTGCTTGTTTGTTTTTCGTCTGGGAATTCAAGCTTGGAGCAGAATGCCAGTAAGTTTTTCTCAGTTGTGGTATATATCAATTAATGAAGTAAATGTGACCAAACTTAACTCTGTGTATGTGCTTGTATGTGTGGTGTATGCACTGGCATGCACACACACACACACACACACACACTGCTTCACTGTCAGATTTAGAGAAGAGGTTTGGAAGTTAGTGTCTTCAATATCTTAAAATGTACATAGGAAGAAATTAAGAGACTGAGGCAAGACAGTGCAAAACCCAAAGCCAGGTTGGATCCCTGTACTCAGTCAGATACCATGAGCAATGTGAGGAAATGAGAAGGGTGTGTGTAATAAAACTGCTGGTTGAGGAAGATATGAGTAAGGCTGCACAGTGAGCTGATAGTGAGGTTTCTGGGAAAGAAATAAGGCAATACTTTGGAGTAAAGAAACAAGGAAAGAGATAAGACTATATAGTAGGAAAAGATATAGTTCCCCATGCTTCTTAAACTTTGAGAAACATTTAGAGGCCTTCATAAAATGCATATTCCTGGACCCTACCCCTGAAGAAACTGATTCAGTACGTCTGAGATGGCACTCAAGTATTTGTGTTTCTACCAAGATCCCAGGTGACACTGATTCTGCTAGTCCACGGACCACGCTCTTTTAAATAGCAAAGCTGTAGATGCTGACAGATCTGAGTCAGAACCCCTGCTTAGCCATTTCTTAATTGTGCACCTTTGGGAAGATGACCAAGGCTCTCTGAATCTTGTTTTCCTCATTCTTTTCTTTTTAAATTATTTTATTTTTAAATTTTTATCTATTTATTTATTTATAGACCAGGTTATGAGACTGGCTAATTTTCGTATTGTTGGTAGAGACAGGGTTATGCCATGTTGCCCAGGCTGGTCTTGAACTCCTGGGCTCAAGTGATCTACCCACCTTGGCCTCCCAAAGTGCTGGGATTACAAACATAAGCCACTGCACCCAAGTATTGTTTTCCTCATTCTTAAAATAAAAATAGAGACTGCATAAGACTGTTGTGAAGATTGAATAAAATAACATATTTAAAGCACCTGGGACGTAGTAGCAACTTCACATACACTTCCATTTTTATCCCTTCTGAGTACAGAAATAGGGAAAATAGAATCATGACCCAAGAGGGGCTCCAGGAAAAAGGGGAGGGGGCTGTGTGTCTAGAAGCTAAAGCGGTGGTTCTCAACCCTGGACTGGCATCAGAATCAACCGGAGAGCCATTTAGAAGTGGAGATTTCCTTGAGTCAAAGGACTGAGTGGAGTCTACAAGGCTTGCTTGGAGCCTGGGTGATTCTGGCGCCAGGCCCGAAGTTGAGCCCCAGGGACATATAGAAGTGTGAGTCAGATTTCCAAGGCAGAGTCCTGGAGAGCAGAGACCAAACAGGTGAAGCCAGGAACTGAGAAGACAAAGTTTTAAACTCATGAGCAGTAACAGAGTTAGGAGAAACCAGAGAAAGAAGCTTGCAGATAAGAAAGGGGAGTATATTAAGGATCAGTGTGAGTAAATACTTAGGTTACAATGACTTGCACCTTTAAAAAGTTAAATAAGCAGGTTATAAGTAATGTGATTACAACTCCTCACTGTATAGAAAGATTCAGCTCTGCAATCAAATGGATGCTACTGATTTTTCAAAGTAGACAAGATAGCATAAAGAGGTAAAAAGAAACTGGGAGAATTCCAGAAGCCCTAGATCCTCAAAAAGCAATTCCCAATTTGAGCTACTCTCCCCAATCCAACCACAATAGTAGAAACTGGAAATTCATCCAACGACCAACATCGAAAGGAACTACAACTGGGGGAGTTTACGATTCTGAGATGCCCCATTCATTCTATTCTTCTTTCCCCAGACCCTCAGGCACCACTACAGTGTGTTTCTCAGAATGCCAGAAATTGAGAAAGGCTGCGGGTGACATGGTTTCCTTGATAAATATGAAAAATGACATGTATTATAACTCTTTGTTGACTATGCCCTAGGCACATTAGCATATTTAATACTTTTAAAAAGCTCCTCTATTAGAAATCCTTATTTCAGTAAATGCTTTTGTAACCTCCCTCCTGTCACTAGCTCGTCAGAGCACACACACTCCATAGAAAACAGTCCTACGGCAAAGTCTGTAGTTGCCGCTCCCTCTGCCTGCCCCATTGCCAAGATCTGTAACTAAAAGCTGCACTGTCTAAATGCAGAGTTGTTCGGACTCCAAAACACTTCCTGTTGAAAGGAAAACTTCTCTTGGCTTTCAGATTCATTGCTTGCGAAGGAGGGATAAGAGCATCACTTGTTTGTCAGTTGGCTTTCATCATTGGTGCAGTTAGTTAATAAGCAGACAGTATGTTAATAACATGGACATACCTGCTTGAGACTCTCTGCCCCCGTAGGGAGATCAGAAAATACACACACACACACACACACACACACACACACACACACACGCGTGCGCGCGTGCACAAAGGAGGGTGGAAACAAGTTATTAAAGAGAAGATAATGTGCTCAAAGTCCTTGAGGAGGAAAATAAAATTACAACCAACAGGCCGGGTGCAGTGGTTCATGCCTGTAATCCCAGTACCCTTAGGTGGATCACTTGAGGTCAGGAGTTCAAGTCCAGCCTGACCAACATGGTGAAACCCTGCCTCTACTAAAAATACAAAAATCAGCCAGGCATGGTGAGGCATACCTGAAATCCCAGCTACTCAGGAGGCCGAGGCAGGAGAATCACTTGAACCTGGGAGGCGGAGGTTGCAGAGAGCCGAGATCGCACCACTGCACTCCAGCCTGGGCAACAGAGTAAGATCCCATCTGAAAATAAATAAATAAATAAATATAAATAAAGAATAAACTAATTAATTTCTAAAAATTACAAGAGGCAGAGCCCAAAACACAGCATGCTGGCTGCGTGAAGACCCATAACTCAGTTGGCATGTTTTTCAGCAAGCTATTACTCCCCTCCCTTGAAACTCCAGCTTGTAAATATATTTATAGCTGCTCCACACAATATGCCGGATACTAAAAAAAAAACACTGAGTCATTGTTCCTGGTGAACCAGTTTTGCAAGAGTTAATCTAATCCCTGGCATGAAGCTCAATATGCTTTGCCAAAAGCTTCAGCAAGGAAGAATCCCGCTTTTGGCCTAAAGGTTAGCTGATCTCAATCAGGCTGCTACAGAAACTCAGCATTTATTGACAGGGCACACTGTTTTTGATCTGTCTAGAAATGGAGGCATTATGAAGTGCACTTGCCAGTACCTGTGTTAATTGATGAGTCTCTCTTTTACACAATCATAGTAAGTGCCCTGAGAGTTTTTGGCTTCTTGTTCCTTTGCTCCACCCGTCCCTGTGTGCTGAGGCACAACAGTCCACTGGAGTGGGAGTTTCCAAATCAGATGTGTCAGCTTTTCCTAACAACTCGCAGAGTGATTAAAGAATTTTAAAGCAAGTAATTTCACTGTGACTCCCCTAGGTTATGAGCAGCCCAAGAGGAGGAACAATGGTAGCTCCAGAAGTTCTAACAGGAAGAGGAAAGGGTCAGAGATTTTATTAAGAAAAGAATTTTGGAGGAGTAATCAGCGGATTTGACTTGAAACAATAGCTGCAGAGTAAGTACATTATTTATCCTTAAATTGTATGCTGTAGCTTCATTAAAAAAAAATAGCAAACATTTCCGAGAATAATTTCTGTAAGATTGAAAAAAATCCCAGTTGGCCATATTGCAGAATAACACCAAGGCTGGTGAGTAAAGCACGTTCCAGGAGGTAGAAATTGGGAGTCCAGGGCACCGGGCGCGGTGGCTCATGACTGTATTCCCAGCACTTTGGGAAGCCAAGGCGGGTGGATCACGAGGTCAGGAGATCCAGACCACCCTGGCCAACATGGTGAAACCCTGTCTCTACTAAAAATACAAAAAAATTAGCTGGGTGTGGTGGCGCATGCCTGCAATCCCAGATACTCGAGAGGCTGAGCAGGAGAATCGCTTGAAGTTGGGAGGGAGACAGAGACTGCAGTGAGCCGAGATCGTGCCACTGCACTCCAGCCTGGCAACAGAGCAAGACTCCGTCTAAAAAAAAAAAAGAAAAAAAAAAAAAAGAAATTGGGAGTCCAGGGAGGGGCTGGTCAAAACCCATCAAGCCATCCCTTGGCATTGGGCAGGAAATGTAACTGATTCATCTTGACATCCCAGCTCTGTGTACAGTCGTTGGCACAAGAAGGAGCTCCGTAAATGTTTATTGAATCAAAGAGGTGCTGAGCACCTAAAGGAGAGGAGGAAGGGAAGGTTCGAGAAGATAGAGAAGAGAAAAGAGGGTCAGAAAGGAGAAAGGGGAGGGAAGAGAGAGGAGGAGAGAGACAAGAAGGAAGGGAGAAAGAGGAGGGGCTAGAAAAAAGACCATGACACAGTTGGCCCACAAGCTGAGAGTATTTATGGTGCTCTAAGAGGTCAAGTATATTTTTACCCTCTTGGCCAACTAATACAGTTGTTAAATGTCACCATGATCACAGCTCTTGCTCTATAAAACTGGATATATGTTTTCTCACATTAGAGCTGTTTTCTAGAGTTGATTTCCTACAGCTTAGTTTGACATCTTAATGAAGATTCCACCACGAGTATGCCATCTCCTCAAATGGTGCCATCTTTTCAGGCACAGAGGAAACCTGCCTTACTTCTGCAGACATTACCATCAAAAACATTGTCATTGTCCTGGGTCCCCTTCCCCAACGAGTTATTTCTGTACTTCTGAAAACTTGTTTAGCTGATGGGAAAACACATGTGAGCCTAGTTTGTGTGTGTGTGTGTGTGTGAGCCCAGTTTCAACTGGCCCTCTTTCCTGACTCATAGGAACCAATCAGAAACTTGTGTTCTGCAGCTCTGTCATTTCCACTCCAGAGAAGAAAAATGTCACAAGCCCTGGATTGTGAAGTAACAAAGTGAGCAATACAAAATGAGCCAGAGAAAGACCAGATCAAGGACCCAGGGCCACCCCAAAAGCTGCTGTGACCCCATGTCCTTCTCATATGAGGCTTCTTTGTTTCAGTTAGTGTCGCCTTCTGGGCAAGAATGGACCAATGAAAGGCAAACCATCTGTGTGTGTGCTTCTCTCAGATGCCCACAAAACTCCCCATAGTTGTTACCTTCTGGGAAGCTCCGAATGTTGTCATTGTTCCTGATTTTCCTATTCGAGAGATTTGCAAATTTAACGACATGGTATTTAATCTTTAAACCTTATCAGGCCAGGCACAGTGGCTCACACGTGTAATCCCAGCACTTTGGGAGGCCGAGGCGGGCAGATCACCTGAGGTCAGGAGTTCAAGACCAGCCTGGCCAATATGGTGAAACCCCGTCAGTACTAAAAATACAAAAATTAGCCGGGCTTGGTGGTGGGTGCCTGTAGTCCTAGCTACTCGGGAGGCTGAGGCAGGAGAATCACTTGAACCCGGGAGGCAGAGGTTGCAGTGAGCCGAGATCACGCATTGCACTCCAGCCTGGGCAACAGAGCAAGACTCCATCAAAAAACAAACAAACAAAAAAACCTAATTTGCTGTTGTGGAATATCAACACAAATGGGATAATACAAGTACACCCTTTGTACAAGCATCTTATTATTTGTCTCTATATAAGTAGAAAGATGGAGGTGAAAGAGTGGTCAAGGAGGGGCTGGGAGGGAAAGCATGACAAAAAGAAGGACTGGGGCCTCACGACAGTTGGCCACCAGCTCTGGTCACCACACCAAACTCAAGGCACTAAAATCATTCCATAAGAACATGGGGCACTGTACTAGCTCTGGTCCTGACTTTCTAGGAGCCTAAGCTTTATGGTGGAGACAGATGAGTGAACAGTTACAATGAGGGAGCAATTTCAACAATGGGGGTGAAGATGGGGAGATCAGCAGCGTATGTGGGGACTAGTAGGAATGTATGGTCAGAGAATACTTCTCAGAGAAGCTGACTTCTAGAAATTCACCTTGCATGCATCTTACTTCTTATGACCCCCACTGCAGAGCAAGGATGCATGTAAAAAGTGACAAGGAAGTAACCATTATCGACCTTAAGTTAACCTGGCATTCTGTATCAGCCCAGCTTCCTGTGGTTAGCAGGTGGCCTTTTACAATCGCCCTCTGACATTTTCCAGTTGATCCCAAAAGCTAATTCCATATTACCAGGGGAAAGAGTGATGTTAAATGCCTTTTATAAAAAAGGAAGCATTTATTGAAACTGAATCATCAACTTTAATCTGGGTTGCTTTCTGAAATGGGAGCAGTCTCTGCTGCAATATTCAGATATTGGCCTTGCTTTCCTGATAGCACCATATCTGTTTCTGAGCCAAGGGATCAGTCAGGATGGCAACCCATGCTGGAGCAGCCAAGAGCTTGGGCGCCCAATTAAATGGAGGTCACTCATCACACTTCCCTATTTGTGTTCTTTAACCATCTGTACTGGAGGAGACCCTGTTCACAATTCTTTCTGTTCTCTTTTACTAGCCCCAATCCTACCATTTCAAAAATGCTTTGTTTCCAAAGAATATCCATATGGAGCATGGAGCATGGCCACTCTCTAATCAGAATAGCAAAAAGTAAATTAAAAGGAACAAGATCATGGCTTTTGCAGGAACATGGATGGAGCTGGAGGCTATTATCATCAGCAAACTAACGCAGGAACAGAAAATCATATACTGCGTGTTCTCACATATAAGTGGGAGCTAAATTATGAGAACTTATGAACACAAAGAAGAAAACAACAGACTCTGGGGTCTACTTGAGGGTGGAAAGTAGGAGGAGGGAGAGGAGCAGAAAAGATAACTATTGAGTACTGAGCTTAATCCCTGGGTGATGAATCATCCGTACAACAAACCCTCTTGACATGAGTTTACCTATGTAACCAATTTTCACATGTACCCCCTAACCTAAAATAAAAGTTTAAAATAAAAGAAAAAAGACAGTAAAAGGGAGAAGTTCTCAAAAGAAAACATTTGACATAAATGCCACTAAAATATTGCAGTAACAGAAATCCTAATTAAAGGGAGATGAAATGAGTCTGTTTTTCTCCGAGAATGATTTAGAATCATTATAAACCATATAAATGAGAACAAGACCAGCCACTTTTGGCTAAGCCACCCTGTACAGGAATCTATTGCCTGCCCCCTTAATGGTTTAAAGCAAGGTATGTTCTCTTCCAAAGTTTACGCACAGGACTTAACAATTGCCCCTTTTGTCCTTCATTCCAGGTCATCGTGGTAGGTAGAAATGCTGGCACAGCATGCTAATGTCATCATGTACTGTGAGGTCTTTAGTGGGTGGTGGATTTTGAGGCTGTGCATTTATCCTACCGCCTCTTATCCTAGCACCCCTATTTAGAGGAGAACACACTGTCCATCTGCTTATATAGTTCTTTATTCTGAATTAGCCTTCATTTTCCTCAAATTTATGTTAGAACAGGTATGACACTCAAAATTCTGGGTTTGAGGGATAAACGTGAAAAAGATTTCCATAAAGTGAAGTATCTGAGAGAAAGAAGAGTTTGATGGGTTATGACCAGGCACATATCATGTGGTCAAAGTATATGAATAGAAAATGCATAACAGAAAAAAACCAATGGCTCATGCACATCTGGAAAACAAAATTCAACCTCACTAGTTATCAAGGGAAATGCCTCTTTAAACAATAATGAGATAGCATTTCATAACCAACAATATTGACAATTATTTTATTTTATTTTATTTTTGAGACAGAGTCTCACTCTGTCCCCTGTGTTGGAGTGCAATGGTGTGATCTTGGCTTACCACAGCCTCCACCTCCCAGGTTCAAACGATTCTCCTGCCTCAGCCTCCCGAGTATCTGGTATTACAAGCACCCACCACCATGCCCAGTTAATTTTTCTACTTTTAGTAGAGACAGGGTTTCACCATGTTTGGCCAGGCTGGTCTCAAACTCCTGATTTCAGGTGATCCACCTGCCTCAGCCTCCCAAAGTGCTGGGAGATTACAGTCATGAACCACCATGGCCTGGCCAATAATTTTAAATTTAAAAAAGAGTAAGTTTTGACAAGAGTGAAAGGAATCA
Organism: Homo sapiens; assembly: GCF_000001405.40. NCBI lineage: Eukaryota > Metazoa > Chordata > Mammalia > Primates > Hominidae > Homo > Homo sapiens. The sequence continues at coordinate 72,572,653 of NC_000009.12, read as the reverse complement.
AGAAAGTGTACAAATTGCTAGTGGCAATGTACACAGGTATTACCCCTTTAGGAAGCCATTTGTCAATGCCTAGCATGGTTGACTATGGGCACCTCCTTTAGTCCCATGTCTATGAATGTCTTTCACATTTATACAAAGAGAGATGTTCAAGGATACTGCCCATAGTACCGTTAACAATATCTAAAAAATAAAGAGAGTTTGGAGGCCAAGGCGGGCAAATTGCTCGAAGCCAGCAGTTCAAGACCAGCCTGGCCAATATGACAAAATACCATCTCTACTAAAATACAAAAATTAACCAGATGTGGTGGTACACCCTATAGTCCTAGCTACTCAGGAGGCCAAGGCAGGAGAATTGCTTGCACCTGGGAGGCAGGGGATGCAGTGAGCCGAGATCACGCCACTGCACTCCAGCCTGGGTGACCAAGTGAGATCCTGGTTTAAAAAAAAAAAAATCAAAAAATAAAGTGAGATAAAGAGACAAATTGTGTATCATAAAATAAATTAAAAAGTAAATAATTGGCCAAGCACAGTGGCTCACACCTGTAATCCCAGCACTTTGGGAGGCCCAGGCGGGCAGATCACCTGAGGTTGGGAGTTCGAGACCAGCTTGACCAACATGGAGAAAGCCCATCTCTACTAAAAATACAAAATTAGCCGAGTGTGGTAGTACATGCCTGTAATCCCAGCTACTCAAGAGGCTGAGGCAGGAGGATCTCTTGAATCCAGGAGGCAGAGGTTGCGGTGAGCCGAGATTACGCCATTGCACTCCAGCCTAAGCAACAAGAGGGAAACTCCATCAAAAAAAAAAAGTAAGCAATCTACACAAAGCAACATGATAAATCTCAAAAATATATTGTTGCTTCTAAAGAAAGCAAATTGCAAAAGGATGTGTACAGTGTGATACTATGAATATAAACATTCAATAGAAATAATAGAATAATAAAAATATTACTATATACGGTATTGCTTATGGATAGATACATTTGTAGACCAGCCTGGCCAACATGGTGAAACCCCATCTTTACTAAAAATACAAAAAATTAGCTGGGCATGGCGGTGTATGCCTGTAATCACAGCCACTCGGGAGGCTGAGGCAGGAGAATCACTTGAACCCAGGAGGTGGAGGTGCAGTGAGCCAAGATTGCACCATTGCACTCCAGCCTGGGCGACAGAGCGAGACTCCACCTCAAAAAAAAAGAAAAAAAAAAAAAGCGTGAGGTTGATTCACACCAGCTTCAGGATACTGCAAACCTCTAGAACACAGAGAGAGAGAGAGAAAGAGAGAAGTAATAGTAATCAGGTAGTTTTCTTACTTTTCTTTTCTTTTTTTTGAGACAGAGTCTTGTTCTGTCACCCAGTCTGGAGTGCAATGGTGCTATCTCAGCTCACTGCAACCTCCGCCTCCCAGGTTCAAGTGATTTTCCTCCCTCAGCCTCCCAAGTAGCTGGGACTACAGGCACCTGCCACCATGCCCGGCTAATTTTTATATTTTTTGTAGAGGCGGGATTTCACCATGTTGGCCAGGCTGGTCTCGAACTCCTGACCTCAAATGATCCGCCTGCCTTGGCCTCCCAATGTGCTGGGATTATAGCCATGAGCCACCATGCCCAGCCATAATTGGGTAGTTTTCTATATCTGAAAAATTATTTACAAAAATGGAGATTTGGTCGGGTGCGGTGGCTCATGCCTGTAATCCCAGCACTTTGGGAGGCCGAGGCAGGTGGATCATTTGAGGTCAGGAGTTCGAGACCAGCCTGGCCAACATGGCAAAACCCCATCTCTACTAAAAATACAAAAATTAGCCAAGCATGGTGGTGAGTACCTGTAATCCCAGCTACTCAGGAGGCTGAGGCAGGAGAATTGCTTGAACCCAAGAGGCAGAGGTTGCAGTAAGCCGAGATCGCACCACTGCACTCCAGCCTGGGTGACAGAGCAAGACTCTGTCTCAAAAAAAAAAAAAAAAAAAAAAAAAAAAAAGGAAATTTGGCAAAGTGTAGATTTCTCTTAAATCTACATGGTAAGTATATGGTGTTAATGTTATTTTCTCTACTTTTCTGCATATTTTGAAGTATTTCAAATTTAAAATATAAGAAATGAATTTAAAAGCAATAATACTAAGATCCCATAAAATATAATGAATGGCCACATAAAAGAATATACTATATACTTCAAAAGATTTGTAATTCTGTAGACCAAACTGTTCATGATGGTGGTCTCTGGAAAAGGTATTTCAGAGTTTTTTTTTCTGGACTTTCTATAATTTGTTTTGTTTGAATATTTGCCATAATTGTGGATTACCTTGGTAATATCAGAACAACCAGCCAAAATGTTGAAAAGGAGTGAAGGAGATAAAGAAAAATCTAAAGAAATTTGTATATAAGTATTTACCACACACACACACACACACACACACACACACACACTACTCTTTGAGCCCCACCCCCTTTCAAAGAGTGGGGCAGAGGGAAAGAAAAAAACTGCAGTTACGTTCTCAGAAGCCAATAACTAACTAAGCCCTAATTTTGCAATTATGCAACACCAGCTGCCATTTCTGAACATTCACAAAGATCTAAAAAAGGGCTCATTATATTCCTCTGAAATCTGCTCCTCATCCTGTATTCTCTGTCAAGATGAATGTTGCCATCAATTCTACCACCTTAATAACTTTGTATCCCCCTCACACACACACCCCACACCCTTATCCCAATGCTACCACCTTAGTTAAGCTATCTTACAGATCGGTTCTTCTTCACGCCTCAGGACTTAACCCTTGGAATCCTTCTAGCAGACAGCACTCAGGGGGATCAGCCAGAACCACAAATGACCACATAAATCCCTTCCTCAATTCATCATCTCTACAAAATGTCAATGCTTCTTATTACTGACAAGATAGAATGCCATCTCTTTAGCCTGGCTTCCCAGGTTGGAGCCCTTCAGGAGCTCCTCCTGCCTACCTCACCATGTTGGCCTCTCTCCATGCACACTGTAGCCCCGTCATCTCCCTGCAGCTACCTGTAGTTTCCTGGGCTTCACTCTGTGCTTTGTTGCTTCCTCTGCCTAAATGCCCTGCCCCATCCACCTGGAGAATAGTTCATTTGGCCAACTAGCTCAGTTTGGCACTTCCTTTATGAAAACTTTCCTGATTCTTATCCATACATATGTCCATTTCGTCACAGAGTCCAGCTTTTTTCACTCCATCCTGTTCTTATTTTATGGATTTAATGATTTCCCAATTCTCTTTCAGTATACCAAATAGAAGCTGTTGGTTTTAATTACAGTCAGCTCTCTGTAGCCGGGTTCTACATTTGTGGATTCCAACCAACCATAGGTTAAAAAGATTCTGGAAAAAAAAAAAGTTGCATCTGTACTGAACATGAACAGACTTTTTTTCCTCTCATTATTCCCTAAACAATACAATATAACAAGTATTTACAAAGCATTTACATTGTATTAGGTATTATAAGTAATCTAAAGATGATTTAAAGTATACAGTAGGATGTGCATAGGCTGTATGCAAATACTGTACCATTTTATATCAGAGACTTGGGCATCCAAATTTTGGTATCTGAGGGAGGTCCTGGAATCAGTCCCCAACAGATACCAAGGGATGACTGTATTTATTGTTTAGTTCACTTCTATATTTCTCAAATTCCTTCCATTTTCACCAAGGGACAACTTGTTTTTCTTGGATTATCTTGTTCATGCTGTTGGTTTTCCAAACACATCTAATAATTCCGTGTCTTACTATTCAATTTAGCTTTTATTTTCTAAAAAATTTTTGGAATGTCTAATCTGCTGATAATGTCCCCTTCTGTTCCCTTTGCTTTATAGATATGTTTAATTTTGAAGATCTACACTTTTATTTCAGAGAAGTATGGAGGGGCACAATGAGTAAATACAAATGTTTGGTCCACTATCTTGGATCAGAAGGCTAGCCGAACATCTTGGATTCCACTGAGCTAATTGACATTGTATAATAATGAAAAAAATAAACAAATTTCTCAAGACTCAAAATATCTAAGAATGTAGGTCAAGAACATTTAAGGTAAGCAATCATGATTTCATAACTATAAAGCTTACAGTGTAAGTTTCTTTGAAGAAGAGCCTATGTTCTCTTCACCTTTGTAGCTGCGGTGCCTAGCCTGGTGCCTCACTCATAGCAAGTCCCCATAAAGAGTTGTTGAATAAATGTAACGTTAACAGAAGAGCCTGAAGCAATCTTTCTGCTTTATTGTGTTCTGATTATATTCATAACTAGAATAGAATTCTAATCTCGTTTCCATTTTAATTGAAAAATGGAGAATTTAGACAGAGCCAAAAGTGTAAGAAACATTTTAGAATAGGGTTTCCTACCTTCGTTGCCTCAAGAAATACATGCTCTCTATAGGTCAAGCTTGTGACTGTCTATAGGGCACAAGGGAGTGTGTTGAAGAGGCAAGTTCAGTTTGGGGGGTTGAGAAGTGGTGGAGAAAGAAGCAGTAAATTTGGGGAAAGGATCTGACTACAAAAGCTAAACCATGTTTATCTGGGGATTCCTGAGTGTCTCTCCTTTTCCACCAGAAATCCTAAAAAAAAAAAAAAATCATTGAGGGCAGCGCCACACCCTCCTCCTTTTCCACACTTCCAGTTAGTCCCAGGCTTTCAGTCCCAAATTCAGTACTCACAGGCCACAAGGATGGAGATTTGGCCCAAGTTTAAATTTAACCTGTGGAATAAAACACCATCTAGGAGTAAGATCTCCCAGAAGATGATAAACAATTTTTAGGGCCTCAGGTTAAAATCTAGATTAATGAACAATGATTCAAAGGTAAAATTATTTGTCTGAGACAAAATAAGACTACATGAGTGCCTTAGCTGTCTTCAGCTGGAAGGCTATTTTGAGGATGGTGCTTAATATGGTTTGGCTCTGTATCCCCACCAAAATTTCACCTTGGATTTTAATTCCCATAATCACCATGTCTAGGGTGGAACCAGGTAGAGGCAATCGGATCATGGGGGGCGGTTTCCCCCGTGCTGTTCTTGTGATAGTGAGTGAGTCTCATGAGATCTGATAGTTTTAGAAGCATCTGGCATTTCTCCTACTTGCACTTATTCTCTCTCCCGCCACCCCGTGAAGAGGTGCCTCTGCCATAATTGTAAGTTTCCTGAGTTCTCCCCAACCATGCAGAACTGTAATCATTTAAACCTCTTTTCTTTATAAATTACCCAGTCTTGGATATTTCTTCATAGTGGCATGAGAATGGACTAATACAGTGTTATATATCCATTTATTCCCTTCACAGAGGGGGAAGATGGGTGTAAATATCTGAGAACATTCTGGGGAAAGGAGTTACAGTGATGAACAAAGAAGACATATTTGAGAAGTGAAGAATACAGACAAGTAAGCAGACAAATACGAGACCGTGATAAACCCTACCATGATCCAATGATCAGGTGCTATGGGAACATAAAGACAGACATATGCTTGGAACGAGGAGTCAGGAAAATGTTCCCAGGGGAAATGACATCTCTGAAACCTAAAGGATTTGAGAGGAACTCATCATGGCTGAGACATCATCTGTGAGGTGGAGAATTGTGAGGCCTGAGGCAGGAGACATAAGCAGAAAAATTATAAAGGAACATCTGCCCCCACACTAGAGAGCTTGAACTTGACCATGAGGGCAAAGAGAAGAGCAACTAAAGGGGTTGAGATTGGGATGCAACAAGGTCTGATTTGCATTTGAGAAAGATCTCTCTTGCTATAATATGTGGAATGTGTTAAGAGATGAAAACAACTGGGCACCTGGTGCTGGGAACTCAGATAGGAGTCTGTGACCATAACCCAGGAAAGCGGGGAGAAGGCCTTAGACTAAAATAGTAGCAGTAGACTAGAGACAAGTGGATAGAATCAATCTGGAGGGCATGTCTGTGGCAGAGTCCACAAGGGTAGGAGGAAGGGCATAAAGCTGTAGGCTAAATGTGCTTTTTTATCGGAGTCTGAGGACCCCAGAATGTTCAGCTGCTCAGAGCAGGGCTTCCTGTGGGCTCCTTCTGTTTGCAGCCTGTTTCACCTTTCACAACGCAGCATTATTTGGTCTCCCCCTTTCCACAAAGGGCCTGTTCTCTGAACCTCTGTGGTCCATTTTCCATCTCCCTCCAACCCCACCTGAAACAGTGGCCTTTCCTCCTCACCTTCCCACCCACCCCAACCCTGTACACTTCCCAAAGCCCAAGATAGTCCCTATGGAGTGACTTCTTGAGGGCTTCTATTGAAAAGGCAGGGATAGCCCTTGACTCTATAGAGTTGACGGCAGATAGTGGATGATGGAGGGAGAGAGGTAATCCAGGAAACTGGTCCTTTTTAAGATTGTAGTGGTTTAGGATGCTAAAGCCAGAGGATCACTTAAGGCCAGGAGTGAGTTCAAGACCAGCCTGAGTAACATAGCAGTACTCCCATCTCCCATCTCCACAACAAACAAACAAAACATTAGTTGGGCATAATGGCACGTGCCTGTAATCCCAGCTACTCAGAAGGGAGGATCACTTGAGCCCAGGAATTAGAGGCTGCAATGAGCTATGGTCATGCCATTGTATTCCAGCCTAGGAGGCAAAGTGAGACCCTGTCTCTTCTCTTTTGTTTATTTTATAGATGGTCCATCAGTCACTAGTGAAAAAATTTATATACGTGCACATGCATACACACAGGCATACTGATACAGTTTGGCTGTGTCCCCACCCAAATCTCATCTTGAATTGTAGCTCCCATAATCCCCATGTGTCTTGAGGGGAGCTGGTGGGAGGTAATTGAATCATGGGGATAAGTTTTTCCCATGCTGTCCTTGTGATAGTGAATAAGTCTCGTGAGATCCGATGGTTTTATAAAGGGCAATTCCCCTGCACACACGCTCTTGCCTGCCACCATGTAAGATGTGCCTTTGCTCCTCCTTCACCTTCCACCATGATTGTGAGGCCTCCACAGCCATGTGGAACGGTGAGTCCGTTAAACCTCTTTTTCTTTATAAATTACCGTCTCGGGCATTTCTTCACATAGCAGTAGGAAAATGGACTAAAACACACACAAAGCTCCAACATACACATACACACACACCCTCCAAAGGACAATTATTAATTCTCAAATATATACAGCCTATAAAATAAGAAAAAATAAACATTTTCCTAACTGCCTCATAATTTGCAAGTCACCTTTCTTACACATAGAGTCAGTGTTTTATTTCCTCCTTCTTCACTTTCAATTTGTGCTTCTTCATTCCTAGCAGGAATAAGAAAGAGCCTACTGCTGAGTTAAAACACCTCTTCATAATTACTTCCAAGGTACCCAATCTCCTATTCAAAACTGTGATACTATTTGTCCTTAAGGCTTGATTAAATTTTTAGTCAATGTTTCTCATCATCCTGTTTCTGCCGAGGGTAAGGAAAAATATTTATTATTTTATTGTTTCAAATGCATCAATATGTTGTGTTCCTCTAGTCAAATAATAGAAAGTGTTTAGTAACAGTACAATATTATGCAAAGGTCTCTGGTTAAAGTAAGACCTTGGCTCAAAAATGCTCACTAACTGCCCAATACTGAGTAAATCACTTCTTTTTCCTAAGTCTTAGTTTCCTCATCAGTACAGGGATGGTTAACATAGGTTGAGTTTCTTTTCCATAATATAATTTATTTTGAGTGCAAAATTACATACGTAAGTAGTTAATATGTAGCAGTTGTTTTAAAACTACTGTATTTAATTTTGGCTAAAATCAGAAATCATTTGAGGTAATCATTAATTTTTGCAAATGAAGCTGCTAAAGCACAGAATGAGGTAAGTTCTGCCCAGTTCCACAAAGTGGCACAGTCAGGAACAAAGGCCAACTTCCTGATTCTTGCTCAGAGTTCTTTCCATTATACCTTCTAGAGAGAGCTGGAGTGTGTGGAAGGGGGAGAAGAGCCTTTCACTATGGAATCTGTGCCCTAAGGACATGTCCCCCACTAAATGTCTAGGCAAATGCCAGTTCTTTTCAATGTCCATGTGGTTTTGTCTTGGATGGAAAAGTTTTTTTCCAGCACCACCTATCCTATTATCTGTTTTGAAAGGGTAATCTGTCAGGCACATCAAACATTAAAAGCAGTGGGAACATTCTGAGGTTTATAGTGTGTATATTTTTCTCACCAATTAAATCTTCACTCCTCAGTTATCAGACAAAAGGGAGAAAAGCTGTTCCCCTCCTCCCCTAAAAAGAGAAAAGCTTTTAAAACACTTGGCAGAATCTACTATTCAAAGTGGAAAAATAAAAGTTTCAAGTAATATTAGATGAATAAGGCAAAAGAACACATGTGTTCAGGATAAAGTTTGTTTGCTCTCAGGATAAAATATTGCTGCTTCATGATTCTAAGCTATTATCATTAGAGCCAGATTGTAGCCAATTTTATCAACATAATTTGATGTTTTCCCTAGGTTACCATAATTAGAAAAATATAGGGGAAGTTTTAAGCAGAACCCACAAAATAACAACAAAAAATGGCATTGGTAAAAATATAATTTGTCTAGATGGCAAAGTAAAGGATTGGTGTGTAAAACTCTTGAAGTTTCTTCTTTCCCCACAAGTGATATGTGTGATTAAAGATATCATCAAGACAGTGATATGATCGCCTAGGAAACAATTCAAGAGTGCCATATGTCCAGGCTGGAATCTCAAACTCAATACATTCCAATAGGAATCCTATATCTCCTCCCCTCCCCCAATTTATACTTTTTTTTTTTTTTTTTTTTTTTTGAGCCAGAGTTTTGCTCCTGTTGTCCAGGCTGGAATGCAATAACTTGATCTCGTTCACTGCAGCCTCCACCTTCGAGGTTCAAGCGATTCTCCTGCCTCAGCCTCCCGAATAGCTGGGATTACAGGCACCCGCCACCATGCCCAGCTAATTTTTTTTATTTTTAGTAGAGATGGGGTTTCACCATGTTGGCCAGGCTGGTCTCGAGCTCCTGGCCTCAGGTGATCCACCCATCTCAGCCTCCCAAAATGGTTGGATTACAGGCATGAGCCACTGCGCCCAGTCAATTTATTCTTGCTACCATTTATTCTTCATCTTAGCAAAAGTGCCATCAGTCATCAAAGATATCAACTCCTTCTTTCCCCTTATCTTCTGCCTTCCTCCCCTCCCAAATGGTCTCTTAAGTCCTCTACAAAAATCCTAGAAATGCCTCTGGCATCCATGGTCACTGTGTTCATTCTGGCTTTCATTGTCTCTTGCATTATTGGCAGTTGAGTTTAATGAATTGGCCCCTTGGAGTCTGCTCTTATCAATCTCCAACCCATGCTTCTTATGAAGCCAAATTACCATAGTGAAATGTAAAGCTGATGATGGTTGAACAATTTCTGGGGCTCCCTATTGCCTAAATATGGCAAAATTTTTCATCTGGTCTGGAAGACCTTTCTCAATCTGATCTCAATCTACTTCCTAATCTTCCTGCATCTCCATCCACCACCAAAACCACACAACTCAAACTTTGGCCACCCCCAGAGTACTTGCTATTCTCCCCTCAAAAACATTATTCTTTTTGTACCTCCACACCTTTGCTCATGCTGTACTCTATGTTTGTAAATCTTATATTTGAATTGGCTAACTAGTAACTTTCTTCTTAATCTGAAAGACAGTTCAAATGCCACATCTCTGTCCAATTTTCTTTATTTTTTATTTTATTTTATTTGAGACGGAGTCTTGTTCTGTTACCCAGTGATCTCATCTCACTGCAACCTCCACCACCTGAGTTCAAGCAATTCTCCTGCCTCAGCCTCCCAAGTAGCTGGGGTTACAGGCGTCTGCCGCCACACCCAGCTAATTTAAATTTTCTTTAATAATCCCCAACTTAGTTAGATCTTCCTCTGTATTTTCATACTATAGCTAATTAACTGTTATTATACCAATTATACCATTTCGCTATGATTTTTCTTACTTGGAAACTCCTTTCTAAATTTTTAAAAAAAATTTAATTGACAAATAATAATTGTATATATGTATGGGATAACTAGGGAACTCTGAGAGATGAGGTTATATCTTCCTTGTATCCCCAGTTTCCAATACAATGTCTGACACAATAGGGATTCAAATGCTTGTGAATCAAACTAAATTGTCTTACTTTCTCCTAGTGATAATAAACATGAATTATTTTCATGTATAATCTTTTCACTTAGACTTCCAGCCATCAGAAAAACAGATTAGTTCTCAAACAATATAACATAGCACAAAGGTGTACTGCTAAATATGTAAAAATGTAAATTACATAAATTACATGAGAGCACTGTTTTCATATCTGTCAAGCAGGAGGTTGAACAGATCATATAACTGAGCATAGGATGTTTTACGTACAAAGGAACTTGAAAAGAATGAGATAATGTAAAGCCAGTGACCCTCAAAAAAATTGTGTTTTTTAAATCAGAACCTGCAAGACCCTTGACTTAGAGCATATATTTATGAGTATATTAGTCAGGGCAGGAAGTATTCCTACTTACTGAGTTAATATTACAGGCAACCAAGTGGACAGAATGGTAACTACGTATGTTTAAAGCACTGTGAGATGTTATTAGACAGTAGTAAAGATCATGTTGTAATTACTGTTGACTTGTTTGGGCCCTTGTGTTAAAATTTTAATTTTTTTTTTTTTTTAGAGATAGGATCTTGTTCTGTTGCCCAGGCTAGAGTGCAGTGGCAGGATCATAGCTGACTGTATCTTCAAACTCCTGAGCTCAAGCGATCCTCCCGCCTCAGCTTCCCAAGTAGTGCGGATTACAGGCTTGAGCCACTGCACCCCGCTCCGGTTTGGGGCCTAGAAGAAGAAACATCTCCAACTCTGTGACCCAAATTTTCAGTATTCAAACGTGTGCCTAAAATGTAGAGAAGCAGTTGAGGCAGAATTGTGGAATAGAAATAGAACAGCCTGGATTTAAATCCCAGTTCTGAACTCACTACCTCTGCTGACCTTTGGCAAGAGACCTTACCCTTGAGGATCCTCAGACCAACTTGCTCTAAGATGGGACAGAATCTACTTCACAAGGCTGTGAGACTTAAGCTGAAAACAGTGCCTGGCTTGGAGCAAGCCCTTACTAAATGGTGTCTACTGTTGTTTGTGGACATTGTTAATGTATTTATTACTATGGCTTATAGTGAGACCAAAGCGCCAACTTTGGTCAGCCTTCCACATCACTGCTATAAACTTCTAAAATTAACAGTTTAACTTGCATAGTTTTGGTTCCTACACTTCTGTGAACATCCACTATATGGATCAGAGAAGAATAATAGAAATCTAAATGAAGCTGAGTTATTTTCTCTCTCTCTTTTTTTTTTTTTTTTTTTTTTTGAGACGGAGTCTCGCTCTGCCGCCCAGGCTGGAGTGCAGTGGCACGATCTCGGCTCACTGCAAGCTGTGCCTCCCGGGTTCACGCCATTCTGCCTCACCCTCCAGAGTAGCTGGGACTACAGGTGCCCACCACCACGCCCGGCTAATTTTTTGCATTTTTAGTAGAGATGGGGTTTCACCGTGTTAGCCAGGATGGTCTCAATCTCCTGATCTCCTGACCTCATGATCTGCCCACCTCAGCCTCCCAAAGTGCTGGGATTACAGGCATGGGCCACCGCGCCCGGCCTTTTCTCTCTTTAATTGTCCAAAAACATACTCCTGCTCTTGCCATTGTGTTGTATAGAATGGGAAATAGTCACATGCTGGGAAAATAAAATCTAAGTATCTCTAGCTAATAGGTACCCCTACAGAAATCTGATGTCATCAGAAAAATAAAATAATTATAATGAAGTTTGCTTGGGTGGTAAAATGAAGTTTAGTTGAGGAAATGTGAAACTTGCAAAACCTGATTAAGCAGACAGATAGAGAAAATGAGGCCGGGCGCGGTGGCTCATGCCTGTAATCCCAGCACTTTGGGAGGCGGAGGCGGGCGGATCAAGAGACCATCCTGGCTAACACGGTAAAACCCCGTCTCTACTAAAAATACAAAAAGTTAGCCAGGCATGGTGGCATGCACCTGTAGTCCCAGCTATTTAGGAGGCTGAGGCAGGGGAATTACTTGAACCCGGGAGGCAGAGGTTGCAGTGAGCTGAGATCGCGTCATTGCACTCCAGTCTGGGTGACAGAAAGAGACTTGGCCTCAAAAAAAAGAAAAAGAAAAGGAAAATGACAACAACTCCATCACAGACACATACAAATTGAGAGTAAATTATGGCAAAGTTCAGGTGGATGAGGCAAATTCAGGACATATAAAGATACAGGAGGGGATTAACCTGTATCTGATCAAAATTAGATAAGGTGATAGCCAGAGGTGTTTATACTGTACATGCATGTGGAATTTCGTGGTACATCCAGACATTGCTTCAGCAATCAGATACCTGTGTAATCTGGCTCTTGGGAAGTAAATAACAATAGCTACAACTCATGACATAATTGTTTTTATCTAATCATCAGAGATTGACAGTTGCACAAGGCAGGTTTTAACACTTCCCTGTTGGGGATATTGGGATAATGAGTGTTTTCAACAATGTTCTGAGCTGCTGAAAGCTACAAGCAAACATAGGGGTGATATGTCATGGTTATCAGACGCAACTATTATTCATTTTCCTTGTAATCAAGGAGATATCAGGCCCAGAGGCTCCTTCTAACATACCTATTTAAGAATGAGTTGATATTTCTCAGCCAAATGAAAGCTTTCAATTGTTCCAAAATAACAGTTTCCTCCTAAATACATTGAGGTCTGGTTGTGCACCAAGTGTCAGTGACTTTCTACTTGCTAAATCCATCTGAACACTTCTTAATATCCAAAGCATTGGACATGGTTGTTGACCTTCTTTCTTTAGCCATTTTTTTGTCATCATTTCTGTGTTTCTATTCAGATGGCACGATCATGGTGAGTGGTTTGTCTCCATTTTCGAAAATTTAACCACTCTTTTTTTTGTGACCACCATGATACCACGTTTTTCTGGATTTTATTACTTGCTTTGCAGATTCTTTCTCTACACATCCGATAAGTTTGTTCCTTTTCTAGGCCCTGCTCTTTTCTTTCTGAATTCTCTCTTCCTGAGCAGTGCCATTTATTACTCCATTGCTACAGCTCCGATGAGAAACACTGAGTGCTGTAGGAACTCAGAATATGACCTGGTCGTTACAGAAGGTATCAGGAAATAGGTGACACTAGAGTTTGTTTCCTAAAGATTATGGGCATCGGTGGGGGCCTACAAAGTTTCTGGTATGAGTTATTTTTGTGAAAAATTCTATCTCTTGCCAGGCACAGTGGCTCACGCCTGTAATCCCAGCACTTTGGGAAGCCAAGGCGGGTGGATCATGAGGTCAGGAGTCTGAGACCAACCTGGCCAACATGGTGAAAACCCATCTGTACTAAAAATACAAAAAATTAGTGAGGCCTGGTGGAGCACTCCTGTAATCCCAGCTACTCAGGAGGCTGAGGCAGGAGAATCACTTGAACCCAGGAGGCGGAGGTTGCAGTGAGCCAAGATTGCGCCATTGCACTCCAGCCTGGGCGACGAAGCAAGACTCCATCTCAAAAAAAAAAAAAAGAAAAATCTTCCAGGCTCATTTCTTACCTCAAAATGTGTTCATTTGAGTTCAATATGGTATCAGAGAAGTTGTATGACTTCATTTGTCCTTCAATCTTTCAAACAATTCTTATAAGGCAGAATAGGCTCTTCTATTTGGAAAGAAAAGTATGTTTTTAATTGCATTTCTTATAACAAAAAAAAATGGTTGAAAAAGGGAATTACACAACTTTTTGAAAATAAAAATTTTAACTGTATAAGCACAATTTTCCAGAGTAGTACCAGAAAAGTTGGCTTGGGAGGGGTATGAATTGTGATAGATTCCTCAAAGGATACAGGGGTTGCTGCATCCGACTCTGCAATTTTATTGTACATTTTTATATTTGTAAAGTGCTTTAAAATAACTCCTGACAAGCATGTAAAAGCATGTAAACCAGATAACCATTATCATCCCGATTTTTCAAAAGATGAAATAGAAACAGAGATCAGTGAAGGTGTCTGCCCTCTTCAAGTAGAAAATGGCAAGTGGTAACAGATTAGAAATCACTGAGCCTGAAATTCTATTATGCTGCATGAGCTGAAGTCCAGATCTACCCCTTGGATGAGTGCTTCTCAGCACTTCCCAAATTTGAACAAGGCAGTGCACAATTGTGAGAGTTCATCCAGATAATTCAGGTCAGAATTTCCCTGTGACCCTGGAATCTCAAAAACAATGTAATTGAAATTATTTAACAAACTCATTACTCTATGCTTAGCTACTGAGCTGGGCCACCAAGATGCTAGTGTCCCATGGGAAAGGGAAGAGATTTAACTCACATTTGGTTGGGCTGAGGTAAAGTAAGGAGAGTGATTGGGAATTTTGTTTATGTAAAAGTGTTGCATTTTAATTTAATTTTTAATAGATTTTCCCATGTCTTCATTTATGGAGACAGAAAGAGAGAGAGAGAGAGAAAGAGAGAAAGAGAGAGAGAGAGAGAAATGTTCACCAAATACACAGGCAAATTAGAAATATTTCCTATGTCTTCAATTTGGACAATTATCTTCACTGAAGAAGCATTTTTATTTTATTCCTGGCTGCCCTTACAGTGCCAGGGAAGCCTCTTTCTGTGAATATACTCTGATATCTCACTTATTAAAATAATTGACTCCCAGGAACAATTTCTCATGGTCTGAAGCCTTCCACACTGACCCAGCTGTGGAGGCCACAGAATAAAAGACATCCACTTGGGCTCCAGGTATTGCTCAATGACAATACAAATCAATGAGAAACTAAACAGCTGTTTTTCCTCTTTAGCCTCCCTCACACCAAAACACCGGAAGACTTGAGTGAGCAGATCAATGCCACAGGCAAATGACTCAGTGAAAATCTTGAATGTTTGCTAAGATCTCCTGCAGCATCCCAGGTCAAAGAGGCTGACTCAGAGGGCCCTACTCCCACTGCTGTCCCTGACACACATTGGAGAGGCCTTGAGACATGCTGCCTCTGAAGTCGGTATCATGTGACTCACAACCTAGATCTGGGGGACATGGCTTTAGTGGTGGTGGTGTTTGCCTTTCAGTTCTTAAGAATTTTTTTTTAACAGTTGTTGTCATTTCTTTGTTTAATGATTGTAAAATAAGTGCTCAATATTAAACATTTGGAAAGAACAGAAAGTTTTTTAGAACAGTAGAGAAACAATTATCATAATCCCATCCAGAAGTAATCACTGTAAACATTTGAGTCATTTCTGTTTTTTTGTTTGTTTGTTTTTTTGAGAGTCTCACTCTGTCACCCAGGCTGGAGTGCAGTGGCATGATCTTAGCTCACTGCAATCTTTGCCCCCCGGGTTCAAGCGATTCTCCTGCCTTGGCCTTCTGAATAGCTGGGATTACAGGTGTGGGCCACCACGCCCGGCTATTGTTTGTATTTTTAGTAGAGAAGAGGTTTCACCATGTTGGCCAGGCTGGTCTCAAGCTACTGGCCTCAGGTGATCCACTCGCCTCAGCCTCCCAAAGTGCTGGGATGATAGGCATGAGCCAAGCCACCTGTCCTGTCATTTCTTTTAGACCAGCGTTTCTCAACCTCAAAAAACAATTGACATTTTGGACTGTTTAATGCTGTCAGGGGCTGTCCTGTGCACTGCAGGATGTTCAGCAGCATCCCTGGCCTCTACGTATTAGATGCCAATAGCACTTCACTCCCCAACCCCAGATGTGACAACCAAAAATGTCCCCAGCCATTGTCAAATGTCCCCTTGGAGGTGAAATTGCCCTGCTCAAGAACCAATTTTTTTGTTTGTTTGTTTGTTTGTTTGTTTCCAAGACAGAGTCTCGCTCTATCTCCCAGGCTAGAGTGCAGTGGCGGGATCTGGCTCACTGCAACCTCCGCCTCCCAGGTTCAAGTGATTCTCCTGCTTCGGCCTCCCGAGTAGCTGGGATTACAGGCACGCACCACCATACCTGGCTAATTTTTTTTGTATTTTCAGTAGAAATGGGGTTTCACGATGTTGGCCATGCTGGTTTCAAACTCCTGATCTCAAGTGATCCACCCGTCTCGGCCTCCCAAAGTGCTGGGATTACAGGCATGAGCCACTATGTCCGTCTGAGAACCAATGTTTTAGAGAGTATGCTTTTGGCAAGCAGGAGTGTCTACTTTAGATTTATGTGTGGAAATTTGTGAGACGTTCCTAAGGAGTAAAAGTTGAAGCTTTAATTTCACAAGTAAGCCAGGCACAGTGACTCACGCCTGTAATCCCAGCACTTTGGGCAGCCGAGGAAGGTGGATCACCTGAGGTCAGGAGTTCAAGACCAGCCTGGCCAACACGGTGAAACCCCATCTCTACTAAAAATACAAAAATTATCTGGGTGTGATGGCAGGTTCCTGTAATCCCAGCTACTCAGGAGGCTGAGGCAGGAGAATCCCTTGAACCCAGAAGGCGAAGGTTGCAGTGAGCTGAGATCGCACCATTGTACTCCAGTCTGGCTAACCAAAGCGAAACTCCGTCTCAAAAAAAAAAAAAAATTCACGGGTGAAAAGGCTAACAGAAAGGTGTTTTGCAGAAGGTCACCAAGTGGATTAGGGATTAGGCCTGCCTAGCTTCTGATTTACTGATATTTCCACTCTTCTCTGTGCAACTTTTTTTTTTTTTTTTTTTTTTTTTTTTTTTGCCTTAGTCATAGATTGGTTTTCCTGGGTAACATCATTTAAGAGTTAAGTCCAGGCCAGGTGCAGTGGCTCATGCCTCTAATCCCAGCACTTTGGGTGGTCAAGGTGGGTGGATCACAAGGTCAGGAGTTTGAGACCAGCCTGGGGAATATGGTGAAACCCCATCTCTACTAAAAATACAAAAAAATTAGCCAGGCGTGGCAGCACATGCCTGTAATCCCAGCTACTCGGGAGGCTGAGGCAGGAGAATTGCTTGAATCTGGGAGGCAGAGGTTGCAGTGAGCCAAGATTGCGCCACTGCACTCCAGCATGGGTGACAGAGCAAGACTCCGTCTCAAAAAAAAAGAGTTAAGTCCAGAGGCAAAAGGACCCAAGGAAGCAGTTACTAACATATTCCACTTATTCGCATGGGATTTCTCCTACCATCCACATCATCTGGGTGTGGTGAAAACAAATGAGATAATATCACAAAGAAATCTGTGAGTATGGGCCGGGCGCAGTATCTCACGCCTGTAATCCCAGCACTTTGGGAGGCCAAGGAGGGAGGGTCACGAGGTCAAGAGATCAAGACCATCCTGGCTAACACAGTGAAATCCCATCTCTACTAAAATACACAAAATTATTAGCTAGGCACGGTGGTAGTCCCATCTACTTGGGAGGCTGAGGCAGGAGAATCACTTGAACCCGGGAGATGGAGGTTGCTGTGAGCGGAGAACGTGCAATTGCACTCCAGCCTGGGTGACAAGAGCAAAACTCTGTCTCAAAAAAAAAAAAAAAAAAACAGAATCAAAACTCAGAATTCAGGTCAGGTGCTTTGGCTGTAACTCCAGCACTTTGGGAGGCCGAGGCGGGTGGATCACTTGAGGTCAGAAATTTGATACTACCCTGTCCAACATGGTGAAACCCCTTCTCTACTGAAAATACAAAAGTTAGCCAGGCATGGTGGCACATGCCTGTAATCCCAGCTACTCAGAAGACTGAGGCAGGAGAATCACTTGAACCTGGGCAGCAGAGATTGCAGTGAGCTGAGATTGTGCCATCGCACTTTGGCCTGGGCAGCAGAGTGAGACTCCATCTCAAAAAATAATAATAATAATAATTTCAGAATTCAAAAATATTTAGGAATAAAGGAGCTGAGTAAATTTCAGGAATTTTCTACATTCTTTACTCTCTGGAGACTTTAACTGTCTTTATAGAATATGGAATGTTAGAAAGTAAGAAAGCCCCTTATAAATCACACGATCCAACCCCCTTATTTTACAGATGAGAAAGTGGCATCCACAAAGTCAGATACCAAAGTCCTTTAAGCTTGTGAATGAATGGTTGAAACCAGCTTCCCTGACTTTCACTGCTGAAACTATTCTGTCATGTCCCATTGCTTCTCAGTGCACTGTTACTCTATTACTCTCCTCTAAAATACAAAGGTCAAGCTAGAAACCAGGAAGAGAGAGTAAAATGCTAAGATCAAGATATCACCAAGAAAAAAACACATAGTTTTGCCCTGGTATTTCCAGCGTTCTGTCTTTTGACGAGAAATAACCACTCCTGTTAAAAGTATGCAAATATGTAACTGGAAAGAATTCAGGTCCACATGGTCAACATTTTAAAACCTTGGCTAACTTGGACCTTAGCCCTCTGGAATGCTCAGTAAGCTGGAACAACGCTGGATCTAGAAGTAGCCTGGGGCAAAAATTTAAGGAAAAAATGTTTAACTTGAAAAGTATTTCAGTGGGAAAGAATTGCCCTTAATTATTCAGCAATAAACGATCACAGCTAAGAAAAGCTAAAGACCAAACAGAAGACAACACCCAATAGAATAAATCCGTCAGTGCTTCTGACTGGGGAAAAAAAAGGCACTAATGCTTATAAAAATACCAAGATTTTGAAGAATATGAAGTCAAGAGTGTGTATGCTATCAATCATGAAGAAATATTGTTAGATGCTTTGTGCTCTGTTTGAGAAAGTGGAGCAATTGTGAGTGAATTTATTAAAGGATTTTCATTGGTATAAGTTAAAAGGAATAGTCAGGCATAAAATTCAGCTGGTTTGAAAACTGAATGTGTTTTCAGATATAATAGTCGTAGGGAGACGCCAGTACTTAGGCAGTTTCAAGAAAAATGCCTGGAAAGGATAAATTGAGAAAGGATGAATTGAGATGGCTCCATATAGAACTGGTGGCATGATCTCTAATCATTATGTGTCTAGGACCCCAGAAATCCAATTACTTTTAAGACAAAATTCTAAATGATGATAGCCATAGTAGTTTTTATACATTGATTTGTCCACTTCTCACCTGTTAATACAGAAGAGATAAATTTAAAATAAGCCTTTAAAATGTCCAAGCTAGGAGAAAAAAAAATCAGCAAAAGTACAGGCAAACTCTGATAAAATATGAGCATACTACTACAGTATAATTCTGCTTTCTCTTCTGTGTCATGCTTTGCTTTATTCCTTTTTGGTTCTTCCAAAATCTAGCAGTAGAGAAGAGTAGAACAGCTACAACTGGGTTACCTCACAAATAATTCAGTCTCTTTTTAAATAGAGTAAAAGTTAAGGAGATATTTAACTTTACATTCAGTTTTCTTCATCTGGAGATGGTTAAAATGGCAAATAATAATAATAATAACAACATGGAAACTGATATGTGAATATACTTTGTATCTTTGATCTTTATACTTACATTTAAAAATATACAGAATTGGAGCCAGGCTTGGTGACTCACGCCTATAATCCCAGCACTTTGTGAAGCAGAGGCCGGTGGATCACCTGAGGTTGGGAGTTCGAGACCAGCCTGACCAACATGGAGAAACCCCGTCTCTACTAAAAATACAAAATTAGCCCAGCATGGTGGCACATGCCTGTAATCCCAGCTACTCAGGAGGCTGAGGTAGGAGAATCACTTGAACCTGGGAGGCAGAGGTTGCTGTGACCCGAGATCATGCCGTTGCACTCCAGCCTGGGCAACAAGAGGGAAACTCCATCTCAAAAAAAAAATTATATATATAATTGAATGCTACACAGCACATTCTTCGTAATTCTGAGAATCGTGTGTATATATGTATATTTAATATGGACATTTAAAAATAAATATCATATATAGAAAGAAGATAAAGAGCATTGAAATCTTTGAACTTGATCCCTCTTTTAATATGATAAATAGATCAGCCATTAAATCCGAACAGAAACAATCACAATATGCAAACATCTAGTTATTATTATACCTTGGGACAAACAACACAAGTGGTCAGCTGGTTGGTTTCACAAATAGCAAGTAATCCCAGGTAACTATCATCTCCTTGCCTCTGAAGTACTCTCTGGTTCTTTAATTAAAATTTTAGCTAATCCTAATCTGATTAATGCAAACACTGCTTTTCCAAGTATCTTGTGATCCATGTTCACAAAGTTGTGCTGTAACCAGAGTGTCCTGACAAAGTCCAAGGTGCAAATAAGCATCTGTGATGTGTCCCCCAAATACAACAGTGTTTGCAGCCCACTCCACCCCCACTTCAGGCAATAAGCAGCTCAGAAGGTTAGTCGGTCTCCAGACTCCTCTATCCACCCTCCCTCTTAGTTTTCCACAGGTCTTTAATGCTTACAAGTCTCTTCTGGGGGGGATTCCTTCACAGCTTGGACCTTTCCTAGTCAGGGAGTGACAGCAGGGGGAAGAGACAAGTGCAATTCTGTCCAAAGCACAGAATCCTTGTAGCAGCTCATCTTCAGGAGTTCATTTGTTCTGTGGAAGAGCTCCCAAGTAAATAGGCCAAGATCACTGGGACCTTTCAATCTCCTCTTCCCTGGCAGAAATTTGGGTTATTATGGACCAGGACCCTTCCTCACCAGTGTGATCAAATCCCTCTGGCAGAAGACACAAGGTCACTGTGTTAGTTTAAGGGCTACTGTAATAAATTACCACATGGTGGGTGTCTTAAAACAACACAAATCTGTTCTCTCAGAGTTCTGGATGCTAGACCTCTGAAACTAAGGTGTCAGCAGGGCCATACTCTCTGAGAGGCTCTCAGAGACAATCTGTGCCATGCCTTTTTCTTAGTTTCTGATATTGCCGGCAATATTTGACATTCCTTGGCTTGTAAACACATCACTCTAATCTCTGCCATCATCACACGGTCTTTTCCCTATGTGTCTATGTCTCTTCTCCTCTTCTTATGAGGATGCCGGCCATATTGGATCAGAGCCCACCCTAGTCCGGTATGACCTCATTTTAATTTGATTACATCTGTAAACATCCTAATTACAAATAAGGGAACATTTACAGGTCCTGGAGACTAGGACTTTAGTCTGTCTTTAGGAAGGACTCAATTCAACCCTCAAGAGCTACTTAATGTTTGAGATGGCTCAAAACAATGGCTACAAGGGGATAAAGCTTGGAAGACTTCAGCCAAGCTCTCCTCAAAGGTCTGGCTGAGAAAAGCAGTGGAGGAGCCTGAATCCCCCACACCATCTGCTTCCACGATTCTGGCAACTCAACAGGGGGAAGGAGATTTCCCAGCAACATGCTAAATCATGGGCTCATAGTGCCCTTACCAGGCCCAAGCTCAGAGCATAGGGGTGCTTTGTTTTGCTTTGTTTCTGTATTTTTTGTTTGTTTGTTTGCTTTCCCTATAAGATCTTTTGTTTTAGATAAACGGCTAGGGCAGATGGATCCCAGGGCCCACTATATAAGTTTCCTATTGCTGTAACAAATTACCAAAAATGTAGTGGTTTACAATAACACTAATGTATTGTCTTACAGTTTTTGGAAGTCAGAAGTTCAAAATCAATCTCATCGGACTAAAATCAGTGTGTCAGAAGGACCACCCTTCTTTTATAACCTCTACAGGGCCAATTATTTTCTTGTCTTTTCCAATTTAAGGTCACTTGCATTCCTTCACTCTCAGCCCCTTCCTCCATCTTCAAAGCCAGCAACAATATAGCATTTCTTTCACCACAGAATTTATAGGAAACAATATTGCATCTGTAAATCTGACTGATCTCAACTCCCATCATTCCATCTCCTTTGGCTTTTCTGCTTCCCTCTTTTCTTTCTAGGGACCCCTGTGATTACATTAAACCCACACAGATAATCCAGGATAATCTCTCTAACTCATGATTCTAAATTTAGTCACACTTGAAAAATTCCTTTTGCCCCATAAGGCAATCTAGCTATAGGTTCCAGGGAATAGGATGGGGAATAGGACCTGAACATCTTGGGAGAGGGAAGAAGTAATTATTCTGCCTACCACACCCACCAGCCTTTTTACCCCCTATTTCAATTTCCCAGGACTGGAACAACCATACTTTTTTTTTTTTTTTTTTTTTTGAGATGGAGTCTCCCTCTGTCGCCCAGGCTGGAGTGCAGTGGCGCCATCTCAGCTCACTGCAAGCTCCGCCTCCTGGGTTCACGCCATTCTCCTGCCTCAGCCTCCCGTGTAGCTGGGATTACAGGCGCCCGCCAGCTTGCCCTGCTAATTTTTTGTATTTTTAGTAGAAACGGGGTTTTACCATGTTGGCCAGGCTGGTCTCGCTCTGTCACCTAGGCTAGAGTGCAGTGGCACGATATGGGCTCTGCAACCTCTGCTTCCTGGGTTCCTTGAAGCAATTCTCCTGCCTCAGCCTCCCAAGTAGCTGGGATTACAGGCGCCTGACCACGCCCAGCTAATTTTTGTATTTTTAGTAGAGACAGGGTTTCACCATTTTGGCCAGGCTGGTCTCCAACTCCTGACCTCAAATGATCCGCCTGCCTCGGCTTCCCAAAGTGCTGGGATTACAGGCAGGAGCCACCACGCCTGGCCTGGAGCAACCATGCTTTTAAATCCTCAAATTACAAAAAAGTCCTGCTTCACCTTTGTGTCAGGATATCAGGGCAATTTGTCCTGCATTCTCTTAGTGAATTCAGGTTGATATTCTACCTCCATTTAAAATGTAATATGAGCTGGGCACAGTGGCTCACGCCTGTAATCCTAGCACTTTGGGAAGCCGAGGTAGGTGGATGGCCTGAGGTCCGGAGCTCGAGACCAGCCTGGCCAACATGGTAAAACCCCATCTCCACCAAAAACACAAAAATTAGGCCGGGCTCGGTGGCTCACATCTGTAATCCCAGCACTTCGGGAGGCCAAGGTGGGTGGATCACGAGGTCAGGAGTTCGAGACCAACCTGGCCAACATAATGAAACCCCATCTCTGTTAAAAAATATACAAAAATCAGCCGGGCATGGTGGCACATGCCTGTAGTCCCAGCTACTCAGGAGGCTGAGGCAGGAGAATCACTTGAACCCAGGAGGTGGAGGTTGCAGTGAGCCAAGATCATGCCACTGCAATCCAGCTCGGGCAACAGAGTGAGACTTCGTCTCAAAAAAAAAAAAAAAAAAAATAGCCAGATGTGGTGGTACGTGCCTGTAATCCTAGCTACTCAGGAGGCTGAAGTAAGAGAATTGCTTGAAACTGGGAGGCGGAGGTTGCACTGAGTGGAGATCGCGCCAATGCACTCCAGCCTGGGTGACAGAGTGAGACTCAGTCTCAAAAAAGAAAAAAAAAACACATAAAATTTAATATGGCTAGACTTACTAAAGAGCAGAAAACATTGTTGGACATGGTGGTTCATGCCTGTAATCCCAGCACTTTGGGAGGCCAAGGCAGGAGGATCCACTTGAACCCTGGAGTTCAAGGCCAGCCTGGGCAACATAGTGAAACTCCATTCTCACACACACACAAAAAAATTAATGAATAAAGAACAGAAAGCACCATTAAATTATTTAATGAAATATAATGTCTGATGATTACCTTTGATAGGAATACATGAGTGTACAATAACAGGTCTTGCAAGCACTTGTAGTAAATAATAAAACCCAGAAGAGAGGTTTGTAAATAAAGTTACTAATTTGAAATGTTGATCTCTGAAGATTTATTGTTTCTTATAAAGTATTCTAAAATTCTTCTTCACTTATTTATTCCACAAATATTTATTTCATGTCCACTATGTGCCAGCTACTGTGCAAGGCGTTAGAAATATAGGTGGATAGAGGGGATGTAGTTTCTTCTCTCATGAGCTTGCTCTCGTGGGCATGTGTGTACCCAGAGCTGGAGCAGCACATCGTCTTTAGAAAAATTAAAAGCAGTAATAAAATTGACAAAAATGAGTGGTTTTATTTTTATTTTTTTAGAGATGGGATCTCACTATGTTGCCCAGGTTGGTCTCCAACTCCTGGGCTCAAGCAATCCTCCTGCCTCGCCCTCTCAAAGTTCTGGGATTACAGGCGTGAGCCACTGCAGCACGACAAGTCTGCTTTTTGACATGCACTGTCAATTGTAGACAATCAGTGATAAAAAATACAACTCCCGGAAAAGAAAACATATCTTGTTGGCTTAAATTCTAAACAATTGCAGTTACTGTAGACTTTTTTTTTTTTTTTTTTAAGACAGAGTCTCACTCTGTCACCCAGGCTGAAGTGCAGTGGCGTGATCTTGAATGAACCTCCCGGGTTCATTGAAGCAGTTCTCCTGCCTCAGCCTCCCAAGTAGCTGGGATTACAGGCGTGCGCCTGACCATGCCCAATTAATTTTTGTATTTTTAGTAGAGATGGAATTTTACCATCTTGGCCAGGCTGATCTTGAAACTCCTGGCCTCGTGATCCACCCCACCTTGGCCTCCCAAAGTGCTGGGATTACAGGCATGAGCCACTGTGCCCAGCCCTATAGACTTTTAATAATAATAAATACACTATAAATTAACACATTTCTTTTTACTTATCCTTTAATAAATACTGTATTCTACATGTAAGTTAATTTGAAGAATTCCAATTTATCAATCAGTTCCCAACACATACAGACTCAGTGCTATGGATTGAATGTTTGTGTACCCCCAAAATTCCTGTGTTGAAGGCTAAATCTCCAAGTGATGGTATTTGGAGATGAAGCCTTTTGGTTGCGAAGGTAGAGTGCTCATAAATAGGATTAATGTTCTTCTAAGAACAGACACAAGAGATGGTCTGTTCTCTGCTCTCTGCCATGTGAGGATAGAACAAGAAGACGGCCATCTGCAAACCAGTAAGAGGAACCTCAGCAGATACCAGATCTTGGACTTCCCAGCCTCCAGAACTGTGAGAAATAAATGTTTACTGTGAAGCATTCCAGTTTATTGATATTCTGTTAAAGCATCCCGAGTGGACTAATACGCTTAGCTATACACATTTGTTTCTAGGTTCATGGGGGGTATAGAATAGTTTCTGTTCATTTCAGGCTCTGTTCCTATCTCCAAGTCTTTGGTTCTTTTTCTGAGCACTTAGTCTTCCCAGTGGTTTATACCCTGATCAAATGTAAAGTCCTTAAGTATGTTCATTTTGAGAACAGCAAATTTGAAAGAAAGGAGTCATTCCTGGGTGTCTTTCTATTTCTAGGATAAACACTCCTGAACTCACATAATAGTCACCATATGACTGAATTGTGATATGCTGGACATGAACCTCTATCATGACCAAGGACATGGCAATGCTGAAACTATGGCCAAGACTGACTGTAGTGTTCAGGTAAAAGTCAAAGAAATTTATCCTAAATCCTCATTTGTGCTTGTGCAAATCAATCTCCAAACTCCACTGTTTTGGAAATGTTTCTTCATGTATGATTTTTTTTTAGGGGGGTTGAGGGGAACTTGGAAAATTTTTATTTCATCTTTTTAACCATTTTTTTTTTTTTTTTTGAGAAGGAGTCTCGCTCTGTTGCCCAGGCTGGAGTGCAGTGACACAATCTCGGCTCACTGCAACCTCCGCCTCCCAGGTTTAAACCACTCTCCTGCCTCATCCTCCTGAGTAGCTGGGATTACAGGCGCACGCCAACGCACCCAGCTGATTTTTGTATTTTCAGTAGAGACGAGGTTTCACCATGTTGGCCAGGCTGGTCTCAAACTCCTGACCTCAGGTGATCCACTTGCCTTGGCCTCCCAAGGTGCTGGGATTACGGGCATGAGCCATCGCGCCTGGCCTTTTTATCAATTTTAAAAAAGATTCACGGATGGACCATGCTGAAGATTGTAAGTATAACAATGAAAAGGCTTTCCCACACACAACAAAGTATTCATTTTGAAGCTATGCACACAGTAAAGTTTAAGAAATGAGTACCAACTTTTGAAGTATTATGCTATCTAAAACAAAATGTAGACACAAGAAAATCAGTAGATTTTTCTCTCTGCTGAGGCTATTTATCTTTTCTGGGTTAACTTTTTTCCTGGAGTGAAGTCTTAGATGAACTTAATCAGACACAAACTTCCAAAGAGATAGAAACAGCTTTGAAAAATGTGCATGCTTTAAAATTCTGTGTTCAGTCTTTAAAATTTTGTGTGCAGGTTTTAAAATTTTTTCTTGAAGATCAGTGCAGAGAACTGGTGGAAAGGCCAACAAATATTTAATCACAAGTATAAGGAAATGGCCATTTACATCTTTTTCAAAGCAAATTTTGAAGAAAACAGCCAGCAGCAATAACAAAATATGCTGGTCTGACGTTACCGGAAGAAAACAAAAGGACAATGTTTGAATCCCTCAATCACTTCAATCAAGAACTGAGTACTTGCTCTAAAGCAAAGAATTAAATAATGTCAATGTTTTCAATCATTCAGTGGTTTTTTCTAACTTTTTGCAGAAGAAGAAAATTTCAGCAGTTTTTCCAAATGTAACATCAATTTATTTATTTTTATATTTTTTGAGGAGTCTCCCTCTGTTGCCCAGGCTGGATTACAGTGTTATGATCTCGACTCACTGCAACCTCCGCCTTCTGCATTCAAGCGATTCTCCTGTCTCAGCCTCTCAAGTAGCTGGGATTACAGACATGCACCACCACGCCGGGCTAATTTTTTCATTTTTTTTTTTTTTTAGTAGAGCTGGGGTGTCACCATGTTGGCCATGCTGGTCTTGAACTCCTGACCTCAGGTGATCCATCCACCTCGGCCTCCCAAAGTGGTGGGATTACAGTTGTGAGCCACTGCACCCAGTCTGTACCATCAATTTATGATTAATTTTCTAGTGAAGGTTTGTTTTTTTTTTGAGCGATGACATTTGAACTTTTTTGAGCGATGACATTTGAAAGCCACTATAATTGATCTGAAAGAAGCGAAGGTATTGTCAATTTTAAAATTTGTGAAAATTACTGCGCAATAGGATTTGTATTTCACCAACCATATCCTTTTGTTTAAGATTTTTTTATGGAGACCGGGTGTGGTGGCTCACGCCTGTAATCCCAGCACTCTGGGAGTTCGAGGGAGCCAGATCACTTGAGGTCAGGCATTCGAGACCAGCCTGGCGAACATGGTGAAACCCTATCTCTACTAAAAATTCAAAACTTAGCTGGGCATGGTGGCAGGTGCCTCTAATCCCAGCTACTCGGGAGGCTGAGGCATGAGAATCACTTGAACCCAGGAGGCAGAGGTTGCAGTGAGCCAAGATGGCACCACTGCACTCCATCCTGGGCAACAGAGTGAGACTGTGCCAAAAACAAAAAGTTGACAAATCTGGTTAAACTGTCTATTGAAGCTGATTATTTTTAAAAAGATCAGTTTTAATGAAATCATTGACCAGTTTGCCAAAGTTAAGTCATTAAAACAGAAACTATAATATTGTTATACATTATTGTGACAGACCAATATATATGTAAAAGGTTTTTTTTTAAAAAAAACATATTAATGTA
Source organism: Homo sapiens (assembly GCF_000001405.40). Classification (NCBI taxonomy): domain Eukaryota; kingdom Metazoa; phylum Chordata; class Mammalia; order Primates; family Hominidae; genus Homo; species Homo sapiens. The sequence goes on along the minus strand of NC_000009.12, from coordinate 72,545,310 downwards.
ATTACAAAGTATTAATTCTGAAGCATAAGAAGAAGTCAGCCATTCAAAGGGCAGGGCTACAAATGCCCATCAATCAATGAGTGGATAAAGAAATGTGACATATATATATATGTGTATATATACACATATAAATGTGTGTGTGTATATATGTGTGTGTGTGTGTGTGTGTGTGTATATATATATCATGAAATACTACTCAGCCATAAAAAGGAACATATTAATGGCATTCACAGCAACCTGGGTGGAATTGGAGACTCAGGAATGGAAAACCAAATATTGTATGTTCTCACTCGTAAGTGGGAGCTAAGCTACGAGAATGCAAAGGCATAAGAATGATACAATGAACTTTGGGAACTCAGGGAAAGACTTGGGGGGGTGAAGGATAAAAAGCTACACATTGGGTAGAGTGTACGCTGCTCAGGTGATGGGTGTGCTAAAATCTCAGAAATCACAACTAAAGAACTTTTCACGTAACCAAAAACTACCTGTTCCCCAAAAACCTATTGAAATTAAAAAAAAAAAAGGTAAAAAGGCTGGGAGCGCTGGCTCATGCCTGTAATCCCAGCACTTTGGGAGGCCGAGGTGGGAGGATCACCTGAGGTCAGGAGTTCAAGATCAGCCTGGCCAACACGGCAAAACCCCATTTCTACTAAAAATACAAAAATTAGCCGGGTGTGGTGGCAGGTGCCTGTAATCCCAGTTACTCAGGACGCTGAGTCAGGAGACTCACTTGAACCCAGGAGGTGGAGGTTGCAGTGAGCCGAGATTGCACCACTGCACTCCAGCCTGGAAAACAAGAGCAAGACTTTCTCACAAAAAAAAAAAAAAAAAAGTTAAAAAATCAACAACAAAGGGAAGGGCTAAGATCAGTCCACCTGGAAGAAGCAGCAAGCTCAAAGACCTTGAGTTAGGAAAGAATGTGGGGTGTTTGAAGAATTAAGATGAGACAAACATGGCTTGAGTGAAGTGGATATACCTTGAGGGGCCTGGTCATATGACACCTTATAGGCTCTGGACATGAATTTAAACTTTATGTTAAGCACAAAAAGAAACTATTGAAGTGGCTGGGTGCAGTGGCTCACACCTGTAATCCCAGCACTTTGGGAGGCCGAGGCGGGTGGATCACAAGCTCAGCTGTTCGAGACCAGCCTGACCAACATGGTGAAACCCATTTCTACTAAAAATACAAAAAATTATTGAGGTGTGGTGGCACATGCTGTAGTCCCAGCTACTTGGAAGACTGAGGCAGAAGAATCACTTTAACCCGGGAGGCAGAGGTTGCAGTGAGCCAAGATCACGCCACTGCACTCCAGCCTGGGTGAAAGAACGAGACTCCATCTCAAAAAAAAAAAAAAAAAGAAAGAAAGAAAAAGAAAAAGAAACTATTGAAGCATTTTAGGAAGGAAAGTCACTGGGTGTGGTGGCACATGCCTGTATTCCCAGCTACTTGGGAGGCTAAGATGAGAGGATCTCTTGAGCCCACGAATTAGAGACCAGTCTGGGCAACACAGAGAGACCCTTCTCTTAAAAAATTTAAAAGTTAAAAAATAAAAAAAGATTAAGCAGGACAGTGGTGTGATCAAACTTTATATATATATGGCCTCCCAGGTTCAAGCAGTTCTGCCTCAGCCTCCCAAGTAGCTGGGATTACAGGCACCCACCACCATGCCCAGCTAATTTTTGTATTTTTAGTAGAGACAGAGTTTCACCATGTTGGCCAGGCTGATCTCAAACTCCTGACCTCAGGTGATCCTCCCACCTTGGCCTCCCAAAGTGCTGGGATTACAGGCGTGAGCCACTGTGCCTGGCTCAAACTTACATTTTTAAAAGATAATTCTGGCTGCATTGCAGAAAATTGATCAGAGGGGAGTCAGAGTGAAAATATGAAGACCAATAAGAAGGTTATTCCAATAATCTATAAGGGAAGTGGTTGTAGCTCTGGACAGACTAGTAGCAGGGGAGATGGGAAGAAGTACATAGACCTGAGATGCAGGAGATAGATCTGGGAACTAAATTTAAGGAAGAACAGATAGGATTTGCTCATGGGGTAGATGGAAGAAGTAAACAAGGAAGAGGAACCAAGGAAAAGTTCCCAATTTCTGGCTTAAACAATTAGTGGATGGTGAGGTCACTAGTTGAGATGGGAGAGAAACTAGTTGAATGAGAAAAATCACTGTGTCAAGGCTCAAAGGCAACCTTACAAGATGAAATGTAAACATAAAGATAAAATGTAACATGACACCTTCTTTTTTTAAAAAAAATTATCACATAGAAAAAAACAAGTGAAGGTCTAGTGCATATTTTCATTTTACACATTAGAAAACTGAGGCCTAGCTGGGTGCGGTGGCTCATATCTGTAATCCCAGCACTTTGGGAGGCCAAGGTGGGTGGATCATGAGGTCAGGAGTTCGAGACCAGCCTGGCCAAGATAGTGAAACCCCCATCTCTACTAAAAGTACAAAAATTAGCTGGGCGCGGTGGCAGGCACCTGTAATCCCACCTACTCGGGAGGCTGAGGCAGAAGAATTGCTTGAACCCGGGCGGCAGAGGTTGCAGTGAGCTGAAATCATGCCATTGCACTCCAGCCTGGGCAATAGAATGAGACTCTGTCTCAAAAAAAAACAAAGGAAGAAAGCTGAGGCCTGAACAGTAAAGATGACTTGCTCAATGAGTCAGTGCCTGGATCAGAATTCTTTTTTTTCTTTTTCTCCCCCCTAGGCTGGAGCGCAGTGGCACAATGTCAGCTCACTGCAACCTCTGCCTCCCGGGTTCAAGTGATTCTCCCACCTCAGGCTCAGGAGCAGCTGAGATTACAGGTGTGTGCCACCACACCCAGTTAATTGTTTATTTTGAGACAGAGTCTTGCTCTGTCGCCCAGGCTGGAGTGCAGTGGCGCTACCTCAGCTCACTGCAACCTCCACCTCCTAGGTTGAAGTGATTCTCCTGCCTCACCCTCCAAGTAGCTGGGACTTCAGGCACATGCCACCACACCCGGCTAATTTGTGTATTTTTAGCAGAGACGGGGTTTCACCATGTTAGCCAGGATGGTCTCCATCTCCTGACCTCAGGTGATCCTCCCACCTCAGCCTCCCAAAGTACTGGAATTACAGGCACGAGCCACCGCGCCGGGCCCTTTTTTGTGTGTATTTAGTAGACATGGGGTTTCAACAAGTTGGCCAGGTTAGTTTCAAACTTCTGGCCTCAAGTGATCCACCCACCTCGGCCTCCCAAAGTACTGGGATTACAGATGTGAACCACCACGCCCGGCCTCTTAGGTCAAATTCTTTGGCTCTAGTATTGCAAATACCTCACCCAGATTTTTTATTTTTGGTTTTTTGTGTTTTTTTGTTTTTGTTTTTTAACAATCCTTTCTCTTACATCCTCTTTCAGTTTTTCAGCTATGTGTGCTAATAGAGCTTATGACCTCACTTCTTCCTAAGGGCACAGACTGATACCAAGAAGTTTCTTCCTGACTTCAGATCTTTCAGTCTAGTCATACCTTGTTTCTGAGAAGTACATAAAATGCCGTTGATCTGGAAATTTTCATCTATCAAGCTTCCTCTTCTAAAGCCAATACCCCCAAGACCACCCTGGAAAGCTTCTAGGCTCTTTTTTTTTTTTTGAGATGGAGTTTTGCTTTTATTGCCCAGGCTGGAGTGCAATGGTGTGATCTTGGCTCACTGCAACCTCCACCTCCTGGGTTCAAGAGATTCTCCTGTCTCAGCCTCCTGAGTAGCTGGGATTACAGGTGCATGCCACCATGCCCGGCTAATTTTTGTATTTTTAGTACAGACGGGGTTTCATCATATTTGTCAGGCTGGTCTCGAACTCCTGACCTCAGGTGATCGGCCCGCCTCAGCCTCCCAAAGTGCTCGGATTATAGGCATGAGCCATCGCACCCAGCCGCTTCTAGGCTCTTTAAGTTATTCAAACAATTCATTCAGACAAATACTTATTCAGTATCTACTGTTCTGTATGGTTTGAATAACTCAAAAGTATGAGATTTGATTCTTGGCACCAACAAGTCTTAAGTTTGGTTGGAGAAGTTAAGACATAGATGTAAGAATTGATTAAGTGATAACACTGGTTGGTGTAAAGATTTGGCATCAAAATAGGTGGCTAGCACTGTAAGAGCTATGACATTTCAGAAAAGGTAACCATCCATGTGGGCAAGAGAAATCAAAGATTATGGGGCTAGAGATGGAAACTGAAGAACAATTTGGCATTGAGAAAAAGGAAAGGAGGGTAGATTTAAATTTGACCTGGAAAAAACAATTCAGTTCAGGACCTGGCCACATCCAAAACAAAAGTCAGAAGTTTTAATAAAGCTGGGTAGTATTGATGATTGGATTTAATGGAGGCAGATAACTAATCATTATATCTGTATTAACTCACTGAAGCTTCACAACATCCCTATGAGGAGGTACTATTGTAGCTCCATTTTATGTATAAGAAAATAAGGACACAGAGTGGTCATTTAATTTGCCTTAGTCACACAGCCAGCATGTTGTCATGCTGAGTTTCAAGTTCAGCTACGGGGCCTGTGCTCTTAACCACTACAGCATGTGGCCACTTGCATGAGCTCTCCTGGTTTGTAATAGTCAAAGGGTGGGGCATCAAAATGACCACAGCAAGGTTCTGGGAATCATGACTAGGGACAAAAATAAATGACTACCAACACGCGACGCAGAGACAGATTGCAAAGACAAACAGGCATAAGAGCCAACTTCAAAACAGTAAGGACAAGGATAAAGATCGGAAAGGAATAGTGCCAGGTTTGGAGAGGAGGTGGAATTAAAAGAAAAAAAAGTCAGAACGAGGAAAGTCAAAGATGAGGAATTTCCCTGAGGTAAATTCCTGGCAGAAAGCTGGTCTGTCTGCCCCTGATTTTACTACCCATGTGGCTATCTCTGCCATTGTACCTTAGGGAAGTCATGCAAGCCTCAACAGAAGAATAAATGGAATAAAATTTGATAGTACAGGCTGAGCATGACTGCTTAGAGTACACCAAGAACTCACCTTCCTACCCCCCATTTCCTGGGATAAAGAACAAATATTAGAAAACAACAAGAAACAAGGTGCTGTACTTTGGATGTTCGCCCTCCCAAACTTCATGTTGAAATTTGATCCCAATGTTGGAGGTGGGGCCTAGTGAGATGTGTGTGTTATGTGGGTGGATCCCTCATGAATAGATTAATGACCTCCCTGGCAGGGGTGGGAGTGAGCGAGTTCTCAATCTGTTAGTTCCCTCAAAAGCCTGTACCTCTGTTAAAAAGACCATGGTACCTTCCCCTCCTCTCACGCTCTTCCTCTCTCGCCATGTGATCTCTGCACATGGAGGCTCCCCTTCACTTTCTGCCATGAATGGAAGCTTCCTTGCCTTCACCAAAAGCAAATCCTGGCACCATGCTTCTTGTACAGGCTTGCAGAACTGTGAGCCAAATAAACCCCTTTCTTTGTAAATGACCCATCCTCCGGTATTCGTTTAAAGCAATGCAAAATGGACAAAGTCAGAATACTGGTACCAAGTAGTGAAATGTTGCTGTAAAGACAACTGAAAATGTGGAAGCAACTTTGGAACAGGGCATTGGACAGAGGTTGGAAGAACCTGGAGGGCTCAGAAGAAGACAGGCAGATGAGGGAAAGTTTGGAACTTCTTAGAGATTAGTTAAGTGGTTTTGACCAAAATGCTGATAGAAATATAGATAGTAAAGGCAAGGCTGAGCAGGTCTCAGAAGGAAATGAGAAACTTACTGGGAACTAGAGCAAAGGGTTCCATGTTATGCTTTAGAAAAAAAAACTTGGCTGTGTTGTGTCCATGCCCTATGGATTTGTGGAAGGCTGCAGTTAAGAGTGATGACCTAGGATATCTGGCGGAAATTTTGTTTTGTTTTGTTTTGTTTTTGAGACAGGATCTTGCTCTGTCACTCAGGCTGGAATGCAGTGGCACGATCTAGGATCATTGAAACCTCCATCTCCTAGGCTGAGGTCATTCTCCCACCTCAGCCTCCCGAGTAACTGGGACTACAAGCACATGCCACCACACCTGGCTGATTTGTTTTTTTGTTGTTGTTTTTTTTTTGTATTTTTTGTAGAGATGGGGTTTTGCCATGTTGCCCAGGCTGGTCTCAAACTCCTGAGCCCAATTGATCTGCCCACCTCAGCCTTCCAAAGTGCCTGCCTCTCACAGGCATGAGTCACCATGCCCAGCAGCAGAAGAAATTTCTAAGCAACACAGCATTCAAGAAGTGGCGTGGCTGCTGGAAATCAAAATTAAAATTCAAACTCCCCCAATCAACTGAATGGACCCCTTGGTCAAGGAGATCCCAAAGAAACCTGAAAAACTAGCTCATGCCATAGCAAGATGAGAGGGTACCCAACATGCCTTATTACACCCTCCCCCTTTGGAGTTTAGACACAAATGACCAGCATTAACATTAAAACAGAGATCATATGACTGACAAGACAGACTCTTTGTAGCAATAAGATACCAAATTTGAACCCGACTCTGATATAGCATCACATGACATAGCAAGACCTAAAGGAAATAAAAGTATTTTATTGTCCAGGTGTGGTGGCTCATGCCTGTAATCCCAGTAATCCCAGCACTTTGGGAGGCCAAGGCAGGCAGATCACTTGAGGTCAAGAGTTCAAGACCAGCCTGGCCAACATGGTGAAACCCCATCTCTACTAAAAATACAAAAAAATTAGCCAGGCATGGTGGTGGACACCTGTAATCCCAGCTACATAGGAGGCTGATGCAGGAGAATCGCTTGAGCTGGGGAGACGGAGGTTACAGTGAGCCGAGATCGTGCCACTGCACTCCAGCCTGGATGACAGAGCAAGGCTCTGTCTCAAAAATACGATACAATACAATACAATACAATACAATACAATACAATACAATACAATACAAGTATTTTATCCCAAAATATATTTATTTGACATTTTGAAAAGGCCCTGCAATGTTGTCTCTTGTGGAGGAAGTTAGTGTTCTGTAGAGAATCTCTCCCTTACCAAGTTTTTTCCAGAGAGTCTGACACCTTTTAAGTTCTAATAAGAGACATTCATCATCTATTCACTCTGAAGCCTGCTACCTGGAGGCTTCATCCACATGACAAGAACCTTGACTTTCACTTTTTTTTTTTTTTTTTTCAGACAGGGTCTGGCTCTGTCACCCAGGCTGGAATGCAATGGTGCAATCTCAGCTCACTGCAACCTCTGCCTCCTGGGCTCAAGTAATCCTCCTGCCCCAGTCTCTCGAGTAGCAAGGACTACAGGTGTGCTCCACCATGCCCATCTAATTTTTTTATTTTTTGGAAAGACAGGGTCTCATCATGTTGCCCAGGCTGATCTCAAACAGATTGCCCAGGTGGCAATCTGACCACCTCAGCCTCCTAAAAGTGCTAGGATTACAGGCATGAGCCACAGTGCCCAGCCAACCTCTTTATCTTAACTCAAGCTGACTTCAACTGTTCAGGCAGAGCTTAACTCATTCAACCATTGCCAATCAGGAAATTTTTGAATATACCTATGACCTGGAAGCCCCCACTTGTAGATGTCTTGCCTTTCTGGGCCAAACCAATGTATACCTTGCATGTATTGATTTATGTTTTTGTCTGTAACTTCTGTCTCCCTAAAATGTATAAAACCAAGCTACACAAAACTACCTTGGGCACATGTTCTCAGGACTTCCTGAGGCTGTGTCATGGGCCATGGTCCTTAACCATCGCAAAATAAACCCTTACATTGATTGAGACCTGTCTCAGATACTTTTTGGTTTACACTGCTTTTAATTGTAAATATGATTGTAAACTAGATATGGCAGCAAATGAGTGACCTAAAGTTGTAAATTGTAACTAAAAACCAAGTAAAGCATAAAAATTTGGAAGATTTACAGCCTGGCCCTGTGGTAGATGAAGAAAGAGTGTTTTCAGGAGAGGAATTCAAGGATGCAGCCAAACACTTGCTAGAGAGATATTAGCATGACTAAGTGGGAGCTAGGTTCTAATAGCCAAGACTTTGGAAAAAAAAGGCCCCAAAGGCATTTCAGAAACCTTTGAGGCTGCTCCTCCCATCACAAGCCTAGAGGCCTAGGAGGACAAAATAATTTTGCAGGACAAGCCTGGGGTACCACTGCCCTGTGCTGCCTCAGGATGCTGCTGTCTGCATCCTGGCCACTCTGGCTCCATCCATGGCTCCAATGGCCCCAGGTACTGTTTGAGCCACTGCTTAGGTGGGTGTAAGTGGTAAGCCTTGGTGGCTTCATGGTGTGAAATCTGCAGGTGCCCATAATGCAAGAATGTTGGAGGCTTGGCAGCTTCCACCTAGATTTCAGAGGATTTATTGGAACACCTGGGAAGGCAGGCAGAAGTCTGCCATAGGGTCAGATCAACCACACACAGCCTCTACTTGGGCATTATCTATTGGAGGTGTGGGAGCAGGGCTACCACCCTCCAGACCCCAGAATTATAGAGCCACCAGCAACATACAACTGCAGCCTGAAAAAGGCACAGGCATTGGGCTTCAATCTGTGAGAGCAGTCACGTGGGCTGCACCCAGCAAAGCCAAAGAGTGGGGCTGCCTAAGGCCTTAGGACCCACCCCTCACACTACTATGCCCAGGATGTGGTATATGGAATCAAAGGAAATTATTTTGGAGTTTTAAGAATTAATGTCTGGCCAGGCGCGGTGGCTCACGTCTGTAATCCCAGCACTTTGGGAGGCTGAGGCAGGCGGATCACGAGGTCAGGAGATCAAGACCATCCTGGCTAACACAGTGAAACCCCGTCTCTACTAAAAATACAAAAAATTAGCCAGGCATGGTGGCAGCTGCCTGTAGTCCCAGCTACTCAGGAGGCTGAGGCAGGAGAATGGCGTGATCCCAGGAGGCAGAGCTTGCAGTGAGCCGAGATCGCACCACTGCACTCCAGCCTGGGTGACGGAGCGAGACTCTGCCTCAAAAAAAAGAATGTCTGCCGCACTGGGTTTCAGACTTGGATGGGACCTGTTACCACTTTCTTTTGGCCAGTTTCTCCCTTAGGGAAATGGGAATGTTTACTCAATGCCTGTACAACCATTGTATCATGGAAGAATATAATTCATTTTTTATTTTTGCAAGCTCACAGCTGTAAAGAAGTTGCCTTGAGTCGCAGGTGATACTTTGGACTTTGGACTTTTGAGTTTATGCTGGAACAAGTTAAGACTTTTAGGGACTATTAGGAAGAAATGATTGTATTTGAATGTGAGAAGGACATAAGTTTTAGGGGGCCAAAGCAGAATGCTATAGTTTGGATGTTTGTCCCCCCTTCAAACCTCATGTTGAAATTTTATCCCAATGTTGGAGGTGGGGCCTAATGAGAGGTATTTTGGTCATGGGGGAGAATCATTCACGAATAAATTAATGCCCTCCCTGTAGAAAGAGTCAGTGAGTTCTCACTGTATTAGTTCCCATGAGAAGTGGTTGTTAAAAAGAGCCTGGCACCTCTCCACACCTCCCTTGCTGCCTCCCTTGCCCTATGATTTCCACACATGAAGGCTCCGCTTACTCTTCTGCCATGAATAGAAGCAGCCTAAGGCTTTTACCAAATGCCCAATCTTCCAGCAAGCAGAATTGTGAGCCAAATCAACCTCTTTTCTTATTAAACTATCTAGTCTCAGTCTTCCTTTATAGCAACACAAACACACTAGAACACAAAGCTGACTAGATATGTCAGATTGTGGAACACCAAAACTCAGGATGAGTGGCTGCAATTTAATCTCAGAGGTAAAATGGAGCCACTGAAAGTTCTTGAGGAGGAAGTGAGGCAACAAAATTGACAAATCACATATCCTCCCCTGATATGGTTTATAGGTTGGATTAGAAGGAAAAGAGCAAGGTTATATGCAGCTAAATTTAAATGCAATCAAGGGAAGAGGACATGTAGGTCAGGATCAAGAGGATTCAAGAAGATAGTTAAAACAATGATAGAAATACAAGTTTTCGGGAGAAATCCAAACTTTCAAGGATGACTTCTAGCAGCTCTGGGAGAGTTTCCTCCTGCAATCCTAATAGTTTAGAAGACATCGGGGTACTTTGTAACATGCTAAACAAAATGCTGAAAAGATGAGTCCCTTGGAACAGAGGTGAACTGGGTAACTTTAGGTAGACTCATAGTTTCCCCTGAAAACATGCCTTCATCCATGATAAATATAGCGTTAAGCAGCATCCTACATGATTCATATAACTGTAACACACCCAACTAGCTTTTTTTTTTTCTCTCTCTCTAAGAGATCCATGAATCGACTGCCTTTGTGTAAGAATCAGGACTTTTTGCAAGCATCAACTTAGATAATAGATATATTTGAAGTAAGAGTAGTGATCATGAAAATAAACTGTTTCTACTCTGGTATAAAAAGTAGTCTTTTTATTTGCCTTTATCTTTGAATACTCTAAATCTTTATAACAGGCTGCCAACTACATTATTGGGTTTTGGACTTCTTAATTTCTTAACCAGTATTTGCAGGGATACCTTTTTTCAGCATTTAGAATGAAAACCTAAATGCATCGTTAAAATATCTTTATAATCTTGTGATTTCAGTTCTGTTTCTTCATCAGTTGATTAAGAAAGTTAAACTGGACATTCTCACAGGAACTAAATATATAGAATTCCATTAACCTTTTCATTAACGTTTTTCTAATGATAGCCTTTGAAATATCTGGGATTTTTCTATACATGCCAAAATAATATATAGATTCAGATACCAAATACAAATTTTAGAAGTTATATAATCTACATGTGTGTTAGCTTTTAACCAATCATAATTTATTCATGAACACAATTGAAAGAATTTTCCAGAATGTTCATAAATATAACAAATAGCTTTCTTTGGTGGAGCCCTTTTAGAATGTCTGTTCAGCACCTCCCTCCACCTCCCCACCACTTTTTCTGTAAACTGCTGTCCATCTACATAATTAAAGGTTGGATCCTAATGTGATATTTCTGTTTCATGGCCCTACCCCACAACCATAGTCAGTTGAGCCAGGGAAAGCATCAGACCTAGGAATTGAGAATTGGAGAAGAGAGAGAACAAGAGACAGCTGTCCCTCTCCAAATTGCTGACACTTAATGTTGGGAAATTTTTAAAATTGTCTTTATTTATTTTTATTGTTTATTTTACTTATTTATTCATTTATTTCGAGACAGATTCTCACTCTGTTACCCAGGCTGGAGTGCAGTGACACAATCTCAGCTCACTGCAACCTCTGCCTCCCAGGTTTAAGCGATTCTCCTGCCTCAGCCTCCCAAGTAGCTGAGATTACAGGCGTGCACCATCACACCCGGCTAATTTTTGTATTTGCAATAGAGATGGAGTTTCACCATGATGGCCAGGCTGGTCTTAAAGTCCTGGCCTCAAGTGATCCACCTCCCTCGGCCTCCCAAAGTGCTGGGATTACAAGCGTGAGTCACTGCACCTGGCCAGAAATTGTATTTTTAAAATTTGTATATGAAAAGTAGAAAAACCTAGTCCACAGAGAGAAAAGAGAGAGAGGAAGGGAGAGAGAGAAACGCATGAAACCAATTACACAAAGGAGCAGAAGTGTTTAAGTCTTTGGTCCAGTTTGTTCTGATGCTTAGCTGTTTTTCTACCTTAGATTGTATGAGAGTGCCTGTATCCTTATCATAAATTATCTTTGTTTTCATAAGCTATCTCAAATAAGTTTCCAGCCTGAGTTTGTCTCTCCAGAACAGTAACTCACATGACAAGTCATGCAAGGTTGTGTGGACTGCATCTCCTTTAGATTTATTGGATTGGCTAGGTGTACTTAACCACAACTCTGGTGGTTGCTGGGAGACACCTCTGGGAGAGTATGGTCAGGGGAAAATCAGGAAGAGAAGCAGTAGTCTTTGCTTAAAGCAACAACTCGCACCAGTGGATTGCTGGGTCATACCCTCTTTTCCTTTAATTTATCCTCCAGTCTTTGGAGCAGAGAAAAGTAAATCATGCTGGCTGCCCAGAGTTTCTTCTAGAGCCAGGGATCGCACCTTGGGTTTCTCCAGATCTCCAAGCCTTTATCACTTTATGCATTATAAGGTGTGAGGGTTCTCTGGATGAATATATTCCACAAAAAGGGGCTCAGTGTCCCATAGGCAAAGCAAGAAGAGAGGGCACTTCAGCTGATCCTGGCCACTGTCTCACAAGTATTTCCCCTCCAAGGCCAGGGAAGAGTCAGGCCTTACTACAGAATGTAGCTTCTTCTGCAAAACACAGCACCTCCTTCTCCCTTAGCCCCAGCTCCTACATGTATGCTAAGCCATCATTTTATGGCAGATTAAGGGATGAGCCAGTTTGTCACTGAAACAGGATCCTCTACTCCAAGTAGCCTGAGCCTGGTGGACTGACTCCCTTTTAGCAATTCAGAGCCATAAGGTCATTAAAAATAGTTTGCTTTGCCTTTCCCCTGTTAGGCATTCCTCAAACACTTGGAAAATTTAGTCTCATCAGCAAGCTCTAACAAGACTACATCTGCATTTTGTCTTTCTGAAGATTAATTTGAATCTAACCAAAGAAATTAAAATACACTATTGCACTCTTTTTGAAGCCTCATCATAGTCTATGGTCCAAAATCATCACAGCCCCAAATCAGCATAGCATCTGAGAATATGTCTCATCCTACCTCACCGGTTCTTCCACAGCGTCATGATCATGGCTTCAAGATGACTGGGCTTTAATTCCGGTAAAGTTTTTTTTTTTTTTTTTTTTTTTTTTTTTTTTTTTTTTTTTTTTTTGAGACGGAGTCTCGCTCTTGTTGTCCAGGCTGGAGTACAGTGGCACGATCTCGGCTCACTGCAACCTCTGCCTCCCAGATTCAAGCGATTCTCCTGCCTCAGCCTCCTGAGTAGCTGGGATTGCAGGCATGCACCACCATACCTGGCTAATTTTTGTATTTTTAGTAGAGATGGGGTTTCACCATGTTGGTCAGGCTGGTCTCGAACTCCTGACCTCAAGTGATCTGCCCGCCTCAACCTCCCAAAGTGCTGGGATTACAGGCGTGAGCTGCCATGCCCAGCCCAGTAAAGCATTTTTAATCAAAACTTCAGGCTGGGTATGGTGGCTAATGCCTATAAACCCAACACTTTGGAAGGCCAAGGCAGGCAGATAACCTGAGGTTAGGAGTTCAAGATCAGCCTGGCCAACATGGTGAAACTCCATCTCTACTAAAAATACAAAATTAGCCGGGCATGCTGGTGGATGCCTGTAGTCCCAGCTGCTTGGGAGGCTGAGGCAGGAGAATCACTTAACCCTAGGAGATGGAGGTTGCAGTGAGCCAAGATCACACCACTGCACTCCAGCCTGGGCAGCAGAGCAAGACTCCATCTCGAATAAATAAATAAAAATAAAAGATGAAAATCTTAGAAGCATCAGAGGGCTAGCAGGATTCTAATGAATTGCCAGCCAGATACAGGAAAAAATGGGAATTCAGATAGGAAAGCTTGGCACTTGGAGCATTTTTGAATTGAGGGCATTTTCCAATTGAAGATAGGTGGCCAAGAGGGTAAAAAAAATCAGTGCCTAGAGCCAGACAAAGTAGGAATTCAGTAAATTATTCTTCACTTTGGACTGGTAGCTCAAAGAGCTACACCCTAGATGTAAGAGTAATACGGATTAACAGTAAACTGTTCCTCTTATGAACTACAGGGCAGTGTGAGAGCAGCAGAATATTTTATGTGACTGAGAGCTCCATAGTATATAAGAGAGGTGCAGAGCTGAACTTGATATTGCTTTAGGAAATAAATCATATAGCAGGGACAGTTGGTCCAGTTGACCTGGAAAATATCAAATCTGAAACTTCAATTAACATCATCCTGAGTTAATAGTGTCCCTAGGAACGTAACTGAAGTAATTTAAAATCTTTTTTGGTGAACAAAACACCAGTCTAGGCTTCATATGATTTGTACATATTGTGTTTAAAAAATTATTTGCCAAAAACAATGTCTAGCACACAATCAAAAGTAACCAGGCATAAATACAGACTAGACACTGTTAATGTAAATTTAAAAAACAAAAAACAATGAAAGTAGACAAAAGTAGACTCCAGAGGCTCCTGATACTGGAATTATTAGATAAATATATAAACAACTGTGTTTGCTATGTTTAAGTAGGTAAAACTCAAGGTTAAAAATTATGGCAGAAGCCAGGTGCAGTGGCTCATGCCAGTAATCCCAGCACTTTGGAAGGCCAAGGTGGGTGGATCATGGGGTCAGGAGATGGAGACCATCCTGGCTAACATGGTGAAACCCTGTCTCTACTAAAAATACAAATAATAATAATAATAATAATAATTAGCTGGGCGTGGTGGCAGGCGCCTGTAGTCCCAGCTACTTGAGAGGCTGAGGCAGGAGAATGATGTGAACTCGGGATGCAGATCTTGCAGTGAGTCAAGATCACACCAGTGCACTCCAGCCTGGGTGACAGAGTAAGACTCCACCTCAAAAAAAAAAAAAAAATCATGGCAGAAAACAAGTGGCAAATTAGATATCCTAAAGCTGAAAATTTGATACCTAAACTTAATAATTCAATAAACAAATTATAATACTAGACATAGCTAAAAAGAGAATTAGTGAACTAGGAGACAGGTCACTAAAAGTTATCCAGAATGAAACACAAAGATATAAAGATGAAAAATACAAAAGAGAAAACAAGAAGCACAGAAAATACCTTGAGAAGGTTTTTTTTTTTTTAAGATGGAGTCTTGCTCTGTCACCAGGCTGGAGTGCAGTGGCACAATCTCGGTCCACTGCAACCTCCACCTCCCGGGTTCAAGCGATTCTTCTGCCTCAGCCTCCTGAGTAGCTGGGACTGCTGGTGGCTCACACCTGTAATCCCAGCACTTTGTGAGGCTGAGGCAGGTGGATCACTTGAGGTCAGGAGTTTGAGACCAGCCTGGGCAACATGATAAAATCCCATCTCTACTAAAAATAAAAAAAAATTAGCCAGGTGTGGTGGCACACATCTGTAATCCCAGCTACTCAGGAAGCTGAGACATAATTACTTGAACCAGGGAGACAGGTTGCAGTGAGTAGAGATCGCGTCACTACACTCCAGCCTGGGCAACAGAGTGAGACTCCATCTCAAAGAAAGAAAGAAAGAAAGAAACTATGGAGCTCTCAGCCACCTAAAATATTCTGCTGCTCCCACACCGACCTGGGATTTCAGGAACTCAATCAGGCTGTCTCATGCCCACCTGCCCAGATACACTATAATGATATTCCTTTATTCCCTCTTTAACATGATCATGTAGAAATTCTGGGTTTTACCTTGCTCCCCAGACCTGATTTCGTGGGCCTCTCTGACCTTCACTGACAAAATCTATTAGAGAGGGGGAGGGTGTCTTTTATTCTCCATTCTCAGAACTCGGGCAGAACCCTTATCAGGGAGTCAAGTCTTCAATCTTTCCTGATTCTCTCCTTCCTCTTAGAAATTTTTATCTAGCTGCAGGTGAGGGAAACTGGTTTAGTCTCATAATTTGATTCTAAATGTTTTCTCTTATGTACAGACCACATTCTCAAAGGATAAACATTTGATTCTTCTAAGTGTTTTGCTGTGTCACTTTTTCCCAAAGGCAGTGAAAACCACTGAATGAAATAGGAAAAAAAAAAAAACAGAGAAACAAGAAAGCACACTTGAGTGGATAGCTCCAGACATTATTTTATAACATATGAAGCCAGATTTTTTTGTCTTAACTAATACAGTATCCACACACACAAACACACACACATATATACACATTTCCTAAACACATATGTATATACACACTATATAGACACATAGACATCATTTTATGCGTGCAGGTTTATTACAGCAGAATTTTTCTTTTTTAGAGACAGGGTCTAGCTATGTTGCCCGAGCTAGTGTGCAGTGACTATTCACAGGTGCAACCATAGCCCTCTATAGCCTCAAACTCCTGGGCCCATCTCGGCCTTCCAAGTAGCTAGGACTACAAGTGCCCGCCACCACACCGGGCTTGAATAAGCATATTATTCTTTAATTTTTGGCCTTTCTCATGCAGTCCTTTACCAGTTCACAAAAATAGGAAACGATTTAGCAATTAGAGTTATCCCTTGGTATTCATGGAGGAATGGTTCCAGGACCCACCCACCGCCCCACCCGCCACCGGATACCAAAGTCATAGCTGAAAAGATGCTTCAGTCCCTGATTAAAAAAAAAAAAATGGTGTAGTATTTCTGTATAACCTGTGCACATTCTCTCACATACTTTAAATCATAACTACACTACTTATAATGCCTAATACAATATGAATGCTCTGTAAGTAGTTATTATACGATATAGTTTAGGAAATATACAAAAAAAAAATCTATACATGTTCAATACAGACACATTTTTTTTTCCAAATAATTTTGACCCATGGATATGGAAGGCAGGGATACAGAGGGTCAACTGTATTTGTCTAACCCTGTAAGCAATCTATTTTGTAAATGTAACAAAGGGCATACTAAAGGTCAGTCTGCAAGCCCAACCACCTCAAAAACTCAGGAAATTTATATTGGGCCCCCTGAAAATAGTGGGAGCAGGACATTAAGGCTGAGAGCCAAGTCTTGGGTCCTCAGATTCAGAACCTTCAGGAGGATGGGGGTTTTAGTCCATTTTGGATGCTAATTACAAAAATCATGAACTTGGCCAGGTGCAGTGGCTCACATCTGTAACCCTAGCACTTTGGGAGGCCGAGGCGGGTGGATCACCTGAGGTCAGGAGTTCGAGACCAGCCTGACCAACATGGAGAAACCCTGTCTCTACCAAAAATACAAAATTCGCCAGGCATGGTGGCGCATGCCTATAATCCCAGCTACTTGGGAAGCTGAGGCAGGAGAATCGCTTGAACCCGGGAGGCGGAGTTTGTTGTGAGCCGAGATCACACCATTGCACTCCAGCCTGGGCAACAAGAGCGAAACTCCGTCTCAAAAAAAAAAAAAAAATCATGAACTTATGGTTTATAAGCAAGAGAAATTTATTTGTTTACAGTTCTGGAGGATAGGAAGTTCAAGATCAATGTGCCAGATGATTGGTGTCTGGTGAGGGACCCTTCCTCATAGACAGCACCTTCACGTTGTGTCCTCACATGGTGGAAGGAGCTAGCTAGCTCTCTGGGGCCTTTTTTTTATAAGAACAGTAATCCCATTCATGAGGGCTTTGTCCTTATAACTTAATTACCTCCCAGAGGCTTCAGTTTCTAATACCACCACCTTAGGGGTTAAGATTTCAACATATAAGTTTGGCGGGGTGGAGAGAAATAAACATTCAGACCACAGCAGAAGGTTGCCCTAAATTCTGGAGTCGGGGAGGGGGGAAGTATCGCAAGAAAACAGGAACACTGAAAGACATGGGCTCCTTCTCAGATCTTAGAGAACAAAAGAAAGAACTAAATGGAGATGTGGGAATCACAAGGCCATAGTTTAGGGTCTCGCAGTGCCATTGGCAACAAAGCCTGAGAGCCTAGGCGATAGAGGCAGAACACCCAGAGGAGAAGCCCCTTCCCCTTGCACCGTGAGCCTGGTGTTTGCAGCTTGGTAGCAGTGGCAACAGAACAATCAGCTCTCCTACAATAAACCAGGGACGGAACAAACAACAGCAGCAGCGGTCGCAGGGAAACAGAATCTGTGTTGGCGTGCAGGGAGCAGGCAGCGTCTGCAAAGTAGCGCTGGCAACCACAACAGAGAGGCCAGCAACAGGAGGAGCAGGAGGAGCGTGAGTCACTGGGGTCTGGGGAGGGCAGCAAGGGAGGAGGGCAGAGGAAAGAGGCTGCTCTCCTGCTGGTAAACATCCCCCAAATCAGCAGAGCAAAACCAGGAAACACCAGAATATCAACCTGTGATTACACAGGCAGATTCCTGGATCCTACCACAGAGCTGCTACATCGTAATGTCGGAGTGCGGGGAGGCGGGTAGAATCCAGAAATTTGCATTTTTTTTTCAGGTCAGACAGGTAATGTACCGGGTCATAAGGAGGTTCAGAGGGTGTCACGTCTTACACATGCCTGTGAACACCCAATCATCATGCTTTTGAACTACAAAAGAATCGAGATATTTGCATTTTAAAGAAGTTCTCAAGGGGATTTTTAAGCAGTATTACCCACAGGCCTGAGCAACTGGGAGCTTTGCCCTGAGCCCTGCCTTTTAGAGGGCTCAAGGCTAGCCTTCTTCCAGCCACGCCCCTCAGAGCTAACATCCTACAAGACAAGGGAACATGCCCAGCGGAACCCCATGCTCACCTAGTACATGACACCCCCTACCTAGACCATGCGTCTGGTACCCAGGACCCTGGATTCATGCCTAAATGGCATTGAGACCAATTCCATGGCCTGAATGGACCTCTGGCCCAGGCAGCGCCTGTTGTGTGCTTCTGCAGGTGGACCACACTGCATGGTGTGCACAACTCTGGAAGGAAGAGTTCCTCATGGGCTGCTTGGTGGACTTGAGTGTTGAGCTGACCATATGTGGTCTCCAAGCCTGACCCTCTGCAAGAACAGGAGCAGGAAAAGAAGCAGGGGGTGGTGCTCTTCCTTGCCCTTCATGCTCATTTGTGTTCCCAGCTCACGTATGTTAAGGATATCTATTGGCCTAACTAGACACTTGCACATTATTCTTGGCTACATTTTTTAAAGTCACAGGGGTTTTAATTTAGTTAATCTTGTTTTGTCTGGTTTTACTTTGTTTTTAAACACCAGAGAGGAAAAAGAAAGCTCTTAGGGTGAAAATACCAATTATAAAATGAGTGAATCCTAGAGTTTAATTCCTTTACAAGTTTAATCATTTTACAAGCTTTGATTTTTCCCATGGCAGATGAAGTTTTGGAGAACCAGGCTTACATGATTAAGTAGCATCTTCAAATTTTGAATTCATAGAGTTAATTTAGTGTAAGTAGTATCCATTGAGGGTTTTTTACTGTGTTCTCCATTGTCCTACACAGTGACAGGATCAATAAGATAGGATGAATATCCTCAAAGCAAGGCCATTGGATAATTCAAGTTGTACACATGAAGAGAAAAAAATAACATCTGTGCAAAGGAGTATGTTATTTTAAGTGCTAAAGTGAGAGCCCCAGACAAGGCTAACTGCAATAGGAAATTAACAAATCTCCAAGATCCTCTCCTTCTGTTCTCAGTGTTGTCTTCTTCTAGAGGACACACACACTTACACCCCACGCCCCCAGCCCCCAAAGCAAGGGGCTGGTGCTTTCAAAGTTCAGGCACAAGCAAGATTAGCGAATGACACTCTGTGCAATAATGCTTACTTAGTCTGTGGTTAAGGAATTTTTTTTTTTTTTTGAGACGGAGTCTCACTCTGTCATCCAGGCTGGAGTGCAGTGGCACGACCTTGGCTCACTGCAACCTCCACCTCCCAGGTTCAAGCAATTCTCATGCCTCAGCCTCCCAAGTAGCTGGGAATACAGGTGTGTGCCACCACGCCCGGCTAATTTTTGTATTTTTAGTAGAGACGGGGTTTTGCCATGTTGGCCAGGCTGGTCCAGAACTTCTGACCTCAAGTGATCTGCCCGCCTGGGCCTCCCAAAGTGCTGGGATTACAGGCGTGAGCCACCGCAACTGGCCAAGGATTTTTTTGTTTTTCATGTGAGCAAGGAGAGAGATACAACAGTTCAAACTGTTTCCCTTTCTTTCAGTGATGATCCATCCACTGAGCCTTGTCATCTACAACAAGCTCTGCGTTTGTCAGTCCCAGATGGCCTTTGATTGGCTGAGTGTCATCTGTGTTTCTTTCTGGGTGGAATATTGAGTAATAAAATCTCAAAAGAAATTAACTTATTCACACTGTTGTTAAAGCAAGACATTGGTCTCGCCCTAAACTTCCCATCACACAAGCCTAAGGCATCTGACTCAGTACTTACAACTGCCCTGAGGTAATGTAGTATCTGGTTCACTTTTTAGCCAATGAAGCGTGCTGTGGAGGACAAAGAGCAGCAGAGGCAGGAAGCAGTGACAAGGAGTGAGCTGGGAAATTCCAGCTGCCCTCCTGTCCTACTTACAAGGAATAGGTATGACTCATTTTTAAGATGCAAACAGATGCTGACTTGGCTAACAAAATCCTATGCAAAATGTAACCTCTCTAAGACCTTGTTTCCTTTTCTGGAAAAAATAAAACAGATAAGCTATTATATTTGGACACCTGGATACTATTGTTAAGTACCGGTTTAAAAGAATAGGCATACATGTATTTGTTTTGAATATGCCCTTTCTTATGTCCTTGAAGCCGGCCTTCTGGACCGTATCTTTCTATCAAAGACAAACTCTACAAGAAAAACCTCCACAATCCAGGCTTGGGCTGTGCAGGTGTGTGGTGATCTGCTCCTTAGAGATATGTGGAATTTTCCGGTAACGACGCTAATTAGTATATCCTCGTGTCCACCACCACATAGGATTCCAAACATCTGGTTTATAATCCTGGCTCTGCACTAAATGGCTATGTGGCCTCAGTTTTCTCACCTGTAAAATCAAGAGGTTGGTCCCTTAAGATTTCTCTCTCTTCTCACTTCTTTACTGTTTTATAATTCTAGGACTTAAAAAAATTGAGAATGCATACCTATCTTTTCCATTTACTTATCTACCATAAGAATGAATGCTTATATGGGATACAACATTTTGTGTTTATCGGTTTTCTTTCATTGCAGGGAAAGGAAGGCATGACTGGGGTAATACTGGGTCAAGGATAAGATATAACATGTATTAGAGTTAACAACTATTCCTCGCTTACCTCATTGGGTTGTTATAGTGATCAAATGAGATCGCATCCTTGAGAAGTTTATCATGTATTATTAGTCTCTATTAAAATGTGGTTAATATTACTAGTAATAAAAGTGAACATTTATCTAATAAACATTGGTCAAACACCTTCTACATATCAGGCACTATGGTAAATACTAAAAAGACACTGATCCTGTTTTTCAGGCTCAAAGGAAGTCAAAAGAGCTCAGATAAATTGATGACAATATTTACCCTTAAAATTATTTTTTTCCTTTTTGAGACGTTTGGGCAGAATAAAGGCACAAATTTCTACATGCTATTTTCTTTCTCTATTTTCAAGTACTATGCATCTTTTTAAGTGCCCCATTCTAAACCTGAAGAAAAAAACGACATATCTAAGATTCTGCAAAAGCTCAACTGATTTCAGGCTAGGTGAAGAAATAAAAGATGCTACAGTCTATTAACTGTTGGGACCAAGTATAGTGGCAAGTATTTAATGGGCTCCCCAGCACTGACGAGTGAAAATGGATGATGATAACCTCACTGCAAAGGGTAATAGAAGACTGACCTTGGGCTATGAAAAATGTGTTCTGTAGACTTGTGGCTGCAATTTCAGAGCCCATGATGCCCCTTTCTCACTTTATGCTTCAGTAGCAAAGCATTTACCGGCTTTGAGTTCTTTTAATATAATATGCTGTTTCAGGCCTCTATACATTTTTTTTTTATTCTCTGTTCTTAGCCTGGAACAAGTACAGTTGACTCTGAACAAGTCAGGTTTGAACTGCATGGGTCCACTCATATGAAGATTTCTTTCAACGAAAGCTACCCCGAGTGTGCCTGCCTTTCCTGCCTCCCCTTCCACCTCCTGCACCTCTACCATCCCTGCCACCCCTAAGACAGCAAGGCCAGTCTCTTCTCTCTCCCCCTCCTCCTTCAGCCTATTCAACTTGAAGATGACAAGGATGAAGAGCTTTATGATGATCTACTTCCCCTTAATGAACAGTAAATATATTTTTTCTTCCTTACAATTTTCTTAATAGCATTTTCTTTTCTCTAGCTTACCTTATTGTAAGAATACAGTGTATAATACATAAAACATACAAAATATGTGTTAATAAACTGTTTATGTTATTGGTAAAGCATCTGGTCAACAGTAGGCTGTTAGGAAAGTGTGAGGGTAGTCAAAAGTTAAGCTCAGATTTTTGACTACGCAAGGGTCGGCATCCCTAAACCCCAAGTTGTTCAAGGTCAACTATAATTCCCTATTACTCCTCACTCTTCCTCCCTCCTTCCTCCTCTTCTTCCTTATCCCTTCTCCTTCATTTTCCCCACAGGCTAACTGCAACTCAGCCCACTTCATTTCCTAATTTTTCCTCCTCCCTGCATCCCCCCGAGTCTTTGTGAGATGCTCTTCCCTTCACTCCTGCCAGCCCTATGGCATCATGGCATTATCATGGTGTATGGAGAACTTCTGTCTTATCTGTTTCTCCCACTAACCCAGTGGTTTTCAACTGGAGACAATTTTGCTCCTCAGGGGACATTTGGAAAAGTCTGGAGACATTTTTAATTGTCACTTCTGGGGAAGGGGGTTGATACTGTCATCTACTGAGTAGAAGCCAAGGATGCTGCTAAACATCCTACAGTGCACAGGACAGCCCCTCACAAAAAAGGATTATCAGGCCCCAAAGGCCAATAGTGCTAAGGTTGAGAAACTGCACTAGGCTGAGTTCCTTTAAAATATGACCCTATTCAGCGCTGTTCCAGCAGCTCCACAGACAGTGTCCAGTGCCCAGTAGGAAGGAATCCAAACAGTTTTAATATTACATTTGAAATTTTAATTGAAAAACTCTTCTGACAGCTGTATGTTATAACTAATAAGCAATATGACCACATACCACAATTCAAAGGAAAACCAATATCCAGAGGTAAAGGTGGCTTACACCCATCAGTCTTTGACACTTCCTCCTATCTAGTTCTCTGTATTTCTTCCCTTTCTCCTTTTCTCTTGTCCCTGTGCTCACTGTCCCCCTTTACTGTCATGTTTGTTTGAATTCCACTTCAAAATGGGAATTTGAACAGAGTGCAATAAATTGTCCCACATTTGTTTATTTTAGGAAATCATTGCATTTAATTTTAACATTTAAACATATCAATTAGGCCAGGTGCGGTGGCTCACGCCTGTAATCCCAGCACTTTGGGAGGCTGAGGCGGGCGGATCACGAGGTCAGGAAATCGAGACCATCCTGGCTAACACGGCGAAACCCCGTCTCTACTAAAAATACAAAAAATTAGCCGGGCGTGATGGCGGGCGCCTGTAGTCCCAGCTACTTGGGGAGCCGAGATCGCGCCACTGCACTCCAGCCTGGGAGACAGAGCAAGACTCCGTCTCAAAAAAAAAAAAACTTATCAATTACTGGGTGACATGCTGTGCACTGCAAGAAAAACAAAGATAAATAGGAAACTGGGACTATCCTAACTGGGGGAGATTTCTGTAGCAGTAGAAAAGTAGAGGAAATATAGTTTTATTTCACTAATGTGATTAGGGAATATCTCATGGAGAAAGTCTTCGATTTAGGTCTTCACACATGTTTCATAAAGAATGTTAACACACCACACATAGGTAATAATGTTGTCTTTCCTTACCTGGCATCATTATGAGGGCCACTTTTTGGGGCAATGATTCCTAAATTTCAGCAACTCCTGGAGGGCTTGTGAAAGAAAGCACAGATTGCTGGGTTCTGCCCTCATAGTTTCTGAGGCAGTAGGTCTTCGGTGAAATCAGAAAACTGGTGTTTCTTTTTTCTTTTTTTTTTTGTGACGGAGTCTTGCTCTGTCACCCAGGCTGGAGCGCAATGGCGTGATTTCAGCTCACTGCAACCTCCGCCTTCCGGGTTCAAGCGATTCTCCCGCCTCAGCCTCTGAGTAGATGGGAAACAGTCGCGCGCCATCATGTTTTTGTAGAGGCGGGGTTTCACTCTATTGGCCAGGCTGATCTTGAACTCCTGACCTCAGGTGATCCGCCCACCTCAACCTCCTGAAGTGCTGGGGTTATAGGCGTGAGCCACGGCGCCTGTTTGTTTTTTTTTTTCTAATCAGAGGTTTTGCTCTTGTCGCCCAGGCTGGAGTGCAATGGTGTGATCTTGTCTCACTGCAACTTCTGCCTCCCAGGTTCAAGTGATTCTCCTGCCTCAGCCTCCCAAGTAACTGTGATTTCAGGTGCCCGCCACTACACCCGGCTAATTTTTGTATTTTTAGTAGAGGCGGGGTTTTGCCATGTTGGCCAGGCTGGTCTCAAAACTCCTGACCTCAGGAGTTCGGCCTCCGAAAGTGCTGGGATTACAGGCATGAGCCACTGTGCCCGGCCTAGAAAACTGGTGTTTCCAACAAGTCCTTTGGTGCTGCTGGTGCTACTGCGGGCCTTCTGAGGAGACTTTGAGAACCGCTGCATCAGGATTATCAGCCTGGTAACTCCTGGCCGAAGAAATGCACACCCTTCATTTGGCTAAAAGAAAGAATTTCCAATATTCATAAAGAAAACACAACTTGTGGGTTCTCCAAGCAGGAGAGGAAAAATCATGTTCCAGTCTATTCCTGTAACTAATGAAGGGCTCAGGTTTCAAAGGTAAGTTAATTGTCAGACCCACTTTATTGTACCCAGTGTCCTTGGGAAACATAATTATTTATTGGAAATATGTCACAACTAACATAAGTCTTAAAAATTTGTTAAATTAGAAACAAAATATTGTATTTGCTGATATGTTAAAACATAAGGGCCTAACATTTAGAATTGCACTTCTCATACTCACAACATGTACTCAAAATGCTGTTAACATCTACTTTGATGATTGTTTTGGGTTTACTTGAATCTAATGTTTCCATTTAATAATTCCTTTTTTTTCCCCTTTCCTTTTTTCAATCAATCCTTTCTCTTTTCTATGTTCTATATTCATGTTATCTTAGAATTCCATTTTGGCCTTCTAGGTTCTTTACTTCTTCCTCCAGCCTGTCATTTTCATGTCTTCAGTGATTTCTCAGACTTCTCACAGAAAGTTAACCATTTTTGTGCATCTTGAAACTTTTAACCTTTGATTTGAAGATAAATGCTAATAAATAAATATAATTCTTATGAATACATTATGCACAATGTTAAATTCAAAATGACTGACATGTTTCATGCTGTGTGCTATAGATATGCTAAACTTCATTTCAAACAGACTAAATAAAACACATGGAACTACATGCACTTTTTGTGAACAGCATCTTCATACCTGTTGTTTGTTAATGTCAGCAATTATAAGCTTATAGGTGTGTTTTTCAAGTGATCACTGAAAATAAATGTAGTATGTCTATTGGCAGAACCACTCACACCTACTAATTATTTGAAAAACATGCTCAAACACACAGTAGTGCCTTCTAGAGAAAGCATAGTATAGTCCTCCCTCATTTCCAAGGACAAGAATTCATTTCTTTAAGCTTTCTTCACGAAAGAATGCAATAAAAGAGGAGGAAACTGGGACTTGATTGAAGAAATATCTCTACTGGGAGCATGAACTAATAATGAGTGACTCTAAGAAATCTCTCACAGGCATTTTTATTTTTGGCTTTTGTTGTTGTTGTTTGGTTGGTTTTCATTTGTTTTTTATTTTTATTTTTTATTTTATTTTTATTTTTTGAGGCAGAGTCTCGCTCTGTCACCCAGGCCAGAATGCAGTAGCACTGTCGTGGGTCACTGCAGTCTTTGCCTCCCAGGTTCAAGTGATTCTCCTGCCCCAGCCTCCTGAGTAGCTGGGATTACAGGCACCTGCCATCATGCCCAGCTAATTTTTGTATTTTTGTAGAGACGGGGTTTCACCATGTTGACCAGGCTGGTCTTCAACTCCTGACCTCACGTGATCTGCCTGCCTCAGACTCCCAGCTGTTTTTTTATTTTTTAATTTTAATTTCATTTTTTATTTTTTGGGGGACAGGGTCTCACTCTGTCACTCAGATTGGAGTGCAGTGGTGTGATCTCAGCTCACCGCAACCTCCGCCTCCTGGGTTCAAGCGATTCTCCTGCCTCAGTCTCACGAGTAGCTGGGATTACAAGTACACACCACTACCGCCCAGCTAATTTTTGTATTTTTATTAGAGATGGGGTTTCACCATGTTAGCCAGACTGGTCTTGAACTCCTGACCTCAAGTGAGCCACCCACCTCAGCCTCCCAAAGTGCTGGGATTACAGGCGTGAGCCACCGCGCCCAACCTGTTTTTTCTTTTTACCGTCACTAAAACAAAGGCAGCACATGCAATTGTCAGTGCCATTTGGCATCTTAAATTAAGACTGAAGACTGCAAAATCCATTTCCTGTTTTCATCCCCTGCTTAATATGAATTTTTCAAAAGACCACTTCCCCTAAGTTACAATAAGAAAATTAGAAATTAATTTGCTTTATCACAAATGGCTTGCATGCTGAGGCATTGTTTAAATGTGTCTGGTCCTTTCTGATTTTTATAACTTAGAGCTGTAAGTCCTGTCATTTCAGTTTACACCATAGTTTTAGGGACACAGAAATTTAAAAGCGAATGTCCGGAAGGCTCTCTGGAATGCTGGCCTACTTTGCACAACTGAGGGGCTATTGTTCAAATCTTTTCTGTAGTATACATGTTAATATATCTTGGGCTCTTTCCAGAAGTTATTCTGGCTAAAGGACATCGGAAGCACATCTGAGTTCTCATTCTAATAAAGAAAAGAATGTAGTACCAAGGCAGTAGTTGCTTTCTCAGCTGTCTTTACCTCCTCCAATGTTTTACTGGAAAAACCTCCTCATTTATTTATATTTATATACCAATCATGACATCTATCTGGTGATAACCATGTGCTAGGTTTTGTAAGCATTATTCCATTTATTTATTTATTTATTTATTTATTTTGAGATGGAGTCTCGCTCTGCCACCTAGCTTGGAGTGCAGTGGCGTGATCTCAGCTCACTGCAACCTCCACCTCCAGGGTTCAAGCGATTCTCCTGCCTCTGCCTCCTGAGTAGCTGGGATTACAGGGGCACACCACCACACCTGGCTAATTTTTGTATTTTTTGTAGAGACGGGGTTTCACCATGTTGGTCAGGGTGGTCTCAAACACCTGACCTTGTGATCCGCGCGCCTCGGCCTCCCAAAATGCTGGGATTACAGGCGTGAGCCACTGCACCTGGCCTATGTTAAAACTACCTTATGAGCTAGTTATTAGTGCCATCCTCATTTTATGTATGAGGAAATGGAGGTTTGTAGAAGTTTAGTACCTTGCCCAAGGTTGCACAATTAATGAGTGATCAGGGGAGGATTGGAACCCACTTTTGACACCCGAGCCAGAGCCCTTAGGCACCAAGCTGGGCCACCATTCTCCTTACTTCTTTTTTTCCAAGTGTTCTCAATAAAAGTGACCTGCAATTTGCTGATATGGAATTGGAATTCCATATCCTATAATCTGTCAAAAGATGGTACAGAGACAAAAGGATAAAAGGAAGGAGGAGGATAAGAAAAACATGAGCTCTGCCCTGAAATAATGGAAAACTGGACACACATGTTAAGCAACTGAAACCCACACATCAGAACAATAAAACCAGTGCCATAGGTTCTAGGTAAATGTCTGTGGAACTAAATGTGAGATCAAATAAGATCTAGAAGCACTAAGGGGGTCTAATTATGGACATGAACAGCATTTGTGAAAAGTTTGTTAAGAAAATATGGATTTCTTCTTTACAGTAGTAAACTGTAACTCTCCACACTACTTCCCCCATCATCCAAAAGTTCCAAAGGTCATGTGAAAATTGTGAATATTAAATAAAGGATCCAGCTTAAGAAACCAATTTATTACAGTGAGAACTGTCATAATTCAACTAAATGTTTATTGAATGCGCACTATATGTATGCACTGCACAGCAGATATTTTGAAGCCTTAATTTGTTCACAATATTGGCAGAAATTCCTAAATAACTATTCACACTGTAGTCAGTATAAAAACGGTAGTCCATGAAAACACATTTCTAAGCTTATTTCTCTAAATTGGAAACATTTTGAATTAGGGTAAGAATTTGTGAAATAAAGTACCCATTTATTTCTGCTATTTAGTGTTTTAAATTTAAAGCAAGCTATGTCTTCTTCAAAAACATAGTCTTTAACATTGTTTTCTGAATTTAGTATGTTTAAAAATATGTGAAAAACCAAAATGGGCTATGAATTCCCATATGTCACAGTTAACTCATTCGAACCTAGAATCTTCTTCCTACAGTGGAAAACTATAAAACTCTCTCCTTTTAAATAGTCTTCACTATATTTGAAAGTTTAAGAGATCACATTTCATCATCATAAATACGAAGCACTTGATTCTACTGACAAGCCATTTTTCACAATGTTTATTAATAAAATGATCTTAAAAATAGAGAACCTAGGCCAGGCACAGTGACTCATGCCTGTAATCCCAGCATTTTGGGAGGGAGATCACTTGGGGGAGGGGGGCAGATCACTTGGGGTCAGGAGTTTGAGACCAGCCTGGCCAACATGGTGAAACCCCTTCTCTACTAAAAACACAAAAATTAGCCAGGCATGGTGGTGCATGCCTGTAATCCCCACTACTTGGAGGCTTAGGCAGGAGAATCGCTTGAACCCAGGAGAGAGAGGTTGCAGTGAGCCGAAGTCGCACCACTGCACTCCAGCCTAGGTGACAGAGAGAAACTCCATCTCAATAAATGATAATAATAATAAAGAACCCATACACTGTTTCTCAACCTGAAAACATTTTTATCTTGGCAGAAATCAACAATATCATAAAAGAATGGACTCATGAAATGAAATCTGGTTTTCAACAATCAATACCTATAACATCAAAGGGCTAAGATAAGCACAAATTTTAGAAAAGATGGTTATGCACCATGCAAATGTGCGTATGAGAAAGGGTTCTACAAACAAGTGGGACAGAGGTAGGAAAAGAAGGTCATTTTTGTGGATGCCTGGTAGTGCTATTTCTTTTTTAGCTCATGACTAAATATATTGCTCTTTACTTAAAACACCTCAATGGTTTCTCATTGCCCGCATTATAAAATCCAATCCCTTACCATAGCTCTCAGTGTCCTGAATGGAATTCCCCTCTCCAACTTCATTCCCTAGCATTCTCCGAAATACTCCCTGAAATTTTGTCATACTAGCTTTCTAGTATGTAGTGGTTCTCCAAATAGACCATGGGAAAAACTGCAAGGACTTTCATCTAGCGAATAAAAATCTGGTTTATGCTCCTTGTTTTTACACACAATTTTTCCTAACTGAAACAGCCTTCTTTAACTATTGCACCCTCACAACCAAGGCTAAGAGAGTCTTCTGTGAAGCCATCTCGAACCACTTTCCCAAAAGCCGCTACACTCTTTCCTTTGTGTCAGACAGTATTCCTTTTACATTATTTATTGTGCTTATTACCCACTTAATTCCCTTTTAAGTTGGAGAAGTCGTCATGCCAGAGTCTGTGACTTAATTATCTTTGCATCTCAGGCTCTAGCACAGTTTCAGACATATCATAGAAGTTTGATAAAACTTCAGTGTTGTACTGATGTTGAATCTTATGTAGACATAAAACGTACATTTGAAAATCATCTCGGTCAGGTGCAGTGGCTCACGCCTGTAATCCCAGCACTTTGGGAGGCTGAGGTGGGCGGATCACAAGGTCAGGAGTTCGAGACCAGCCTGACCAACATGGTGAAACCCAGTCTCTACTAAAAATACAAAAATTAGCTGGGCGTGGTGGCGGTCCCCTGTAATCCCAGCTACTCAGGAGGCAGAGGCAGGAGAATCGCTTGAACCCAGGATGTGGAGGTTGCAGTGAGCCAAGATCCACCATGGCACTTCAGGCTGGGTGACACAGCAAGATACCACCTAAAAAAAAAACCTCTGTATTTCAATAGTTATCATTTTTATTTTTATCTCCCTACAATATCTATATATATTTTCCCTCTGTTCCACCTTCTCTCATATCAAAACTTTTTGCTTTTCTAATGGGTATATTCAGCTGGCTTCATTGTACAGCATTATAACAGCTAGCAAAAGAACACAATCTGTGGAAACAGTTAAGCTCACCTCTTTTTTTTTTTTTTTTTTTTTTGAGACAGTCTCACTCTATTGCTCAGGCTGGAGTGCAGTGGTGCTATCTTGGCTCACTGCAACCTCCCCTTCCCAGGTTCAAGCGATTCTCGTGCCTCAGCCTCCTGAGTATCTGGGATTACAGGTGCCTGCCACCATGCCCAGCTAATTTTTGTATTTTTAGTAGAGACGAGGTTTCACCATGTTGGCCACGCTCGTCTCAAACTCCTGACCTCAAATGATCCATCCACCTTAGCCTCCCAAAGTGCTGGGATCACAGGTGTGAGCCATCGCACCTGGCCAGCTCACTTCTTAAGAAGTAAAGTTGTCCAAAATTTTAAAATTATTAAATACGTGTATGCGTGTATGTTTGAGTACAACTATTATTACATAATTTGGAATGGAGGAGTGAGCTAAAGTTATGTTTCAGTCATGAATCAAGATCTGTCCCACAAAGGTTATCACAAAACTACCAGTAAAATGATAATGAATATTCACCCAAATGTCTATTACCTTCATTAGTTTGTGGATACAAATAATGTCAAATTTTCAGTTAAATTTGGACTTGTGGATGGGCACAGTGTCTCACACCTATAATCCCAGCACTTTGGGAGGCCGAGGCAGGCAGATCACCTGAGTTCAGGAGTTTGAGAGATGCTGAAACCCCATCTCTATTAAAAATACAAAAAAAATTAGCCAGGCATGGCAGCACACACCTGTGGTCCCAGCTACTTGGGAGGCTGAGGCAAGAGAATTGCTTGAACCTGGGAGGCAGAGGTTGCAGTGAGCCGAGACTGTGCCACTGTGCTTCAGCCTGGGCCACAAAGCGAGACCCCATCTTAAAAAAATAATAAAAAATAAATAAATTTGGACTTGCTCTTGAAGGATTCCAGATCCTTTCAGACTGTTCTTTCTTCCCTGAGTTGCCCAGTGTGGCAGAATCACTAAGGAATGTCTTACAAATCATTCGTGGTCATCACACACCGACACCTACATTGGTGCTGCTGTTAACAGTGCCAGAACTGTGCAGACACTGCACCTACCTCGCTTTTGTCTTTTATTTTGTTTTTGTTTTGTTTTGTTTTTGCCCTCCCAAGATTGTTTCCAGTCAATAATGTTCACAAAGAGAGACAAGTGAAAGAATCTGCTCGGTGTGTTATGCTCTCCTTGGGGGTTCTCAGAAATGGTGGACAGCAGTGAGAAGAATGCAAAAAAAAAAAAAAAAAAAATCAGGGGCCTGGGACGTAGGGTTACAAAGACAGTGAAAAACACATTTTTTTTTCTCTCTTCTTAGAGTGACATACAGGGTGAATTTATCAGGGTTAATTTCAAGTATTAGCTGCCACACTTTAATATTTCTCTCACTTTCACAGACCCTCTGTCCTTTGGCCTGTACTGGAGTCTGACTTGTCCAGCAGCACATTGTCCTCGTGGTGAATTCTCTTATCAGGTACTCCCTCTAAGACTTAATAAAATCGGTCAGCTTGTGCTCCCACCTCCAAAACATATACACCCCAGCCCCAAATCCACCAGACAAACCTGTGTACATCTGAACCCCAGTTGTGAACTATCCTTAAGTTGTTCACTTTTTCTTTCAGGAAGTTTCTCAATATCCTCTTTTTTTTAAATTTTATTATTATTATACTTTAAGTTTTCGGGTACATGTGCACAATGTGCAGGTTTGTTACATATGTATACATGTGCCATGTTGGTGTGCTGCACCCATTAACTCGTCATTTAGTATTAGGTATATCTCCTAATGCTATCCCTCCCCCCCTCCCCACACCCCACAACAGTCCCCGGAGTGTGATGTTCCCCTTGCTGTGTCCATGTGTTCTCATTATTCAATTCCCACCTATGAGTGAGAATATGCGGTGTTTGGTTTTTTGTCCTTGAGATAGTTTGCTGAGAATGATGGTTTCCAGTTTCATCCATGTCCTACAAAGGACATGAACTCATCATTTTTTACAGCTGCATAGTATTCCATGGTGTATATGTGCCACATTTTCTTAATCCAGTCTATCGTTGTTGGACATTTTGGTTGGTTCCAAGTCTTTGCTATTGTGAATAGTGCTGCAATAAACATACGTGTGCATGTGTCTTTATAGCAGCATGATTTATAGTCCTTTGGGTATATACCCAGTAATGGGATGGCTGGGTCAAATGGTATCTCTAGTTCTAGATCCCTGAGGAATCGCCACACTGACTTCCACAATGGTTGAACTAGTTTACAGTCCCAACAGTGTAAAAGTGTTCCTATTTCTCCACATCCTCTCCAGCACCTGTTGTTTCCTGACTTTTTAATGATCGCCATTCTAACTGGTGTGAGATGGTATCTCATTGTGGTTTTGATTTGCATTTCTCTGATGGCCAGTGATGATGAGCATTTTTTCATGTGTTTGTTGGCTGCATAAATATCTTCTTAAGATCAGTAATTACAAAGATAGACTCCTAGGGAAGTGGAGTATCATCTAACTCTAGGCCACCAAACTATCCAAAATTCAGCCATGAATCAGAGGTGAATCCCTTCACAACAGTAATTGCCACTGTAAGAAATATGTTAATTATTAGCATTTGTAGCTTTGCTAAAGAGCATTCCCATTAAAAAGGCCAGAATTTGAATTAGACATTCATTGTAAAATTAAATGACAAGAAAGTCATGAAACCGTATGCGTTTGGTTTTCTCTGTCTAGTGAAACATAATTCTCCTTTTCTCTTAACATTGGCAAATTTTATTGATATAGTTGTTACAGGAACCTTCTTCTTTTGATGGACGGCTTTGGTTTGAGCAGTTTTCCTTCTGCCACTGTGCCACATGTAAATATTAACTGTGATGTAACCTACTCTATAAACTGAGGTTTTAAATTCAAGAGCTAATTTTAATCCTGGTTATGTCAATGAGATTTCATTGAAGATAAACATAGCCTGCTGAATTTTTATGTCAATAGAGTGAAAACAGTAGAGTATATATGCAGTTACCAAATTAGAAAGAAATTTTATTTATTTGTTTGTTTGTTTGTTTGTTTTTGGGTTTTGCTTTGTTTTTGTTTTTGTTTTTGAGACAGTGTCTTGCTCTGTCGCCCAGGAGGGCAATGGCATGATCTCGGCTCACTGCAGCCTCTGCCTTGTGGGTTCAAGCAATTTTCATGTCTCAGCCTCCCGAGTAGCTGGGATTACAGGCCTGGCTTTTTTTTTTTTTTTTCCTGGTATTTTTAGTAGAGATGGGGTTTTTCCCTGATGGCCAGGCTGGTCTCAAACTCCTGGCCTCAAGTGATATGTCCACCTTGGCCTCCCAGAATGCTGGAATTACAGGCGTGAGCCACCGCACCCAGCCAGAAAGAGGTTTTTTAATCCCTCCACTTTGAATTCTCCAGTCTTCCAATGTTACAATAGCTCCTCTTTGGACAAAGTATTGGGATAAAGGTCAGATATTTCAGATGACCAAATGGAAAAAAGCACTAAAGCAATTTTCTAGCAAATGTATCTGAAATATTATTCATTATACAGTTTGGGTATCCACAGTGATTGAATTTACTAAACCATTTATTTTGTGTGGTTACACTTTGACATTATAGGTCAGATCAAAATGACACACAAGAGCAACAGAAGGCCATTTGCTCAAAGTACATGTGTATTTATCTTTCTGCTCTAAATGCTTCCAAATATTACAGTTGTTGAGGGTAGAGCCAGTTGAGGGTTTTGTTTGTTTGTTTGTTTGTTTAAGTTAAGGAACAAGGTAGAGCAAGTATTCACCCATTGTCCTGAGAAAAGAGCATAGGCCTTTGGTTTTTTTCCAGGAGCTGAGTAAATCTGCCCATATCCTGATAAGCAGAGGTTTTTCTTGGGATGGAGGTGGGCCAATCTGCCTAAAGATCCCAGTCCCTGAACTCCGGACAATATTCAAAATGAAAAATTATAATCATGGAAACTAAAGTACAAAATTGGCAGTGTCTTTGAGGACAGGTGATGCAGGGCTACCACCTGGGTTTAAATGTTTGAGAGAGGGCTTGTTTGAGCAGGTGACTAATGCTGGAAGCTCCCCCACCCTAGGCACCTTAGCATAGTAGGTGGACTTGATAGCACAAAAGTGTAAACTAAGCCTGGCATGGTGGCTCAAGCCTGTAATCCCAACACTTTGGGAGGCTGAGGCGGGCAGATCACCTAAGGTCAGGAGTTTGAGACCAACCTGGCCAACATGGCGAAATCTCATCTCTACTAAAAATTCACAAATTAGCCAGGTGTGGTGGCACGCACCTGTGGTCCCAGTTACTCAGGAGGCTGAGGCATGAGAATCACTCAAAACCAAGGACGGGCAGAGGTTGCAGTAAGCTGGATCCCACCACTGCACTCCAGCCTGGGCAACAGAGTGAAACTCTGTCTCAAATAAATAAGTAAATAAATAAATATAAATAAAAAAATAAAAGTGTAAACTAAAATGTGTTGTTCCCCTGGGACCCAACCCAAGGCCTGGTCAAGGACCCAGGCCAACCAGCCCATTCTAGTAGCAGTGTAGACTGCATGGAACCAATCTTCATTTATGATATCAAGTAGCAAGAAGCAACAGCTCAGACCTAACACCACCATCACCATCACCATCTTTGAACTGGGATTTTTACACTATTTGGAGGAGTGGAATCACAACAAGAAATACTAGATTCTTGCTAGTAAGTCTTATGGGGGCTAGAATGGTCAATTCAAATAATTTTTTAAAAATATATGAACATATTTATACCCTAAGTTTGTACATCAGGACCTACTGTTTATATAGTTCCAAATAATCTGTTATTTATAGTTATCTTGTTTTTTTCCTTTTCTACAGGCTAATTGGATCATTTATACTAAACAAATAGTTGCATTATTATCAGGGAAGAATTTATGAAGTTCTAAATAGAAGGTAGAGAGCATCTATTTACCAGTGTTAGCTTTTTAATGCTCTGAGGAAAGATAATTGGTAATTGGCAACTCTGCTTTTTTTTTTTTTTTTAAAAAACCTACTCAAACATTTTGATGAAGAAAATTTTTTTACTAAAAAAAGGGAGGGACAATAGCAAAAACAGAGATAAATAGGCAGCTTTATTGGTTGACTTTCTATGTATTAAAAGCATCTCTCTGACTCTGCAGGTATGTATAAATTTGTGGTTATGCATAGGAAAGCTTAAGTATTTCACACTTAAGGTCAAGTACTCAGATGGCCATAGTTTGCAAAAGGGCCACATGTACATTTGAATTCAAAGTATAAGTATCTGCTTAGATAAACTTTTAATTAAATGTTTGATGTTTGACTTTTCCTTGCCAGATAAATAAAATCCAGCCGCTGACTAATTAAGTAGAAAACTTGAGCACTGAGACAGGACACAGAAAAACAAAAATAATTTATCCAGTGATTTTGCCTTTCTTAGTGA
Source organism: Homo sapiens (assembly GCF_000001405.40). Taxonomy (NCBI): domain Eukaryota; kingdom Metazoa; phylum Chordata; class Mammalia; order Primates; family Hominidae; genus Homo; species Homo sapiens. The sequence continues at coordinate 72,510,056 of NC_000009.12, read as the reverse complement.
GGCCAGGATATGTTACAGGGGGTGAATTTGCTTCAGATTGAAGTGTTTGAAGAGTATGAACCACCAAAAACACAGATTCAACTCATGTAAGAATCCACAAAGGTACACACACACATATTCCTCAAAAACATCAGACATTAAATGTCTAGGGTTTTAAATATATATCAGTTCTTAAAATGGCTCCACAGAAATGACAAATCCGAAAATCTAACTAGTGGCTAAGGCCTCTATTTTATGACTCAGACTTTCTGTTCCTGTCAGAGGAATGGAAGGAGAGCAATACCTTTTAGTTTAGTTTCTCTCCAAACCTACTTATCAGCTAAGATTACAATGAAGGTCACAATTATAAAATGGTTGAATTCTCTTTATTTTAGGCAGTGGAAGATATACTTTGATTGTTTTATTTAATTTCCTTCCCAGGGAAAAGCCATTAATGCATTTCTTATTTTTTTAGAGCTTATTTTTCAAATCCACCTGGATCATTCAGTGCCTTTTCTTGCTTTGGGGATAATTTTAGAAAATCTATTGCAAGCAGATCATGAAGAGGATAAAGAAAATGCAGTCAGTTTGTTCCAAGTCCTTCAGTTCGCTGCATTTTATTGTGTTATAAATTTCATATATTCAGCTTGGACTCTCCTCTAGCTCCTCTGTCCCACCTCCCTCCCACACTCATCTGAAAGATAAAAATATGTGAGTGCTGTCTTTTTCTACTCAGACTTTTACAGAGTAACAGTAATAGCTTTGAAAATCTTCCAGTATAATTAATCTAACCTGTGACATCATTTAACTGTAGTGACTCACATTTGTGTAGTACTTCAGACATTACAATATTTTCTTATTTGAGACTTGCACAGCACAATGAGAAAGATAAAGAAGGAATTGCTAATATTTCTGTTACACAATGGAGAAAATTGTGCCTCATAGGGCCCGATGATGGCCCAAAATCAGCTAGTAAGTGGAAGGGCTGGTTTGCCTACTTTGACTATACTACTTTGCCTCTTTCCAACTAGTTGTTATGTGACTTTCCATCTAGCATGTTTTCAACATATTCAGCATTTATGTTTCTCTCATGAAACATAAGTAGGAAAACAATAAGCAAAATAGAAGAGAGAATTTAGAGAATTCTCTAGATAGGTTGCCTATTGCCCTGGATAGAAGTACCCATTTTGATCTTCATAAAGATTGCACATAAGCCTTTACATAAAATATCATACATATCTCACAACTAAAATTCAAATATCAATTAATATTCAGAGCAGGAAAAGTTAGTAGCCCAAGAAATTGTTCTTGGATTCTATGCTTCAGACCTGTCAGTCTGAGTCAAGGTAAAAACTCTTAACTTTATTGATGGTACTAGTGCTTCAGCGTCAATAAAAATATGTTGGTAATTCCACAAATATTTTCAGATTTCATATGTTTTTGCATTTCATGAACTCCTTAACGCCTAAGCCCAGTTCTTATTTGCCCTTATATCATTGCAGATAACCTCAGTGCCTTGAGCATAATAAATATTCTGTACCTGTTTGATTTGTTGTTAAGCACTTGACAGATACCTGTAAGGCACCATAGTTTCTAACTTAAGCTGACTAGTCACTATGGATCTCGACAGGACCCTGAACAAAACTCCATTGTTGATCCTATTTTGCACCTAGACACAATTATTCTTTGGTAGATTCACATAATAAAGGTTATGTTTGCAATCCTATTTCTAACCAAAGCATTAAACTGAGTCTTTAACTTATCGATCACTATAACTTGATAATGAACCTCTGTGTGTGTGTTTGTCTGTGTGTGTCTGTGTGTGTGTGTGTGAAAGGATGGAGAAAACTAGAAATAGGCATGTGTGTTTTTCTGTGCTATTTGCTAGAATGGCAAATTTTTCTTCATTATTTTTCTGCAAAACAATTTGTAGAAAAACATTTTTCATTATTTTTCTACAAAACAGTTCTCGGCCAAATAGGTTTGCTTTAAGTTAAGATTAAAAAAGGAAAAAGACTATATTATATATTTAAATATTTATAATATATTACATATAAAAATATTTAACATATATTTATATATTACATAATATATCTTACGTATACAGCACATGTCTGCATACATATATACATACGTATGCATGTGTGCATGTGTGTGTATATACATACATATATATACACACATATATACACACATATATATACACACATACACACACACACACACACACACACATATATATACACACACACACACTTTCCAAAAGAAATCTTAAAAGGGCCTATTTGGGGAATCTATTTGTACTGTTCATTTTCATCTCAAGGCTCATAAACATGTATAGACAACATCTGTAAATATGAAAGAGAACAAGTATTATCCCTCAGAAAACACTATAGCAATTAAGATTTTTTCCACCCAAAGCATCACGAATCAACCCTGGCTAAGCAAAAGGGGTTTTGGTGGCCGGGCGCGGTGGTTCACGCCTGTAATCCCAACACTTTGGGAGGCCGAGGTGGGTGGATCACCTAAGGTCAGGAGTTCAAGACCATCCTGGCCAATATGGCAAAACCCCATCTCTACTAAAAATACAAAAATTAGCTAAGCGTGGTGGTACGTGTCTGTAATCCCAGCTACTCAGGAGGCTGAGGCAGGAGAATCGCTTGAACCAGGGAGGCAGAGGCTGCAGTGAGCCGAGAAAGCACCATTGCACTCCAGTCTAGGCAACAAGAACTAAACTCCATCTAAAGAAAAAAAAAAAAGATGTGGGGGTGGAGTTTGTTATGAAGATGTCAGATAGTACACAGAATCTACAGGTAGCCTAGAGAACCAAACTCAGAACTAAAACAAGGCAGAATCCCAGGCCACCGGTTTACTTGACCTTTTCAGTCTGCTGCAACTGGAATAAATAAATGACCATCGACCATTGAATGTCGCTGTTTTTTCCACAAGTCACTTCACTTGATGTTCAGAGAAAGAGAACACAACTGGCTTAGCATTGGCCACAGGTTCACACCTTAAGTTTGGGATTGAGGAAATTATGCAGCGTCAATCAAATGATATGAGGTTGAGGAATGGGTGGAGTCCGAAATGAGAGTGAGGACTATGCCTGGGACTGGACTGAAGGCTCCTGGGTGGCCATACCTCTTCACATAGCTAGGATCACCCATCCCCTTGTGCTACCCTTACAGGTTTTTTACATGCATGTACCTTTTTCTAAAATGCCCCCATATAACACAATGGAACTCCTTTGCTGAATGCTCACTCATCACTTCCTCAAAAGCAGATCATCTAAATTGCTATTACTTCATGCACTTTTTTTTCCAAGTACAGGATCTCCTGCGAGACATCAATTTCCCCTCTAGTTTCATCATGATTCTACCTTAACGTATAGTAAGTTATGGTTAAACTGAGTATGGGTTGAATTGTGCCCCCTCAAAATTCATATACTGAAGTTCTAACCCCTAGTAATTCAGAACATGACCTTATTTGATGACAGAGTCTTTACAGAGGTAATCAAGTTAAAGTGAGGTCACTAGGGTGGGCCCTAATCCAGTATCACTAGTATCCTTATAAAAGGGGGAAGTTTGGGCTCAAAGACACACACAGAGAGAGGTAAGACAATGTGAAGAATCATAGGGAGAAATAACCATCTACAAGCCAAAAAAAGAGGCCTGTGACAGATTTTTCATCACAGTCCTCAGAACAAACCAACCCTCCAATACCTTGATTTTGAATTTATAGCCTCCGGAACTGTGAGGATAATAAATTTCTGTTGTTTAAGCCACCTCATTTATAGTACTTTGTTATGACAACCCTAGCAAACTAATATGTCATCAGAACACTCTTCATATAATAATGGGGGGGATCATTACAATTATAAATAAACATATATCAAGAAATTTAAGGCCAGGCACATGCCTGCAATCCCAGCACTTTGGAAGGCCAAGGCAGGTGGATCGCTTGAGCTCAGGAGTTTGAAACCAGCAAGCAGCATGGCGAAACCCCCTCTCTACAAAAAAAAAAAAACACACACACACACAAAAATTAGCTGGCCGTGATGGCATGCACCTGTAGTCCCAGCTACTCAGGAGGCTGAGGTGAGAGGATCGCTTGAACATAAGACATGGAGGTTGCACCGAACCAAGATCGTGCCACTGCACTCCAGCCTGGGCAAGAGCCAGACCCTGTCTCAAAACAAATAAAAGAAAAAGAAATATACAGCTGTATGATACAGGAAGGGAGGTGAATAAAGTAAAAATACCCTTTACATTCATTAACCTATACTTTTAGGGGATACGTCAGGGGGACAATTCCCTCAGAATGTATTAATTTCCTACAGATTTCAGGTATACCAATGTCTTGAAAGAAAGAGCTGGCAGTACTCTGCAAATGTTGACATACTTTATGAGAAGTTCAGTCTCTTTGGGTTCAAACTCATAAAAATATCAATGTCGTCTGATGTTACTTCCTGGGCTAGAGAGATTCCTGATATGAGAAATTTTGATCACTCATAACTAAACAAAATTCCTAGATTTTTAAGATTTCCCCATTTATACTTAGACCCAATTTATAGTCAACAAACATTTATGAAGCACTAATTACTGCCATACCCTGTGCTTGAAACTAGAGGATACAGTAACATCATTTCTACTTTCAAAGAACTCAGTCCAGAGTAGGAAATGAATAAATAAACAAATGACTTTAATATAATATATTCAGATTATGATGAGGATAAGCAGAGTGTTATGGGGACCCAGTGAAAAGGCAAGTTGGTAGGTTTGGGGCACAGGGCTTAGAAAAGGCTTCTAACAGATTCACTGATAAAGCCAGAAGCAGGATTGATTTCTGACCATATGCAGCATCAAAGGAGAGTGCCCACATCTCAAAACCCAAAATCACTACAGAAGCAAAAACAAAACACACCAGCAAGACAAATGCTAGGTATTTTTCATTCAATAGGTACCCTGGGAATAGAACCAAGTTTATTGATGTTAAGCTATTTGATTAAACATACATCAACTCAATAACGCCAGTTTATTCAATATCACTTTAAAACATGTCCAGAGAGGGTTTGCAAAGGTGCTGGCAAGGAGGTGCTGTGGCAACAGGAGGTGAGAGGGGACTTTTTGGGTACACAGCTCTTCGTCAGTCGAAGGTCTGCTTCTCCACCCCTTTGTTTTTTTTCTGTATGCAAAACATGGAGCTCTTGTCCCCCTCTGATTTCCTCACAGGTACATATAGCCCTGTTGAGCTTTTGGGGTGCTACATCAAATCTTGGGTTCCCTCTTCAGCTTTATGCTCCAGTCATGGATTAGCCCATACCCACATGATTCAGGCTACTCCATTTCTTCCTTGATCACTCACACACTAGGAGCACAGGACAAAAGAGTGCTGCCCAGCTTCTCCCATCTCACCCTTACCCCACTCCTGCTCACAGGCCCCACAAGGCCACCTCGGGACATCAGATCCCAGCTGATGCCAAGTGGCCACAGATCATGTGTAACTGGGCATTTTACTCACAATCTCACACTTGAGAAATGCATCAATTTCTCAAATACTTCTGTGTGCATAGGAACATAACAACAAGTTGTTATCTACCAAGGTATTTCAAAGGAAGAAAATTTAAAACAGGCTTATAGGCAAACCCCTATGCTGAGAACAATATCTTGGATGTAGTACCTCCCTTAAAATGTTTCTTATTGATTTATGCAGACAAACAGTATCCTGCACAGTTTCTGGGCAACATAGACATGTTGACTACTTACAGACTTTTTTGTGCATAAATTTGGGTAGTTAAATTACAAAAAAGCATTGGGGAAGGCAGGCCACTGAGAATGAGAGTGGGAAATAGCGCACTGCTAGATGTGTTTTACATATATTCCTTCCATGCTGTTTTTCTCTGATTATTACAAGCAGGGAAAAATTAAATCTGTCACACTAGGTGCTTCGTTACCCAAGGGCAGAAAAGAGGTCTATGCATATTTGTCCAATACAAAATATGTTCCCAGGAACCTTCTATTTATTCATTCATGGACTTAGCAAGCATGTTCTCAACACCTCAGGTATATATTTGATACTAATTTGTTATTTCCAAGTTCCAAGAAAAAAAAAACAAGTTGCTTCAAAGAGAAGGAATAACTAATTAAATAACTATCAGTAATGACCGCAGACTTAATTACATAATATCTAAAAACTGCCATGCAAAATCAGAGCTCAATTTTAAAATAAGCATTATGAATCACATTGATGATTGGCATTAGAGAAACAATCACTCAGAGAAGTAGGGAAATCAGCTCTTCTCTTGGACTCGGGTTCAACCTGAATCCATGTTTACCAAGGCATTGACAAAAGTGAGGGATGATTTAATTTTTTTTTTTTTTTGAGACGGAGTCTTGCTCTGTTGCCCAGGCTAGAGTGCCGTAGCACAATCTCAGCTCACTGCAACCTCTGCCTCCCGAATTCAAGCAATTCTTCTGCCTCAGCCTCCCAAGTAGCTGGGATTACAGGCGCCCGCCACCGCACCCAGCTAATTTTTGTATTTTTAGTAGGGATGGGGTTTCACCATCCTGACCTCGTGATCCACCTGCCTCAGCCTCCCAAAGTGCTGGGATTACAGGCACGAGCCACCACGCCCAGCTAAAATATTTAATATTTTTAATGGAGGTTTCTGCTCAGTTTTTAGGATACATACACATGGTGGTGCACATACTGTAAACTGAGTGAAGCAAACAGAAGAACTATTCCATCTGGATAAATTAAGATGGGATAAGCCAGGTACAGTGGCTCATGCCTGTAATCCCATGACTTTGGGAGGCCAAAGCTGGCGGATCACTTGAGGTCAAGAGTTCGAGACCAGGCTGGCCAACATGGTTTAACCACATCTCTACTAAAAGTACAAAACTTAACAGGGCCTGGTGGCATGCACCTGTGGTCCCAGCTACTCAGGAAGTTGAGGCACGAGAATTGCTTGAACCCAGGAGACAGAGATTGCAGTGAGCCGAGATCAAGATTGTGTCACTCTACTCCAGCCTGGGTGACAGAGTGAGACTCCATCTCAAAAAAAAAAAAAGACAGAAAGAAAGAAAGGATAGGCAGGTGCTAGTAGCCTAAGAAGCTACATCCCTAAGATGATGAGAGGGTAAACACCACAGAAAAGGCCTGATTCGTAACACGAAGTCTGACCAAAAGTAAAAGGACTCGCCTTACCTTTCCATCAGCAAAGCAAAAGCTGCAGCCATAACAGGTGCAATGGGTACTTCCCAATCACTTGTCCCAGTTTTCCCTGTCTGGAGAAAGAATCAACCTCTTGTTTTTTGTTGAAGAGAGTAGTATTTCTACACTTGAAGTCTAATTTTGCTGTCAGCAAGAAGGGATGTGACTATTTTATAGTCAGAAATAATATCTCAGAGTTTATGGGTACTCTGTTAAGGGGGTAGATTCATGAAGAGCTCCTGGGATGAAGTCAGATGATACTTAGTTAATATCAAGTCTGACATAGCTGGGAGAATACAAATAATCTCCTTTACTTCTCTGAGCCTCAGTTTCCTCCTCTCTGTAAGAAGGCATTTAAATAACAGAATAATAAAGATGTTTAGCTGTGGAGTCAGACAGATCTAGGTCCTAGCCCTGGTTCTGCCACTTGCTAGTCGGATATTCTTGGATGAGTTATTTAACCTCCCTGAGTCTTATTTTACTGATATGTATCATAGGGACAAAAATTAAAGCACCCTCTTCAAAGTATCTTTCAATAAGAAAGGCATTATTGGCTGGGCACGGTGGCTCACACCTGTAATCCCAGGAATTTGGGAGGCCAAGGCGGGTGGATCACGTGAGGTCAGAAGTTCGAGACCAACCTGGCCAACATGGCACAACCCTGTCTCTACTAAAAATACAAAAAATTATCTGGGTATGGTGGCACATGCCTGTAATACCAGCTACTTGGGAGGCTGAGGCAGAAGAATTGCTTGAACCAGGAGACGGAGGTTGCAGTAAGCTGAGATCGCGCCACTGCACTCCAGCATGGGCAACAAGAGTGAAACTGTCTCAAAAAAGAAAGAAAGAAAGAGAGAGAGAGAGAAAGAAAGAAAGAATGAAAGATAGATTACTATTGTAAGCATTAAGCATTATAAATCTACATATGACGCTTAGTATAGCGCCAGGCTCAGAATCAGCAAGATAGGCCAGGTGTGGTGGCTCGCGCCTGTAATCCCAGCAGTTTGGGAGGCCAAGGTGGGTGGATCACCTGAGGTCGGGAGTTCAAAACCAGCCTGGCCAGCAAGGTGAAACCCCCTCTCTACGAAAAACACAAAAATTAGCCGGGCGCGGTGGCAGGTGCCTGTAATCCCAGCTACTTGGGAAGCTGAGGCAGGAGAATTGCTTGAACCTGGGAGGTTGAGGTTGCAGTGAGCTGAGATCGCACCATTGCACTCCAGCCTGGACAACACAGAGAGACCCTGTCTCAAAAAAAAAATAAGAATCAGCAAGATAATTATCCTTCCTGCTCCCACAACACTACTGCTATCTTACTACACTTCTACTCCTACCTTACGTCACTACTACCACCTTCTCACACTAATATTACCATACTACACTACTGCTACCTTACTACACCTCTACTACTCTTACTATACTTACACTACCTCCTACTATACCACTACTATTATCTTATGACATAACTACTGTCATGCCCACTACTACTACCTTACTACACTAATACTCCCTTACTACACTTCTACTAGCTTACTTCATGACTATTACTTCCTTATCACACTACTACTATCATACCACATGACTACTACCATGCTACATTTTTACTTTTTTTTTTTTTTTGAGACAGAGTCTCGCTCTGTCGCTCAGGCTGGAGTACACTGGCATTATTTCAGCAACCTCCATCTCCTGGGTTCAAGTGATTCTCCTGCCTCAGCCTCCCGAGTAGCTGATATTAGAGGTACGCCCCACCATGCCCAGCTAATTTTCATATTTTTAGTAGAGACGGGGTTTCACCATGTTGGCCAGGCTGGTCTTGAACTCCTGACCTCAAGCAATCCACCCACCTCGGCTGGGATTACAGGTGTGAGCCACCGCGCCAGTCCCATTTTTACTATTCTTAATACACTTCTACTACTACCTAACTACCCTATTGCTATTATCCTGTAACACTACTACTACCATACCACACTGCTACTACCTCACTACATCTTTATTACTGTTTTACCAGACTTCCACTGCTACCTTACTACATTACTACCTTAAGATACTACAGCCATAGCTACAGTGCTACCTACTGTAACCACCGTATTATGCAAAATGTGTATTAGTTTTCCAGGGCTGCCGCAACAAAATATCACAGATTGGGTGGCTTAAACAACAGAAGTTTATTTTCTCACAGTTCTGGAAGCTGCCTGAGATCAAGGTATAAGCAGGTTTGGTTTCTTCTCCCATCTCCTTGGCTTGATGATGGTTGTCTTCTCACTGTGTCCTCACTTGGTCAGGATCCTCCAGAGAAATAGAGCCAATAGGATGAGCATATATACAGAAAGAGATTTATTTAAAGGAATTGGCTCATGCAGTTGTGGAGGCTTGGCAAGTCCAAAATCTAATGGTGAAGGCCAGCAGCCTGGAGACTCAGGAAAGAGTTGCATTTCTAGTCCAAAGGCAGTCTGCTGATGAACCAAGAAGAGTTAATGTTGCAGTTGAAATCCAAAGGCAGTTGGCTGGCAGAATTTCTTCTTGCTTGGGAAAAGTCAGCTTTTTGTTCCTTTTATTTTTATTTTTATTTTTTTGAGACCAAGTCTCGCTCTGTCACCCAGGCTAGAGTGCAGTCACAATCTGAGCTCACTGCAACCTTCACCTCCCGGGTTCATGCCAGTATCCTGCCTCCACCTCCCAAGTAGCTGGGATTACAGGCATGTGCCACCACACAGGGCTAACCTTTGTATTTTTAGTAGAGATGGGGTTTCACCGTGTTGGCCAGGATGGTCTCGAACTCCCGACCTCAGGTGATCCACCTGCCTCAGCCTCCCAAAGTGCTGGGATTACAGGCATGAGCCACTGTGCCCGGCCAGCATTTTGTTCTATTCAGGCCTTCAACTGATTGAATGAGGCCCACCCATGTTATGGAGGGTAATCTGCTTAACTCAAAATTCACCCATTTGAATGTAAATCTCATCTAAAAATATTCTCACAGAAAAACCCAGATGAATATTTCACCAAATATCTGGGCATCATGGCTCAGCCAAATTGACTGATAAAATTAGCCATCACACATGGTCTTTCCTCTGTACACCTGCATCCTGGTGTCTCTCTGTGTGTCCACATTTTCTTTTTTTCTTTTTTTTTGAGATGGAGTTTCGCTCTTTCACACAGGCTGGAGTGCAGTGGCTCAATCTCAGCTCACTGCAACCTCTGCCTTCCGTTTTCAAGAGAGTCTCCTGCCTCAGCCTCCTGAGTTGCTGGGATTACAGGTGCCCGCCACCATGCCCATTTAATTTTTGTATTTTTAGTAGAGACGGGGTTTCACCATGTTGGCCAGACTGGTCTCAAACTCCTGACCTTGTGATCTGCTGGCCTCAGCCTCCCAAAGTGCTGGGACTACAGGCGTGAGCCACCGCACCTGGCCAAATTTTCTCTTTTTATAAGGAAACCAGTCAGATTGGATTAGAGCCCACTCTAACGGCCTCATTTTAACTTAGTCACCCTTAAAGGCCTTTTCTCCAAATACAATCACATACTGAGGCATTAGGGCTACAACATATGAATTTTGGGAGGAAATAATGGAACCCATAACACTGACTTCTACTACACTCTACTAGCACTACTTTCTCACTACTACCATTGCACTGTACTACCGTTACTACTACTACTCATCATCTTTCTATTACTAATACTTCCATAAAGTTCCTTCAAGTTGCAATTTCCTGTGTTTCTACAAAATAGATTGTATACAGTTGGCACCATAAAGCTCGGAGTTTCTTTTTTTATTTCTTTTATTATTTTTAAAATATTTATTTATTTATTTATTTTTGTTAAGACAGAGTTTCGTTCTTCTTGCCTAGGCTGGAGTGCAATGGCGTGAACTTGGCTCACTGCCACCTCTGCCTCTCAGGTTCAAGCAATTCTCCTGCCTCAGACTCCCGAGTAGCTGGGATTACAGGCACCCACCACCACATCTAGCTAATTTTTTGTATTTTTAGTAGAGACGGGGTTTCACCATGTTGGTCAGGCTGGTCTCCAACTCCTGACCTCAGGTGAACCACCTACCTCAGCCTCCCAAAGTGCTGGGATTACAGGCGTGAGCCACCTCGCCTGTCCAAAGCTCGGAGTTTCTACCAAGATTGAATGCAGGTTCAGCCAGAGAGTTAGTTCATGGAACACAATTTAGATCACCATTGGACAATATTTCAGGATACAGGAATTTTGGTCAAGGAGGAAATGCCCAACTATAAAGAACTTAGGCCAGGAGGATGGAAAAACTAAGACAACCTACCTAAGAGGAGTTTCAATCTGTAAATGGTTACCAATAAGTGACTTTTCTTGGCCATAGAGCTCAAACATTCTGGAACAAAAGACTCAGCGGCAGTTTTGGTTAGATGTCACGAGGGGTTCATCACTTGAGTGGCTGGTCTGGTTTTCCTCAATAGTAAGAACCTAAGGAATGTTTACCTTTTATTCCTCTTCCAAGCATTAATTATATACTTTTATTTATCAATTTTATGGTAATCCCCAGACAATAATTGAGAAATATTGCCAATGAAGGACTAAGTGGTGAATGAGTGGAAAATACTCTACACATACATACACATTTATACTCATAGGGATTAACAGGCCAGCAAATGATGGCTTTTCTCAGTTTCTTTTTATATTCCATGCAAGTTAAAGTGTACAAAGACAATGAAATTCCCAAAGATGGTGGCGGAGTCATTCTTAAATTTGTGGTTCTCACTGTGCCTTTTTCAGTGCCTTTTACATCATCTTTGTTCAGGAAATATTTGCTGAGTTTAGTAAAGGGCAGATTCCCCAAATTCTGACGATACTAGCTGCACTGCTGCTCTGTTTCTCATTCAAATATATGTATCAAGTTCAGCTACCCTGCCAGCCATCGAACAAAACAAACTCACAACGTGTATGTACCTGAAGACTGAGAGTCTGTAACACGGTGTAAGCAGTTCAAGTAAATCTGACAGTCATTTATTCAGCCTACACTATGTGTAAAGCGCTGCAGGGCTGCTCATCCATTAAGGCAGACAGAGTGTGTACATAAATATCCATAATTCAAGGCAATTTTCTCTATTAATAGAGAAATAAATAATGTACTGGGATGTGGAACATGGCAGAGACAAGGCAGGAAACTGAAACTAGTGCCAGATTGTGGAGCAGTTTGAAGGCTGGGCACCACCCTAATCGCCACTGATAAATCCTTCTGTCGCCATTCGTAAAGGTTGGAAAAATATGGAGACACAAAGCCTGAACGGCCTCATTACCCTAATGGGCACAGCATGGAGTAGCTTGATAGAACTGACACCACTTCCAGGAATAACACCATGTTCGTGATAAAATGCCCAACCTTACTCTCTCCAGAACATTCAGTTATGAACAGTTATACACCAATTACTTTGTATTTTAATCAAAATATAATTGAAACAAGCCAGATTTAAAACTCTTTGATGCCACAGGCAACAAGATAAAAATTATGAAAGTTGAAATAGTTACATAATCCCCCTAAGGCCACCATTCTGTAATTCCAAGGCCAACTCACTTCTCCCTTTCATCTCTTAGACTGACACAAAAAGAGGGGGAAAAAATCAAATGAAAAGAGTTAAAGTGACTCACAAAGAGCTGTGAGAGAGAGAGGAGGAAAGAGAGAAAGTAGAAGCCACACAGGCTTAGGGGAGGGAGGGTTTGGGAGGTGAGTGGATTGGTATGAAGTAGGGGACAGTTGTGCATAAGAAAGTATGGAAGTTGGGCACAGTGGCTCACGACTGTAATCCCAGCACTTTGGGAGGCCGAGGCAGGCGGATCACCTAAGGTCAGGAATTCAAGACCAGCCTGGCCAATATGGTGAAACCCCATCTGTACTAAAAGTACAAAAATTAGCTGGGCATGGTGGCGGGTGCCTGTAGTCCCAGCTACATGGGAGACTGAAGCAGGAGAATCACTTGAACCCGGGAGGCAGAGGTTGCAGTGAGCCAAGATCGTGCCACTGCACTCCAGCCTGAGTGACAGGGCGAGACCCAAAAAAAAAAGAGTGTGGAAGTATTGGGGAAAGGGGAGAAAAGGACATGATGGTTATGATTTGGATCCCTGCTAACGTCCTTTGAGAGATACAAGTAAAGAACAGATTTCTCTTTTAATTTAGGGGAAGAAATGAGATTGGCTATTTCACTGTGCTTCTTGAATGCCAAACTGAAACCTTTGGGACCCCAATTTATTAGGGTTGCAATGAAATCTAAAATATTTTGGTTGATGTGAAATGCAATTAATTTATGCTGGGCATTTCCTAACTATGCAATTAAATTCTGATTTAACCCAGAAAACTATTTTCTTAACCTAGTGATACAATTTCAAGACAATGGATATGAAAATGAAACATTAAGGGGTTTTAATTAGGACAAGGGCTGTGGTTGTTGTCTAACTACCTATTATTTTTCCCAGAAGCAAGCTACTTGAAATATCTAGGTCAGAAATTAAAACCTCTCAGTACCAACTGAATTGTAAATGCAAGCAGTTAATGAAAGCTTCATTCCTTTACAATCTATGGACTGCATTAGCCAGTTAATGTTGATCTTTTAGAGTGCCATTTAAAAATTTTATAGCGAAAAGATATGTGTATGCATGTGTCTATTCATACCAAATAAGTGACTTAAGCTGTCATATGTATCAAATTAATTTAAACATTTAATAACCACAATGTCACTAAAAAACCTGGCTTGCAATTTGTTTATTGTTAATATCTGATATCAGAATTTCTTGGAATCTTGAAGCTATAGCTCAAATAATTTAATCACACACACACACACACACACACACACACACACACACACACAATTATGGCTCAGTGTTCCAGAAAATGTGTACCTTCTCACCTAGTACCAAGTAGAAAATTAAAACTTTCCAAATTAGCTGGGCATGGTGGTGCATGCCTGTAGTCCCAACCACTCAGGAGACTGAGGCAGGAGAATCACTTGAACCCGGGAGGCGGAGGTTGCAGTGAGCCAAGATCGGGCCGCTGCACTACAGCCTAGCAACAGAGCCAGACTTCGTCTCAAAAAAAAACAAAAACAAAAAAACTTCCCTTCCCCCAAAGCAAGCTAAAAGATTAAACACAGGTTGTTAATACTTACAGGTACTAAATATTTGCATCCAGACCCAAGATAGCTCTAAAATAAGCAACTGGTTAAGTGGAAGTATCACACTATCTGCAATAGTAAATACAAGTCCAGAGCCACTGACATCCATAAGATCAATGTGGGAAGGGGAATCTAAAACAGAGGGACAATGGCTCCTAAAAGAAAAAAACCCTGTGTGTAAATTGCTTATCATCATGGCTTATAACATACTAATAGTCATTAGCATGACAACCAGGTAGCAGTTGCTCACTAAGAACGTACCTTCAGATTTATATGCACTTAATGGATATACATATATGGTAAACGTAAGACTGTGGTGTAAAGTCCTTTGCAGGTTTGCTTAAAGGAAGAATTTTATTTTTCAGTTGTATAAAAGCTAAACATAGTTCTAAACACAAGTTCTCTCTATTCTCTGAGGGTTGTGAAATGCACACAGCTCTCTTCTTTTGATAAATATCAATGAAAGTGAAAGAGGTTGAACAGCAATCCCTGATCTTCCTTCCTTATCTCCAGTATATTTCAGTCCCAAGCCACATCCCAAGAAAAGAGAAAGTAGGGGTGGAATGAGGAGAAAAAAAATAGGTCCAGAATCACTCTAGGGCAAAGGTTGATCCTGGCAACACACAGATATATTATTTGGCCCACCTATGTTTTCAGATGGAGAAAATTTACATTTAAATATATCCAGATTTCTGGCCAGATGCAGTGGCTCGCGCCTGTAATCCCAGCACTTTGGGAGGCCGAGGCGGGTGGATCACCTTAGGTCAGGAGTTCGAGACCAGCCTGGCCAACATGGCAATACCCTGTCTCTACTAAAAATACAAAAATTAGCTGGGCGTGGTAGCGGGTGCCTGTAATCCTAGCTACTCGGGAGGCAGAGGCAGGAGAATCGCTTGAACCTGGGAGGTGGAGGTTGCAGTGAGCTGAGACTGTGCTATTGTACTCCAGCCTGGGTGACAGAACAAGACTCTGTCTCAAATAAATAAATAAATAAATAAAAATAACAGAATATCTAAATTCCTTTGCTCACTTCAGCTAGAGTTGAGTACCTCTTGCTACCCATAAATAGGACAGCTGTTCTCTAGTTCACCACAATCTTGAGTTGATCCACTTTAGTCATGTCTGTTACCTGCCAGACCCTATAGGCATGCAGGTTTACCACTCAGGTAATCTCATAAATTACTATATCGCATAAAAGCCTCAGATAAAACTATCTGGAACTTCATGTATTTACAAAAGATGCCTTAAATTCCACAGTTTTCTTTCAGGTATTTTCTGGGGTGGATTGCAAGACATGGAAATTTTTCTTATTTATATTTTTCTCTCTCATAGTTCATACAGCACCTGTCACATAAAAGGCACTCAATAAATGTTGATTGTTACAAACTAAAGGGAGAATGGACCATAATAACACTCACAGAGCTAATCTGCTTTGGACATCTTTGATTTACTCAGAGCCAAATCCATGGATCCAGGATTAGCCTTAAATTGAAAAGGGCCTGGAATGTAAGGGGATTACAGAGGTTGTGTTGCTGTGAAGGTCAAAAGTCAGACCAGTTCTCTGGGAGCAAATTTGTCTACAGTGAAGAAAGGACTTGCCTCAGCATTAGGAGTCCTGGATGCATTGATTACATAAATAAATTCTATTTATTGTCTACTATGTGCTAAGGGCTATGGATAGAAATATGAACATAACAAGGTCCTTTAAGGAGTTCAGAAATCAAATACATAGTTTCCATGAAAGCCATGTGAATGCATGTCATTTGACCTTTTCAAACTCACTAGCAAAAAAAAGGGGGTGGCAAATCTGTTTGTTGGGGCTTACTTCATGATACAGTAAGAAACAACTGAAACAATGGGATTGTAAACCTTGTGAACCGTAAAACATTGGCAACAAGATGGTAGAACTGGATTCTTCCTGCTTTTGTTTCTTAGGATGCTAATATTGCAGTCAAAAAAGTAAGCATGAGACACAACCTGCCCCAAATACAAAGAAAATGTTGCAGTTTTATAGAAAAATGACCTCTGAGAACCTTTTGCATGCCAGTTGGGTTCCTCAAGCAGACAAATGATTTTTTTTTTTAAATCAGGGTTAAGAGGAGAGAGGTGCCGGCATGCTCAAGGTCGCCAACCCCCACCTGTCCATCTCTCCCATATTTTTCTCACCTCAAGCTTAGAGAGGTGAGCATAATTCCAAATATGTTTCCTATAGTTGGGAGTAACACAAGACCGTTGCCTGACTCCCACCAGAGGCATTTAAGGTAGAGAGTGGATGGTCCACCTGGGGAAATCTGGAAGTAAGAGATGGCCTGAGCAGTCACTTTCGTGGTAGATCTAAGGGGAAGCTACTGTATTGGGACTACATTGCTCACTCCAAATTTGCCTGCACAAGAGATACGGGATGTTTCCTGTTGACTAGAGTAAGCTACCTGAGAGAGAGATTGGCCTCTGTTACTCCTGTGTCCTATCAATTCGGGCCACATGGAGGTGTGAGGTGACCTCAGTAGAAAGAGGCTGGGTTCCAGCCAGACTCAGTAGCTCATGCCTGCAGTCCCAGCACTTTAGGAGGCTGAGGTGGGCAGATCACGAGGTCAGGAGTTCGAGACCAGCCTGACCAACCTGGTGAAACCCCGTCTCTACTAAAAACACAAAAATTAGTTGGGTGTGGTGGCTCGCACCTATAATCCCAGCTACTCAGGAGGCTGAGGCAGGAAAATTGCTTGAACCCAGGAGGTGGAGGTTGCAGTGAGCCTAGATCATGCCACTGCACTCCAGCCTGGGTGACAGAGTGAGACTCCATCAAAAAGAAAAAAGGAAGGAAGGAAGGAAGGAGGGAGGGAGGGAGGGAGGAAGGAAAGGAAGGTAGGGAGGGAGGAAGGAAGGAAGGAAGGAAAGAAAGAAAAGAAAGAAAAAGAAAGAAAAGAAAGAAAGAAGGAAAGAAAGAAAGAAAGAAAGAAAGAAAGAAAGAAAGAAAGAAAGAAAGAAAGAAAGAAAGAAAGAGAAAGGGAAAGAAAGAAAGAAGGAAGGAAAGAAAGAAGCCGGGTGCGATGGCTCACGCCTGTAATCCTAGCACTTTGGGAGGCCGAGGCGGGTGGATCACGAGGTCAGAAGATCGAGACCATCCTGCCTAACACGGTGAAACCCCGTCTCTACTAAAAATACAAAAAATTAGCCTGGCGTGATAGCGGGCGCCTGTAGTCCCAGCTACTCGGGAGGCTGAGACAGGAGAATGGAGTGATCCCAGGAGGCGGAGCTTGCAGTGAGCCGAGATCGCGCCACTGCACTCCAGCCTGGGTGACAGAGCGAGACTCCGTCTCAAAAAAAACAAACAAAAAAAAAAAAAGAAAGAAAGAAAAGAAACGAAAGAAGGAAGGAAGGAGAGACAGAAAGCAAAGAAGGAGGGGAGGGGAAGGGAGGGGAGGGAAGGGGAGGGGAGGGAACGGAAGGGAAGGGAAGGGAAGGGAAAAATTTTCCCTGGAGGTAAAAATGAACTACGGGAGAGAGAAGTCCAGCAAGGGAAGAGCCCCTGAAACTGCCACATAGGAGAGAGTCCATTTTTCTTCCATGTCTTTGCAGCCAGGATCTCTAAGGGGGACTGTCTTTAACCATCTGCCAGGTCAGAGAGCCAAAGTTACCTCACCAAGTGACAATGGTTCTATCCCTTTATTTCTCCTCTCCCAACCCTGCTTTTGAGCCTAGGAAAGTGGTGAGCAGGAAGCGAGAAGGAGGAAGAAGAGACAAACTCACCTCTTCTTCTACTGCAGGCTTCAGACTAAAACAGGACATAGCTAGGCGGGGAGAATTGATATCAAGTTGTATTTGGAGTTCTGACCTTGCATGGAGCTGGACAGTGTTAAGACTGAATTAGGTCTGTGTCTGTGACTTAAAATGATTGTAGGACTGCTTTTTACCTGACTAAACAGAAAAGACATGAGAATAGCCCAGATATTCACCCAAGGTCAGGTGAATATTACCTTCCCAACCCCAACTAATACAAAATTAAGGGAGGGTAGAAAGCATACACAAAGATGCATTTGATCAAAATCCACACATCGTGCACCATATTTGCACCATATAAACAAGAGTTATTCTGGTATGAAGTAGTGTTATTTTCTCTTCCTGAAAAGTAGCTTTCATAGCGAACTATTGCTAAAGTTGCCATAATCGTCTTTTTCAACTTTCTTATTTTTAAGATGAAATATAGGTAAAGCCTACTGATAGAATGATAATGTTTATGGATCATGGTGAAGGTCCTGAAGTTGAAGTGAAATCATTTTTGAAGAATTATAAGTAATGAGAGAGATCTAACATGACTGACTCCATCTTGCTTCTAGACTGACTCCATCTTATTTGTAACCTCACAGACTAATCTTTTTTTTTTTTTTTTTGCTTATTCTAGCACTGAAGCCAAGATAAATTTAGTTTATTAAACTTAAACTTAGAGACATAGGAAACTGAACATCTCCTTGTTCACAGATTGAAGCTGCATTTGTAAGACAAGTTTAGAATTATGGGAAGAACTTGAACTTTGCTAAAGAATAGGCATAAACAATGACCTGCCATTGCTTAGCTTGCTTTTCTATTAGTTGCTTACCACTCCAGAGTCACGTAATCAGGGGTTGTAAGATTTATAATTTCCCCAACTACTCCTATAGATAACATCAATATTGTGAAACCTACAGAACTGGTCTTTGAGATCTTTTCCAAATTTAGCATTTTGGTAGACCAAGTGATGCCATCTGGTCCTCAGACCCCCTCTTGGGAACTAACTCAACTACACAAAGGCAGTTTTAAACACCCCCGTGATTTCTTCCCCAGATAATCAATTGTTTCAGTTTCCCAGCCCCTGCTTACCAAAGTACCCTTTAAAAAAAAACCCTAGCCTTGGCTGGGCATGGTGGCTCATGCCTGTAATCCCAACACTTTGGGAGGCCAAGGTGGGTGGATCACTTGAGGTCTGGAGTTCAAGACCAGCCTGGCCAACATGTTGAAACCCTGTCTCTACTCAAAAAAATTAAAAAATTAGCCAATGGTGGCAGGTGCCTGTAATCCCAGCTACATGGGAGGCTCAGGCAGGAGAATCACTTGAACCCAGGAAGCAGAGGTTGCAGTGAGCCAAGATCACACCACTGTACTGCAGCCTAGGCAATAGAGCTAGACTCTGAAAAGAAAAAAACTAGCTTTTTAATTCTCAGGGAAGCAGATTTGAGAAATACCTCCTGTCCTTCCACTTGGCTGGCCCTGCAAATTAAACTCTCTTTGCTGCAATACCTGCCGTTCTTAGTGCATTGGTATTTCTGGGAAGCAGGCAAAAAGAACCTGTCAGGCTGTGACATATGTCAGCTGAAGAGGAGCCTTGAAAACACTTTCATTAGGAAGTTTTGTACCTCCCTAGTAATATTAATTCAGCTGCTCCCCTTGAAATTTTAGGGCTTCTTTCACATTTTGGAAACAAGAGTGGTCGCCCTATCATGCCTCATGCCTCAGTGGTCAAGTTTCTGTGATCTGTCAGTCAAGAGGAATCCTTAGAAGCACCAACTGGCCCTACTTGGCAATGAAATTGAGTGTAGATAGGATAATTATGCTATGCACCTGTGCCTCTCTGCTATCCTAATAAAATCTCAGAAATAATGTCCCCATTTTCCCCACACTACCTTACTCAAGAAATTTCTCACTACCTTACTCAAGAAATTTAAAACTCATATAAGGAAAATGTAAAAGAAAAAGATCTGTGCTTCAAACAAGAATTACTCTCAAGATTCTGCCATTTGGATTATTCCTCATAAATTTCTAATCTGCCCAGCCTGTGATTCATATAGTAGCTGAAATTGAAATCTGTGAAAGAAATTAGGATTACTCCCTTACTTCAGCCTTGAAAAAAATATAGCCTAAAGGAGTTTTGGATGTAGATTTTGTATAGAAAACAGGCATTTAAAAAAAAAAAAAAAAAAGGCCAAGCGCAGTGGCTCACGCCTGTAATCACAGCACTTTGGGAGGCCGAGGCAGGCAGATCAGGAGGTCAGGAGTTCGAGACCAGCCTGACTAACATGGTGAAACCCTATCTCTACTAAAAATACAAAAGTTAGCCACGCGTGGTGGCGTGCGCTTGTAAACCCAGATACATGGGAGGCTGAGGCAGGAGAATCGCTTGAACCCAGAAGGTGGAGGTTGCAGTGAGCTGAGACTGCACCACCGCATTCCAGCCTGGGTGACAGAGTGAGACTGTCTCAAAAACAACAACAACAAAACAAAACTGAGGATTATAAAAGTGGAAAAGGAGAAGGAAATATCCTCCTTCTCTCCAAAGGTGCATTTCTACACTTACAACTCTGATTCCTTTGTTTCTACCTTTCCATTTCCATGCTCCCATACTTCTTTGTAGAACAGCCTAAATGTTGCGGAAAGCACCTTTCTTAGCTTCTGCTGTGTTACCTTGAAGCCACAGTGCTTACCTTTTAGACAGTTATTGCCGCCTTCTTCACCGTGGCTAATTGTCAGGGACAGAGATGTTTAAAAAACAATCACTTTAGTATCATGAAGATCACTGCTAATTAAATTCAACCAGAGTATTTACTGTTTGTTGTCTATTCTTTATCATGCATTTTCTAAGATCTTCTTATCCCTGAGTGAATTATACCAAAAGGCAGCAGATTGTCTGAGCCTCAGGGGAGATTTTTCCCAGTTTGCATTTTTGTTGTTGTTCTTATAGCATTACTCTTGATCATTTGTTAAAGAAAATATTTTTTAAAAAAAATTTACAATGGAAATTTTAAATTTTGAGAGAGTTGATATTTAATTAACACTTACCAAATGGTATTAAGTAAATATATATGCATAAATATGTTATTCATGTCACTGTAGAGACATATTGCATTTAGCCATGCAGGTATACCAACAGGCTTAGAAGAAACTGGGACAATAAATTGAAACAAGCACTTTATCAGAACATTTGAGCAGCTGTTTACATAATATTATATGCTTAAAAGAAACATTAAAGCATGGGCCATGCTCCTAGAAACCATAACATTTAGTTGAATAGATCTGAATATTTTGGATCTCATGGACCAATAGTTTTTTGGGAAAGGAAGAATGGGAGGGACAGACAAAACAAAGAATGTCAATTTTTTATTGTTTTACTAAATAATAAAAATGGTTAACTGTATTAGTCAGGATTCTCTTAGAGAGTCAGAACTAATAGGCTATAGATACATATATATATATATATATATGAGATATATATATATATGAGATATATATATATATATGAGATATATATATATAAAAAGAGGAGTTTATTAAGTATTAATTTACATGATCACAAGGTCCCACAATAGGCTGTCTGCAAGCTGAGGAGCAAGGAGAGCCAGTCCAAGTCTCAAAACTGAAGAACTTGGCATCCAATGTTCGAGGGCAGGAAGCATCCAGCACAGGGGAACGATGTAGCCTGGGAAGCTAGACCCATCTCTCCTTTTCACATTTTTCTGCCTGCTTTATATTCACTGGCAGCTGATTAGATTGTGTCCACCAGATTAAGGATGGGTCTGCCTTCCCCAGCTCACTGACTCAAATGTTAATCTCTTGGCAACACCCTCACAGACACACCCAGGATCAATACTTTGTATCCTTCAATCAAGTTGACACTTAGTATTAAACAACACAAGTCTACCCCTTGTCAACTTGAACCCATACAAATCTCCTGAGATCATACATAATCTTCAAATAAAGACAATAATGAGCGAGCTCATAATTACACCTAACATAATACAACTGTCCTTTGTACAACCAGAAATGCACCAATCCCAAACCCAAAATACTATTACATAAAGTTAGCAATACTTAAATGCTGATATGAAGTCAATAAGTCTTATGTCACGTGATAAAGGAAAAGGAAATAAAATGAAGATATTTTCTTAGTGCAAGTGTGTACATGCACAAACATGTTTTTAACAAAAGAAGGAGGAAATACTCATGACAATTACCGTCCTCGTTTCTGCAGCTGGTCACATGGTCATAGCTAGTATTGATGCCTACCTTCTTCTACTACCCATCCTGTATTCCCTTTGCCTTCAGCAAGCACCTCAGCAGGTAGTGGCTTTTTTCCTGGTGGAGTGACCCGAACCTTCATTCCTGAGGGGTCTAGGTCATTTGTAGTCCTGCCTGGATTGGACTGTTGTAGTGTCTCATTGACATTAATCACAAGGCATAGCAATACTAAGAGATGCCATAATGGATCTTTTGTATTCCATGTGTACTCTTCTTTACCTCTGTTGTGGAGTAGTAGACTGATTTCATCTTGGTAGTAAGGGTCAATCACCCCAGCCAACACTGTAACTCCCTTCTTAGCCTGTTGACTTAAAGGTAGGAGGAGCCCAAAGTGTCCAGGTGGCAATCTTAACTTCTGGTTTAATGGAATCGTTGTTGTGTCTCCTGGTGGCAGCGTTCTTTCCTCTGGAACTAAGACCTCTAGGCCAGCAGAACATAATGTCATGGGAACAGGTAGCAAAAATTTTGCTGGTGGATAACTAGGGGTGATGTTGAGTGGTGCCACCTCCACTTCCATCCCCTGATTCCTGGACCTGTGAATCCTGGCTATGGGAGAAACAGTACCATATATTGGACACTAATTCAGAGCATACATGGCCTTCTGGATAACTTTGCCCCCACTCTGCAAAGTATTGTCACCTAGTTGGCATTGTAATGGTGACTTCAAAAAGCCATTCCACCATTCTATCAATCCAGCTGCTTCAGGATGATGGGGAACATGGTAAGATCAGTGAATTCCATGAACATGAGCCAAAAAAAAACCCAAACAATCTTCATTCAGCCAATTTAAGGGGGTGGAGGTAAGAGAAGAGTGAGCACAAAGAATGAGGACACAGAAAAAAAAAAAAAAACGAAGAGACATAGAGAAAGAGGCTGCAGCTGTTCTGGCATATTAACAGAAAAGTTCCCAAATACACCAGGACATCAGACTGCCCTTGGGCTCACAAATCTTCAGGGTCAAAAAGACAGACACATAATGCCATAATGAACAATGTGAGCAGTCATTGCTCCTAAGAAGCTTCCATTCTAGTGGTAGAAAATGTAGGTCAAAATCAGGCAGGGAAGTTCCTTGAATTTCAAGCTTAGAAATTTTGACATTATATTCTGGCTAATGAGCAATCAGCAGTGTTTTACTACATGTTACTCGAAGTTTCTTAGTAGACTCACAGAGGGGTATTTATTCATTGGCTCCCAGGTTTGAAATAAACCAACCATAACTCTCAGGTTAGTAATGGTGCTTCTGTGAATAGGAGGGGAAAAAAAATCCCCCATCCAATGAATACAAAGGGGCAGTCCAGGGTAATGTGTATTTATTTCCTTTTCCAAGAACTCAAGGCACATTTTCAGCCCTCAGCTCAGTTTAGTTTTCCCAGTCTGGTCAGTAACATGATATCAAGGTGTTTGTGTGTGTGTGTGTGTGTGTGTGTGTGTTTGAGACAGAGAGAGAGAGAGAGATTGGGAAAGGGGCAGGGTGAGAAGAAAGTACAGTTCAGTGGTTACTAATGGATCACTAAATTTTTCCCCCATGTAAAGATTTTTTAGCCTCTCTTTCTTGTATCTTATGTCATGTCTTGGCATTCAGTCAGCACTCCCAGAGGCAGGCCCATTAACTCTTTCAAGCCTCTAGAGTACTATTCATACCATTCAGTGCATTCCGGTACTGCACTAAGCATACCATGCAAGAATGCTATTTAGTTCAATGCACTCGTGATACATAAAGCAATTCCCTGAAGGCCTGAAAGAGTTAACCTACATCTCTCTCTGAACATTTGGCTTAGTGCAAGGGATTGACTGAGAAACTGGGGACAATAGAGCCCAGTGTCTCATTAACTGGCATAGAATTCCATTGACATAAGAAGAAATAGACAATATCATCTTTAATACAAGTGGAAAAACTGAGAACCCCAAGAAGTTTTTGCCTACAGTCACACAATAAGCTGGTCTCACAGGCAAGACCATTTCCAGGTCTCCAAATGTTCTGCCTGGAGCTCTGCCTAGGTTTCCTTTAAACCCAAACTCATGCAGGGATGGAGCAGATGAAAGTGTGTGAGAGGGCAGAGGTTAACACAAGAGTCCTGTGGGCCCATGTCTTACAAACGCAAATGCTGGATTATTCTGTTATAAATCCTTCTTGGGAGGAAATTTATTATTATTATTATTATTACTCTGTTGCCCAGGCTGGAGTGCAGTAGCACAATCTCAGCTCACTATAACCTCTGCCTCCCAGGTTCAAGCGATTCTCCTGCCTCAGCCTTCCGAGTAGCTAGGACCACAGGCACGCACCACCAGTCCTGGTTAATGTTTGTATTTTTAGTAGAGACGGGTTTTCACTATGTTGGCCAGGCTGGTCTCGAACTCCTGACCTCAAGTGATCTGCCTACTTTGGTCTCCCAAAATGCTAAGATTACAGGCGCGAGCCACCGCGCCCGGCCAGAAATGAAATTTTAAGTAAAACCTGTAAAATCATCCCTTCCAGATTTCCTTCGGACAGTGGTATAGTCACCTCCAACCACACCAGACCCAGCAACCTTTCTGCATTTTACCTCAATTCCCATCAACATGTTTGCAACTTCCCATAGTTTGTTTTCATCTCTTTCTAGTAGGGGTTGAAAAAGTATCTTGAGAATGGAGAGATGGGGCCAGAGCATACACTCTCCTGATAGCTCAACAGAAAGCATTGCATGAGGCTGGGCAAGCCTGCTTGGGGTGCCCCTGGGATGCTGCACAGCTAATTTGCACAGTGGCACTGCATTTAGATTCCTTATGAGGCGAGTCTCAAGTTTAAAGCGCTCTGTGGCTGGAGAAGGGGCTGGAAATAAAGAAGGTGGTGATATTTCCAGGATTTTGCAATAGAACTGTGACCAAACCCTTTCATGCTAAAGTTCAAAATAATATGCATTGGAGCTGGAAGTGAACTTAGATATCACCTGGTCAAACCCTCATCTTGTCACCAAGAAAACCGAGGTAGACAAGGGAAGTGACCTATCTCGGGCCACACAAGTCATTAATAGCACAGTTGGTGGGTAAGGTATTTTAAGCCATAAGGAATGAAAGAGAAGTTCATGGTTACATCAGATAATAAGGATTGATTTTAAGGACACACAGGGGTAGCAGATGTCAGCGGTAACATGACCAAACCTCACCAAGCACTAAACACTGCAGGCACATAAGGTGAATTTATACCCAATCTACTTCTTTTGCTCTGGCAGATACTCCTTAAATGTAGGTATCTGTCTGCCTGCTTCAGTCCTTTGCTGTTATGGGCACTAACTACTTTCTGCCTTGCTTTTACTGCTATTGTTTACATGCATTCATATGTTTCCACTTTCCTTTTCTCTGTTTCTTAATTCCTGCTTGCCAGAGCTTCTGCTTCCTGTGGATGCTTTCTGGCTTATTTTCTGTGTGTCTTTTCCCTTCTGTCCATCTTCCAAGGGTTGACTTCTCTTGAATGGATTTACATTCGAGTTCCTGGAGGGAGGATCTGATGGGTTCATGTAGCAACTCTGCAGTAGTGCTACAGAGCTCTTCCTCCAGATCTCAGCGTTATTACAGATGATGGCTTTATTCAGGGAGGTGTCTATCCCTGGTCAAACAGAATAGGACAGACAGATAAAGTTGAATGTCATCTTTCCTCAGAATGGGGCTTTGAGCATGGAAACCACGTTAAGCATAATAGATTTCTCCCCAGATTAGTACTTTGGACTAGATCCCACATCTCCTCAGTTCTAGTATAGCATACAGTAGTGAGTAAGAAAATATTTCTGAAGCACAAATGACTGGGTTTTAATCATATGACCATTACTTCTAGCAAGTTATGCTTTAGATTATGCTCTGAGATAGCAAGTTATACAACTGAACATTCCTTATCTATAACATAGATTATCATATCACCTGTCGTATAGAGTAAGGGAGGACTGGGATTATTTACATAAAGTGTTTAGGAGAGTATCTGACCCATAAGTACCCCATAAATGTTAGATGTTTTATTATATTGTTTTCTTTGCACAGCACCTGTGATGATTTTAAAGTATGTCTAAAAATTCTTTGATATTTTTCCCATAAACGATGCAGTCTAATTCTCCTGCTTTGAGTATGGCCCACATTAGTGACTTGCTTCTTACAAGCAAAATACAACAAAAGTTATGCTGTATGACTTTTAAGGCTAGGTCAGACAAGATGATATTGCTTCTGCATTGTTGGGATTCTTGCCTTTGGAACCCAGACACCATGATGTGAGGAAGCTCAAAACCCATGGAGAGGCCACATATAGGTGTTCTGACCAACAGCCCTAGCTAAGGTCTCAGCCAACAACCAGCATCAATCACTAGCTATGAAGCAATGAGCCTTCAGATAATCCCAGCCCCAGGCTTCAAGTTTTCCAACTGACGTTCCAGATGTCATGGTGCAGACCCACTCCAAACTTTGTTTGAAATCCTGACCCACAGGATCTGTGAACAATTACTGACGGTTGATTTACACCATTTAATTTGGGGGGAATTTAGGCAGCCATGGCCTTTTATTTCTTCATCCGTATGAGAGTACTGTTTGTGGGGACCTTGACAGGATTCAGGAAACATCAGATTTTCTCTAAAGCTTGGCTTCTACACTGCAGTGTTTCTTCACTAGTGTGTTAGGCCGTTCTTGCATTGCTATAGAGAAATACCTAAGACTAGGCAATTTATAACAAAAGAGGTTTAATTGACTCATGGTTTGGCAGGCTGTACAGGAGGCATAGTGACATCTGCTTCTGGGAAGGCCTCAGGAAGCTTCCAATCATGGTGGAAGTCAAAGAGGGAGCAAGACACATCGCATGGCGAAGGCAGGAGCAAGGGAGGGAGAGAACAAGGTGCCACACACTTTTAAACAAGCAGATCTTGGGAGAATTCACTCACTATCATGACGACAATACCAACGGGATGTTGCTAAACCATTCACAAGAAATCTGCCCCTATGACCCAAATACCTCCCACCAGGCCCCACCTCCAACGCTGGCGATTACATTTCGATTTGAGATTCAGATAGGGACAGATATACAATCTATATCAACTAGGGAGTGGATTATAATGCCCAGGACTTTTAAAAATGCATAGCCCCCAGACATGCTGGCTTAGCACCAATTCTATGGGACTTATACATGTATAATTTGAAAATGTTCATTATTTAACTTCAACAAATCTTCACTGGGAGAGATCATTTACATACCTAGTCCTTACGCTGAATTTGGAGGGCAAGAGCTGATGACTTTCATTCACATTCATTAGTGCTCTATAAGAATCTATGTATGCCTGGCTTTCCTGCCAGGTGTCCTTTTGGGAAGACCATACTTCCTGTCTGTGAATGAATTAGAAGGATATTTGGTATTTCTGGTGTGTAGGCATCTTCTGATGGAATCCAGGTTAGGAATGGCAGACACCAAGCTATGATCTTCAACAGTGAATTCTCAATATATTAAGAAAAACCCATTTAAGTTTTCCCTTCAAAATCTGGAGAGCCGGTAACAAGACAAGGTTGTTCACTCTCATCATTTCTACAAGGTACTGGATGGTCGAGCCAGGGCAGTTAGGCAAGAAAAAGAAATAAAAAGCATTCAGATTGGAAAGAAAGTAAAACTATCTCTATTTGCAGATGACATAAACTTACATATAAAATTCAGAGAGTTTTGCAAGGCATCTTTTGGGCCCAGAAAACCAAAAAGAATTTCTATCTCCCTCCCACACTCACTAGAACAGAGATTCTCAAACTTTGCTATACAAGAGAGCTGTTAATCTTCCAACTATGCCCAGCTTCCAGAGACTGTGTTATCTGATGTACTGGGCTGCGAAATTTCATTTTAAGAAGCACCCCTAAGAAATCCAATGCAGGTGAATTTTAGATAACTTTGTAAAATGCAAAACAAAATCTTTCAAAATTGTTTAGCTCAATGATTTAGAGTATAATGCCTAGAACTTTATTGCCTGGGTTTGATTCTTGACTCTTCTACTTGCTAGCTGTGTGACCTTGAGCGCGGCACTTACCTTTACTGTGCCTCAGTTTCTCCAAATGTAGAATGGGGTTAATGATAGTGCACCTGCCTCACAGGTTTACTGCATGCGTTAAATACAATAATGTCTGTGAAACAGTTAGACTAAAAATTGTTCTAATTGTTCTTACTGTCACTTATTTGCTGTAGGGGAACTACCTGGTTATCCCTGGAAGCTATACCTTGCCTGTAGACACTATAGCAAAATGCAATGACTCTAATAAATGTAGGAAAACCACATGAACTCTGTTCATGCTCTTCTCTACTGACGTTCACATGCCCTCTCTGAAAAGCTATGGCAAAGAGACACATTCTGTTAGAAATCAAATGAAAACATGGGTCAGCCGATCCTTCCACAGTTCAAATCCCTCTCTGCCTTAATGATCATGGCTAATCTGCAGTGTGATTATCATATTTGGCATATTACCAGAGGTTTCTTTTTTCCATTATTTTGATTTATGCCATTAGTGAATCTGGTTTTCCATGCTCTGTTTTGTTTTACAGTACATTTCACCAAGAGTTCACTTCCAAATGCAAACATGAGGACTAATGCTCCATTTATGACTCATAAAATGTACTACTCCATTCCCCCCATTCACTAGCATGATAGCAAATCTTTAACAGATTGCCTTGCGCATAGGGAGGCAGCTCCCAGTGCTCACATAAATAATTTATTCTGATCAACACTTGCTCAAATTAATGGAAATGATAATGTACAGAAAGTGTTTTCCTGTGTTTCCAAGTCTATTCCCCAAGGCAACATTATTTGTATTCCTAGATATGCAGGAAACTGACCTGACGGTTCCCAGTTCAAAAATCACAGGTAGAGGCCTTGTTTTCGGAATTTCCTTACTCAGCTAAGAACAGAGTTTTCTTACAGTGTAAGGTCTATTACATACTAGATACTACGAAGTGACAGCGTGCTGGCAGCCCTCGCAGCCCTCCCTCGCTCTTGGCGCCTCTTTGGCCTCAGTGCCCACTCTGCCACGCTGGAAGAGCCCTTCAGCCCACCACTGCACTGTGGGAGCCCCTTTCTGGGCTGGCCAAGGCCGGAGCCGGCTCCCTCAGCTTGCCGGGAGGTGTGGAGGGAAAGGCGCGGGCGGGAACTGGGGCTGTGCGTGGAACTTGCGGGCCAGCGCGAGTTCCGGGTGGGCGTGGGCTCGGCAGGCCCCACACTGGGAGTGGCCAGCCGGCCCCGCTGGCCCCGGGCAGTGAGGGGCTTAGCACCTGGGCCAGCAGCTGCTGTGCTCAACTTCTCCCCGGGCCTTAGCTGCCTCCCCGAGGGGCAGGGCTCGGGACCTGCAGCCCGCCATGCCTGAGCCTTCCCCGCCCCCTACTCCATGGGCTCCTGTGCAGCCTGAGCCTCCCTGATGAGTGCCGCCCCCTGCTCCACGGCGCCCAGTCCCATCGACCACCCAAGGGCTGAGGAGTGCGGGCGCAGGGCGCGGGACTGGCAGGCAGCTCCACCTGCAGCCCTGGTGCGGGATCCACTGGGTGAAACCAGCTGGGCTCCTGACTCTGGTGGGCACTTGGAGAAACTTTATGTCTAGCTAAGGGATTGTAAATACACCAGTCGGCACTCTGTATCTAGCTCAAGGTTTGTAAACACACCAATCAGCACCCTGTGTCTAGCTCAGGGTTTGTGAATGCACCAATCGACACTCTGTATCTAGCTACTCTGGTGGGGACTTGGAGAACCTTTGTGTGGACACTCTGCATCTAGCTAATCTAGCTGGGACGTGGAGAACCTTTGTGTCTAGCTCAGGGATTGTAAACGCACCAATCAGCACCCTGTCAAAACAGACCACTTGGCTCTCTGTAAAATGGACCAATCAGCAGGGTGTGGGTGGGGGCAGATAAAAGAATAAAAGCAGGCCGCCCAGCCAACGTGGCAACCCACTCGGGTCCCCTTCCACAAGGTGGAAGCTTTGTTCTTTTGCTCTTTGCAATAAATCTTGCTGCTGCTCACTCGTTGGATCCACACTGCCTTTATGAGCTGTAACACTCACCAGGAAGGTCTGCAGCTTCACTCCTGAAGCCAGCGAGACCATGAACCCACCGGGAGGAACGAACAACTCCAGACGCGCCGCCTTAAGAGCTGTAACACTCAGGGCGAAAGTCCACAGCTTCACTCCTGAGCCAGCGAGACCACGAACCCCACCAGAAGGAAGAAACTCCGAACACATCCGAACATCAGAAGGAACAAACTCCGGACGTGCCGCTTTTAAGAACTGTAACACTCACCGCAAGGGTCCGCGGCTTCATTCTTGAAGTCAGTGAGACCAAGAACCCACCAATTCCGGACGCAATATTGTTATACTTTAGTGACAAGAGGGCAGAAATAGCTCTTATTGTATAATGCTGCTGTAATTTTTCTAAATCAGCCAACAACTATGGTTTCCTGAAGTAGCAAAAACCTGAAAAACAAAAAAAAAAAAGATGAAGCATTTCAGAGAGAATGAATCGGAGTGGGCTGGTGATTCATGCATCCTCAGGAAGAGAGTTGGACAGGACCTCTTAAACATCTTTCAACCCTGTATTTTGTTTTTCTACAATTCTACTCAAACACCAATTTATACTCAAATATTAGTTGCACCTCAGAAAGAAACAAGTTGTTTTACCCTCTCCTGCCCCCACAATTCCCCAGTGTTTTGGCTTTAAACTTTCCTCTAGAAAACTGATCAAACATGAACACAAGTTAAATTTAAGCCACTTTATTCATGTAATTCTTTGAAGCCCATAACAGTTATAGAGTGCGTTTGGGTAGCATTAAAGAAAAACTCCTCCGGCTGGGTGCGGTGGCTCACGCCTGTAATCACAGCACTTTGGGCGGCCGAGGTTTGGTGGATCACAAGGTCAGGAGATCGAGACCATCCTGGCTAACACAGTAAAACCCCGTCTCTACTAATAATACAAAAAAAAATTAGCCGGACGTGGTGGCGGGTGCCTGTAATCCCAGCTACTCGGGAGGCTGAGGCAGGAGAAAGGTGTGAACCCTGGAGGCAGAGCTTGCAGTGAGCTGAGATCGCGCCACTGCACTCCACCCTGGGCGACAGAGCGAGACTCAGTCTCAAAAAAAAAAAAGAAAGAAAAACTCCAAAGCAAATATATCTCTGGAGTTCAAGTCAGCATTTCACCTAGAGTGTAAGACAACACTATTTATTCTTTGGAGTGACAAGAAAGGATATATCTTTGACCTTAAATGACCTATTCTTGATCCCTGGTAAACATGAAAGGCTGGCAGCTAGGTATTTGTGTACTAAACTCCACCCCCTCATCCACATACCTTGTTTGGAGGAACTCAGAAGCACTTCCTGTTTGGGATCATGACTCAGGGCCAGAAATTGCTCCTTAGGCAGAGTTAGAGCAACAATATCTGCTAGTGGGACTGGCTCCTCCTAAAAGTCTTCTTTGAATCCCTCCACCCCCATTCTTCAAAGCCCAGATACTTAGAAACAAAACCTAGGAAGAGAGCAGCAGGAAAGCTGAGGGTCATCGTCAGAGGCAAAGCTCTTCCGTGTACCATGTATTGCCATTCCAGTTCACCTCCCTGCAGACCATTTCTGGGTTCCTGGCTTCCCTTCTCTCGCACAGATAATGTCCTGGGGGCAGGAGGAGTGTATCAAACACAGGATTACAGTTCTTTGAAGTAGTGACATCCGTTACAGATCTAAAGTCAAGTTTACAGGGCTGTCAGTAAGGGAAAAGGAACTTTGTGAGCTGAACTTTCTAAAATTAATCCACTTAAAAGCTACATAGCAATAGAGGCATAAGCAGGAGATACCCACTCCATCTCGAAGGAGACTTTTCCCAGTTGCAGAATTACCTGGTTAATTAATTCAGGCACCATAATAATTGAACTAATTTAAAGCCAGAATATCCATCATGGAACAGAAATAGATCTGCTGTTTTTATCAAGGTGATTACCAGGACAATTGCCAGACCTCTTAGTTTTGCTCCATGAAAGCCAAGCCAAGCCTGCTGGTTTACATACACTTTTACATATACACATGCCTTTGTATTAATAAATGAGAGTCCTCTGAGGACAATATTCACAGTCAGAAACTTCCCTCCCAGAAGTAAGAATAGGAAAGAAAGCAAAGGCTGTGTTCTCAATCCAGGCCATGGATTTTGTATAAATGAATGGAAACCTAATTTAAAAATCTATGTCCTTTTTGTGCCTACCTTCAGTGAGTTTCTAGAAATTATAATAAAACCCATTTATTGTCAAATAACAAAACAGTACATTGATGAGTGAAAGTTAAGACAGTTGTACAATTTCAAGCTGCTTCCAAGGAGGATGGAAGTTTGGCACATTCCCTCAGGATTTGTGAAGCTGTTCTTGCCTCTTCCAATATGACTCTTCATCCACATGAGCCTGAAGGGGTGGGGCTATTAGAGCTCCTTAACAGGCAGCCTTCTTTTACACCTGGCTGGTGAGCTGGCCTGAGACACCTCCAATATGTCTCTACTGTGAGTCACTATCCATAAAATCAGTGAGTCATCGACCACTTTAGAAAGAAATCCCACAGAGTTTTCTTCAAAGCAAGGGCCTCAAACTCAAATATCTACAGGGGCCAGGTAGGTAATGCATAGCAATGAGGATGAATGAGATAATTGGAAATCATGAACACTGGTTACTTCTGCAGTCTCTCCGTAACTCCAGCCAATCTTTGCATTGAGAGTTTAAGGGTCCCATTTTGCCACATTTTCTCATTTCTAAGAGATTACAGAATTCTGCTTTCTTGTTGTTTGCTGATTTATAAATGTTTGCAATAAATTTGATTTTGCAACATACTATGCTAGGAGGTCAAAACATATCTGTGAGAATAATCACCAATTTGTCATCTGTGGTTTTTAGTATCATCTCTGCACACATAAACACACATGTGTGCATACCCACCCACACACAAACAACCATCAGCCTCAAAAATGATGGATTCTGGGAGTTGAATTTGTCAAACTTCAATCATCCTTGGAAGTAGCTTGAAATATTCCTCATTCCTTTATCAATTTGCTATTTTGTAGATATTTTCCAGTAAAAAGATTTTATTATAATTTGTAGAAACTCATGGTAATAGGAATATAGGACACACATTTTTAAATGAGATTTTTCTTTCATTTACTAAAATATAAAATCCAATAGAGAAAATTCTATGTAAAGACTAAAAATCATACATATACCAAAAAATCGACATATTTCACCAAAAAGTGAATAATTAATGTTTTCTCCTCCAAAATTTTGTTTATTCTCCATAATTGCTAGAGTCAGAGAGTTTGAGTAATAGAGCCAGAAATGACACGCAGAGAGGTCATTTTCCTCACCTGTGTGAGATAAGCAGTAGCAGCAAACAGTTGCCAGGGTGTGTTATCATAGCTCACTGCAGCCACAATCTCCTGGGCTCAAGTGATCCTCCTGCCTCAGCCTCATAAGTATCTGGAACTACAGGCATGTGCCACCAAACCCAGCTAATTTGTTTTTGATTTTAGTAGAGACAGGGTCTTGCTATATTGCCCAGGCTGCTCTCAAACTGCTGAGCTCAAGCAGTCCACCTGCCTTAGCCTCCCGAAGTGTTGGGATTACAGGTGTAAGCCACCACACCCAGTCCAGTTAAAGCCACCACACCCAGTCCAGTTTGGTTTTTTTTTTTTGTTTTTTGTTTTTTTTTTGAGACAGAGTCTCGCTCTTTTCACCCAGGACGGAGTGCAGTGGCGCAATCCCGGCTCACTGCAACCTCTGCCTCCCGGGTTCAAGAGATT
Organism: Homo sapiens; assembly: GCF_000001405.40. Classification (NCBI taxonomy): domain Eukaryota; kingdom Metazoa; phylum Chordata; class Mammalia; order Primates; family Hominidae; genus Homo; species Homo sapiens. The sequence continues at coordinate 72,475,910 of NC_000009.12, read as the reverse complement.
CTCCTGCCTCAGCCTCCCATGTAGCTGGGATTACAGGCACCCGCCACCATGCTCAGCTAATTTTTGTGTTATTAGTAGAGATGGGATTTCGCCATGTTGGCCAGGCTGGTCTCAAACTCCTGACCTCGTGATCCACACGCCTTGGCCTCCAAAGTGCTGGGATTACAGACGTGAGCCACTGCACCTGGCCGGCCTAGTTATTTATTTATTTATTTTTTAAAGGTATAGGCCAGGTGTGGTAGCTTATGCCTGTAATCCCAGCACTTTGGGAGGTCGAGGCGGGTGGATCACCTGAGGTCAAGAGTTTGAGACCAGCCTGGCCAACATGGTGAAACCTCGTCTCTACTAATAACACAAAAATTAGCCGAGCATGATGACGGGCGCCTGTAATCCCAGCTACTCGGGAGGCTGAAGCAGGAGAATCTCTTGAACCCAGGAGGCAGAGGTTGCAGTGAGCTGAGATCGTGCCACTGGAGGGAAAAAAAAAAGTATAAATGAGGAAAGAGTAGATGAGTTGGCATATTAAATTAAAACTTTTATGTCATACATTAAAAAAACTGTCAAACCAAAAGAAGTTTTCAATCAAAAAAGCTGTTACTGAACCAGATTATGAAAAAGGGATACTTAAGGTAAAACAGGGACTTCTGAGAACAGGCAAGTAGATTCTGTTCTGATGTTTAATCAGACATAAATATCTACAGAAAATTGTTCTTTAGAAAGAAAAATACATCTACTGTTCAAATACATATTTATTGTGGATTAAGAATGTGTCATACACATACAGGAGATATTCCCTGATGTGTTTATTGTAGAGTTGGGCAGTCACTGTGCGATGATGGTATCTTGTTCCCTGTCTCACCAACAGCAGACTTTATTTTCCTCTGGAGTTTGTTGAAAGGTTTTTCAGTGTTCTGAGAATTGGGAGTCATTATGGAATGCACACTGAAAATACTTGCTTATTCAGAATAAGCTGAAAGTAAAGGGCTATTATTTCCCGTCTGAATCGTTCTAATGGGATGGGTCATCAGTTTCTTTCCAAAATGTTTATATTTAAAATGTTTTCCTTTTTCTCTCACTGAAAACTTCTGTTGCTTAAGAGCAGAGTAACTGTGTTTGCAAACTCCTGATGACCCTGTGTAAGCACCATGATTACAAACTCAAGGCTAGACTTCAATGCTGTATGTTATATCACAAAATAGCTGCTAAAAATCAGACTCTGTTCAGAGTGATTTGGGGAGAGGTCGTTTTGTTTCCAAATTTACCGTTATTATTATTCTATGCATATCCACAAATCAGTTGGCCTTTCCAATTGTGAAGTAGTTACTATTAGCTGTATTTAGAGAATTGAGAACGCACCTCTACTATATGGAGGTGGGCTTTGGAATCTGAAAGACTTGGAATCATGTCCTGCTTCTGCTCCTTAGTAGCTGAATGATCTTTAGCAAATCCTATAACCTCTGTGGGCCTTTGTTTTCCTGTCTTCAAAATGGCATTCAGATCTGCTCTTCAGGGTTGTTGTGAGATTAAAAGAGAAAATTACTGTAAAGCATTAAGCACAGTGGTGAAAATTTAATAATAAATATGTTAGGACAAAAGCAGTTTCAGTTTGTCAGGATGTAAGCCACAGAAACAACTTTCCAAGAGAAGTCAACGAGTAACCTTCAGAGGAAATTATTGAGTTTTTAAAGCTGGTCATTTCCATTTGCTTATGAAAAAATTGTTTGTGCTTACTAGGTTCAAGGAGAATATGTATGAGCAGGGAGGGAAAAGAGAAGGAAGATAGGTCTGGGTAGCTGAATTAGTTCCTTAAAGAATTTAAACTGGTAGTAAACAAGAAGATAAGACTTGCCAGTAAAAGGCCATAAATCAGAACTGAAAGTTATACCTGCTGTAACAGAGATGCAGTCAAAGAGGAATGGCACCTGGGAAGAAGAAGAGATTATTTTGCCTCTGACTTCATTTTTCTTTCATAGTCATGACTCTGAAAACCATAGCAAAGCCCATCCTATAAAATTATCTTTCTCAATTCACATGATTTAGAGAATTTTAGAATTCAAATATATTTTTAAGAGTTTGTGTTTAGAACTTCTACATTTTACAGGTGAAGAAACAAGATGAAGTCAAGTAATCAAGTTAGAGTAAGACCAAACCATGAAGTCATTTATTATGTTCTTCCTGCTTCACATGACCCATGAGTTCTCTTTCTCTGAGTCAACTGGAAATACCCTTTATACATTGCATGTCTCTTCTACCAGAAGAAAACTTGCAAATTGCAAATGAAAAATCTCTACAATAGTTTGGGCTTTAGGCTTTTCCATGGCCTTTTTCCTTCTGCTCTTTTCCACTCTATTTTTTCCTCCAGAGGTTTTCATTTCTACCTAGACTACATGGCTTTCTTCACCTGTTAATCTATTGCCTAATAAACAAACCCAGTTGACCCTGAGCCAGTGGCTTTTTTCTTTCCTTCCTTTCTTCCACCCTTTCTTCCTTCTGTCCTTCTTCCTTCCGTATTTCCATGTGGTTTCCTAAGACACTAGACTTAGACCTAGTATTCCTAGATTGACCAAAGATCCCTGGTGTCCAATTGTGGAAAACGTCGGAAGGAGTTCTAGGCATGGTAGGCATCTCAGCAGGACTTGATGTAGACAGAGACCAGTGAGTAGCAGGATTTGCCTAGTGCCTCAGTTAAAGATTCTGCACCCTTGGTGTAAAACTGAAGAAGGTGGGGAATCCCAAGAATCATTGAGATTGAAACTCCCAACAGTCTATATTGGAGTCAAAATTAAATAGAAAGAAAAAAATAGAGGGGAAGGTAGGAAGGAAAAAAGGAATAAAGGAAGGCAATATTTCTTACATACTTAAGCTATGGGCTGACATTCATGAACACTAAGCTTTATTGACACAGTGATGTAGTAATGATATTTTCTTTATACATCATAAGAAAGATAGTTTTCATTCATAGCTACAGAGTAATCAGAGTAATTATTCTCAGACCAAGTAAAAATTTGATAGCTACCATTACTGAGCATCCACTAGGAACTTTATCTATATCTATATCTGTCTATCTATCTATCTATCTATCTATATATATATATATATATATTTTTTTTTTTTTTTTTTTTTTTTGAGATGGAGTCTCACTCTGTAGCCCAGGCTGGAGCACAGTGGCACGATGTCAGCTCACTGCAACCTCCAGCTCCCGGGTTCACGCCATTCTCCTGCCTCAGCCTCCCAAGTAGCTGGGACTACAGGCGCCTGCCACCATGCCCAGCTAATTTTTTTGTATTTTTAGTAGAGATGGGGTTTCACCATGTTAGCCAGGATAGTCTCGATCTCCTGACCTCGTGATCTGCCTGCTTCAGCCTCCCAAAGTGCTGGGATTACAGGCGTGAGCCACCGCGCCCAGCCTATCTACATTATTTTATTTTATCTCATCATCACGATGACTTTATAATCTTGGTTTTGTTATCTTTATTCTAGAGATGAAAACAACGGGCTCAGAAAGTTCAAGTAATTTGCCCAAGATTACACAGAAAGTAAGTGGCAGAACCGGGATTAGGAACCATGTGTCAAATGCCACACCTATGTTCTGTCTCCTAATCTGCCCTGTGGCCTGGGACTGTGCACTAGTCAAGACACAGTGACTAGAAATCTTATCGGAAGTTGGGATATTTCGGTTTAACTCAATACTTATTCTCATTGTTCTCCTGGCTTTCCCAAAGATTGACTTTCATGCACCTTTTATTCACATTTGTGTCTCCTATTGAGCAAATTCACTATCTAACCTTGGCCACAATCCCCTTTCAGCTCTTGGCCTCCTGTCAACACACTTCTATCATTTGACACCCCCATCTTCACATCCCTCATCCTCATCCATCCCCATCCCCTACTCTGACCATCCTGGGTCTGCTTTTGTTATGCCTGTCTGACACTGAGTTGATAGGGCCACTGTGTGACTCAAAGGAAATAGTAAGTGTCGAGGCAGCCATTCAGAGATTAAGATGGCTACAGGCTGCAGTAACCTGGGAAAGTTTCTGGAGAAGGAAGTTTGATGGGAAGAGATCATTAGATTAAGTGGAAAAGAGGAAGAAGACCATTATTTTTGGAAAGAAGTGGGTGAAAAACACTGGAAAATAAAAATGCAGACATTAAGTAGTCTACACTGGGAGAAGAAGATAATTGATCTTGATTATAGCAGGAGATTACTTTGGAAAAGTTAGTGGATGGCTTGATTTTTTTTTTTTTTTTTTTTTTTTTTTTGAGACAGAGTCTCCAACTGCCGCCTGGGCTGGAGTGCAACGGCGTGATCTTGGCTCACTGCAACCTCAGCCTCCTGGGGCTTGAATGTTTTAAAAGTTAAATTTACCTCAAATGTTGTATAGTATGTTTAGGAATAGAAAAGAATGAAGGCAAAAAATAATAATAATAATAATTGTCACTGCAAAATAGACAGGATCCAAAATGACCCCGTGGATCTAAGCTATAATAACTAAGACAATGACAATAACCACTAAAAGACACAGGAAATTCAAGAGGCAGACACTGGTTACAGACAAAGAACATGACTTTTCATTTAGCCATGATGTGCCTGGGGTAATTTGGTAATGTTCCAGTGAAACCACCATGCAAGAAGTTAGAACTGCATGACCAGAATTGGTAAAATTGGTCTAGGTGAAATTATCCATACAAAGGCGAGCTTTATTTCCATAAAAACAGATGAACTACCCAAAGGAATAGCAAAGACAAGATCAGAATTTATCAACACAACTATGGCTGCATTTATAGCCACAACAATTTGTGTGTGTGTATGTGTGAGAGCCAAAGTTTTATGTGTTCATTTATTGCATTTGAAGGACCCTTCGATAACATCCTTGGCTGAGACTCCTTGCCATAGTCCTTAACTACTACACAATTGCAACCAACCACTTTAAGGGGCTTCTTCTCTCTGTCAATTTTACAGAGGCCTACCCATTCCCCTAGTTTCTTATCTTTTCTTTCTTTCTTTTTTTTTTTTTTTTGAGACAGCATCTTGCTCTGTTGCCAGGCCGGAGTGCAGTGGCACAATCTCGGTTCACTGCAACCTCCGCCTTCCGGGTTCAAGTGATTCCGCTGCCTTAGCCTCCTGAGTAGCTGGCACTACAGGCATGCATGACCACGCCTGGCTAATTTTTTGTATTTTAGTAAAGACGGGGTTTCACCATGTTGGCCAGGTTGGTCTCAATCTCCTGACCTCATGATCCGCCTGCCTCAGCCTCCCAAAGTGCTGGGATTACAGGCGTGAGCCACTGCGCCCGGCATTCCCCTAGTTTCTTATTGTCATCAGCCTTAATTGGGTTCATTTGCTGTTCAGCACAAAGGGCATCCACCAACTTGACATGCACAGACTCATCACAGTTGGATGTAAGCAGACAAAGATGGGCTTGGCACTTGTGTAAGGCTTTGGCAGCTTCATGAATTCCACATGCTAGGCCACCATGGATGAGGGCGGTTTTCAGCACCTCTTGAAAAGCAGTATTAATGTCCATTACACCTCCAGCAATCCACAGCTATGGCGGTGGATTACAGGTGAAGTCAAATCTTGAATGCACTGCAGCCTCCACCTCCATGTGACTCAGTGGCAAGGTAAGAAGCCATGATTATTTATTGATGATTTATATATTCCAGAGATCAGAGTAGATAAAATTAATGTTTTCATTTCTAGAACAGACAAGCACACTTGGTTATTTTTTTAAAAAGTTAAAAAAATTATTAATTGTGGTAAAATGCACATATAAAATTTGCCATCTTAACCATTTTTAAGTGCACACTTCAGTGGTATAAAGTACATACAAACATCACCAACATCCATCTCCGGGAGGCAATTCATCTTGCAAAATTGAAACTCTATACCAATTAAATAACTCTCCATTCCTTCCTCACATCCCTCCATCCATAGCAACCCCCATTCTATTTTTTCTTTCTTTCTCTTTCTTTCTTTTTTTTTTTTTTTTGAGATGGAGATTCCCTCTATCGCCCATGCTGGAGTGCAGTGGCTCGATCATGGCTCACTGCAACCTCTGCCTCCTGGGTTCAAGCAATTGTCCTGCCTCAGCCTCCCAAATAGCTGGGATTACAGGCGTGTGCCACCATGCCTGGCTGACTTTTTGTATTTTTAATAGAGACGAGGTTTCGCCATGTTGGCCAGGCTGGTCTTGAACTCCTGACCTCAGGTGATCCACCCGCTTCGGCCTCCCACAGTGCTGGGATTACAGGCGTGAGCCACTGTGCCTGGCCCCACAATCCAGTTTTAGAACATGTTCATCACCTCAAAAATATAACTTTGTCAGTTTATGGTCATCCCTTGCTACCATCCCCAGCCCCAGGTCATAACTGATCTGTCTACTTCTCTATAGATTTGCCTGCACTCGATCAAATTTTACAAGTTATTTTTAAACTATCTTTTTAAAAAACTAGTATTTCATAGAATTATAGGGGGAAAAGTATGTCTTATAATCTCCTGTCAGTTTTTGTGTGTTTTTAACAAATCTCTGTTCACAGATCCATCATTTCAGCATCATGTTTTGTTTTTATTTTAGTCTTTGTCAAAAGAAAATTTGAAAACTGATCTTGTTGGTAAATGACACACTTAAATATGTTATTAGAATGTTATTTATTCCTTAGAGTTGTATCTCTTATCACTGACTAATTTCCTTCTAAAATAAGGCATGACATTTCCACTAAGGCACCCAGGTGAGTTATGTGCCTGTCCTAATCAACAGCCACCTGTCATGATCTAAACAGGTTTCCAGGTTGTTTATATTCTCTCTTCCTCCCTCCCTAACCCAGCACTGAACCTCTTACTGTTCAGTGCTGATCACATGTACTCCACACACACTACCACCTGTACTGAGTGGAATTCAGAAGCCTCAACTGAGCCTTAAATACACTGTAAGTGAATTCCTTAAGGCTTTGGCATGTGGAGGCCCACACCCATGGTTTCACACTGGGTTCCTTCCAAAGCAAGGTTTAAAAAAGAACAATGTGAAAGGTAAAATACACACACACACACACACACACACACACACACACACACAGAAATTTTAAAAAATAAGAAAGTGTTTTGTTAGGTCTTGATAAACAAATAATGTCTCTGATACCCAAGTACCTGAAACAATATAAAGACAGATTTTATCCCTGATTTTCTGAGGTGATGAGGTCAAATTCTGAGCTATAGGTTTACTAAATAGGTCAACTTCAGATTAAGAGCTTTGTGTTCAGCTGTTCCACGTGACGTGTATATGCTTTAGTGAGTTTCAGTTGAGGATGATGCCTTTAATAGAGTGAAACCACTTAATTTTAGTGTTAAGATTAAGACTTGAATCATACTGTGCCAAAGCAAGATAACAATGTAGGAGGGTATTATTACAGAGCAGGTTATGTTTGTGGCTTGACAATGTACCCCACACCCCTATCATCTCTGTGTGTTCAACTCAAAGGATGCTAAGTAGGGAATGAACACATTTGTCTAGAAACCAAGGAGTCTCTAGGAAAATAAAATGCTCAACCCCCAACTCTAATGAGTTTCACCATTTTAAATGGTCTCGACTGAGATCAGTGGACAGGGAAGGGCCCCAAGGATATGCTTCCGAAGGAGGAACCAACCCATCGTAAGAGAGGGGTCAATGAGTCAGTAGTCTGGTCTCGCCACAATTACCTAAATAATTCCCAGGAGAGTTCTGGACACAGTGTGTAGCTGAGATAAGCTGGCCTAGGTTCTCCGGCACTATGGATATGCTTTGATGAGGAGCTATGCCTGTTAATATGACAAACAATCTTATTGAGTTCCAGGCATAAAATGATAGGAGCAATCATAGCCAAGTATAACCCTATGGGGAGATTTCTCTACCTCCCTCCCCTCCACACTGATCCTGAGGAATTACTGCCAAACCATCGCAGTGACAGGATATCAGGAGGCTGTAAAGCCCTGTGAGTTTGGCTTCTTCAGTTTTCTCTCTGTGAGGCCCTTGGCAGCAAACTTGGCAATGTTTCCTCTCTGGACTGTCTACCAGGACTTTTTTTTTAAGAAGAGCTAAAAAAAATTTATAAAGGTTAAACATTGTGACATAGGTTTTCTTTATGTTTAGGTCATAACTAGAAAGGAAACTCTACACTTTGCAAAAGAGCAATTAACAATAGCACAAATTCTTATTCTATGCATCTTTGAGTAGCAGAGTGACCTGCAGGTGATAATTTAACTTGTATTGGAATTTTTGCTATATATTAAAAAGTCTCCTATCCATGGAGTGGATAACTTGTTAAAAAGGAATAAAAGCTATTCTACCCCCAACCCCAGGAAAGGGCAGTGGACCGAGTCTTGTGTTTCTAAAGCCCAAGCCCTTCTAATGGCCCTTTAAGTTTCACTGTGGGAAGAAAGAACAGAGGGTACCATTTCTATTTTAGAAGGATGAAGAAGGAAAGAAACCCAGACCTTGAGGAAATTCTAGAATTCAAAAAAGGAATAGTGATTGTCCTTTCTGAGACAGGGAGATACCTGGACGTGCTTTGGTTTGGTGAATGACAGTAGAGGGGCATGGCTGTGCAGAGGGTTCTGAACTGTCAGAGAGCAAGTTGTATTATGCTTTTATGCCACTCTCCTTCAAAGTCCATGCTACTCAGCAGCAAACTGTATAAGTTGACATGTTGCTAATCCCTGATGCCACAGGGCCAGAGGTACAATAGAAAATTTGTGACCCCAGCAGATCCCAGTGAAAGCAGCAGTGAACAGGGATTCACCAGGGCCCTTAGTCACTTGAGAATGGAACCTGGCACACTATGTGTGGGTGCACAAGTCCCTAGGAATCCAAATAACCCAGGCGAAGGGGTTGGGAGGTCAGGAGTGTGATCATGGAATTTCCTTAATTCTGCAGGTAGAGCCTAGAGCCATTTCCATTTTAATCTGAAAGTAAGAAATATGCCATGCAGTTCATCACAGAGTGCAAAACACCTCCTACTTGTTAAATAGTTGGTTCTCCCCCTCTTGTTTTTCTTTTTTGGCTTCTAACACACTAAGCACACATATTTATTATATAAACCATAATGTTCATAATTGGGGTTTCACAAATATGTTGGCATTTTTTTCATCAATTATTTATTCAGTCAGCATCTGATAAAGAGAAACAGACAAACTACTGGGGCCCACCTACCCTGGAGTAGGTACTTAACATAATGAAGTCAGTTAAATTCTGCATTTAAGACATTAACAGTGAGCTGTGGCAATACAGCATAGTGAAGGCCTAACCCAGGCAGGAGCTTCCTAAAAGAGGTAACATTTGACTTGAATCCTGTTGCATGGGAAAGAGTTTACTCTTTCTTTCATATCCATTCTTTCAGTGAAGACACCACCAGCCAATGCAAGTCTCTACCAGAAGCATATCTGTGAATTCCCCTTCCCCTTATTCAGACAGGCACCATCTCAATCTCATCTTTCCTAGCTCTTCAAAACTCTTTTGACCCCATTTATTTCAAGTGCCACATTAAGGTAAGAGTTTCAGCTGGGACTGGAATTTCTTACTCAAGGTAGCAACCCATTCATCACCTTTAGTTCTTCTATCTCTTCCCAATTTCATGTACCTGCCCCCACCTCCCACAGAGTTAACCAGCCAGATCCACAGTGATGGGTCTCTTGAGCGAAACAGAAGAATCAAACATTTGTAGGTAGAGAAAGGGATCTGATAGGAAATACTTGTAGGTCTGTCACATTCCTGGAACCCATTCATTCTACCCTTTTTTATTATGACTGCTAAACAGTCACAATTTAACTCAACCCATATTCATTGAATATTCCTGGTAGATACTTTGGGCAGTGAAAGATGAGAAAGCTGGGAGCTATTAGAGTATAGTGGCTTAGAACATAGGCTCTGAAGCCAGGTTTAGGTTTAAATTCTAGATTATCCAACCCAGAGACTCTCACGTTTCCCGCCAACCTCCTTCCTCCAAACCAAGAAGGATGGGTCACTACACCACTGTTTAGGAGCTGCTACTTCTAATGAGAATGTAGCATACTCCTAACAGTGAAAAAATATATTAAGAACTGCTAAGATGATTCACCTAAAAGGCCCAATACATGCCTGGCACATTGTAAGTATAAACAAATGACTGCTTTAGGTAAAGGAAATATAAATAGAAAATGTGGGTGTGTAGCTGCTTTTTCCTGTCTGGGATTTACTGGCTAGTATGAGTGTCGTACACATGTTATACTAGTTACACACATTTAAGACTCATGTCTTCTTCATCCTTATGCAAAAACACTTTACTACAATACCAGTTAATGATTTCTCATTTATAAAACTGTTCCAAGTCTTGTACATCTCAAAAAGTTAATTTTCCTCTATTTTTTCCTTCTAAATTCCCCCAAGCTATTAATTTTCAATATGAAGTTGCCATAATTAAACTTTTTCTTAAAGAAGAAATAAACCTCTTTAGTCATGAGAACAGAGCTCAGTCCACATCAGAGGCAGTTATTGTGAATTCCTCCCTAAATTATTCAAACTGAGCATATGTCCAATTCAAACTGCTTTCACTCAAAAATGAAATCCTTACAGGACGATAGAGAGTAAACATGAGAAGTATACCCCTGCTATTTTTTGCCTCCCCTACAAATTGTTTCCATCCGTGTCTGAAGTGCCAGTCTGTTTTCATGAATTTTAATTAAAACTGGCACCAGATTGCTGCTGGGGATAAGGGTTGGACTGGGAGGGAATGGAAGCATTTTGACATCTGCCGAACTCCGGATAAGCTGTGAGGTTTGCACTTGAGATTGGCTTCCTGAATGCAAGGAGGAAGCTAGTGAGAGACCAGACTTTCTGGCCGGTCTAGTAGCAGACATCAACCTCTGAGGTTTTCTCGATGGACAAATACAAAAGGCATAACTTCTGCAGTATGCTGAAATTGACGGAGAAAAAAGAGAACTGCTAGAATCAGATATGAACTTGATCTAATGAAGAAATCCTATGACGTAATGAAGAAGAATTGAAGAGAGCTTTCGCCAATGCCAGTGGTACTGTTAGAGACTATGGTTGTTCCCAGACAGGAAAAATCTTGAAGAGATGTGACCTTTGAGATGTGAAATTACGTATCTCTTTTGGCCAGAAAAGACATAGAGGAGGCATCTGATTTAGCAAAACTTGTAGTATGAAAGTTGCCTCTTTGCAGCTCAACAAATACCAAATACATTTACATTGTTGGGGCAGAATAGAATTTTTTCTTAAAAGAATTCACTTCTTGCCCTGACATAAAGTAAACAAAGTCAATATCATTAAAGTCAGTCCTCCCTTGACACCAGGAAAACTGTGCCATCCCCAAACATACCCAGCATCTGTGAAATCTGTAATCATACAATGATTTCCCCAGAACAAAAGCAAATAGACAGTAGCAAGGGTGTTAGTTAGCTAGATGGCTATGGAAGGTACTGCACAAAGCAAATTTAATCAATAATAGCTCTAGTATTTAAATAGCCAGAAATAAGGATAAACAATATGAATGTGGAAAATGTAAATATACAAGCAAGCATGTGCCAATATGAAATACGCATGGCTACAGAAGTGCATGTAGAGGAGTAATGGTGATTTGTGTCACTCTGCCCAGGCCTTCAGCAGGTCAAGGGGAGTTCAGTCAAAGGAAAGGTCAGGCAGCAATAAATCCAAGATATCCCAGTAGGAAGGTTGCATCCATACATCATTGTCTAAATCAGTGGCTTCTAAATTTTTTGACCTATCCACCTATAAGTAAAACAAAATTTAAGCATACACTTTCAATTTGTGTGTGTGTGTGTGTGTATATATATGCACACACATGTACTATACATAGTATATACATGTGTGTAGTATTATGTGATAGTATATGCATGTACTATTATACTAGCATATAATATAGATAAAAATATACAAAGAGACAATTTTTAAATTTTTATTTCAGGTTTGAGGATACATATAAAGGCTTGTTACATATATAAACACATGTCATGGGGGTTTATTGTACACATTATTTCATGACCCAGATATTAAGTCCAGTACCCAGTAGTTGTCGTTTCTGCTCCTCTCCTTCCTCCCACCCTCCCTCTCAAGTACACCCCAGTGTCTGTTGTTTCCTTCTTTGTGTTCATAGGTTTTTATCATTTAGCTCCCATTTATAAGTGAGAACATGTGATATTTGGTTTTCTGTTCCAAAATAGACATTTTTAAAGGATGAAATCAAGATAACCCAGTGGTTTGTTTTACTTCTATCTTATTAATTTACAAAGACATCTTTCTGTTTTCACTTTTAAAAATCATTAAGACTACTAAAATGTGTAAACAGTGTGATTTAATATACTTAATTATGTTTTAAAATCTTTGTGATTCAGTCTGGCATTATGTTTATTATTTCTGGATTTAATCTTAATGATTGTCATAACAAAAAAGTTAATTCCTAATGATACAAGGATGTGATAAAAAAAAAAGACCTCATTATCTTGCCTACTAAATCATGGTACTTATTTTTTAATGTAATCCTCCAATTATGCAAAAGTTTTTGTTTAAAGTTGACACAGTATTCAACTAGGGTGAGGCCTACAATGATAGAGGTAGTAAATCCATATTTCATAATTCTCTTGATCATTTCAAAATTCATTAGAATGTATAAATTCATCTTTTACCTCTTCTTTGGCTGCTGAATAACTAGTTCCATAGGATTAAGGGAACTTTCAACTCTGCCACTTTTTTCCATTATCAAGCAGTGCATTAATTATTATCTTCAATCTTAGACACTTTTGCAGGAATCTTTTATATCTATTTGTCTATTTTGTGAAGTCAGTAATGAAATCCCTAAATCCACTTAGCCAGGTATATGCAAACTTCAGTATGTGTTAACACAATGAAATCAAGCAAAAGAGAACTCTATAGCCAATTCTTTGGGGTTGGATTCACAGACTACTGCCAATCTGTGTATTAAATATTAGTAAAGCTTAATTTCTTCTCTCTACATATTAATGTAAAACCATAAATTATAATATCTTTCTCCACACATCAACGAATGGTCTTCTTCACACCCTGGTGAGCATGTCCTCCACTTGAATGTCTCTCCATAAAAAGCCTGTCTTCTTTCTCCCTGCAGAGTAGGTGAATGCGTGTTTTATGGCCCATGGATTAGTTCTGGGGGTGGAGTTACAGGTTAACAATTGCTTAACATTTCCCATGATTTTGGATTCTGAATTAATTTCTTCTGTGGAGAGTCCAACCAAGAAATATCATCATTCATTCATTCCATAGGTAATGTGCATGGCTGTGTTTCAATAAAACTTTATTTATGAAAATAGGTAGTCAGAAGGATTTGACTTGTGACCCAGAGTTTGCCAATTCCTCGTCTAGACAATTGGTTTACTTCCCCTATCTGATTTGACTATGGTGATATGGGTCTATGGAATTTTACTTATCTGACTCTTGAGTCATACTGTTTTCTTTTACTTGAATAAGTAAGAAAATTCAGAAAAGCTAGTCCGTTTCCTGATGCATATTTTTATACTTTACTTTTTCAGATACTCACTTTACCTTCTGTCCCCAGATGCACTGACAAAATGAGTTAATCCCTTATTTCTTTTTCTTTTTTGAGACAGAGTTTCACTCTTGTTGCCCGGGCTGGAGTGCAATGGCATGTTCTCGGCTCACTGCAACCTCTGCCTCCCGAGTTCAAGCAATTCTCCTCCCTCAGCCTCCCGAGTAGTTGGGATTATAGGCATGTGCCACCACACCCAGCTAATTTTGTATTTTTAGTAGAGATGGGGTTTCTCCATGTTGGTCAGGCTGGTCTCAAGCTCCTGACCTCAGGTGATCCACCTGCCTTGGCCTCCCAAAGTGCTGGGATTACAGGAATGAGCCTCTGTCCCCGGCCTAATCCTTTATTCCTTACAAAATTAATTTGACATAGAGTCAAAGGAATAACTTAAAGACATAACGTGGCCTGTGAAAGAACAAAAGTCTCCTTGACCAATATCTTCTGGCTGGAAACTTCAGGATGAATCTTGTTTGTTTTTGTAGGTGATAACATGTATGTCAAATACTACAGGGGCAGGAGAAGCAGAATATGGCTTTCAGAAAGAGAGTTAACTTCAACTGTAATAGGTAAAAAGCTACCTACTAATGACTACAATGTGCTACTGGCACATTGTATCATTCCCTTGTCGGTGTGTTCTAAGATATAGTCTACCTCAATTCTTATCCAGTGTTTCTCAAACTTGAGTGCCTATAGGCTTTACTTTGGAAGTAAGTTAAAATGCTGATTGTTTGTAGGTTTTCTGGGATTGGGATTCAGGGATCTGTCACCAAACACTTCTGGGGATTCTGGTGGGGCCAGCCAATAGAACACATACTTGCTGAAAAGAACAAAGTAAATTTCCTGAGTTCAAAATCTCTGTAAGGCAGAACTGAAGATTGATGAAAATATGTCTGAAGCTCCTAAATCAGAACTTGGCAGATAGTACATGCTCATTAGATCTAAATGATTTTATAATTAATATTATTGTATAATTATTATGTTATACATAAAGAGAACTATATATTCCGTCCTATGAAAATGGGAATCATTTAAATTGCAATTAGGTAAAAAGGGGAAGGAAGGAAATTAATAAATCTTCAATACCAAAAATGAATGCACTATAAGAGGGTCAGAAACTACAAGAGTTAAAATGAAAGGTCATAAACTGCTGAATCATTAGGTAATCATTAAACCAAACTAGAGACAAGTAATGAAGGAAAGGGGGAAAACTCCTTAATAGCTATTTGCCCATATGTCACAAAATTGAAGCAAAGATATGTTTATTATCTGGATCATCTGGGCCTTATCCACAGTTCTCTGATTCTCTTTGCCTGAGTAAACCTGAATCTGAGGCTATAAAATTGAGAAAGTAATGGGACTTAGGGAAAAGGGAGATTTTCAAACTGTGATTGAAGTCAAAGAGCCATTTCAGTCTAACAAGATCATTGCTCTTCTCAATAAATCCCCAGAGATTGATGGTTTTGCTTAGCCCCTGGCAAAGAATATCTTGAACTGTTTTCAGGCCAGGCCTGAAATGCATTCACTTGTTCATTCGTTCATTAAATCAATATTTAATGACGTGCCAAATACTGTTCTAAGCACTTGGGATGCATAAGTGAACAAAATAGATAAAGATCCCTGCCCTCAAAGAAATTACAAAGAAAGGCAGATAAGAAAAAATAAACACAATGAATAAATAAGCTATATAATATAAAAAGAAAAAGGAGCAGAGTATAGGAGAATGTGGGAGTGTAAGTCGTGGTCAAGGCAGCCCTCCGTGGGAAAGTGAGATTTTAGCAAAGACCTGAGAGGGTGAGGGAGCAGAAGCCAGGCAAGCAGCTGTGGGCAACGGAGACTTCCCGGCAAAAGGAACAACCAAGGTCACAGGACCAGAGAGTGCAGGACTTATACTTATTCTTATTCTTATTATTTTTACATAAAGAGAGCTATATACAGTCTCACTGTCATCCAGGCTGGAGTGCAGTGGTGCGATCTAGGCTCACTGCAACCTCCACCTCCTGGGTTCAAGTGATTCTCCTGTCTCAGCCTCCCAAGTAGCTGAGATTACAGGCTTGTGCCACCATATTTGGCTAATTTTTGTATTTTTAGTAGAGATGGGGTTTCACTGTGTTAGCCAGGCTGGTCTCGAACACCTGACCTCAGGTGATCTGCCGCCTCAGCCTCCTAGAGTGCTGGGATTACAGGCGTGAGCCAGGACTTATTTTTAAAGAATATTAAGAAGGCCAGGCATGGTGGCTCACACCTATAATCCCAGCGCTTTGGGAGGCTGAGGCGGGCAAGGTCAGGAGTTTGAGACCAGCCTGGCTAACATGGTAAAACCCCATCTCTACTAAAAATACAAAAAATTAGTCGGGCATGGTGGCAGGTGCCTGTAATTCCAGCTACATGGGAGGCTGAGGCAGGAGAATCACTTGAACCCGGGAGACGGAGGTTGCAGTGAGCTGAGAGGGTGCCACTGCACTCCAGTCTGGGCAACAGAGCAAGACTCTGTCTCAAAAAAAAAAAAAAAAAGAGAATATTAAGGAGACTAGTGCAGCTGGAGGAGAGTGAATAATAAGAAATGAGAGCAGAGAAGTAACTCAGGGCCCCAGATCATTGTAGGGCCTTACAGGCCATTCACTGTAAGAACTTTGGCTTTTACTCTGAGTGAAATGAGAAGACTTTATATGGTTTTGAGTACAGGAGTGACATGGCTACTTTAGGCTTTAATTAGCTCAATCTTGCTGCTGTGTGGACAGTAAGCTATAGAAGAACAAGTGTAGATCATGCCTGCGGTAATCAGGCTGCATAGCTTATTGACCTCAGCAACAGTGCTTTATACATAGGGGCACTTGGGAGCTCCACTGAAAATACTGATCTCTGCCTGTGCTTGATTGCTGACCCTTAACTGAAGGTTCTGCTTGCTGCTCAGTTTTGACCTCTGGCCACCATGAAATCTAATTACATGGTCCCAGCCATCCTGTTGTTCTCTCAAGTTTGCATTAGCTACCCTCAAAAGGTGCACAAAGTTCACTCTTTTTCATCCAGCAAATTCCAGAGCCCATCACTATATTAAAAATTAGTTGGAAAATAGAAGCACTTGAAACCTACTTTAAGAGATAAGAATAAGTATCATATCATATTTTTAGTTTCTACAATATGCCAGGTGCTGTACTTTATGTATATTAACAGTTAATCCTCTTAACTCAGAGAGCTAGTATTATTATGGTAATGTCTCAATGCTAGAAACCATATCTTGAAGATACAAAGTAATTTGTAAGAAGAGAAGGCAAAATTCAAACCCAGAAAATGATACTACTACCCTATAATACGCAATCAGCTTTGAAATGTTTATACCTCAAATGCCTGGTTTTAAAAAACTGTTTTCCACACTCTTCATTAGTATAGTTTATCCTGTTAAAACTGTATTAAGAGAACAAAGGAAATGTTAGCCTGGCCCTGACTTCAATATGACAAATTAAATTCCCTGTAATCAAATACAGTCAGGATTGGTAGTTAGTTGGTTAATCCAAAAAAAAAGTTAAAGTGAGAAAAGTTAAGAAATTATACAAGTATAGCTGAATAGTATATTTTGGCATCAATTATTTCTCTCTGCATTCATTCATCAATCTTTCGTTGTAGAACATTTTCTTACAGTTTGATTGGAGTTCTATTGCTTTCTCACATAAAAGCGTCATCTTTGATCTCCAGTTTCAGTTTCTTTAAAGTGGAATAAGAAAATAAGGTCAGCTGTGAAGAAATATAAAAATAGACTTCTCTAGATATTTATCAGTATTTTCTAGCTTTTTATGATGTCTTCTTCACACCTGATTATATTACATGCTTATAGACTCATCCCAAGCATTAGTTTCTCATAGAAACAGCTCTTTTTTTTTTCTCACACTTATATTACTTTGGCTTTTACACTATTTAACAAATGATGTAATTTCAATAATAAATATAACTGAGATAAACAGATCTGGGAACAAACTCAGCTGACTCTTGGTAAACATAAAACTCAACCAATAGGGGAAGGAATGGATGAATGTACTAGAATAATCATCTGGCTGCTAGCTTTCTGCAAAAAGCATTGTCCAAGTTTTACAGAGACAATGGAGAGCATGGATTACTCTAGTGGATTGGTTAAATGGATGTTGATTAACTGAGCACCTATGGTATAGATTATTGGATGCCAAGTAATGAATCTTATCTGGAATTGTACGACATAGGAACTGGAGTGAACAATAACAAAAGTAGCTAGTATAACCCAATCATTTAACAAATGAGAAAATGCAGCCCTCTAGAGTTAGAATATCTTCCCAAGATTACTTCATTAGTAAGGAAAGGAACAGATTTCATGCTCTCTGTTCAATGTTCCGTCCTATACTGGCGAATTCCATTCTGCCACTATTGGATAAAGTGCCTTGAAGGACCTAATTTTCTCTTTTCCCTCACCTGTTTTCAAGTGCAGTGCAAAGAATTTCTCTTATCTGAGACTAACGTTTTTATTACCTAAATAAAAAAATTAGAAATGTTTTACTTTGAAGTTTTCATACAAAAAAAAAGACTAGTTTGTTTTTCATTTCAATGTCAATTTTATATAAGTCTCTTCCGAAAAATGAAAACTTAGAACTAATATTTTTCTATAAACATGGCCCATTGAATTCACAGGGACTCACATTTGGGCATTGGTCAGAAACTAGAAAATAGCTTGAGAGAAAAAAAAATGACTGAAATACTATAAAGACTGAAAAAATAAACAAGAAACCAAACTTGCAGCTGACTTTTCCAGATATTTTGCCAAGATGGCTAAGGTCATTGGTAACTACTCTATTCTCATGTAACACCATCAAAAATATCTGCCATAGAAATAGATCAGAAATTGTAATATTTACTTTGCAAAAAGTACAAGGCTTGTGTGGTGTGTACTCGTGTATATTTATAAAAATGGGTCAAAATATAATGTAATAAAAGTCTAAAAATGGAACTGGAGAATTAGAACCAGATTCCATATTCTCCTATTGGTTTATTTTTCTTATCTATTTTCTTTCTACTGGAAACATATCTACTAAAAAATTAATTTGGCATCAGTAATGTGTACCAGTATTAACTCCACTTTCAACTTGGGCCTCAGCCTTCTGACAATAATGAACTACTTTTTTTTTTTTTTGAGAGGGAGTCTAGCTCTGTCGCCAGGCTGGAGTGCAGTAGTGTGATCATGGCTCACTGCAACCTCCGCCTCCCAGGTTCAAGCAATTCTCCTGCCTCAGCCTCCCAAGTGGCTGGGACTACAGGCATGCCCCACCACACCTACCAAATTTTTGTATTTTTAGTAGAGACTGGGTTTCACTGCGCTGGCCAGGATGGTCTCGATCTATTGACCTTGTGATTGCCCACATCAGCCTCCCAAAGTGCTGGGATTACAGGCGTGAGCCACTGCTCCTGGCCAATAATGAACTACTTTTAAGCCCTACATGTCATGATTACTTCCACCAAAGAGGAGTGGTGGGTGCTTAACATCCCCTGAGGAGGAGCATCACTGCTCCCTTCTTGCTGGAAATCTTCACCCCACCCCAGAAGGATCAGACTGGTACTGCCTTGGGGAATCACTTGGGTAATTGGTCTACGTGAACTTTTAAATATTTACTCCAAAACTTCCATATATTCCATTGGTTTATTTTCAAACCTTTTTGATTTTGTTTCCTCACATATACTTTTCCTTCATTTTATCATTAAATATTGGGATCCCACAGAGTTCCAGACCTGACCCATTGTTCTTCCTCATCACCTATTCTACATGACTTCATTCCCTCTCAGAATTTTTGCTAGCACTTGCTAGGGGTTCCCAAATCTATGAATCCAGCACAGCCTCTCACCAGTAAATGAGAGTCATGTCAAATCCCCACAAAACAGCTCTAGATTTTTACCATTCAATTTGGATGTTTATCATGTGTGTAATTACAGAGTCTTAAGACAATGCAGCTATACACGGTAGCTCACGCTTGTAATCCCAGCACTTTGGGAGGCCGAGGCAGGTGGATCACCTGAGGTCGGGAGTTCGAGACCAGCCTGGCCAACATGATGAAACCCCGTCTCTACTAAAAATAGAAAATTTAGCCGGGTGTGGTGGCAGGTGCCTGTAATCCCAGCTACTCGGGAGGCTGAGGCAGGAGAATCGCTTGAACCCAGGAGGCAGATGTCACAGTGAGCCGAGATCATGCCATTGCACTCCAGCCTGGGCTGCAGAGCAAGACTCTGTCTCAAAAAAAAAAAAAAAACAATGCAGTCTTACTCAAATTAATAATTCACTGTTCTTCATAATAGCATGCTAACAAATTAATTAACTAATAGCTTTTCCTGGTCACTACACAACCACCACCACCACCACTACCACCAGCAGCCCTGGCTCTATCATACCTTTTTTCTCCTAAGCCTCTTTGCAGATTTATAGTCACAATCTCATATGTTGAAATTCCTAACTTGGGAAATATTGTCAACATACAACTCCACAAAGGCACCACAGATTACATGTGCTTTAGGAATACAAAAACAAAAACCAAGAAAAAAAATCAAAACAAAAAAAAATGCAAGAACCAATACTGAGTATCCAAGTGCATAGTCTCATTTGACTTCACGTGTTTATTTGCATCTTTATTCCCCAGAACTAAGAAATGAGGAAGGGGAGTGGGGAGCAAAAACAATTCTTTGAGAAAAAGTTCCAGAAATAAAACTGTAGGTAGGAGATCGGGTAGGAAAAGAGGTGAAAAAAGTGCCGCATTTTCCACTTAGACTAATTAAATCTAATCACAGCTGCCAACTAACTGTTGCATTGTGGGTATATAAAGTCAGCTTAAAGCCTTCATTCCTGATTAAATCAGTACAAGCAGTCCTAATGGCACTAATGATAAAGCAAGCCCCATTAGACTGTTAAAATATAACAGGGATCCACTTTCACAGATCATTGTATTTCTGTGTAGCAAGAGCCTGCCACTCTGCCAAGTGCCCCAGTAATCATTCTCTCTTTCTTGATCTTTTGCAACTTTCCCCAGGGCTTGCAGTAAATTTGAGGTAGAACAATGAAGTCTTTCATGTGGAAGAAAAGAGAGAGAAAAGAAAAAAACCCTCTGGAGGCAATGGTCTCTCTTTCCTTTTCTACATCACTGTGAGCATACTAAAAGAAACAAAAGGAAAGGATCAACCCCCTTTCCACTAGTCAAAAGGTATTTCAGAAATAAAGGAAGAATCCTTGAGAATGGCTTTGTGTTTGTCTGTCTTCCAATTGACTGCCACCGATGGTATGTGTTAAACCTTTTCAGTGTCAGGAATCCAAGCCCAGAACAAACAACCAAAGCACAGACTCAGGTTGTCTTCTACAAAGCAATGAATGACATTTTGCTAGGATGACCAAGAGCCCTTGGCATTATAGAGAAGTCTATAAGAAAAAATGCTGGCACCATGGAGCGGTTTGAATGTTTAGACAGACAAGTGTAGATGAACCTCCTAAACTTGATTGTATTGTTTACAAAATAATTCAATAAGATGAAGAGTGAGATCTTGAAACTTATATTTAACTTCAGAGTCAAGAAGGAAGCCAAGTAAAATAGAGAGCTTTGGAAGATCAGAACCTATATTATGTCTAGATCTCAACTATTTCCTTTTCTTCAGTAGAAAGCAAAAGAAAAGCCAGAATGTTTAGAAGTAGAACCAGTACATCCATAAGATCTAATCAGTACATTGTTTGTAATCCACAAACTACTCAAGAGGCAAAGGACACAGGAGTCGCTGCTTCTGCTTTTTTTTTTTTAATAGATTGTCAACAGTAGACCTTTTAGTCCAATATGTCCTGCCTTAATATAGTGTTAAAAATTATTTCAAAATAGTGTTCCTTTATATTTTATAATACTTTACAAACTGAAAAAGGAAGGGGCCTAACAGGATGTATTCTTCATAAACTCGCTTTATCCTGACTTCAACACAGGTAGGTATTATCTCCACTATTAGTGAGCCAGTATGAGTGATAGCAACTCAATTATATAAATGAGGAGTCAGAGCATTGGAGAAGCTACAAGGATTAGACAAGAGTCTTATACTTTGGAAGTAATAAAGCCCAGAAATGAAACCTAGTTGTTCATCTAGCATTATGTTACCACATGAACAAATTATATTTAAATAACGTAGAAAGCTACCTTTTATAAGAGACAAGCAGACAGTTTTAATCCTGTTTAACTCATCATATACCAAAGCAAAAGCATTTGTCTAAGAACATTCAGCCTCATAATCAACATTAGCCAAATGCATTTAGAATGAAGGACCAATGCTGCATGAATGTGTACTCATTGATGAAGTTAATTATTAACATCTTCATCTGTTAAAGCAGAACCATACTGGCACCAGCAGGGACCCCAGCTGAACCCCGCTCTTCTAATACTTCAAGTGGTAACAGCACCACCAATTTTAATTGGTAACAACAACACCAATTTTAATATTGCTGATTTACATGTCATGATAAATGCGTCTGGCTGTACTTCCCTGGAGGCTTATTTAGAAGTGAAAACAAAGGCACTATTTATTTATTTATTTATTTATTTATTTATTTATTTATTTTTATTTTATTTTTAATTATTTTTATACTTTAAGTTTTAGAGTATATGTGCACAATGTGCAGGTTAGTTACATATGTATACATGTGCCATGCTGGTGTGCTGCACCCATTAACTCGTCATTTAGCACTAGGTATATCTCCTATATGCTATCCCTCCCCGCTCCGCCCACCCCACAACAGTCCCCAGAGTGTGATGTTCCCCTTCCTGTGTCCATGTGTTCTCATTGTTCAATTCCCACCTATGAGTGAGAATATGCGGTGTTTGGTTTTTTGTTCTTGCAATAGTTTACTGAGAATGATGATTTCCAATTTCATCCATGTCCCTACAAAGGACATGAACTCATCATTTTTTACGGCTGCATAGTATTCCATGGTGTATATGTGCCACTTTTTCTTAATCCAGTCTATCATTGTTGGACATTTGGGTTGGTTCCAAGTCTTTGCTATTGTGAATAGAGCTGCAATAAACATACGTGTGCATGTGTCTTTATAGCAGCATGATTTATAGTCCTTTGGGTATATACCCAGTAATGGGATGGCTGGGTCAAATGGTATTTCTAGTTCTAGATCCCTGAGGAATCGCCACACTGACTTCCACAATAGTTGAACTAATTTACAGTCCCACCAACAGTGTAAAAGTGTTCCTATTTCTCCACATCCTCTCCAGCACCTTTTGTTTCCTGACTTTTTAATGATTGCCATTCTAACTGGTGTGAGATGGTATCTCATTGTGGTTTTGATTTGCATTTCTCTGATGGCCAGTGATGGTGAGCATTTTTTCATGTGTTTTTTGGCTGCATAAATGTCTTCTTTTGAGAAGTGTCTGTTCATGTCCTTCGCCCACTTTTTGATGGGGTTGTTTGTTTTTTTCTTGTAAATTTATTTGAGTTAATTGTAGATTCTGGATATTAGCCCTTTGTCAGATGAGTAGGTTGAGAAAATTTTCTCCCATTTTGTAAGTTGCCTGTTCACTCTGATGGTAGTTTCTTTTGCTGTGCAGAAGCTCTTTAGTTTAATTAGATCCCATTTGTCAATTTTGGCTTTTGTTGCCATTGCTTTTGGTGTTTTAGACATGAAGTCCTTGCCCATGCCTATGTCCTGAATGGTAATGCCTAGGTTTTCTTCTAGGGTTTTTATGGTTTTAGGTCTAACGTTTAAGTCTTTAATCCATCTTGAATTGATTTTTGTATAAGGTGTAAGGAAGGGATCCAGTTTCAGCTTTCTACATATGACTAGCCAGTTTTCCCAGCACCATTTATTAAATAGGGAATCCTTTCCCCATTGCTTGTTTTTCTCAGGTTTGTCAAAGATCAGATTGTTGTAGATATGCGGCATTATTTTTGAGGGCTCTGTTCTGTTCCATTGATCTATATCTCTGTTTTGGTACCAGTACCATGCTGTTTTGGTTACTGTAGCCTTGTAGTATAGTTTGAAGTCAGGTAGCGTGATGCCTCCAGCTTTGTTCTTTTGGCTTAGGATTGACTTGGCAATGCGGGCTCTTTTTTGGTTCCGTATGAACTTTAAAGTAGCTTTTTCCAATTCTGTGAAGAAAGTCATTGGTAGCTTGATGGGGATGGCATTGAATCTATAAATTACCTTGGGCAGTATGGCCATTTTCACGATATTGATTCTTCCTACCCATGGGCATGGAATGTTCTTCCATTTGTTTGTATCCTCTTTTATTTCCTTGAGCAGTGGTTTGTAGTTCTCCTTAAAGAGGTCCTTCACATCCCTTGTAAGTTGGATTCCTAGGTATTTTATTCTCTTTGTAGCAATTGTGAATGGGAGTTCACTCATGATTTGGGTCTCTGTTTGTCTGTTATTGGTGTATAAGAATGCTTGTTATTTTTGCACATTGATTTTGTATCCTGAGACTTTGCTGAAGTTGCTTATCAGCTTAAGGAGATTTTGGGCTGAGACAATGGGGTTTTCTAGATATACAATCATGTCATCTGCAAACAGGGACAATTTGACTTCCTCTTTTCCTAATTGAATACCCTTTATTTCCTTCTTCTGCCTGATTGCCCTGGCCAGAACTTCCAACACTATGTTGAATAGGAGTGGTGAGAGAGGGCATCCCTGTCTTGTGCCAGTTTTCAAAGGGAATGCTTCCAGTTTTTGCCCATTCAGTATGATATTGGCTGTGGGTTTGTCATAGATAGCTCTTATTATTTTGAGATACGTCCCATCAATACCTAATTTATTGAGAGTTTTTAGCATGAAGGGTTGTTGAATTTTGTCAAAGGCCTTTTCTGCATCTGTTGAGATAATCATGTGTTTTTTGTCTTTGGTTCTGTTTATATGCTGGATTACATTTATTGATTTGCGTATATTGAACCAGCCTTGCATCCCAGGGATGAAGCCCACTTGATCATGGTGGATAAGCTTTTTGATGTGCTGCTGGATTCGGTTTGCCAGTATTTTATTGAGGATTTTTGCATCAATGTTCATCAGGGATATTGGTCTAAAATTCTCTTTTTTGGTTGTGTCTCTGCCCGGCTTTGGTATCAGGTTGATGCTGGCCTCATAAAATGAGTTAGGGAGGATTCCCTCTTTTTCTATTGATTGGAATAGTTTCAGAAGGAATGGTACCAATTCCTCCTTGTACCTCTGGTAGAATTCGGCTGTGAATCCATCTGGTCCTGGACTCTTTTTGGTTGGTAAGCTATTGACTATTGCCACAATTTCAGAGCCTGTTATTGGTCTATTCAGAGATTCAACTTCTTCCTGGTTTAGTCTTGGGAGGGTGTATGTGTCGAGGAATTTATCCATTTCTTCTAGATTTTCTAGTTTATTTATGTAGAGGTGTTTGTAGTATTCTCTGATGGTAGTTTGTATTTCTGTGGGATCGGTGGTGATATCCCCTTTATCATTTTTTATTGCGTCTATTTGATTCTTCTCTCTTTTCTTCTTTATTAATCTTGCTAGTGGTCTATCAATTTTGTTGATCCTTTCAAAAAACCAGCTCCTGGATTCATTAATTTTTTGAAGGGTTTTTTGTGTCTCTATTTCCTTCAGTTCTGCTATGATTTTAGTTATTTCTTGACAAAGGCACTATTTATGAAGATTCTCTACATTCTTAACTTAGTTGGAAAAGCGGAAAGTCACCAGAGAGAGAGTTACATTTGGGTCATGGTGCATAATATCTTTGGTATACTATGAGTGTTCAATCACCCTTAAGGCACAACAAAATGAAGATTTTCTGATTTCTATATATTTTAATTTAACTAATATTTATTGAGTAGTTGGTATCCAGAATGCATTTTAAGACTTTGAAAATGGTCCAGGCATGGTGGCTCATGCCTATAATCCCAGCACTTTGAGAGACTGAGGCGGATGGATCACCTGAGGTCAGGAGTTTGAGACCAGTCTAACCAATATGGTAAAACTCAGTCTCTACTAAAATATAAAAATTAGTTGGGCGTGGTGACATGCACCTGTAGTCCCAGCTGCTCGGGAGGCTGAGGCAGGAGAATTGCTTGAATCCAGGAGGCAGAGTTTGCAGTGAGCCGAGATCATGCCACTGCACTCCAGACTGGGCAACAGAGTGAGACTCCATCTCAAAAAAAAAAAAAAAAAGACTGTGAAAATGAATAATATGACAACCTAGATCTGGCATAAAAATATATGTCTATATACCAGCTACATATATGTGTGTGTGTGTATATATATATATATATATATGTATGCCTTAACAAGACCCACCCAGCCTTAGCAAGACGCACTCATGCCTTCAGAGATTCCAATATAAAGATGTGTGTGTGTGTGTATATATATATACATATATATATCTCTATCTTCTTCCTCCCAAAGTCACTAAAATTATATCAGGGAGATAAAAATTTATAAACAAGATTTGGAAAAAGATGAACAGTGGGTTCAATGGAACAATCTAACTTTGCTCCCATCAGAAACCACTATAAAATCACTGTAAAGGGACAGATAGACAGACAGATATAGATATGCTTTTAAAGATATATACCCAAAAAGAAATGAAGATAATATAACAGCACAAAATTTGGGAAGTCAGGAAAGCAGTCATATGAGTGTTAACTAAAGAGCCTTGCAGACCCAAGAAAGAAATGAGGAAAGCTGAAAACTGACCACATCTTCACTTCTAAATTGCCAAAAGTCTCAGAAATCAGCAGTTTCAGATACCTCTGGAACAGGAGATTAAGGGGGATGGGGAGCCAAAATAAGAAAAATTGACTGGAAGATTTAAAAAAAGCAATTGGAAGCTGGGAATGGTGGCTCACATCGTAAATTCCAGTGCTTTGGGAGGCTGAAGCAGGAGGTTGCTTAGGCTCATGAGTTTGAGATCAGCCTGGGCAACATAGCGAGATCCCATCTCTATATAAAAGTAAAGTAATAAATAAAATAAAACTAAAAAACAATTGTATCCCCCTCCCTAGATTCTATTCGTGTCACTGAGTCAATTCCCTTTCAACACAACGGCATAAGTCTAGAAAGTTTAAACAGAGACTCAACTGAGAGGGAAGCCATGTCATAATTGAGGGTGTGAGTGCCAGCCTGAAAATGTGTGGGCTACCTGATTCCTAGCAGATAGGCCCTACTCTTCAGACATAAGATTAGAAGATATCTCTCTAGAGAATCAGCAGAAGTGGAAAGACTTAATGTAATATTTGGGGTTCCCCCGAGAGTCGCCCAGCCAAATTGTCCTACAAGGAAACTCAGCCTTAACAAGACCTACTCATACCCTCAAAGATTCCAATCAGAAATTGGATTCCCACACCCTGAATCATGGACAGTCAGACAAAGATTACCAGAATCTGAGGAAAATTTCTAATGTGGAACATACAGGCAAGAAAAAACTATACAAAATACTTAGAGAAAAATGACTAAACAGAGAGAAGGCTTCACAAAAATTCTCATTAATATCCCCAGAGAGAGGATTTTCATTCATACAGATTGCTAACAACTAAGTAGCATTTATGAAAAAAGAACAAGATGGTATAAAATATAAGACATTCAGAGAGCAAAGTAACTCTTGGAAAATAAAATTTGATAGCAGAGAGGAAAGAAAGTCAGTAGATGTTGTCAGAAAGGATGATAATGAAATCTTCAAAAACAATTATAAGATTGAGGGATCCCAGAATGAATGTGGAATGTGACAAAACAATCTATTATAAATGTGTGAAACAACCTCACTGAAAGAAGGGGTGGGATACTGACCGAAATTGTATTGGAAATGTATGGAGTCTATAAGACTTTTTTTTTTTTTTTTTTTTTTCCGAGATGGAATCTCACTCTGTCGCCCAGGTTGGAGTGTGCAGTGGTGCAATCTCAGCTCACTGCAACCTCTGCCTCCTGGTTCCAGCGATTCTCCTGCCTCAGCCTCCCAAGTAGCTGGGATTACAGGAATGCGCCACCACACTTGGCTAATTTTTGTATTTTTTAGTAGAGACGGGGTTTCACCATATTGGCCAGGCTGATCTCGAACTCCTGACCCCATGATCTGCCCACTTCAGGCTCCCACAGTGCTGGGATTACAGGGGTGAGCCACCGCGCCCAGCCTGGAGTCTGTAAGACTAAAGGTAAAAGAAACTACACAAGCACTGAACTCTAGTTGATAAAGTTATTCTCATGAGGGCACCAGTTAACAATTTCAATGTCATGATACATGTATATTGGAAATGAACAATCAAGTAAGTGGATGTGGGATGCTATGAGCCAGGATTCTCACTCTTGGAGTGTGAGTTTACATATAAGAAAAAGAAGCAGCTAGAATAATTTGTGTAATATATTAGAGCTGAAAACATCCATCTGAACTCAGGTTTTGCTTAATATGGATACCAATGTTACATATACAAATATTAAGAGATATATGTATATATGAGTTGGTATATACACATCTATTGTTTGCTCTGCCAGCCGAGAGGCCCTAGATGCAACAATATTCTGTTAGCGACAAACACATCTAGTGCTCAGATCTTGGTTTCTAATACCACTTTCTAGTAAAAGTAACTGGGTCTTCTTGGAGAAATGTCCGATTCTAGGATTGGGAAAGGAAACATACAAGGTAAGCCTGAAGTATTTTATAGTGCCAGAAAGTAAAAAATAATGCCCCCAAATAAATAAATAAATAAATAAATAAACCCATAATGTTGAAGGTATTCAAAAAGATCAAAGGATCTGACTTAAAAAACCCCTAATGGTCAAAGCTGGAATAATTCCAGCAACAAAATAAATGAAGTAGTATTAGATTATAACCCAGAGTATAAAATAAATATTTATGATACATGCTGTTATAAATAAATAATTGAATAAATAAATAAGGAAGAGAAAAGAGAAAAATCTCCCATGCAGGAGAATTTCAAATAATTTATGCAGATAAAGAGGTAGAGCATAACTCCCCACCTAAGTATGAGGGGGAAGGGGAAGTGCCACACACTTTTAAATGACCAGATATCATGAGAACTCACGGTCACCAAGACACCACCGAGCTGTGAGGAATCTGCCCTCATGACCCAAACACCTCCCACCAGGCCCCCTCTCCAGTATTGGGGGTTACATTTAAACATGAGATTTGGATGGGGACAAATATCCAAATTATAT
This sequence comes from Homo sapiens, assembly GCF_000001405.40. Classification (NCBI taxonomy): domain Eukaryota; kingdom Metazoa; phylum Chordata; class Mammalia; order Primates; family Hominidae; genus Homo; species Homo sapiens. Next base: position 72,447,187 of record NC_000009.12, on the reverse strand, counting down.
CATACACTTTTAGACAAATTTAGATAATGACACCAAAATAATTAAAATCCCAAGCTATTAAGAATTAGACATAATTTTCTCCATGTGGGGAGGAATGAGGCAGCTGCTTATTTTTTACCATTTGAAATCTTTAACTAACAAGGGTATGTATTACTTTTAAAAAGATAAAAGTGGCCGGGCGCGGTGGCTCACGCCTGTAATCCCAGCACATTGGGAGGCCAAGGCAGGTGGATCACCTGATGTCAGGAGTTCGAGGTCAGCCTGACCAACATGGAGAAACCCCGTCTCTACTAAAAATACAAAATTAGCTGAGTGTGGTGGCAGCTGCCTATAATCCCAGCTACTCAGGAGGCTGAGGCAGGAGAAGTGCTTGAGCTCGGGAGGCAGAGGTTGCAGTGAGCCAAGATTGTGCCACTGCACTCCAGCCTGGATGACAGAGCGAGAGTCCATCTAAAAAAAATAGATAAAAAGATAAAAGTTGGCTGGGCACAGTGGCTTAAGCCTGTAATCTCAGCACTTTGGGAGGCCAAGGCGGGTGGATCACCTGAAGTCAGGAGTTCAAGACCAGCCTGGCCAACATGGTAATACCCCTTCTCTACTAAAAATACAAAAATGAGCCAGGTGCGGTGGCAGGCGCCTGTAATCCCAGCTACTCAGAAGGCTGAGGCAGGAGAATTGCTTCAACACAGCAGGCGGAGGTTGCAGTGAGCCGAGATTGCACCATTGCACTCCAGCCTGGGCGACAGAGTGAGACTCTGCCTTAAAAAAAAAAAAAAAAAAAAAAAAAAAAGATGAAAGTTATCTTGTAATGACTAAGATGCCATTTCTGTCATGAGGAATCTTGTAATCTGTACAGAAAACTGGTTATAAAAGGGGGATGAAAGGAGAGAAAGAAGTAGGGAGGTGACAAAATCTTTATTGAATGTCTACTTTGTGCTATGCATTTTGCTGGATAAATCACATACATCATCTCATTTAATCCTTCTACTGTTGCAGTGACTCCCCCCCCTTTTACTCTGAACAATGAAGGCTTGAAAAGGTTAGCTAATTTATTCAAGAGCACAAAACTTCTCCATGCCAGAGGAAGGAATCAAACCCAGGTCTATCAAAGTCTTAATTTATGTACTTCCTCATATAGAAGGCAGTCATCTAAGTGCTAAAGATATTTGGATATCAGCAAGATTTTTAAGATAGACACTGCTCTCTTGCTAGACAAAGTTGTAGTAAAGGACAGGGTTACCTTACAGATCTAGGACACAGCAGGATAAGTCAAGCTCCAACCCCTTGGTGAGACCTTCTCCAGAGAAGCAGACCGCTGAGGGACAGTTTTTGATGTCTGTGTCCTATCTAACATATACAAAACTCTTAACAGCTGGAGAGATGAATGATTCATCTAAACCCATCCCAGGAGTCCTGAAATCTTCCCCTTTGTTGCAGTGAGACACATTAACTGGAGGAGAGATGGCCTCCTGCAAATCTCCATCACAGTCAACCCTCCCATCTTCTTGTTCCACTTCCCTGTCACTCACCTATGAGATTTGGAGATAGGCTAATTTGGTCACATTATTCCTCAGCTGGTCCCTTTTGGAGAAATCTTTTTAGGTATTTTGGTCACCAACTTATTCCCTTCCTTAAAGTAATTTTTGTTAAATTCTCACCACCCTCTTAACTTTTAATTCCTCTTCCTCTTTTCCTCCTCCTCCTCCCTTTCTTTCCTCTTCCTCTTTCTCTTTCTCTTCCTTTTCTCTCTTTCTCTCAGTTGATAACTGTGCCTACCACACCTCCAGGAAACATAAACCATCAATTTTATAACCTAAAATCCAATCAACCTCCATACACATCCATTCTTCCGTTCCTCCCATGACAGAAGAAGAGGAGCCCTTCTAGGCAAAGCTAATTCTGCTGCTTTTGTCCTTATCCTGTTTACTCCTGCTTATCCTGGAGTCTGTGCCGTCTTTTATTGTCTCTCCTCTGCCTTTTCACTCCTCCTTCTCCATGAGCATCTTTCCCTTACTATAAAACATAACTAACTTGCTCCCACTGATGAATATCTTTTCTTTCTTCTTAATTCCACTTTATTTCCCAGGTGTCTGTGGAGCGTGTGCTATGTGCCAGACACTGTGCTGGGTGATGAGAATACTTTGGGAAATGAAACATCCAAACCCTGGCTTCAGGGAGCTTACAGTCTAGTGAGAGAGCAGATGATAAGTAGGCATCTAAATATAAATTTATAAATTTCCACAAATAGGGCACAGTGCTAGAGAGTAAACAGGGAGTCCTCTAAGTTAGGGTAGCCAGGAAAAAGCTCTTATCATTCCATCACTTCCATTACTGGAGTGCAGACTGTTATCTCTCACCTGGGTTCTAATGAATTCTTAACTGGATTCTCTGCTTACAAATTCCCTTTTTTGGTCCTTTTCACGTATTACTACCATAGTTCAGTGTCTAAAGCAGATCCAAACTTGTCATTCCTCTATTTGTGCCTTCAGTAGTTTCTCAATACCTGCAAGCCCAGATACTTGAGCCCAACATTTTAAAACACCTAGATGAGTAAACAGACTAGAGATTGCTCTATAAACAGAGACCAGTGCTGTGAGCAATGTTTGGTGCTGATGTTAATCTCCAGAACTCCCCTGGGCTTGTTATTTTTGACAGCCATTCTCTATTTTGATTTGTCTTCTTTAACAAAACAAAACCAAATGAAGAATGAAGAGCATCCAATGGAGGACCTAGAGCAATTGCATTCTCTCCTATGACTACTAAGTAGTTCTAAGAAACAGGTTAGGCTGTGGAACCTGCAAAGTGGAGAAGAAAGTGGCTGAAACTCTGGAGAAAGAAAAGGCCACACAGTTGACTGCTGCAGGAGACCAAATTTGACATTCTTCTTTAAAATGCTATTAGGAAAACTGGTCAACTAAAACAAAAAGAAACTAAATTTCATGAATTTCTCATTTGGTGAAATGGGCTTTTGTGAATTGGCCATTGAGTGAGTTTTCTTCAAGAGTCTAGGGGAATTTGACATTCTGACTATTTGACAGACTCCACCAGGGGGAAGTGAGTTATATGAGTCAAGATTAATGGCATGGGCAGAGGAGCTTCTGTCCCACTTCCTTTTTAGTAGCTGAGAGCATACTGTGTCTCTTGTTGCCTCTCTGTCAGCTTGTGGATAGCAAAGTGTGGGCCTAAACTTCACGCTTCCAATACGCCGCCAAAGAGAACATGGAACTTGATTGAGGGCCTGATTAGGAGCTTGATAGAAGATGTCTTGACAAAAAAGATGAGATGACCTGTTAGTGGTGAGCCAGAGATGGTTCACCGGGTCAGAGACCTGCCTATTAAATTATAAGAAACTTTGCAAGCCAGTTGTTAAACACAGCAATACTTAAAAACAAAGATATTTCAACTTACATTTAAATTAATTCTATTAAAAATAAAGACAAGAAATATTCAAAATTGTCACTCCATAGTTATTAGACTACATTTTACATATTATCTATGTTCTTGAGCTTATATGTATCTATTGTATCTGTAAGGCAGATCTTTTTCCAACTTCACATTTGGTGACACCACACTGGTACCTTGAAATGCCAAGGCAGAAATGTTTGCACCACAAAAGTCTGCAAATACCACAAATCAGGGCTCAAGTGACTCAGAACCAACTGCTAATCATACTGCGGTCTACACTGCAGGGCAGACTTCCTGTTTGAAGAGCTAGGAGAGGTTAGCACAGTGACTCATGCCTGTAATCTCAGCACTTTGAGAGGCCAACTGGGGTGGACCACTTGAGGTCAGGAGTTCGAGGCCAGCCTGGCCAACATAGTGAAACCCCATCTCTATTAAAAATTAAAAAAAAAAAAATTAGCCAGGCATGGTGGCACATGCCTGTAATCCCAGCTACTTAGGAGGCTGACACACGAGAATTGCTTGAACCCAGAAAGTGGAGGTCAAAGTAAATGGCACCACTGCACTCCAGCCTGTGCGACGAAGTGAGACTCTGCCTCAAAAAAAAAGAGCTAGGAAAGTCACACTGGACCTCTGCAGCACTAACAAGGTAAGGTCATGTCAGCAAGGATAAGAATGGTCCATGCATTACACCAGTTACAGGCTTCAGTTCATATGCCAGCAGAACACCCCAAAATTGCACCAGTCCCTCCCAGTGGTCATGAGTCCAGGGAGCAGCGCGGACCAGCCATGACACAGCAGAGACCAACAATGTCAAAAGGATGCCAAGAACTCCCAATGTCCTCTGTCCTGCTGAAGTCGCTTAAGCCTCACATTCAGATGTCATCTTGAAGAGAAACAGAGTGAGCAGAAACCTGAGAGACTGAGCACTTTATCTAAAAGAGATAAAGAATTTACCTAAAGTCATGATTTTCTTTATAAAATTGAATAAAATTCTGGTGAGACTAAAACTGCACTTGTCACCCTTTGGGTTGGGGGTGGTTGAGTGAGGATGATCTTTGCTGACAACAGACCTAGTATATAAAAAAGGAGCCATACTTTGTTGTTGTTGCGTATTTGAAAACAGCGTAAATAACTTTACACTTCTGCTACAGTGGTGATTTTGAACTTTTTTCTCTTTCTGTGACTCTAGCCAAAGAGATAGTGAACTTTTATTAAGGGATAAATACTATTAGTATCTTCCATTTGCAGATAAAGAAATCAAGCCTCAGAAAGTCTCTGTAACTTATACAAGATGACCCAACCAGGAAGAGGATGAGTCAGGTCTTGAAAGGAATGTTGGTATGTCTGCAAGCGTTCCGCCCTGGTTTTACTGCTTGTTATCAACCCTTTTCAGGCCTTTTCTAGGTCCTTTTGGCTGTATAGGTACTTCTGCAAGAACTGAGACAAAACAGGAGAGAGCATCCTCTCAGGGAAGCATCTGGAAGAGGTAACCTGGGGACAAGTCAAGTCAGGAAGACTATTACTTTAGAAACTGACCATGAATACTTTAGGATCTAGGACAAGAAATGAAATGTCACTAGAAAGGAAGTTGAGATCAGAAACTAAGTGCACAAATCATGAAGAAGGTAAATGGGCCACAGGACTGGCAGCTAATAGAGTTAAGAAACTGGGGCAATGACTGAAGTGTGGAGAGAGGTTGGCCTGTGAAGAACTAAATCCAGGAATCCTGAGCAAGTGTTCCTTTCACACAGGGCCCAGTTCATCTTGCCAGAGCAGCAGTAGCCTCATAAAGGAGCCAAACCAGACATGAAAACAGCCTCTCTTCACTCACTCCCTCCCACTGCCCTGCATGCCCCAAGACTGCTATCTCCATCTGACTCTTAGTTGTCTTGAAAAATAAGTATTTTTGTTATTTTATGGAAGTAATTTATGCAGGTAATTTTAGAAATTCAAATATAGAAAGGCTTAAAAGAAAAGCAGAAGTCACCTGTCCCAACCTACTCCTTTTCCAGTCCAACTCTTCATACTTTGCATTCAACTTCCATAAATTTCCAAATGCCCCATCCACTCCCATGGCTCACACAGAATTGCACATGCCAGAACCTGTCCCAGTATTTCTTTTCTGGTTTTATTATCCCAGAGAGATGGGGAGGAGCCCAACACAAAAGTCCCAAAATATAGAGCCTTGGTGAAAACAAATAGATTGAGAGCCAGAGTAGGCACGGGAGGGAAGCAAGGGTGTCCACCCAGGCCCCTTTTGTTTCACTGATTTCCATGGGCGGATGGATGTTTCTCCCCATTGTCTGGGGTGTATTGTATACTTTGCAAGCTCAAGGGAATGAGTCAGCTTCTCGCTCCTCCTTTGCTTCCCATCTACTGATAATGCAGCTCTCTACAACCTGTTGATCTCCATTAATAGTAAGAAGGCCATCAAACACAATTTGAGTTCAAAAACACATTTTTCCGTTTTGGTAGCAGAACTTTCTTCTGAGGTCTAGTGTTGCAGTGGCTCAAGTTTTCCTTTGTCTGCCATCCTAAAGGACATCATTCTTGTATTCACTCATTCAGCAAACATTTGCTAAGTATCCACGCTGGGCCAGGCATGTGATCAGCACAGTGGACACAGTGTAAGTGCACAGTCTGTGCCCTTGTGCTGGAATGATCTAGGAAGAAAGTCAGATAAAAAGGCCACCACAAGTCGGTTTGATGGAAGCTCTCACAGACAAGTTTCCATGGACGCATTAGGATAGGCACTGCACTCCTGATTGAGTGGTCAGGGACAGCTTTCTGGAATGGGGATGTCGAGGTGAGTTTTGAAGGCGAACTATGAGCTAGGGTATCTGTAGAATATCTAGGGGCACTGAGTGTGGCCAGAACAATCTTTCTCTGATCACAGCCCCAAAACTGCTGAGATATTCACAGTACCTGGCCAACATCTGTCAATTTTCTGGATTAACATCCTAAATCTTGACTTTTTAGGCAACGGCACCTGAATCCCAGCAGATATTGGCTGTTATAAGCCATTTCCCCAGTTTGAGAACTCTATCTTTGGTCCCAGGTCTCTGCAGAGCTAAACAAGGCACCTTGTTCCAGCAGCCAGCCCTCCCCTGCTCTTTGGGTCTGCCTGGACTTCTGGTCCAGCTTTGTTGCTTCCCGAAACCCAGTTCCAATATTTGTCACCCAGATGCTTTCTTCCTCTCAGAAGGGTCTGACCTCTTCAAGGCCCTGAAAGAGGAACTAAAGTGCTTCTCACAGCTACATCCCCACTGTTTCAAGAAATTATATGAAGGATAGAGGAAGACACATGGAAGTCTCCGGAACTTTAGCCAGTCCAGGGATTTCACTTCAGTGTTTCATACCTTTATCTAAACACTTGGGTAGCTGTTAAACTGAAATTTGTCCCAGGAAAATAATATTTGGAGCAAATAGATTGCAAAAAAAAAAAAAGGTTTTATTTTGGTGGAAAGAAAGCAATAACACTAAGGGATAGAAAAGTGGAACCAGGACGGGCGTGGTGGCTCACGCCTGTAATCCCAGCACTTCGGGAGGCCGAGGCCGGCGGATCTCAATGTCAAGAGGTTGAGACCATCCTGGCCTACATGGTGAACCTCCATCTCTACTAAAAATACAAAAACTAGCCAGCGTGGTGACGGGTGCCTGTAGTCCCAGCTACTTGGGAGGCTGAGGCAGGAGAATCACTTGAACTTGGGAGGCAGAGGTTGCAGTGAACCAAGATCATGCCATTGCACTCCAGCCTGGATGACAGAGCAAGACTCTGTCAAAAAAAAAAAAAAAGAAGAAGAAGAAAGAAAAGAAAAGTGGAACCATTGAGGAGAGGAAACAATTCAGGTCTGAAGGGCTGACAGGTTGAAATTTCACAAGTTTGCTCAGGATTAGACCTGTTTGAAAGAAACAAGGAGAGAAACAAGGTAGGAAAAGAAGCAGGGGAAGAAGGAATAATAAGGGCACTATTAGAAGGAATGACTGAGCTGGGGCTGAGCCATAAGCAAGTAGGAGGAGATAAAATGCTAAAACTAGAACCACATAGATGGACAATTTTATAGGAAACATACATTAAAATAAGTACTGAAAACAGGCAAAGGAGAACAAGATAGCAAAGCTTGAGTGATACCATACTTGGTTCTTAGAGAATCATTTTGGCTTCACCTGATTGCAGAAAAGTCCAGCCAAAGACCCATCAAATATGCTGTTTCCTGTTGTCATCTATATGCAACTTCTAGCTCATTACATCCCTAACATGGCTTCCCCAGTAGGGAACACACTTGTACCTGGGGCAAGAGTTGCTCCTCTTAACTTGTGATGTGCAGGGCGGGTTGAGTTCTGCTAAATTTCAAAGCTAAAATTTTCGAAGCTAAAATTAAATTTCTTCTGCCCACTTTGTAAATTCCTTCTGAGTTACTTCTCTACCCCTCCCTGACTCATTTTCTGAGAGTAAATAGTCAAATGAACAGAGTCCAGTTATTTTCCGTGAGTGGGAGAAAGGGATTATAGCAACTCCGAGAAATCATTAGTCAAAATTAATGCATAGCATGAAAAATGTTACACACATGCACAGGTACATACACTTACATTCACACTTGCCACCTCCAAGAGCCTCTATCTTCACTAACAATCTGCTAAAAAGGCCAATCAAATTTTAGCCTAGATGAGGACATGTACTTTCAATTTGTCTATTTGGTACACATGGATGGCTCTTTTCTGCATATTTTTTCAATAGAGTGCCCAACAGGGAATTGTAGCTTAGTATCTTAGAGATCAACTCACTGGTGGGAAAATGGTCTGGTCAAATTGTTCACCCACTATTGAGAAGTGGATCTTTCCAATGTAGAAAAAATATCAAAGAGGGAATTTTCTACCCATGTGTATCTCTTGACAAAACTAGAGAAAAAAAGGTTACTGTGCACTAGGAGTTTAGAATAAACCTGGTGAGAACACACAAAGGAATTTCGTGAAGCACCATTGGGGACTACTTACAGGCCTTAATTGAAAGTAGTACATTTAGAAAACCATGTTACCCTGAAAACATTATTTATTTTTCTCTATGAGCTTTGGAAAGTATTGATTTGTAAATATGGGTTTCTTTGCCCACTGAGTCTTTTGGAAACATGTTCTGGTTATCTTTATGAGCCCAACCTTTCTTCCTGGCTTTATATGGAAATTAATTTCTTTTGGCACCATACTCACTTCTTGATCTAAGGCATATATGAGGTTCAACTACATCTCTTCAGAGCTTTGCAAATACTCATACTGAGTCTTTCTGGAAAAGGAAGAACTTTAACCCCATCTAAGGGAGTCTGGTGAAGAAGAAGGACTGTGGGTCACTCTAGCAAAACATAGTATTCCTTGGTTCAAGAGGGAACTAGTTAAGCCAGAGCATGCTAGGGTAAGCATTGAGGAAGAACTTTTTTTGACAAACGCAATGTCTAACAAATTCTAAAACTGGCTATCAAGGAATATCTGTAAGAGCAAACACTTGAAAGAATTACCCATGTTACATCACCATTTCTTTTAAATTGTTTAAGCAGTAAGAGGTTTATAATGATAAAAGCTCTTAACTATACTAGGGGGGAAAAGCCACACTCACAAATCACTTATATTATGAAGGCTTATTACAAAGTTACATAAGAATATCGGCTCAGGATATCTTGCCATTGCACTCCAGCATGGGCAACAGAGTAAGACTCCGTCTCAAAAAAAAAAAAAGTTATCTGCTGGGTGCAGTGGCTCTCACCTCTAATCCCAGCACTTTGGGAGGTCAAGGTGGGTGGATTGCCTGACCTCAAGAGTTTGAGTCCAGCCTGGCCAACATAGTAAAACCCCATCTCTACTGAAAATACAAAAACTTAGCCAGACATGGTGGCACATGTAGTCCCAGCTACTCAGAGGCTGAGGCATGAAAATCACTTGAACCCAGGAAGCGGAGGTTGCAGTGAGCCGAGGTCATGCCACTGCACTCCAGCCTGGGTGACAGAGCAAGACTCTATCTCCAAAAAAATAAAATTAAATTAAAAAATAAAATGTTAGTTTTAGGCCTGTCACCGTGGCTTACACCTGTAATCCCAGCACTTTGGGAGGCCAGGGCAGGCTGATCTCTGGAGGTCAAGAGTTCGATACCATTCTGGCCAACATGGCAAAATCCTGTCTCGACTAAAAATACAAAAACTAGCCAGGTGTGGTGGCTCACGCCTGTAATCCCAGCTACTTGGGAGGCTGAGGCAGGAGAATTGCTTGATCCCGGAGGCGGAGGTTGCAGTAAGCCGAGATCGTGCCATTGCATTCCAGCCCGGGCAACAGAGCAAGATTCCATCTCAAAAAAAAAGAAAAAAGAATGTGGGCTCAAATAAGAAATTCATCATTAGCCACACTCCTCCTCTAGGTCCTAGGTGTTCCAGTGTTGGGCTGCAGGCTTCTAGGAGCTTCAGAGGAATAACTCAACACTCAAGACTGCAATCCAAGCTTGAATGACCCATATTCTTCTGTTTGACTAACGTCTTTAACTTCCAGAAGAAGGAACTTGGGTGAATTCTGTATCATTCAGTATGCTGTAATCTTGTTATGTAGAAAACAAAGAAAAGCAAAAGCAAAGAATCTTGGTGTAACAAACCACCTTTCTCCATAAACAGACTCCTTGGTTAATCTACTGTGGCTAGGACAGCAGGGTTTGTTTGATTAAGAAACAATGCCATGTGGATTACTGGATTCTGTAGGAAAGAACTGGTTGGGGTCACTTTTCTTAAAAGGCTTCTTTGCCACAAAAATATCCAGTATATAAATAAGATTGAAAAAGAAAAAATAAAAGGAAAGATATATGCAACACATGTTGCAGACTATTAATACCCCCAATATTAAAAATATCTAATAAATAAGAAAAAAAATTGCAATAGAAAAAATGAAGAAATGATATTTGTCTTTTTGAGGGTGGGCTACCCAGCATCTGAATGGCCGTCTAATGCAGGCAAGTATTGGTAGAAAGTAAGCCCCCATTTTCTACTATAGAAGCCAAAGGGGCCAGAGAATCCCCCACTCATCCATTGACTATCCCGTTCAGACATCTGACATAGACTCAGTCAGTCAAGTGCCTCCACCTGGGACTCTGAGTCTTGAGGAATGGTGAAAAGACGGGAGCAAGTGAGAACTTATTCACAGTAGTGTTGAGTGTTCCAAGACAGCAGTGGTAGGTTGTAGACAGGATACCAATGACAACATATTAACTGTCCTCTCTTGTGGTATTAGATGTATTGCATTTCCCAGTGCCTAGCCCTCCTTTACCAAGCCTGGTTCTCCAACCTTCTCATCGATTCTCTAAGCTCTCCCATATCCTTCCAGCAAAATCTGTTTCTACCTAGGTTAACTATAGTTGGTTTTTGTTGCTTATAACTAAGAACCCTGACAAAGAAAATGACTGACAGTTCTCAAATGAAGCAACATATGTGGATAATAAAAGCAGGGAAAGATGTTCAATCCCACAAATAATCAAGAAATAGTAAGTAGAGAATAGGATATGCCTCATCTCTATGTTAGTGAACATTAAAAGAATTGTGAGAATCCAGTGTTGGCAAGAGTGTATGTAGGGAAACAAGCAATCTTAATAAACTGTTTTTTTGATGTTTTGTTTTTTTTTTGAGATGGAGTTTCACTCCTGTTGCCCAGGCTGGAGTGCAATGGTGCGATCTCGGCTCACTGCAACCTCCACCTCCCGGGTTCAAGTAATTCTCCTGCCTCAGCTTCCAGAGTAGCTGGGACTACAGGTGCCCACCAACACACCTGGCTAATATTTTTGTATTGATAGTAGAGACGGGGTTTCACCATATTGGCCAGGCTGGTCTCGAACTCCTGACCTCAGGTGATCCACTTGCCTCAGCCTCCCAAAGTGTTAAGAAACTGTTAACAGGAATGTAAGTTGATGCAACTTTTCCAGGGGGCAGATTGGAAATATATACCAATATTTTAAATGTGTACACCCTTTGATCAGCAATTCCTCAACTAGCATTTATCTTAAAGAGATAATTAGTCAAGGTAGAGCAGCAGTCTTGATATGACAGCAACGTTCATAATTTAAAAATGGAAGCAATTTAAACAGACATCAGTAGAGAGATTGTTAAATTATGATAGACCTTTACAAAAGAATATTATTCAGCACTAAAAAGGCAATTAAAAAGGTTTTATGTATATTTAATGAGAAACATCTGCACAGCATGGAAGAGACGAAAAGCTTTCAGAAGAAAAAGTGTTGCATAATTTCATATTTTAAATGTGGAAGGCAGAATTCTAAGATGTCCCCATGATCTCTGTTCTCTGTTATACTTGTAATTATGTTACATTACTAGAAAATGGATTTTACAATGTAATCAAGATTGCTAACCAGTTGACTTTGAGTTCATCACAAGGGAGATTATCAGGTGAGCTTGACCTAAACCCATGAGCCCTTAGTAGCAGACCTCATAGCAAAAGGGAACATCAGAAATTCAAAGTGCAAAAAGGACTCAGTGTACCTTACTGACTTCAAAATGGAGCGATGGAAGGGACCACATGGAAAGGATCTGATCTCGAAGAGCTGACAACAACCCCCAGCCAACAAGAACATTCATCCTATAACCACAAAATAATTAACAACCTCAAAGAGGCAGGAGGTGGATTTTTTCCCAGAGCCTCCAAATGAGAGCCTGGCTAACACCTTGATTTCAGCCTTGTGAGACTCTAAGCAGGGGACCCAATTGAGTTGGTAGACTTTTGATAATTTCTTATATAGCAATAGAAAGCTATAAACTGAATAGATATATACATATATATATTTCAGTTATTGCTGCCTCTGGGCAACAAAATTGGGAAGGTGATATTTACATTATTTTTTATACCACTCTGGATTGCTTTCTTCTTCTTCACAGATATAGTTAGAAAAATATCAGGCCAGGCACAGTGGCTCATGCCTGTAATCCCAGCATTTTGGGAGGCCGAGGTAGGCAGATCACTTGAGGTCAGGAGTTCAAGACCAGCCTGGCCAACATGATAAAACCCTGTCTCTACTAAAAATACAAAAATTAGCCAGGCGTGGTGGTGCACGCCTGTGATCCCAGCTACTCAGTTGGCTGATGCACAAGAATCGCTTGAACCCAGGAGGCGGAGTTTTCAGTGAGCCAAGATCGTGCCACTGCACTCCAGCCTGGGTGACAGAGCAAGACTCTGTCTCGAAAAAAAAAATTAGAAAAATATATCTTAATATTTCAAAAAATGGAAACCATGTAATATGCCTGGAAGCCACTTGAGCGTCTATGGATTTCTCCTGTAGCCTACACAGGAGAGAAGACTTCCTTCTCCAACATCTGAGACAGGGAAAGTGGGGTATTAGGCCCACTGGGTTTTGGTGGTGGCAGTGGTGGTTTTTCATGCCAGCTTGTAGACATGTCAATTATCAGGCCCCTCCCCACTTACTGGATCAGAATCTGCATTTTAATGGGCTCCCCAGGTGATTTGGGTACATATCAAAGTTTGAAAAGTGTAGCTTTACTTGTCGTGTAATCCTTACCTTCTTCTTAGAAGAAAGTGCTACATCATTTCCATTTTACAGGTGAATAACTCGAGTCTGGGACAGGATAATTTGCCCAAGGTTAGTGAAGCAAAGTCTGATTCCATGAGCTTAGCCAGTCTGCTTCACCGCCTCTCATAGCAGATGTCTGATTTATCACAGTGGAATGTAACTAGAATTCCATAGCCCTCCGTGCTTCGTTTAGCTATGCCGTCCTGGTGTAGGGATGGCCTGAAAGGTGTTTCCCAATTATGAAGAAAAGAATGGGAAAAAATCAGCTGGGTGCTGTGGCTCACACCTGTAATCCCAGCACTTTGGGAAGCCAAGGTGGGCGGATCACCTGAGGTCAGAAGTTCAAGGCCAGCCTGACCAACATGGAGAAACCCCATCTCTACTAAAAATACTAAATTAGCCAGGTCTGGTGGTGCATGCCTGTAATCCCAGCTACTCAGGAGGCTGAGGCAGGACAATCGCTTCAACCCGGGAGGCAGAGGTTGCGGTGAGCCAAGATCGCGCCATTGCACTCCAGCCTGGGCAACAAGAGCAAAAACTCCTTCTCAAAAAAAAAAAAGAATGGGAAAAAATAACATTTTTAAGCTGTGGGAGTACTGAGCCAAAATAGATTTAGAACAAGTCCTTGTAATATCTTATTCTTTCTTTTTTCTCTTACTATGTATTATTACCAAGTGTAGTTTCCTATGTTAGTATTAACTTAAATATCTATATGCACAGTTATTATCTTCTTATTAATAGTCTTGCCCAAAAAGAAATATTGAATGTAAATGAGAAACCCCATACTCAGTGAAATGCACTTGGTGCACATTCAATCTGTAACTAAGGTCCGGGGTAGATAAAAAGTATTTGATTCAAGCAGCTAGTTCAAGCTGATAATATTTTAAATATTTGATTATTTATGATACCTAATACTTGTATATCACCTTACAGGTTGGTTTTTCATATATTATGTACCATAATCCTGAAAATAACCCTGATGGTAGGTATTATTATTCTAGTCTTATAAATAGGAAAATGAGGCTTGGTTAGTATGTGGTAAAACTGGGGCTTGACCTGTGCTTAGAACACATTTATCTAGATGTATATTACCATAAGAAATTACCTCCAATGATCACATGTTAAAGTCCAATCTCATGGAGGTAGACAAATCTGAAATACTAAATTCTGAATCTTAATAACATGTAAGGAAATATGCATTTATTTTAAATCATATAGGAGTAATATGCCCCCGGTAGGGACTTAATATGTTCCCTACACTTCTTTTTATATTATTAATTTGCATAACTAATTCTTTTTTCATAGACTATGTGGCAAAATGGCATTTGTGAAAGCAGCTGGCACATGGCAGAAATTGAATAAAAATTATTAAAAATAAAAGCTCCAGCCCAGCACTTGTCTAATCCATCACAAATTCTATTTCTGAAATGAAATACAATGAAATCCTTTCTGTCATTACTTCAGAGAAAAAGACCTACTCTGTACTAACTGGTCTTCAGATCAACTACCTGTAGTTACAGTTTTTTTGTATGTGGTGCATGATGTACCAGTATAGATACAAATGAATGGCATGGAACAATGATCATCTACCATATTTCTGTTCCTTCTGTTAAATACCAATATCTTATCAAATCTACAGCAAAAGGCCAGGCGCGGTGGCTCACGCCTGTAATCCCAACACTTTGGGAAGCCAAGGCTGGCGAATCACCTGAGGTCAGGAGTTCGAGACCAGCATGGCCAACATAAGGAAACCCTGTCTCCACTAAAAATATTTTTAAAAAATTGCCAGGTGTGATGGCACACACCTGTAGTCCCAGCTACTCAGGGGGCTGAGGCATGAGAATCAACTGAACCCAGGAGGCAGAGGTTGCAGTAAGCCAAAACTGTGCCACTGCACTCCAGCCTGGGCAACAGAGTGAGACTCTGTCTCAAAAAATACAAATAAAAAATAAAAAATCTACTACAACAACAACAAAAAAAATGAAAAACAGAACACCAGAATTACTTGCCCCAAAATGATTACTTCTGTTATCATCATATGCTCCCAGTTTTTTCAGCATGCAGGGTTCTGAGTTAAATGTGTTCCTCAGCAAGCAATATATTTTTATACCAAATTTCTTATATGCATAAGATGGAGACTCAAGCAGCAAATATTTTCTATTTTCTTTAGGAAAAAAAATTTCTCAAACTGGAATTGCTGAAAATTCTGAGCTCTTCTTTTTCTTAGAAAGAAAAAAATAAGAATAAATGTTGTATTTCTATTGAAGTAGAAATAGAGGTTAAGTATCTTTTTGGGTCCAGGTGTTCAGGCTCTTGTCCTCTCCTGGAGAAATATGCATGGGCAATGGGAAGAGTGTCCCTTTCTTTTTCTAGCTGATGGAGAGTAAGTGGCGAAAAGAAAAAATCCATTTGATCTTGTGAATAGTTATTGATAACAACTACTCTTCTCGACTTGCAAATTTCAAAGGTTTCCAGTGTTCACTTTAAGGCAAGGCCCTATTTATCTATCCTAATAAGGTAGCCATCAAAAAAAAAAAGGACAGAGGACATTGACAAGTCCAGACAAGTCATAAGAACAAACAATCTGCCAAGAACTTACTATGGGCCAGGCTTTATAAATGCCAATAAAAATAATAAAATAAAATAACAACAACAACTACCATCAGCTGAGCACTTACCATGAGCTAGTCCTTATTATGAGTGTTTTACATGTATTGCATGCATTAACTTACTTAATTCTCATAGCAACTTTACAAAATAGGAACTGTCATTATCCGCATTTAACATAGCAATCAGAAACTCAGGGAAGTCTAGAAACCTGCCCAAGATTACACTGCCACTAAGCAGCAGCAGCGGGACTTGAATCCAGGCAGACTGGGTCCAGAGTCTGTGCTCATAACCTCTGTACCATCATCTCACTTAACCCTCACAACATGCACCATGATTGATGGAATCCCATTATTATCTACATTTTTTAAAAACCAGACTATGTCTTGGAGAGATAAAATGTCCTCTGTAAGATCACGTCACTGATAAGTGTGATAAACTGGAGCTTAATCCCAGGCCAAATGGACACAAAACTTCGGTTCATTAACCACCTGACAATTCTGTCACTGAGCTTAAAAATTAAAATGTTATGATCTACTGCCACATTAAGTGATCTGTGCGTAGTACTTACAGGAAGAATGTTACAGGAGAAAAAAGTATCTGAAAGTTATTGCTGGTTACTAGAAAAGACTGGGAATTATAACTACCACTGGGCTTCTTCAAAGATCTAGTCAAGTAAATGTATATGGAAGGAAATGTTTTTCACTTAGAAGCAATGTCTGGCACTCCTAAAGATACTCATTTATTCCAGACTCTAATGTTCTCAGCCTGCATCAGAAATTTCAGGGTTGAGGATGAAGAGGGAGATGGGGCGTAGAAAAAATAGCACCCCTGAAACAAAGCCAGGTATTACAAATAGAAGCGTATTATATCTGGGATTCTGTAGAAAGGCCAACAGATTAAATAGTACTACAAGGTGGCTCACGCCTGTAATCCCAGCACTTTGGGAGGCCTAGGCGGGCAGATCACTTGAGCTCAGGAGTTCAAGACCAGTCTGGGCAACATGGCAAGACCCCGTCTCTACTAAAAATACAAAAATTAGCCAGGCGTGGTGGCGCATACTGGTAATCCCAGCTACTTGGGAGGCTGAGGCACGAGAATTGCTTGAATCCAGAAGGCAGAGGTTGCAGCAAGCTGAGATTGTACCACTGCACTCCAGCCTGGACGAGAGACCAAGACCCTGTCACAGAGAGAGAAAAAAAAATCAGTAATACTACAAAAAACTTGCTTGAGATAAAAGAGAACTAGAAGAGGTTAAAAAAATAGAAAAAAATGATGGGAAAAAATTCACCATGAATAATTAAATTATGGGTGATTTTCTCTATTTTCTAATACTTTTCTAAATTTTCTAGTTTTTTATAATACACATTCATTACTTTTAAAATAAAAAATGTACTTCTAAACTTTAAAGAAAGTAGCCAGTTGTAACTTTAAGATGAAAAAAAAAAAATTGACCAGGGATGTAATGGAATTTTTACTTATCAACATGGAGAGCATTAGGACAAATATCTAATGCATGCAGGGCTTAAAACCTAGATGACAGGTTGATAGGTGCAGCAAAGGACCGTGGCACATGTATACCTATGTAACAAACCTGCACATTCTGCACATGTATCCCAGAACTTAAAGTAAAATTTAAAAATAATAATAATAATTAGCATTTATTGGGCAATTACTTTATATCAAACACTATTCTGCATACATTGTTAAATCATCAGGATAATTCTATGGGGTAAATATTAATAGGAACCCTATTTTACCAAGGCAAGGGGAGTTAAGTGAGTTGACCAAAGTCACACAGGTAGTAAGAGGAGCAAAAGTAGAACACAAAACAAGTAGGCTGTCTCAGCATCCAGGCTCATAACCAAGGCATCATATTACATCCTTTGTGGATAAAGCATTGACAGAGAGGGAGGCTCATATTGGAAGTTCTCTACTCTTATTCCTGCAGCACTAAATATTATTTCCGTGTCATGATTTTTCATAGTATCCCAAAATTCTAAACCTTTATCAGCAAGTATGTATACAAGATAAGTATTTTTCAGCTATTAGATATAAATCAAATGTCAATAGTTTGCATCATAAATCATGCTAAATTTTCATGTTTTCAGAAATGATTTCACTTTGTTTTCAAAGAATATTTTGTTGACAATGGCTCTTAATTCTTAAGTTTATTGTTGACAGATAAATAAATGATATGTAATTATTGACAGATCATTCCTCCCTAGTGTTTCTCTTTCTCTCTCTTCTATTCCTCTCTCTCTGTAAGAAAAGGCTTAAATACATTAAGAGAGATTGCTATTTCAAAGAACCACAAAAAGAATGTTTTTGAAATAAGGGTAAATAGACTTTAAATTCAACGTTCTTTAGTATCAGCTTCACATCTGCAGCATTGGTGGAGAGTCAGATCTATCAGCAGTAATAGCTGCAGATGCGGTGGTCCATGCCTGAAATCCCAGCACTCTGGGTGGCCAAGGCAGGTGGATCACTTGAGCTCACGAGTTCCAGACTAGCCTGAGCAACATGATGAAACCCAGTCTCTACCAAAAATACAAAAAATTTAGCCAGGTGTGGTGGTGTACCTGTGGTGCTACTCAGGAGGCTGAGGCAGGAGGATAGCTTGAGCTGGGGAGGCAGAGGTTGCAGTGAGCTGAGATTGTACCACAGCACTCCAGCCTGGGTGACAGAGGGAGACTGTGTCTCAAAAAAATAAATGAATAAGTGCATTATTTTAAGGAAAATTAAGACCCAGTAAAGTCAATTTCCTTGGGACCCACATTGAGGACATGATAGGAGTGAAAACGAAAACAGCTCGTGGGTACTTTTTAAACATATTTATGAAAAAATATGAGTATGGCTGGAAGGCAAAAATCACCCCACCCTCAATCTCTGGGAATCCACAAGCTTGGCAACACTCTTGCCACGATAATTAATTTTATACACTACTCAGAATGATTCAGTTCCCCACTTAGGAGAGGACTAAGAGCCAAAAGATTAGAAAATCTTTCCTATTGTTTTTCTTTGCATAGTTTAGGGAAATAACTTCAGAGCCAAAATTGTTCACATTTCAGGGGTTCCTTCACTTAGCTTCCTACAACATAATGTCTGAGAGCCTAGAAAAGAATGCAGGGTAATACCCTGAAACTCCCAGATTGGGGAAGGTTGGAAGAGAGAAGGGAATGTTACTTTGGTCATGGTTGCATAATAATAATGAAACTCCTCTCTAATGTAAAATTTCAGTCTGAAAGATCAACCACATAGGAATTAGTAGGAATTTTTCTGTACTCCAAATCTGTATGCCTAATTTCCCTATCTTGATAGGAAGATCTTATGGGTGCAGAACATTGCTTTGCTTCCTTTAAATAGTGTCCACTCAGGGAGAAAGAAGTAAGTGAGCACCACTAGCATCTTCAGGTCAACTTACTAAGCTGTCACGCATATGAATCTAATAAAAGTCATACAGTATAATATACATGACATACAAAATGTAATAACATAAAATAAAAAACAGAATACAATAAGTTTATAAGTGTTTACAAGGATTTCAGGAAACCAGTTATGATGTAACAGAAAGAATATTATTAGCCTAGGCAAATGTTTGAATCTCTGAGTCTGCAATTCACCAATTGTGGGATCTTTGGCAAATCCCTGAGCCTTTGAGTCAGAATGGCTTCATCATCATATTGTTATAGGTACTTCATGGGAATACCTAAAAATTTAAAACTTAAAGCTTTATCTTCTAAGTGTCTTCTGATCTGAAGGCAGAAAAGACCTATAGACATGAGGTGAAGATGAATTGCAAGGTATTCTAAACAAGGGTATGATCCTTGATACATGGGTATAATAATAACTATACTCATAGAATTGTTTTGAGAAATAAATGCAGTAACTTATGTGAGAGTGCTTAATAAATAAAACAAATTTTCAAGATTCCATGCTATGATCCCATTTCCACCAGATCAGGTTTTCTATTTTTATTGCATTATTTAACTAAAATATTTACTATGTCATGCCCATAACAGGTTCCCATATTGGAACAGTCACACGCAATATGTATGAATCCCAAGATGATTTGGGCAAGTATCTTGTATCTCCTGAGGAAGATTAAGTTACTCTCTCCTGAGCCGGGGTGATGGCTCATGCCTGTAATCCCAGCACTTTGGGAGGCTGAGGCAGGTAGATCACCTGAGGTCAGGAGTTCAAGACCAGCCTGGCCAACATGGTGAAACCCCATCTCTACCAAAAATACAAAAATTAGCCAGGCGTGATGGCGGGCGCCTGTAGTCCCAGCTACTTGGGAGGCTGAGGCAGGAGACTCGCTTGAATCTGGGAGGCAGAGGTTGGAGTGAGCCAAGGCTCACCAATGGCACTCCAGCCTGGGTGACAAGAGCAAAACTCCGTCGTCTCAAAAAAAAAAAAAGTTGCTCTCTCCTATGTTATCTTCTGCCTTGAACTGTTATCCAAATATAAAAGAGTGTAGTTCATACCTGGGACACTAATACCAACCAACATCAGTAGAGTGGAAATCTCTTCCTTATTATGAAAGAAGACACAAGCTCAAAACCCATGTTTGACTGAAATGACTTTTCAGTCTCACCATAAGGTCCCTTCCATCCCCAGTCATTTTTTGTCACCTCTACCATAAAGAGCTAATAGACTAAACATTCTAAGTTTGAGCTTGGAAAACTTTCAGAAAATTAGCAAGAGAAAGTTATCAGATAAGATGAAGGATACAATGAAACTGAATTCTGAAAGAACTATGTAAAACTGTAGTAGCATTGGTTATGTAGGAGTATCTTAAATGGTATTCACTTTCCCCCAGCAAGCGTAACAATGTGTTGGAGACACAGTTTTTAAGTCTATCAATTCCAAAAGACCTAGTAGCAGTCAGGCAGAGGAGTGAGTATACTGGGGCTAATGGGCACCTCAGCTCATAGCTTTCAAAGATACAAACAGGGGATCATGTTGTTCAATCTTATAATGGAAGAGTAGGGTAAAGCCTAATTGTGGAGGGTAAATTCTGTGCCTTAAATAACCATAAAACAACAGTCTGTGTCAGTTCATCGCAGGCAGAAACCAGATTAATTTTGGAACACAGCATGGTAGAAAAAAATCCATTAATTTTAAGCCCCCAAAGACTGCTGATGCTACTTTTCTTGTGCCACAATTCCTTCCCCCTATTGGGCACCAGTAAATAAATGCCAGCTATTTAATCTTGCAGATGGAGTTTGTGGCTGAGAACTAGGAGTCAGTATTAGGAGTAAGCAGTGCACAGTTCAATAGCTCTGTCTCCTAGTGTGTGCTCAAACTCAAAATTTGCTGCATTCAGGTAGCTTACCAGGATAATGAGAGTTATTTCAGCCTCTGAAATTTGGAGTTCCACTCATAAGTATAATAAATAGATTGAATTTTTAAAAACCACCTTTATTTTAATGACTGAAACCCCTGTGAAACAAAAATGCAAATCAAATGAAAAAGTTGGTCACTAAAGAGCATTAAGGAGTTCATTAAAATATACACAAATAAGGCTGGGTGCGGTGGCTCATGCCTGTAATCCCAGCACTTTGGGAGGACTAGGCGGGTGGATCACGAGGTCACAAGATTGAGACTATCCTGGCTAACACAGTGAAACCCCATCTTTACTAAAAATACAAAAATATTAGCCGGGTATGGTAGCAGGTGCCTGTGGTCCCAGCTACTCAGGAGGCTGAGGCAAGAGAATGGCATGAACCCAGGAGGCGGAGCTTGCAGTGAGCCCAGATGGCACCACTGCACTCCAGCCTGAGCAACAGAGCAAGACTGTGTCTCAAAAAAAAAAAAAAAAAAAAAAAAAAAAAATATATATATATATATATATATATATATATATATATATATATATATATATGTGCTGACTTTCATGATTAATTGACCCTATAAAACAGACAACTGGCTGGGTATGGTGGCTCACACCTGTAATTCCAGCACTTTGGGAGGCTGAGGTGGGTGGATCACGAGGTCAGGGGTTCGAGACCAGCCCGTCCAACATGGTGAAACTCCGTCTCTACTAAAAATACAAAAATTAGCTGGGCGTGGAGGTGCGTACCTGAAATCCCAGATACTCAGGAGGCTGAGGCAGGAGAATCCCTTGAACCCGGGAGGCGGAAGTTGCAGTGAGCTGAGATTGCACCATTGCACTCCAGCCTGGGCAACAGGGCAAGACTCCGTGTCAACAACAACAACAACAGAAGAGTTCGAGACCACCTGGCCAACATGGTGAAACCCCTACTAAAAATACAAAACTTAGACAGGTGTGGTGGCAGGTAATCCCAGCTACTCAGGAGGCTGAGGCAGGAGAATTGCTTGAAACGGGAAGGTGGAGGTTACAGAAGCTGAGATCATGCCACTGCACTCCCATCTGGGCCACAAGAACAAGTCTGTCTCAAAAAAAAAAACAGACAACTACAAAATCTCAGCAGCAAAAACATAAAGTATTTATTTTTCACTCAAGCATCTACAGGGATTCAGCTGATCTAGGCTGGGCTCTAAGCTTTGGGAAGAATTTTGGTCTGGTTCTACATTTCTTTTATTTTTCTGCGACCAGTGCCTGGAACGTGCACAAGCACAGCTCAAGCCTCTGCTTCATCACATCTGCTAACAGCCCACTGGTCACACAACCACGCCTAAAGCCAAGGAGCTGGAAAGTACACTTTTCCTACTCTAAACCTATGGCTGGGCCGGGCGCTATGGCTCATGCCTATAATTCCAGAACTTTGGGAGGCCAAGGCAAGCAGATCACCTAAGGTCAGGAGTTTGAGACCAGCCTGACCAACATGGTGAAACTCCATCTCTACTAAAAATACAAAAATTAGCCAGGCATGGTGGCGGTTGCCTGTAATCCCAGTTACTCAGGAGGCTGAGGCAGGAGAATTTCTTGAACCTGGGAGGCGAAGGTTGAAGTGAGCCAAGATCGCACCATTGCACTCCAGCCTGGGCAACAGAGCAAAACTCTGTCTCAAAAAATAAAATAAAATAAAATAAAATAAACCCATGACAGGGATATAAATGTATAATATTACTATAACAGGGGAATGAAGAATTACAGCCAATAACTTAATCTGCAATACCATAGATGTTGCCAGGAGAATGTGTCATTGATGGCACATTATATATCACATTACTGGGCCTTTATATATCAGGAAAACATCACACCAAAATAAGAAGAGGGCTTATGATCCTCAGAGCTGGAAAGAACCTTAGTTGACAGATGAGGAAATTCAAGCTTCAAAAGAGGAAGGATCCTTCCCACAGTCATATGTCTGGGAGTGGCCTACCAAGTTTAGGCAAATTTACTTTTCAACACAAAATAGTGAAATCCACCAGAGGAAGGGGAGGCACCCTTTCCCCAAGAAAAAGAGAGTCAGTTCTGGTAACAAGATCCTAAAGATGAAATAGTCTTCATAAATTGCAAGGGTTTCACTGAAACACAGAACTCCCTGGGCCTCCTGGAAATTTTTATCAAGAATGCAAATAAGACATAAACAACTCACAGCTTCCATAACTATTATGCCTAATTTAACAGAAATAATTTCATCTGTATGTACTCTGTAATCTTCACCCCTCTTCAAATTGAACCAGAAGTACCACAAATCATTGCCAAATTGATCCCATTTTGTTATTTCCCTTGATGGTACCAGCCTACTGGTCCTTGAAAGTATCCAGTGCTTCACCCTCCACCCAGGGAGCCCATGCCGGGCACCTCCTTGCTCTTTCAAGGCCCTCCCTCATGTGACACCCAAAACTACTGCACTTTTTTTTCCCATTACATTTTAGCCCTGTTTTCACAAAAGACATAAATGACTTGTCTAACATTTTAACACCAGGGCCTAACAGGGCCATACTCAAAGCCAATGTCTTGAAAAAATTAAGTAAAATAATAAACTATGGGCTGGGCGCAGTAGCTTACTCCTGCAATCCCAGCACTTTGGGAGGCCAAGGCAGGTGGACCACCTGAGGTCAGGAGTTTGAGACTAGCCTGGCCAACATGGCGAACTCCGTCTCCACTAAAAATACAAAAATTAGCCTAGCATGGGGGTGGGCGCCTGTAATCCCAGCTACTCAGGAGGCTGAGGCAGGAGAATCGCTTGAACCTGGGAGGCAGAGGTTGCAGTGAGCTGAGATCGTGCCATTGTACTCCAGCCTGGGCTACAAGAGAGAAACCCCATCTCAAAATAATCATAACCATAATCATAATCATAATAAACTATGAAGACCACACAGAGGTGTACTTATTGTTCCAATCAATTGAACCGTAAAACAAAGCTACTTTCCTATGCACAATTGTGTCCTTCTGGGTTAATAGGCACACATAATAAGCTGCTCACAGAAATGAACGCAAAGCACTGGCCCAAGTGGAGAATGAACCCCTGCATTTCTTCTGCAAATAGGGAAAGGAGCTTGGGGTGTAGTAGGAAACTGTTCCAAATTCCCTGGCATCTACAAATACTTAAATTTATCCATCAGAAGAAAAATAGTTTTATTTGGTAGAGCTCCAGAAAACAGAACTAGGACAAGTAGGTGAAGTTAGGGAGATAAATTATTTCTGTTCAAAATATGGGAAAACTGGGTGACAATCACTGCTGTCTAAAAATGGACTAGGTTGCCTCATGTGGCACCACATTCTGGATCACCTGTAGTGTCTGAGGAGAAGCAAAGTGACAATTGTCAAAGATGACATCCAGGGGATGCTTTCTGGGAGTGGGCAATAAGAAGGGATGATGTTATGAGGTGCTTCTGAGTCTGCAATTCCATTTTTCCCAATCCCCACCTCTTTCCAGCTTCAATGAGGCCTCCTGGGAGCCAGTAGTAGTTAGGTGGTCAAAAAGAAGGACAGAGACAAGAAAAGTTGAGCTCAAATCCCACTCTACCACTTAATAGCTGAGTGACCATGAGCAAATCCCTTAATCTTTTTGAGCTTCCATTTCTTCACCTACAAAGTGGAGTTTTCTACTAATTCTTTTCATAAGGAATAAGAGAGGTATTATATGTAAAGTGCTTTGAACACTGCCTGGCAGAGACTAAGTGTGCAACAAATATTAGTTGTTATTATTACAACTCAAACTACGAGAAAATTAGAGGACTCAGAAGTGTATTGGAAAGGACGTCATGATGATTTAATACCAACTCTGGCTACAAGAGGGTAAACACACAGTGGTGGAGATAACGTTAGGCAAAGGGCAAAGGACTTACTCTGACAGCTCCATTAGCATGCAGGGCTGCATGATCAATGCCAAGCATAAAACATCATGGGGATTTAAGGCCGGACGCGGTGGCTCACGCCTATAATCCCAGCACTTTGGGAGGCTGAGGCGGGCGAATCACGAGGTCAGGAGATGGAGACCATCCTGGCTAACACAGTGAAACCCCGTCTCTACTAAAAATACAAAAAATTAGCCGGGCGTGGTGGCGGGCGTCTGTAGTCCCAGCTACTGGGGAGGCTGAGGCAGGAGAATGGCACGAACCTGGGAGGCGGAGCTTGCAGTGAGCCGAGATCGCGCCACTGCACTCCAGCCTGGGTGACAGAGCGAGACTCCATCTCAAAAAAAAAAAAAAAAAAAAAAAGAAACATCATGGAGATTCAGACAACTTTCCCTTTTTCACCGCACTTGTTGTCCTATTGCCAAAACCTATATAGACTGTGACTTTCCCCCTTACTGTGAACCCTGCTATCGAACATCCCTGGCAGCATATCCTGCTGCCCACTCTCATCCTTCATCTATAAACCAGACATGAAGAAAACTATGTTCATTGGTGCAGCTCAGGCAAAGAAGTTTCCAAGGGCTTTGCTATGTTTTAATGTATGTGTCCCTCCAAAATTCATTTTGGAACTTCAACCTCAGTGTGATAGTTTAGAAAGCTGGGGCTGGCTGGGCACGGTGGCTCACGCCTGTAATCCCAGCACTTTGGGAGGCCGAGGCAGGGGGATCACCTGAGGTCAGGAGTTCGAGACCAGCCTGGCAAACATGGTGAAACCCCGTCTCTACTAAAAACACAAAAATTAGCTAGGCATGGTGGCAGGCACCTGTAATCCCAGCTACTCCAGAGGCTGAGGCAAGAGAATCGCTTGAACCCGGGAGGTGGAGGCTGCAGTGAGCCAAGATCGTGCCATTGCACTCCAGCCTGGGCAACAGAGCAAGACTCTGTCTCAAAAAAAAAAAAAAAAAAAAAAAAGCTGGGGCCTTTAGGAAGCAATTCAGTCATGAGGGCAAAGCCCTCATACATAGGATTAGTGACCTTGTAAAAGAGCTGGAGGGAACCAGCTAGACCCTTTTTCCCCCTTCAGTCTCTTCTGCCATGTGAGGACATAGCATTCATCCCTCTTTTGCCCTTTTCCCCTTTGCACCATGTGAGGACGCAGCAAGAAGGTCCTCAGCCAGACATCAAATGTGTAAGCACCTTGATCTTGGACTTCCCAGCCTCCAAAATCATATGAAATAAATTTTTGTTTTTTATAAATTACCCAGTCTCAGACACTTTGTTATAGCAGCATAAAAAGACTAAGACAGGCTGCTGCTTAAAATGACAAGGGAGAAAAGAAATCAAGTCTAATGCACTCTTTTTGAGCAACTTCTCAAAAAGTGGGCACACTTGACTCACATTTCTATGTTCCTGTTTTGTCTACACTTTTTATTTGATACCATGGAGCAGTCTGAAGCACACCCTTCCTCCTGCCTTTCCAGCACCCAAACCCCTGGCTTCAAATGGCTCATTTTATACATCTTCAGCCCACAGCCCTAGTCTGACCTCTCCCACCATATCAGCTCAATTATGCACAATACTGCTGTGCTGTGTAGATTTGTTCAACAATGTTATGATCTGAGCTCCTTGGGGAAAGGATCTTGTCATTTCTACTTCTACTTTGCAAGGTACCATGTGTATTGCCAACACTTTATAAACAATAATAATGTGTTAAAGGTGGATTTTCTATGTGTTCAAGTTACTAAATGAAAAATGACACCTTCTATTTCTAATGTTAATGCCCTTATCTACTAACACTCATTTCATATTTGCTGGAGAAAGGAAACATCTCATTTTAATTCAAATCTATTCTGGCGATCTTTGGAAATGAGGGTCACCCTCAAGAGTTTAAACTTACATATCAGGTCATTGTGAAAAAATTTCAAAAACCTATATCTCCTTCCAGTAATTATTTTAACTATAAAGCTCTTTCTTACAAACAGGCAGCCCAAATTTGATAAATGCTTGTTGAGCAAATAAACAAATGAGACTAAAATGAACCTCATGACAAGACTAAGAGATAAGAAGAACTGGTGATTATTTTCCCATTTTACCACACCGAAAATTGGTCTTTTTATTTTATTTTAACATTGTGTATGTGATAGGGTCTTGCTCTGTCGCCCAGGCTGGAGTGCTGTGGTGCAATCACAGCTCACTACAGCTCCAACCTCCTGGGCTCAAGTGGGCCCCTGCTTGAGCCTCCTAAGTAGAGGAGACTATAGGGTGGGCCACCAGGCCTGGCTAATTTTTTTTTTTTTTTTTTTTTTTTTTTAGAGATAGGGTCTCCCTATGTTGCCCAGGTTGGTCTTGAACTCCTGAGTTCAAGTGATCCTGCTGCCTCAGCCTCCCAAAGTGTTGGGATTACAGGCACGAGCCACTTGCCCTTGGTCAAAAATCAGTGCTTTAAAATGGATGTTTCATGGTCATGAATTAAATTCGGGTCTCTTGACTCCAAGTTCTAGTCAGATTTATTTGATGATTTTATCTCTCTTTTTTTTTTTTGAAATGGAGTTTCACTCTTATTACCCGGGCTAGAGTGCAATGGCATGATCTTGGCTCACTGCAACCTCCACTTCCTGAGT
Organism: Homo sapiens; assembly: GCF_000001405.40. Taxonomy (NCBI): domain Eukaryota; kingdom Metazoa; phylum Chordata; class Mammalia; order Primates; family Hominidae; genus Homo; species Homo sapiens. The sequence goes on along the minus strand of NC_000009.12, from coordinate 72,419,761 downwards.
TGAAGCGATTCTCCTGCCTCAGCCTCCTGAGTAGCTGCGATTACAGGTGCCCACCACCACGCCTGGCTAATTTTTGTATTTTTAGTAGAGATGGGGTTTCACCATATTGGCCAGGCTGGTCTCAAACTCCTGGCCTCAGGTAATCCACCTGCCTTGGCCTCCCAAACTGCTGGGATTACAGGTGTGAGCCACCACACCCAGCCAATGATTACATCTTTACATCAGCATTTCACAAACTTTAGTGATGTGCATACCACCTTCAAGATTTTGCCACATCTATATAACTTCTATGCTTTTAATTTCATTTTTCTTTAACTCATTTCGTCTATATTATAATAGATAACTCTACTTTTTAATGTTCATGTATACCTTAAGTCAGTGTACAAATGCTGACACAGCCTCAGCCAGGCTCATTACTTGCACCAGCTCCCCCTAAGCCACCAACCTTGCCTCCTCCAACACACTCCTAACGCTGACTGAAAGCAGCTAATATAAGGAAGAAGTCTCTTTCATGCTTCTGCCACTTTCTAGGTCTTCTCTGAAGGCATTCTCTCCTTTCTGGGCCTTAGGAAGATCGAACAAGCTTTGATACAAAGCTCTCCTCATGAACTGAGATAAGAAAAAGTAGTATTTGCAGTTCTATCTGCTGGGACTGACTGGGTGCCAATAGTGGGAAACTCTTTCCTCTGCTAGGATAGTGGACAGTGGGTATTTGTATCACCTAAGCCTCTTAGATACAGTCCACAACCTCCCTCTCTCCAATCTATCTCTTTCTTTCCATTTCTATTACACCTTCTCTAATTAAGGCCTTTATCCTCTTATACCTGGATTCATACAAGAGCATCCTGATTGATGTCCCAGTCTCTTGCCTCTCTCTGACCCTATCCGTATACCCCAGCCTTCTGCAAGCTGCTTTCAGATAACTTTCCTGCTTATATCTTCTCAAAGACCATTCCCCCAGCCCCATCCCACCTAACACCCCGCTGTTGAGAAGAAAACAATGAAGACTCTAGAAAATCAAGGAAAGAGAAGTCCTCGCACTCTTTCTGCTCGCACATTTGAGTGTAGCACACATCTGTGATCCTTTACTCCATCCTGTTGATTGAGCTCAACCTTAAAAATGACTTCCAGAAAGTCAAACTGGGCTTAGTACACTCAAAATGGATTGTTTAGCACCTCATATGTATCCAAGATGGATATTCATCTATTCATCTGGCTTGTCTCAGAATTACTATACTAGTTGTTAAGATATCAAAGTATTTCTCCACCAGTTGGTAAACAGCCACTACTTCTAGCACCCCAGTTGTCTTTCCACAGGCCCAGTGGACCTGGTCCCTCAACTCCCCACATTCTCACAACTAAAGCATAACAGAGGCAGGGTGTGGTGGCTCACGCTTATAATCCCAGCACTTTGGGAGGCCGAGGCAGGAGGATCACCTGAGGTCAGGAGTTCGAGACTAGCTTGGCCAGCATGGCAAAACCCTGTCTCTACGAAAAATACAAAAATTAGCTGGGCATGGTGGTGCACGCCTGTAATCCCAGCTACTCCAGAGGCTGAGACAGGAGAATTGCTTGAACCCAGGAGGCGGAGGTAGCAGTGAGCCAAGATCGCGCCACTGCATTACAGCCTGGGTGACAAAGAAAGACTCTGTCTCAAAAAACAAAACAAAACAAAACAAAACTAATACAATTATCCTTTTGTGACAATTGATCAAGTAAGAACTGAAACTTAAAAGTTGGATCAGAAGTTGAGAGAGGGCCAGGCAGCAGGCAGATCCCTTGAGTTCAGGAATTCAAGGCCAGCCTGGGCAACAGAGTGAGACCCCATCTACTCTTAAAAAAGATATATATATATATATATATATATATATATATATATATATATATATATATTTATTTATTTATATTTATTTATATATATATTTATATATACACACACACACACACACACACACACACACACAAATTAGCTAAGTATGGTGGCACATGCCTGTAGTCCCAGCTACTCAGGAGGCTGAGGTGAGAGGTTGGCTTGAGCCCCAGGCTGAGATTTCACCAGGCTGCACTCCACCCTGGGTGACAGAGCCAGACCCTCTCTCTCTCTCTCTCTCTCTCTCTCTCTCTCTCTCTCTCTCTCTCTCTCTCACACACACACACACACACACACACACACGCACAAAGGAAGAAATTGAGAGGGACACCTTCATTCCTAAGGACAATTATTATGCATATTCAAATGCAAGCTGATGGCTATTTACTACAGAATTTTTAGAAACAGTGAAACTTTGAAACTACAGCCAACTACAATCTTGATCTAATAATCTAGGAATTCTTTGAAATTTCCATTCACACACCTCTCATAATAGGAAGAACAATTATGGAGCCCCTCAATTCTAATTTCATAGAACAGGCTATTCTTCTGCCTCCCTTTGTCCATATTCCTCTGATAATAGTTTAAGAACCATCATCATATTTCTACCCTCCCAATTTTTAAAAAAATATTTTCCTTGCTGAGGCACTTTCAGATGAGGATATAGAAAGGACTCACTTTTTGATAATGCTTAAAAATAAAATTTGTATGTGAGGTAATGGTTACATTAATTAGTTGGATTTAGCCATTCCACAACAAATACATATATCAAAACATCATGTTGTATATTATAAACATATGCAATTTTTATTTTTCAATTAAATATTAAAAAGAAGATACATGTCTCAATTATAATTTTATTAGACTCGTTAAAGTCTAATTTTATTAAATTTTATAGACTCTTCAATAAATCAGTTATTTTCACAAACAAATATATATATATATATATATATTAGCAGAAGTGTTGGCATCATGGAATCTGGATCCAAGGGCTGGCTTTCCCCTTGGTCACCAGTTTGAGCTTGGGTGTATTACCTAACCTCTCGAGATCTTAGTTTTATCATTTGGAAAAGCATCCTTTATTCATTCAAGGCCAGGCGCAGTGGCTCATGCCTGCAATACCAACACTTTCAGAGGCCAAGGTGGGAGGATCACCTGAGGTCAGGAGTTCAAGACCAGCCTGGCCAACATGATGAAACCCCATCTCTACTAAAAATACAAAAATTAGCCAGGTGTGGTGGCACACGCCTGTAGTTCCAGCTACTACGGAGAATTGCTTGAACCCGGGAGGCAGAGGTTGCAGTAAGCTGAGATAGCACCACTGCACTCCAGCCTGGGTAACAGAATGAGATCCTGTCCCAAAAAAAAGTCATCTTTTATTCATTCAATACATATGGACTGAACAAATCAAATGTTCTAAGCCTGTACTTGGAACTAGAGAGATAGTGGTGAACAAGATATAACTTTTCAAGGGAATGGATATCAAATAATTACACAAACAAGTATTGAATTGACATGGCAACAAATGCCAAGGACAAAGTGATGAGCAAGAATTGAGTGTAGATGACATGGCAACTGATGTAGTCCCCTAGAAAACTGTCGGGAGGACAGATAATTCTTCCTAGAGGAAGTCACTTTTAGAGTGAGATTTGAAAGGCTAAGAAGGTGGTCAGACAGGAAGGAGGGAAAGGGAAAACAGTTCTCAGCATAGGGAAAGACTTTGGCATGGTAAGGAACTCAATAGTATATTACGAAATACTTAAAGAAGACTAAGTTGGTTGAGAAGGGAGTTTCAGGTGAGGCTGAAGACATAGGCAGAGCCTACATGAAGGATTTGTTGGAATTCAGAACTCATTCTAAAGATAATGAGAATAATTGATGAGTTTCAAGTAGGTGCAAGATAAGAAGAAATTGAAATTTAAGAATATTGTATGTTTCAATGAGAATGCATATAAAGTGTTTTGCTATGAATTACATAACGCATTCCAAGTTCTTTATTAGCATTCTCATTTACGGCTAAATAGTGATTTAGTCCTCAAGCCCATAGATATAGTTTCTTTTGATCCTGGGAAAAATAAAAAGGAAAGGAAGACAGGAAAAAACAAACAAACAGCTACTCAAGGCAGCCAAGGCCAATCTTTTTGTTCCCCATTTTATAAATAAAAAAATATTAAGAGGTCACAAAGATTAAGCATTCCTTAGGCCACAAAGCTAATGAGTGGCAGCCCTGCATCTAGAACACAGGGGAAAAGTTAAAAGATTCTGGAGGAGGGAGGAAAGAAGGGGAAAAAACCCATATTCCTAACAATATTCCCAACAATGTTCCTAACAAAACCCTACACTACATGCAAGCAATAAATATGTTATGTTATTTTATTTAATCTTCAAAACAATCCAGAAAAGTAGGAACAAGTATGCCCATCTTCTAGATGAAAAAACTGAGTATGAAGAGAGTACATTTCATGTCCATGTCAAGATTAGAACCATATCTTCTGGTTTCTGTCTTAGTAAACTTGCTATATTACACAGCACTGCTTATTTTAGGGTGATGCAAATGGCCTGTGGTCAGTAGCCAAACTCCAGAAACTGCTTTCTTCATCCTGGATGGCAAGAGGAAGGGAGATATGTCATAAAAACATATTTTAAATTTTGGAATAAATCTCCTTTTGTTAAGGTTTCTCTGGGAAAAGACAAGAGATGATGGGAGGAAAGGAAGGCCTTTGTTCACTTCCTTTATGATTTATAATCCAACCTATTTTGGGAATCTTCCTTTTCAACTTAGACCAAAACAAATTGGTCAATGGATAAGTAGAAAGATAGAGAAATAGATAGACAATTTTAGAATGCTGCTGATAACTTCACCCTCTTCTTTTTTTTTCTTGAGAAGGACTCTCGCTCTGTCATCCAGGCTGCAGTGCAATGGTGCCATCTCGGCTCACTGCAACCTCCGCCTCCCAGGTTCAAGCAATTCTCCTGCCTTAGCCTCCAGAGTAGCTGGGATTACAGGCATGCGCCACCACGCTCAGCTAATTTTGTATTTTTAGTAGAGACGGGGTTTCTCCATGTTGGTCAGACTGGTCTCTAACTCCTGACCTCAGATGATCTGCCCGCCTTGGCCTCCCAAAGTACTGGAATTACAGGCATGAGCCACTGCGCCCGGCCTTCACCCTCTTCTTTAAAAATTCTGTTTACCTTTTTACTTTACTGGATGTGAAGCCTACAATTACAGACATAATTTAGTTTCCATGTGTGTAGCAGTGTGTGAAATGGTTTAAATCACAGTCTCAGGAATCAGCCTGCCTGGGTTCAGACTGCCACCTCCCCCGTTTTGAATACTATGCCTCACCCCTATTTCACAGGGTGATTAGAATAATTCAATAAAACAAGATGTCCTTAGCATGAACTAAGCATGGCTATTATAATGTTATCAAATACTGAATTCTTTTACAATTATTATCTGTTTTTAGGACTTAGGCTAAGATAGAACTTTTTTTTTTTTTAGATGGAGTCTCGCTCTGTCGCCCAGGCTGGAGTGCAGGGGCGCCATCTCGGCTCACTGCAACCTCTCCCTCCCAGGTTCAAGCGATTCTCCTGCCTCAGCCTCCTAAGTAGCTGGGATTACAGGCATGCACCACCGCCAGGCTAATTTTTGTATTTTTAGTAGAGACAGGGTTTCACCATGTTGGTCAGGCTGGTCTCAACTCCTGACCTCATGATCCGCCTGCCTCGGCTTCCCAAAGTGCTGGGATTACAGGCGTGAGCCACTGCCCCCAGCAGATAGAACTTTTAAAAAAATTAATTATATCACGCCTGTAATCCCAGCACTTTGGGAGGCCGAGGCGGGAGGATCACAAGGTCAGGAGATCAAGACCATCCTGGATAACACGGTGAAACCCCGTCTCTACTAAAAATACAAAAAATTAGCCGGGCGTGGCGGTGTGCACCTGTAGTCCCAGCTGCTGGGGAGGCTGAGCCAGGAGAATGGCGTGAACCCGGGAAGTGGAGCTTGCAGTGAGCGGAGATCGCGCCACTGCACTCCAGCCTGGGTGACAGAGCGAGACTCCGTCTCAAAAAAAAAAAAAATTAATTATATAAAGATTACAGCAGTCAATTTATTGCTCCAAAATTTGCATGTGGCAACTAGTTGCAAATAAAATCTTGATTTAATCCTTATAAATTATTCAATAATACTAAAATGTGAGCACCAATGAGATTCTCTCGATAGTCTTTGAAGTAAGTGCCCTGGATTGACGCAAACAGCAAGAAAAAAATGACTGTAGCTGTTGATGTTATGTACAAGGCAGTTGCTAGCAAACATTTTTAAGCACTTTTATTTCTAGTTTTAATAACTTTAGCGTGAACTTTTGCATGTTTTAACTCCTTGAAATATTTAGTAGTCAGCCCTGCCTATCTGATTCTTAGTATCTGTATTCATTGTCTATTGTTGCTGTAACAAACTGCCACACTCGTTAGTGGCTTCAGACAACACGAATTTATTATTTTGCAGTTCTCTAAGTCATAAGCATGACATGGATCTCACAGGGCTAAAATCAAGGTGTCAGCAAGGCTGTGTTCCTTTCTAGCAGATCTAAAGGACAATCTATTTCCTTGACTTCTCCAGCTTCTACAGGCTGCCCGCTGCCTTGGCTCATGGTCACCTTCCTTTGTTGTCAAAGCTGGCAACACTGGGCCAAGTCTTTCTCACAGCCTCTCATAGTCAGTTCAGGCTGCCATAGCAAAATACCATAGGTGGAGTGGCTTCGACAACAGACATTTCTTTTCTTTTCTCTTCTTTCTCTTTTTTCTTATACCTTGATGCCCAATCGAGATTTATTTTCTTATAGTTCTGGAGGCTGAAATTCCAAGATGAAGATGCCAGCATGATCAGGTTTTGATGAGGGCATGCCTCCTGGCTTGCAGATGGCCACATTCTCACTGTGTCTTCACATGCTAGAGAGGCAGAGAGAGCACACTCTCTGAGGTATCCTCTTCAAAGGACACTAATCCCATCATGAAGGCCCCACCCTCAGGAGCTCATCTGAACCTAATTACCTTCCAAAGTCTCCACTGCCAGATACTATTACATTGTGGATTATGTTTTTAACATATGAATTTGGGCAGGGGATATAATTCAGTCTAGAACACCTCTTATTACTCTGACTTCCTCTTCTGCCTCTCCTTCCACATTTAAGAACTGTTGTGATTACAGCGGGCCCACTTGCATAATCCAGGATAATCTCCCTGCTTTAAGGTCAGCTGATTTGTGACCTCAATTCCCCCTTGCCACCAAAGGTAACATACTGGCAGATTTCAGGATTAGAAAATGGACATCTTTGGAGGTTATTATTCCACCTATCACAGTATCATATCCATGGAACATTCATAGAATCTGGACAAGACCGTTAAACTTACACTAAAAGAGAACATGAGGAGTCACATTGAGTATCCAATAGTGCTTTAAACTCTTGTGATTTTAAAGTCATGCTATTCTTAAATTTAGAAATAAATTTCACAGCATTGTTCAAAGAGAAAGGTAGTAGATGTGTCATACATGCACTTATTTATATATATGTCTTTCATACATATATATGTTTATATGTATGCATTCACATAGGTGTGATGGTTACTTTTAAGTGTCAACTGGCTAAGTTGTGGTACCCATTTGTTTGGTCAAACACTGGCCTAGATGTTGCGGGGAAGGTATACTGTATATATAATTAACATTTAAATTGGTAGACTTTGAGTAAAGCAGATTTCCCTCCATAATGTGTGTGGCATCATCTAATCAGTTGAAGGCCTTGAAAGAAAAGATTGAGGTCACCTGAAGAAGAGAGAATTCTGCCTCCAGACTGCCTTTGGATACAAAACTACATCAACTCCTGCTGGAATTTCCAGCCTGCCCTGCACACTTCACAGTGGCCAGTGCCCACAATCTCATCAGCCAATTTTTTTAGAAAACTGTAATGAAAACTAAAAATATATATAATTTAAATTATAGAAATTACATGCATATATTTACACATACATATATATGCACATACAGAAATATATATGTAATTTCTATAATTTAAATTATATATATTTACATATTTTTACATATGTCTACATATATTTACACACAAACACACGTGTGTGTGTATGTGTGTGGTTCTGTTTCTCTGGAGAATCCTAATACAATACGTATAGCAAATGACCCATGCTACAACTGGGACAGCTTGAAATGGCCATTATTAAAAACAATTGTTAGGTAGTCAGAAATAAAGAGCATGTGTCTGTAAGAACATCTCTCTCTTTTATAATCAGTGTTATAGCGATCTTGTGAAAGAATAACAATAATTGAACTGTTTATTTCTTCACGTGATCTTTAGTTACTCTCAGGAACTTGGTGCAAATGAGTATCTCCACTGTAGAAGAAACTAATTAAAATTAAAATCTCAAACTAAAATTCATGTAAGAATTCAATAATTTCATACATTTAGGATATAGACAAACCTCTTCAATTTTCCACAGAAGTTCCGAAGAGCCCAATTTTTAAAATCCTGACAGGCTTTTGGGGGAGTCATTAGTGTCCCCAGCCTATACAACCATGGGGCAGGCAGGGTTCTGGAGGGAAGCCAGAGAGGCCAGAGGGGTCACAGTTGAATTGCTGGGCCCAGTAAGAGGTTTGCATAAGATTGGTCTTCTCAGACTGGGCACAGTGGCTCATGCCTGTAATCCCAGCACTTTGGGAGGCCAAGGTGGGCGGATCACCTGAGGTCAGGAATCTGAGACCAGCCTGTCTGACATGGTGAAACCTCATCTCTACTAAAAATACAAAATTAGCCTCGTGTGGTGACGTGAACCTGTAATCCCAGCTACCTGGGAGGCTGAGGCAGGAGAATCACTTGAACCCAGGAGGCAGAAGTTGCAGCGAGCCAAGATCCCACCATTGCACTCCAGCAGGGGCAAAAATAGTGAAACTCCATCTCAAAAAAAGAGACTGGTCTCCTCAATCAGAGATGATAAAAAAGAAAAGAGAATATACTACCACTACGATTTTCTAGTAGTTAACAAAACAGACATACTGCCTTGACTTGCCTTTGCCAAGGTTGCTGTCACTCTAGCATTCGATAATGCTGGTAACTCAAAATGCATCCCTGTCCCCAAGAAACAGTTTTGGGTCAAAACTAGGAGTTGGCAAAAATTTTTTTGTAAAAGGCCAGACAGTAAATATTTTTGGCTTTGTGGGTCACTACTCAATGCCACTGTTGTAACTCAACCATAAAACATGAAATTTCATCAATACATGAAAGAATGAACATGGTAGGATTCCAGTGAAATTTTCTCTACAGACAGTAAATTTACATTTTATATAATTCTTACCTGCCATGAAATATTATTCTTCTCTTGATTGTTTTCAACCATTTAAAAATATTTTTAAAATTATTCTTAGCACACATGTTGTACTAAATAGGCAGCAGGCTGGACTTTGCCCGCAGGAGACAGTTTTCCAACTCCCTCTATAAACAATGAATATTAAGAATGATAAAACTGGTGAGTTATGTTTAGTGGAAAACATTCACCTTATTTCTAAGTGTAGAAAGTCAATTCTGTGGTAACCCCAATGGATTATTTTAGTTGTAGAAATAGTTGGCCCCATTGGTTCAGATATTCACCATTATTTAAGTCACAAATTGAATGTGCTTCATTCATTCATTCTTCAATAAATATTTATTGAGTGCCCACTATGTCCGAGGCACTGTATGAGGTACTAGGATAAAAAAGCAAATATTCTGTAAATTCATTCCCAAAATAAACCTCTGAAAATTACTTTATACTGTTCCTTCAATCTGCTTGGGATTTTGAATTTTTGGCAGTCGATGATTAACAAAAGGAGATGGTGTTAGTCCAACTCTGAGGTATTATTAACTCAAGCAAAACAAAAAAAAAAACAACATTTAACATGAATGACAATAAACCTTCATATTCAAATGAGATAAGAAGCCAATACATGTTTTATTATTTTCATAAGGGCTGGCTGAATTAGAAATAACTATAATAGTTTCAGCTGGGGAAAGGATACTTTGTATTACCTTATCATTTCTAATAGCATAAAATTAATTTTTAGTTACAGTGATTAAGTGTAAGTTTCTAACCTTTTGGAAAATAATGGTGACAGTGCATTAATCTATTGCAAATCAGGAATTAGGGCATCGCAGGGACAATCATTATCAAAGTATATTTACTGACTGCCTCTTAATTGCCTAACAAAATAACTCTGCTCTTATTTCAAAATAAGCGTGTTTCAATATGTTTGTAAGCTTTGATATGACTTGATGTTCATCACAGTTCTATCTATAATAGTGGAAAATTAGAAATAACTTAAATATCCATCATGAAAGGAATAAATAAATATATAATGGTATATATTATGGATCCACCAGACAATGGAATATGGCTATTACAAAAGATGATTCTAAATCAATGGCCACTACTGAAGAAAGATATCTACAATATACCAAAAACTTTTTCAGAAAGCAGGTTATAGGCCAAATGCACAGCACTTTGGGAGGCCAAGGCAAGCAGATCACCTGAGGTCAGGAGTTTGAGACCCGCCTGGCCAACATGGCAAAACCCCGTCTCTACTAAAAATACAAAAAATTAGCCAGGCATGGTGGCACACGCCTGTAATCCCAGCTACTCAGGAGGCTGAGGCAGAAGAACCTCTTGAACCTGGGAGGCAGAGGTTGCAGTGAGCCGAGATCACGTCACTGCACTCTAGCCTGGGCGACAGAGTGAGACTCCATCTCAAAAAAACAAAAACAAAAACAAAAACAAAAAACAAAGAAAGAAAGCAGGTTACAAGACAGCATTAATAGTTTGTTCTAATTTATGTAAGGTCACATACATTAGAACACTAACCAAATTTTTATAAATTATTACTCCCAGGTGGCCAGAATTTGGGGATGATTTTTACTGCCTTTAAAAAAATTTTCTCTATTCTTTGAAATTTTTACAATGAACATGTACTGGGCGCCTAAATAAATAAAGAAGATTTTTTTCATTATGTAATCTACAAAACTAAAAATCAGCAGGACTTTTATGATTAAAATGACCAATAAATTATCATTTCAGTGATAAAAATAGTAACAAGTATATGAGGCTTGTCGGGATGGCAATCCTGTGGTCGTAATAGCTATTGAAATTACCCCGGCTGGGTGTGGTGGCTTACGCCTGTAATCCCAGCACTTTGGGAGGCCGAGGCGGGTGGATCACAAGGTCAGGAGATTGAGACCATCCTGGCTAGCACGGTGAAACCCCGTCTCTCCTAAAAATACAAAAAAATTTAGCCAGGCATGGTGGCGGGCGCCTGTAGTCCCAGCTATTTGGGAGGCTGAGGCAGGAGAATGGCGTGAACCTGGGAGATGGAGCTTGCACCACTGCACTCCAGCCTGGGGGACAAAGCAAGACTCTGTCTCAAAAAAAAAAAAAAAAAAAAAAATCCCTAATGTGAACATTTTTGGGAATGCAATCTATTCCCATTATCCTGCCTTGAACAACACTGTTTCATTTGAAAGCTTCAAGAATATCATGTGCTTTGCTATCCTCTACGTGCCCATTGTCTTCAAGAAACTCAGCATCCTAGCACGAGAAAGTGTTGAGATCAAGTCTAAATCACTCATCCTACAAATAAAGGAACTAAGCCAGAGAGGTGACATGACCTGCCCAAAGCCCCACAGCTAAAGCTATAACACAATTTCTCTCATTTTTGTGCCAGTCATAGAAAGTTACCTTGAACCCATCATCAGAATGTCGTAGTACACTAGAAGTCCCACATGAAACCAAACTAAGATCATGCTGGAATGTATTGGCATCCCAGCCTCCATTGTATTCATAGAGCTCTGGGGAGTGTAATGCTGAAGGACTGGAGGAAGACCCAGACACACATCTGTGATGCTGCACTTGGCAAAAATGGGGAGGTGGAGTGACATCGAGTCTCTTAGACGCACACAGATTTGGAAGAAAGAAGCTTCTGCCTGTCATACACTGCCCAGGCCTTAAAAAAAAAACAATAAAAATACTTACACCATGCATTCACAGACAGGTTCAGATGTGACATTGTGCAGCTGTTTATTAATAAAGGGGTAACATTTGAAACAAAAGAAGTAAATACAATTCTGTAGTATATGAAGAACAGAGAACGTAAATGTAAGGCTTGGGTGAAGGAAAATATTCAGTCAAAGGTAATAACAAAAGCTAATAGCTATAATTGATTGAGAACCTACTACACACTTTACAGAAACTATTACCCCAAGTTCTCACTACAACCCACAAACCTTTGTTCTTCAATCAATACTGCTTCCCTGTCAGGACAAGTCAGAGTGAAAAGAAAAGACCTCAGACATCACATCACTGGAAGGCAATGGAGAAGAAAATGTTAAAGAGAAGGTTATTGCTGTCAAGTGGTGCTCTGAAGCTTAGAAGGATGAAGACTGTGAAAAGCCATTGGATATGGTGTTTAGGACATTTTCAATGTCCTTTTAGAGTTTTATTCTCCCTTTTGTCATGTTACCATGAAATCTGACCTGACTTGGCTAGCCGAATTTAATCACTAGGATTGAACTAAGCCTACAGTAAGTGTACTATTTTCTGGAAGTAAATGATTCATCTGTATGAGGTAAAGGAAATTTTCCAGGAAGAAGAGTTGCTATTTAGCAAACGCCATTATGCATATTATAGTAGTTGTACTCATTTATTGACATGTATTAACTCCTTCCTTTAGTGAAGCCAATTTGTAAGATCTATAAACATGCTTTGTAAATCATACCCTGTTAATTTCCCCTCTCCCATCCCTACCTTCTTACTTAAATCAAGTGCAGACAGGCTCAGTTAAAAAGAATCAACTACCACAAACAAGGCATGACTCTCTGGCCTGTTTCTCTGCACCAGACTAGCTCTAAACTGCTTTTTGTCAATCGGAGGTTCAGGTTCATATGTAGTTTGCAAACCTGTTATCATTATTCCCCTTCAAGTATTGTTGTCATTCCTATTTTCCTGCTTTTCTCTTATCTACTTAATATTTAAATTCCTGATGACACTCATTCTACTACACCATTCTTACAATCGCAACATTTTCCACATCCATGTAGAGATTATTCATTGCACATTTTCCCAAAGTGTATTTTCTTAAAATTAGAGCCTAGATCAGTAGCATCCAATGGAAATACACGTAATTTAAATTTTTCTAGTTGCCACAATAAAAAGTTTTAAAGAAGCAGGTAGGCCAGGCACCATAGCTCACACCTGTAATCCCAGCACTTTGGGGGGCCCAAGTGGGTGGATCACTTGAAGTCAGGAGTTCGAGACCAGCCTGGCCAACCTGGTGAAACTCTGACTCCACTAAAAATGCAAAAATTAGCCGGGCATGGTGGCACACACCTGTATTCCTAGCTACTCAGGAGGCTGAAGCATGAGAATTCCTTGAACCTGGGAGGCAAAGGTTGCAGTGAGCTGGGATTGTGCCACTGCACTCCAGCCTGGGTGATAGAGCAAGACCCTGACTAAAAAAAAAAAAAAAAAGGCAGGTAAAATGAATTATCCAATGAACTATTGTTTTGGCATTTAATCAACGTCTTAAAATTGTTACAGGTATATTTTAGATTTTTTGTACTATTTTAAAAATTCATTGTGTATTTCACATTTATAGCACATCTCAATTCCAAAAGTAGCCACATGTAGCTAAAGGCTGCCATATTGGGCAGCTTAGTTCTAGATCCTGAATGAAGGTGTTGAACAAGATCAGACTTTTAGCTGAGCCCTCTGCTAAGGTTCTCTCCATCCTCATCTCCCTCGTTCCCCCACCATCACCCCAATCTAGAAATAGTGTTCTTTCTTGGGCCCATTTTTACAACTAAATTTGTAGAAGCTATGTCTTAGACATTTCCACAATCTCTTTCCCACCTTAGACTTTTCCTTATCTCAACCCGTTCATTTGATTAATAGGAAAACTGATGCTCAGAGAGATTGATAATCGACTCCGGGTCACACAATGGTTAGGAGCAACGATCTAAATTCAGTCTTACTGATGACCAGGTCAGAGCTCTTCTGACTACTTTAAGAACTGAAACTCTTCTCTTCCCCCTATTCCTCCCTCAGGGCTCAGCCTTCCTTTAAGACTCTCCCACAAGAAAGAGTTGATCTTACCCTCCTACTCAGACATTAAGTTTAGTGGCCAGAACTAACTGATCTTTCAAGGACAACAGGTGGATTTAGGAATTGCTCACTGGTAGCTCATACCTGGCAACTTTTTATTTCCTTTAATGTAAGGCTAATAATTCCTTCACCTAAGAAGAGAGGAAAGATCATTCGCTGGCCAACTTATTCTGCTACATACATTCATTTATTGTATTTATTGTGGTAATCTCCCCAGGTGCCATTGGTAATTTGATAGTGTTGTTTACTTGTGGTTTTGGATTTTTTTTACAATGAATACATGTATTTTTGTGCAAATAAATAATACATGTTAATAATAAATGAATGTGGCTAATATATTTTATAAAGAGATAGTCTGATGATCTACTCTGGTTTAATTCTCCCAGATCTATTAGTAGAAGCCTTTTTTTGTTTTTTTTAACCACTTTTGTTAATCATTAAAATATTTTCCAAAGGTAGAAATGGAGAGACAATGCAGTTTTGCACTCTGAGCCCCTACTATATAAAAATCACTCATCAGTATAAAATGGCCTCACAGTGATTCAGGTTGAGCACCCAGTACTCCACTTAGATTTCTATCAATGCAGAACGTGACAATACTTGATCAGTTCGGCAATGCTAAGAGTATTTTTGACCTTTCCTTCTTTCAGCTTAAAAAAAAAAGTGAACGAGATAGCCTACAGGCAGATCCTAATATCAAATGACCAAAGAAATTGGGAAGGAACACATTCCATGCATTTTAATATATGTAAATACATTTCAAGCATTTTAATATATGTAAACACATTTCATGCATTTTAATATATGTAAATACATATATTGAATATCATGCATTTTAATATATGTAAATACATATATTAAATATATTGTATAATATATATTTAATATACATTATTTTGTCTTAGGTAATTTTAAAACCCTTTTTATTAATCATTTCAACAGAAAAAAAAGTAAGGTTCCCACACATCTCATCAATCTGTCTTGAATAATTCATACTTCAGCTTTCACTATACAATTGGTAATATGTTCATGTAGAAGTGGGAAAACAGGAACCATATGTTTTCTTAAGACTTTCAAGTTCACCTTCCACACCATAAGAAAATGAAGCCTGAATTTCCCTAGACTGATCCTATTTACAATTTGTAATTTTTTGGTACACGTACACAGAGCTTTAAAATAGCTATGTTGATGTTTCAGTTAAATCAAATTTCACACATTTTAAGTTCACTAATAGAGCTTGCAATATAAAGGAATAAAATAATAAACACTTTTATAATTAAAGTTGGAAAGATCAGGTTTACATTTTTATGTGTTCAGATGTGCATGTTATTTTTACTTCATTAGGGGTATACCTGTAGGTTGGAAGATACAGAAAAGATACCTAAAAAACACCGTTGCTAGCAATGGAATTGATACTTGAGTTCCTCAATAAACTGGTATTTACAGGTGTATAGTATGCTCTTTCTGTATCTCATGGAGGAAACAAATTTAAGAACAAGTGTTCCTGAGAAGAGATTTTGGGGGGATCATGCAGTGCAACCTCCTTCTTCACTTCAGAAGAAACAGCAAGCATTTTGATTTCAGTGCAGAATGTCTGCCACATGACAGTATTCTGAAGTTTGTTAGATGGTGGAAACTTAATTTTTTTTGTGGAAACCTATAAAATGCCGATATATTTATGTTTCCCCTGGCAGAACTTTTACTAGCAGAAAATATTACTCTATTTTATATATATATATATTCACATATATATACACACACATATCTACACATGTATATACATATATACACACATATATACACATATATATACACACATATATATACACACACATATATATGTTATACTCTACCTTAACTAAAAGGTTGTTAAACTAAATGCAGTGAGTTATGTCAGAGATTTTCTATTAAAATTTGTATGCCACCTACTCGTTTGATTTCCTGTGCTCATCAGCAAATAAGCAGTAAAAGATGACAAAGATTTAAGAAAAAGTTAGGCCAGGCATGGTGGTTCATGCCTGTAAACCCAGCACTTTGGGAGGCTGAGGGGGGCAGATCACCTCAGGTCAGGAGTTCAAGACCAGCCTGGCCAACATGGCGAAACCCTGTCTCTACTAAAAATACAAAAAATTGCCTGGCGTGGTGGCGGGTGCCTATAATCCCAGCTACTTGGGAGGCTGAGGCAGGAGAATTGCTTGAACCCGGGAGGGAGAGGTTGCAGTGAGCCGAGATTGCACCATTGCACTCAGCCTGGGGGACAGAGCGAGAGTCTCCCTCTGTCTCAAAAAAAAAAGAAAAAAGAAAAAATTAAAGGGAAGGTGAACCTAATGTAGAAATTCCAAGTTCTTTTAATTTTTTTCTAGAATTAAGATGACACCAACATTATTTCTTATCAGCCGTGGCACCTCTGTGCTCCCTGGGAGCATAGTTTGTTCTTTTCAAGAATGCTAAGTCCGCTCTTATTTGGTATAGCATAGATAAAACATTTGAGTAACTATTTTGGTTTTGTTTTCAACCCACTGTGCCAAAATCACGTGGTTACTTCATGTACCTTATGTTCTTTAAAAGATGGTTTTAAATGAAAGTGTTTTGAGGATATATGCCTTCTTTTAATGTTTTTGGGCAATTACAATAATGAAGGCTAATTTTGAAAAGTACTCAATTAAAAAGCAATTGAATATGGGAAGTGATTTTTTTAAAGGCCCTTTAAGAGTAGACATGTTGGCTCTTCTTGATTTCAGAAGTGTTTGTATATAAAAGAATTGTCCATGACGTAATTCTGAGTGGGAAAAAAAAACTTGCAGATTTTATTTCATATGCAAAATAAAGAAAAAAAGAGGTCTGGAGTAAAATAAAAGTTGTTAAGACAATTTACTCCAGGTGGTAAGAAAAGAACTTTAAGTTTTTATTTTAAGGATTTTCATATCATTTAACTATTTTTCGACACATTTGCACAACTTTTTCATTTCTTAAACCTACAAACTTTAAGAAAATTTTTTGCTGAATTTTTTTGGTCAGGTTAATTCACTACATGGTTTACAAACAAGTAATTTTTAAAAGTTAGGTGCCAGATAAAACATTGTTAACAAATAGAAAATTAGACTCAGACAGTACAGAGTGAACCTTTGAAATGCTGTTGTTTGATATTCTGCCTTTGAATTTCTTTCTCCATATAATTGAACCTTTGCTTTGTACATGGTATGTGTTCAATAATTATTTATGATTGTCTTTTTTTTTTTTGGCCTACAAAAATAGCCATCTTAGGCCGTGCATGGTGGCTCATGCCTGCAATCCCAGCACTTTGGGAGGCTGAGGTGGGTGGATCACAAAGTCAGGAGTTCAAGACCAGCCTTGTCAACATGGTGAAACCCCGTCTCTACTAAAAATACAAACAAAATTAGCCAGGCATGATGGTGCACGCCTATAATCCCAGCTTCTCAGGAGGCTGAGGCAGAAGAATCGCTTGAACCCAGGAGGCAGCGGTTGCAGTGAGCTGAGATCACGCCATTGCACTCCAGCCTGGGTGACATAGCGAGACTCTGTCCCAAATAAATAAATAAATATCCAATTTAGATGTCTAGCCTAATAGTAGCTACTCAGTGAAAAAATGACAATGAGGAAAAGAGCAATTGAACATGAAGGATCAGGATAGTAATGGCTGTGAACCCTAAAGGCAGCACCTAAAATATCAAATGTCTCAACTAAAAGTAGATTCAAGTTTGAGAAAAAGCCAGAGAGCTTCTTAAAATTACAGAGTATAAATTCCCAACTAAATTCACTAGTTTTCAAATCTATGAAAGAAAAGATTTTCAAACTCCACCAGCTGAAGGAATCTAAATCTAGGCCAAATAACTGATTACAATAAAAAGAATGTTGGTTATATACGTATATTTTCTTTTCTACAAAGAAAAAAACAAGAGGACCTATGCTAAATTTACAACATTACAAAAATTTTGTTTTTAGATTGTGAACCAAATAAGTTTTTGAAGAACAGATAGATTTTCAAGGAAAGTTGTGAATCTTTTTTTTTTTTTTTTTTTAAACAGTGCTTTGAAAGTAAGACAAAAGTGCTTTTGTGTGTCATGGCTTAGGCACAGCTCTGCTTAGAAGCCGGCAGAAGGGATAATTTGTACTTTGAGGTTGTAGCTGCATTTTGTGACAAGGAAGTTCAAGTGCATCCATGCTGATTTTTCCTTATGTAATCCAGTATTTTTAAGTCAGAGAGTCAGTGTCATTTTAACAAGCTTGAGCCACCCTACATGTAACCATCTCTATTATTATCAATGCTTATAATTAAAGCTAGAAAGAGAAGTTTTCTAAAGCGGTTATGGGGACAAAACCTCTCAGAAGCATATGCAATTGGACAGAGGATAAAGGTAAGAAGGGTTCTTTGGGAAACTAAAAAGTGCTCGATTTTTTTTTTACCATTTCTGTCATCTCAATAAGGTTCCAAAAAGAAGAAGTATGAAGTAAACTCATAAGACATTCTGGTCTAGGTTTATTGATATAACACTAGGTTGAACTCTACAATCATAGTTATTAGAAATGTCATAATAATCATCATGGATATAATAACTGTTTACAATGACAATTACGGGTTGGACCAGTGCATCCTCCAGGCACAGATTGTGGAGCAGCATGATCCTCACCACAACTGTTCAAATGGCTTGGAAACTTGGTTTTCAAAAGGCAGTTTCAGGATCTAAAACTCTTTTCCTCCATTAAAAACAAAATGTGTTTGAGAAAGCCATCTAGAGAGCTACCGACTAATTCATGTAGCAGCTATTTCTTTAAACATCTACTGGGTGCCTGGTATGGTGTCCAGTGCAGAAACACAGAAATGAAAAAAGCAAACATGGTTAATTTATACTAGATTACATGTAAAACATATTCCTTTTTTTTAACTTTTTTTTTTTTTTTTTGAGACAGAGTCTCACTCTGTCACCCAGGCTGGAGTGCACTGGTGCAATCTCAGCTCACTGCAACCTCTGCCTCCCAGGTTCAAGCTATTCTCCTGCCTCAGCCTCCCCAGTAGCTGGGACTACAGGCACCCACCACCACACCTGGCTAATTTTTGTATTTTTAGTAGAGACGGAGTTTCACCATATTGGCCAGGCTGGTCTTGAACTCCTGACCTTGAGATCTGCCAGCCTCGGCCTCCCAAATCTTCAACTTTTAAGTTCTGGGTTACAGGTGCAGGATGTACAGCTTTATTACATAGTGCCGTGTGCCATGGTGGTTTACTGCACAGATAAACCCATCACCCAGGTATCAAGCCCAGCATCCATTAGCTATTCTTCCTGATGCTCTCCCTCCTCCCACCCACCTCAACAGGCCGCAGTGTGTGTTGTTCCCCTGCATACGTCCATGTGTTCTCATGGTTGAGCTCCCCCCCTATAAGAGAACATGCGGTGTTTGGTTTTCTGTTCCTGCACTAGTTTGCTGAGGATAATGGCTTCCAGCTCCATCCATGTCCCTGCAAAGGACATGATCTCATTCTTTTTTATGGCTGCATAGTATTCATGGTGTATATATACCCCATTTTCTTTATCCAATCTATCATTGATAGGCATTTGGGTTGATTCCATGTCTTTGTTATTGTGATTAGTGCTGTAATGAACATATGCATGCATGTGTCTTTATAATAGAATGATTTCTATTCCTTTGGGTATATACCCAGTAATGGGATTGCTGGGTCAAATGGTATTTCTGCCTCTCTGTCTTTGAGAAATTGCCGCACTGTCTTTCACAATGGTTGAACTAATTTACACTCCCACCAACCATGTAAAAACTCCACAGCCTTGCTAGCATCTGTTGTTTCTTGACTTTTTAATAATCACCATTCTGACTGGCATGAGATGATATCTCACTGTGGTTTTGATTTGCATTTCAGTGACGCTGTGCTTTTTTCTATATGTTTGGTGCCCGCGTGAATGTCCTCTTTTGAGAAATGTCTGTTCATGTCTTTTGGGCCCTGTTTAATGGGTTTGTTAGCTTTTTTATTGTAAATTTAAGTTTCTTGTAGACTGTGGATATTAGCCCTTTGTCACATGGATAGGTTGCAAAAATTTTCTCCCATTCTGTAGGTTGTCTGTTCACTCAGATGATAGTTTCTTTTGTTGTGCAAAAGCTCTTTAGTTTAACTAGATCCCACTTGTTAATTTTTACTTTTGTTGCAATTGCTTTGGGCATTTTCATCATTAATTCTTTGCCCATGCCTATGTCCTGAATGGTTTTGCCTAGATTTGCTTCTATGGTTTTTATAGTTTTGAGTTTTACATTTAAGTCTTTAATCTATCTTGAGTTAATTTTCGTATAAGGTGTAAGGAAAGGGTCCAGTTTCAATTTTCTGCATATAACTAGCCAGTTCTCCCAGCACCATTTATAAAATAGGGAATCCCTTCCCCATTGCTTGTTTTTGTCAGGTTTGTTGAACATCAGATGGTTGTAGGTGTGTAGTCTTATTTCTGAGTTCTCTATTTTAAAACATATTCATTAATATGACACATTACCTTCAAGGTAATGCAAGTTTCTGCTTTGGTCTAGCAGAAAGTACAATTCTGTACACACACACAAATTCATAATTTATTCAATATAAGTAAAATATGCATGTCTTTTGGTCTTTCAAAGAGAAGTGTTATAATAATTGTAATCATAACTACTGTTTCTTGAGCACATTATTGGACCTCTGTCTGATACTACCTCTCATCCTCAAAACAACCCTGAAAGTAGGTGTTACTTCCATTTCACAGAAGACTTGTCACAACTATATGTGGTTCCATATTAATAGCTGCAACCCACTCAAGGAGACAGGGTAACAGTGATCATTTAGTGAACATCTACTATGTCCTTGCACTGTGTCAGGCCCTTTATACTTATTTTTTCATGTAATGCTCACAGCAACTTGCCAGGATAGGCAATAATGTCCCTATATTAAAGATGCAGAAACTGAGGTTCAGAGAGGCCAAGTAATGTACCCCAAATCATAGAGCCAGTGAATGGCCACATAGCTGGGTTAAAAACCTGGAACTGCCTGACGCTCAAACACTTACCTCGTCTCTAAAATATTTCCCATAAACCAATGGCATCCATTTCTCCATGTCTTTGTTCAAGCTGTATTCTCTTCCTAGGATGACCTGCCATGCCTAACCTCCCCTCAGTCTTCACGGCCGAGCACAAATATTACTTCTTCAGTCCCAACCAGCCCAGGCAAAATTCGTAATCTCAGCACAGGTTTTTGCCACTAGTCTAACACTTATCACATAGTATTGTAATTATTTGTATGTATTTCTCTGCCATGAAAGGTTAAGAAGACCTTGAGAGCAAAAATTGTTTCTTATTTACTCTTTTTTTTTTGAGACAGAGTCTTACTCTGCTACCCAGGCTCGAGTGCAGTGGTGCAATCTCAGCTCACTGCAACCTCCACCTCACGGGTTCTAGCGATTCTCCTGCTTCAGCCTCCCGAATAGCTGGGATTATAGGTGTGTGCCATCACACCTGGCTAATTTTTGTATTTTTAGTAGAGATAGAGTTTTGCCATGCTGGCTAGGCTGGTCTTGAACCCCTGACCTCAAGTGATCTGCCCACCTCGGCCTCCCAAAGTGCTGGGATTACAGGCGTGAGCCACCGCTCCCAGCCTCTTACTCACTTTTCAGTTCCCAACACATAGTGCATAGCTTGGCATATATGTTGGCACTTCATATGCTAATTGGTGGCTGATGTAATAACCCACATCAGCATGTTATAAACTAAAAGGACCTCTAAAAAGTAACAAAACCAATTCCTCCTTCATCTGTTGGGGAATTACATTTTTTGCTTATTTTTATTTATTTTTATTTTTATTTTTCTGTTTTAAAGACCGTCAGAAGAGTGATTGCTACAACCTCTTCACCTTCTTTATTTCTGATTCTAGCCCCCATCCATGCATGTTTTTTCTCTCTGAGAAAATGCTCTTAAATTTTCAAAAACATGAAACATAATTTTCACAAAATCTATCTTTATTTTGGCTGTTTCCTGGTTATCTGAGCTCTATGTGGCACAAAAATTTATTTCTACCTCTGAAGTCTCACTACAGATAGAGGGCTTTTCCTTGCCATAAGATATGTGATGACCCCAAGGGTGCACATTGGTCTCATAAGGAAGGAGCAGATGAAGATGATGCTTGGCTTAGTATTTCAGACAGAACAAATGCATGTGCACTGATTTGTACCTTCTAATCAATTACCAATGCTTTATTTCCCTATAAGAAGAAATATACATAAATGCTTTGATTCTCATTTAACAGATTGGAAAACTAAGAAACAGAAAGAGTAAATGATTTGGCTCAAACTTTATTGTCCTAGAGTTTAAAATTCAATTCAAAATTTTCACCTTCCGGACTGCACTCAAATCCAAGGCCAATTTTTCAGAAAATGGGTTGCAGCTCTAATATTTTCTTTATCAAGATAATCAGGTCATCCCTTTAAATAACTCCTTTCTTCTTTAGAAGTGACATTAATATACAACTATCCTGAAAGCTTATATGCAAAACAAGCTAATAAAAAGATCTGGCTTTTTTTTTTTTTTCTGAAGTCTTTACTTAATAAGGATATTCACAGATAATTGGCAATACTGTCTGGACAAAGAGTTACAGCTTCGTCGTCAAAACACATAGCCTGCTTGTGCAAATTAGCTTAAGAAATTTCCCATTTCTAAGAGGATAGGCCAGCTGCCAGCTCTTTAAGAAAGAAAAACACACCCTCTTAGAACACGAGTCATTAAATATTACATAAAGGGTACGTACACACACACAGGCATTTTAAAAAATTGCTCAAGACCTTCCAAAACGTCTCTTCACCACACATAGGGTACACATTTTGTCAAGATCAAGTTGTTTTTTTTCTTATGCATACCACTTACCAATAGTATTGCTACATGAGAAGGCTAAAGATGTACTGTAAACAAGAGTGCCTAACAGACAGAGCAGATGACTCAGAACTGATTTTGAAGTAGAGTTTACACTTGTAAGTTGAACTTAGTGCCTGCACCTGCTTACTTGTCAGCCCTGTTTTGAAAACAGATTGGCTGACCTTTATGCCTATAGTTATTTTCTAAATCTCATACCTGAAATGCAACCTTCTTAGAGAAAGAAGACCTAACCAATGTTTTTAGCACAGGTGGATTAAAATGGCCGTTCTTTGGAAATGTGGATTGAAAGTGTGAACAAGGACAGAAGTGTGCCCACCAAACCAAAACACAAGACCAGAGGCAATGTGACTTGCCAGAACTCAGCGTGGACATTTGAGTGGCTCCTGTCCAGTCCATGTCATAAATGAGTGCAGTGGGTGCCTTTATTCTTTTTACTGTGAACACTCAAAAGTATTGAGACATTACAAGCAGAGAGATAGTTAACAATTGAAATAAGACCAAAATAGTTCCAAAATCTAAAGGCAAAGGAATTCAGATGTCTCAACATGCTTCCCTAAAAAGCGAGTTCAAAGTACACAATAAAAAATAAGAAGATAACTGCTTTGATTTACAAGAATATTTCATTGATTTGCTTCTTAATTGCTTTGGGACAACAGATTCCTCAGAACAATGTCATATTTATTTTTCTATGTTAGCCAGAAAGTGAAAAAGAACTACTGAGTTGGAACAAGAATGTTTTCCCTTTACAAAATTAATGATTTCATCATAAATATTATGGTAACACTTTCCAAGAGTCTCAAAGTTTAATCCATCATATTTTTAGTAGTTAATTTAACAAAGTGGAATCTCAACTTTCAAATTCCTTTTCTTTTATATTGGAAGAATATTTGCCTATTTCATACTACTTTTTTTAAGCTTTTTTTTTTTAAATAAAGCACTTTTGGAAGGAAAATTTGCATATGTTTTTCAGGCTAAATCTGCTTCTTTTTAAAAACAAAAACTAATCTTAAAAAAGTAAATGCAGACAAGCAATTAAAAGGCTTTCCTTATTTGAAAAGCAACTTTTTCTCTCGTGTGGTTTATCAGTGAGCTCAAATGGACTTATATTGATAATTAAAATGATCTGTAGGGTCTTGCCCTAGTTAAAAAGCCACGTTAAAATGTGAGTGCTTGATATTAAAAGTTACACTTCCGGCCTGGCGCGGTGGCTCACGCCTGTAATCCCAGCACTTTGGGAGGCCGAGGCAGTTGGATCACGAGGTCAGGAGATCGAGACCATCCTGGCAAACATGGTGAGACCCCGTCTCTACTAAAAATACAAAAAAATAGAGGGGCGTGGTGGCGGGCGCCTGCAGTCCTAGCTACTTGGGAGCCTGAGGCAGGAGAATGGCTTGAACTTGGGAGGCGGAGCCGAGATCGCGCCACTGCGCTCCAGCCTGGTCGACAGAGCAAGACTCCGTCTCATAAAATAAATAAATAAATAAATAAAATAAAAGCTACACTTCCACCTAAGTATAATGCAGCAGCTGTGAAATGGTGGGTGATGAGGACATTGTTTCCTTACATTAATTTTTTTTTTTTTTTGAGACGGAGTTTCGCTCTTGTTGCCCAGGCTGGAGTGCAGTGGCGCGATCTCGGCTCATGGCAACCTCCGCCTCCCGGGTTCAAGCGATTCTCCTGCCTTAGCCTCCCGAGTAGCTGGGACTACAGGCGCCCGCCACCATACCGGCTAATTTTGTATTTTTAGTTGAGACGGGGTTTCTCCATGTTGGTCAGGCTGGTCTTGAACTCCTGACCTCAGGTGATCCACCCGCCTCGGCCTCCCAAAGTGCTGGGATTACAGGCGTGAGCCACCGACCCTGGTTCCTTACATTAATTCTTATGAGGGACATCATACTGAGTTTTTGTAGAAGTGCAGAGATTTCAGTTGGTTTGTTTAGTTTTACGGGGATGACACAGGGGTGGGAGTGGGAGTGGTTTATGAAAGCCGTTGCACATTATGTTATTTATTAATAAAAATGCCTTTAAAATGAATTGAAGTCAGGAAAGGCAACAATAAAAACTCTTCTATCACAGTTCTAAATAATTGTACAATAAGTAAGATTTTGCTACTAAAACAAAAAAATTCTTCAATCTCTTTGGATGCTTCTCAAAGTTCTCACAAGTGATCTGAAAGTTACACAGAGAAAAGAGAATTTTTTACATTGAATATATAAAATTGTTTCAATAAATATTTAGGGCACTACAAAACAACTCACTAAAAAGTTAAAATTCCTCAAACTAAGTTAACTCAGTCAACAAATTTGTTTGTTTCTAATCTGGTTGTTCAGTCACACAGATGTTTAAAAAATATAAAAATGTTAATATAACATGATAGTTTTTCTTGATTATAAAATTAATAAGTATGCATTATTTTAAGAAGGAAATTACATAACAGAGAACAACGCTTTTACAGTTGGTTTGGGTTCTTATTTCATAATATGTGTATCAATTTGGAAATTTTCTTATTAACTTCCTGTGACCACAGTGGAGAAGTTAGCTTATTACACTGGTCTACATCTCTCAATTTTTAGCAGTTACAGCACTATTTTAGTTTCTCCATTGGTTACCTTTGTTATTTAAATAACTTTCTTAAACCACTAGTTCTTTTTATTTAAATCCTCTTTTCAGCTTGTGAAATAGGTCACACGCCAAAAAAATACATAAAGCAGAGATGTATTCCAAAGCAAACCTCCCTGAAATGGCTACTCAGGTCAAATAAAGGAGTGTCAGTCCCCAGAAGGTTCCTGCATGCCTCTCCAAGGCATAACTCACTCCCTTTTCCTAAAACATAAAACTCTTCTGACTTCTTTAGTAATAACTTCCTTGCTTTTCTTTATATTTTTGCTATCCAAGGATGCATCACTCAACACTATAATTTCACCTGTTTTTGAATTTTATGTAAATAGAATCATACACTATATATTATTTTGCATCAGGCTTTTCTTAGCTCAGTATTATGTTCATGAGATTCACTAATATTGTAGCATTCAGCTGCAGTCCATTAATATTCACTGCTATATAGAATTCCATGAGAGAGAGCCTTACAACTATTTATCCATGCTCCCATGGATGAATATTTTGGTTGTTCCCAGGTTTAGGCTATTGTGAATAAAGCTGTTATGAATTTTCTTATACATGTCTCCTGGTACACATGGGCATATATTTCTTTTAGATATATACCTAAGAGAGAAATTGCTAGGTCATGAGGTATGGTATCTTTAACTTTAATCAATAAAGCCAAATTGCTTTCCAAATTGGTTAAGCTAGTTTCTCTTTTCACCAGCAGTGGAGGAGAGTTCCAGGAGCAATCCTTGCTCTTTTTCAGTCTTTTTAAATTTTAGCTATTTTGAGAGGTGTGTAGTGGTACCTCTTTACTGTTTTAATTTGTGTTTTTCTGGTGGCTGAGATTGAATATCTTATCATATGCTTATTGATCAACTAGTTATATCCTGTTTTGAAGTGGCTGTTGAAAACTATTTGCTCATTTTTCTATTAAGTTGTATTTTCTTATTGGGGTGTATAAGCTCTTCAGATATTCTGGATATGGGTCCTTTGTTGGCTATAACAAATATTGATTAAACATGTATTCCAGATATTTTCAAGTCCATGGCTTGCCTTTTTACGATTTTTTAAATTTTACTTTAATTCTGGGACACATGTGCAGAATGTGCAGGTTTGTTACGTAGGTATACGTGTGCCATGGTGGTTTGCTGCACATATTGGTCTATCCTCTAAGGTCCCTCCCATCGCCCCCCACCCACTATTTTATTTTTAATGTTCTTATTTCACTGTAATCAAATTCATCAATCCTTATCTTAAAGGTTGGGGCTTCTTAATGTTTAATATGTTTTAAAATCACTCTCCCATATAGAGATTATGAATCTATTTTTTCTGTATTATCTTTTAAAGCCTTACTGTTTTGCCTTTGAAAGGGTCTATAATTTACCTGGAATTAATATTTTTGTTTACAGTGTGCAGTGAATTCAGCATTTTCTATTTTTTCCAGATAGAACATCCTCTTCCACACTGCTCTCAGGATCATTTTTGTCATTGCTATTTAATTTGTCATTACTATTTCAATTTTCAACAGATTCTCTTGATGCCTCATTTTATAAAATGAGAGCATTTGCATCCTTACCACTTCTTCCCTCTTCCCTATTTACTTTTCATTTTCCAAAATCTGTCAGCTAGAGCTTTACTTTAACATCATCAAAGCTGAGAGTGTTTACATTCTGTCCTTAATCAGGATTAACTCCTCCATGCTTTGTGCATCGGTTTATTTTAAAAGCTGATAATCAATAAACAAATTTTGCATTATTATGACTATTCATCACATTATTCATCACAGAGCCAGAGAGTGCTAATAATTACATTCCCTTGACTACATTTCTGATCCTGTAATCATTGTGTCACTCAAAAGAAAATACACTAGCACCAAGGTTAAATAGATTATCCTCTCTAATATTTTACCAATGGCTGAAAAAGATCATGTTTTAAATTATTTCATATTTGGAACATGACATTCTGGTAAATGTTATGATTTAGCTAGAGTTTCTGGCTATTCATTTTTGCTTTGTTAAGACTCATAGGTTTTTTTCCACCATATCCTAATATTTTGCAACTTTTCATTAGCAGCAGCTATTATCTGAAATATACTCCATTCATTTCCTTGAAAATAGACTTCTGTAAGTCTGCTGATTACTCTCCTAAATTAGACTAATTTTCTTCTTGGTCACACAACTGTTATACTTGGATGCTGTTTTAATATTCCTCTAAGCTAGTACTACCATTCGTATAGCCCTGGGAAGACTTAAGACAACTGCAAAGTTAGAGGGAACACAGCCCTATACTTGGATGCTGTTTTAATATTCCTCTAAGCTAGTACTACCATTCGTATAGCCCTGGGAAGACTTAAGACAACTGCAAAGTTAGAGGGAACACAGCCCACACAAGACCACCCTCAGGGCAGGTGCAGTGGCTCATACCTGTAATCCCAGCACTTGAGAGGTCAAGGTGGGAGGATCACTTGAGCCCAAGAGTTCGAGACCAGCTTGAGCAACATACTGAGACTCCATCTCTACAAAAGATAAAAAATTAGCTGGGCCTGGTGGCATGTGCCTGTAGTCCCAGCTACCCCAACCTGACTGACAGAGTGAGGTTTTGTCTCAAAAGAAAAAAGACCATCCTCATTAAATTGCAAGTTTGAGGAGTTGTCCAAACCATCTCCAGTTTTGATAATTTGCTAGAAAGACTCACAGAACTTTCTGAGTTACACTCACAGTTAAGATTTACCACAGAGAAAGGATATAGATTAAAATCAGTCAAAGGATAAAGTGCATAGTGCAGAGTCTAGGAAAGAACCAAATGCAGAGCTTCCATTTTCCTCTCCCCATGGATCAGGACATAGTACTTTTCCAGCATTGATGTATGACAATAAGCACAGGCTATCATTAACCAGGGAAGCTCAGCAGAGCCTCTGTGTTCAGAGCTTTTATTGAGGCTCCATTACAAAAACATGATTGACTATTCACATAGCTAATTTTAGTTTCCAGTCTCCAGTCACTCAAGGTGTGACCCAAAGCTCTCATCTTAAATCACATTTTTGGCATGGATCAAAGCTCCACCCTAAATCACATCTGTTACTGTCTGGCTAGCCAAAGCCCTCCAGGCAAACAAAGACACTCCTGTCAGACACGAGGATCCAAGGGCTTAGAGATGACTCCCAAAAGCTCAAGACAAAGGCCATTTCTTTTGGGACAAGGTTAAATTCATTACCACCCAATCATACGTCTTCTTCTTTTCTTGGTTTTCACCCTCATTTTACAGGCTTACATTCTCAAGTAAGGGTGCATGGATGTAAATTTTCATTTAGAATCTTTGGTGTTCTGAGATTTCATCATGAGGTCCCTAAAGGTGGGCCTTCTTCCTTTTTTTTTTTTTAAGACAGGGTCTCACTCTGACACCAGGCTAGAATACAGTGGCACAATCTCAGCTCACTGCAACCTCTGCCTCCTGGGTTCAAGCGATTCTCCTGCCTCAGCCACTCCAGTAGCTGAGATTACAGGTGTACACCACCAGGACCAGCTGATTTTTTTTTCATTTTTATTTTTTTGGAGACATAGTCTGGCTCTATTGCCCAGGTCGGAGTGCAGTGGCACAATCTCGGCGCACTGCAACCTCTGCCTCCCGATTCAAGCGATTCTCCTACCTCTGCCTCCCGTTTCAAGCGATTCTCCTACCTCAGCCTCTGGAGTAGCTGGGATTACCACACCCAGCTAATTTTTGTGCTTTTAGTAGAGATGGGGCTTCATCATGTTGGTCAGGCTGATCTTGAACCCTGACCTCAGGTGATCCATCCGCGTCGGCCTCCCAAGTGCTGGGATTACAGGCATGAGCCAACGCACCTGGCCACGATCCTTTGATTTTGAAGATCTCCCTGTAGCTATGGAAATACTCTTTCTTTGACAATTCCTTCGTCTCTATCATGAGTGTTTTGTCTTTTTAGAACTCCTGCTATTTAGCTATTGGACATCTTCGACTGAGGCTCCAGCTCTGAGTCCAAAGTTTCTCCAGCGTTCTTCAGGGCAACTTCGTGACTTCTATCCCTGTTGTTGCCTTCTCTCATATTCTGGAGTGCAGGTGCCTCCTCTTCTTCCTCTCTGCTTTCTTTTATTTTTATTTTTATTTTTATTTATTTATGTATTTTTTGAGGCGAAGTCTCCCTCTGTCGCCCAGGCTGGAGTGCAGTGGCACGATCTCCACTCAATGCAAGCTCCACCTCCCGAGTTCACGCCATTCTCCTGCCTCAGCCTCCCGAGTAGCTGGGACTACAGGCGCCCGCCACCACGCCTGGCTAATTTTTTGTATTTTTAGTAGAGACGGGATTTCACCGTGTTAGCCAGGATGGTCTGATCTCCTGACCTCATGATCCGCCCACCTCAGCCTCCCGAAGTGCTGGGATTACAGGCGTGAGCCACCGCGCCCAGCCTCCTCTCTGCTTTCTTATAAACCTCTTAAAGCCTCTGTTTTCCCTCTTCTCATCTGCTCATTACTACCTGCAATTCTCTTCATTTCTGTGGGCTATGTCTTTTTTTATTGTCCTGATATTATTTTAAATTAGTCATGGGAGAGAGGAATAAATGAGTGTGCTCACACTGCCATCTTGAACTAGGAGTCACCCCTAGTTTGGGAGACCAAAGTGGGTGGATCACGAGGTCAGGAGTTCAAGACCAGCCTGGCCAATGTGGGGAAACCCCGTCTCTACTAAAAATACAAAAATTAGCCAGGTGTGGTGGTGGGAGCCTGTAAACCCAGCTACTTGGGAGTCTGAGGCAGAGAATTGCTTGAATCAGGGAGGCAGAGGTTGCAGTGAGCCGAGATTGCACCACTGCACTCCAGCCTGGGTGACAGAGTGAGACTCCATCTCAAAAAAAAAAAAAGGTGTTTTAAAGACAGATGGCTTTTTCTATCAGAATAGGTTTCCTGTGACTACATCAAGTGGCACAGCAATGAATACATTCCCTGAGACTCAAAAACACAATTCAGGGCAAGAGCATCTTAGGAGAAATATACACATAGAGCCTTATATGAGACTTATTTCATCACATCATCTATACACAGTATCCAATTATGACATATTGAAAAGAAAAAATAACCTAAGTGACTTAATTTTTTAAGTATATTTTCAGAGCTGTTCCTGCCTAAAGAGAAACAAAAGAAATAAAGTAAGTTTTTGCCAATTGCCAGATGGCAGCTGTGGTATAGAAGAAAGAACACTGGCTTTGGTATCCAAAGACCTGGGTTTGAGGCCTGGCTCTGCCTTTGTGGTCTCCAAAGCTTTGGTTGAGTCACTAAACTTTTGAGTCAGAAGTTTCTCATTTACAAACAGAAGAATAATACATGTGTCTCGCCACTGCTGTGAGGTTGAAAAGAAATAACAGATAAAAACAGACTTTATAGATTGAAAAGTAAATAGAAAATAAAATACATTCTCCAAATGACTCCATTCTCCAGGGAGATTTCATGCAGAATTTAACAGAATCTTTTAGGGGAAAAAAGTTTTTATCTCTATAACCATCTTTCCCAGACAAGAAAAAAAAAATTCACACAAAACCATTTGAATGTCCAATGGGTTCCACCAAATAGATTTACATGCCCATTGAAGATGACCATAAACATAGTTATAGTATCCAGTTATAGCATCTAAAAAAAGGTATTGCTATGGTTTGAATATTTGTTCCCTCCAAAACTAAAGTTGAAATTTAATCCCCAATGTGGTACTATTAAGATGTAGAGGCCTTTAAGAGGTGACTGGGTCATGAGGGCAGAGCCCTCCAGAATGGATTAATCTACTCAGGATTAATAAATTAATGGATTAATAGGCTAACCAATTAATGGGTTATCATGGGAGTGAGAGTGGTGGCTTTATAAGAAGAGAAAGAGAGGCCTGAGCTAGCATACCCAGCTATATATATATATATATATATATATATATATATATATATATATACACACACACAGTACATATATATATACTGTGTATATATGTATATACACAGTATATACATATATACACAGTCGCACTCTGTCACCCAGGCTGCAGAGCAGTGGCACAATCTCGGCTCACTGCAACCTCCGCCTCCCAAATTCAGATGATTGTCGTGCCTCAGCCTCCCAAGTAGCTGGGATTATAGGTGTGAGCCACCACGTCCAGCTAATGTTTTGTTTTTTTTAGTAGAAACAGGGTTTCACCATGTTGGCCAGGTTGGTCTCAAACTCCTAACCTCCAATGATCCACCCACTTTGGCCTCCCGAAGTGCTGGGATTACAAGTGTGAGCTACCACACCCAGCCTAAATTTCTTTTCTTTATAAATTACCCAGATTCAGGTATTCTGTTATAAGCAACAGAAAAAAGATTAAGACAGGCATATAAAACAAGTTTCTAATTCTGAGTTTATTCATTTATTCTATCCTTTAGCAAATATACATTGAATGCCAAGGCTATTCAAAGCACCTTAAACAATCAAAAGACATAGGCTAGGTGCGGTGGCTCACACTTGTAATCCCAGCACTTTGGGAGGCTGAGGCAGGCGGATCACCTGAGGTCAGGAGTTTGAGACCAGCCTGGACAACATGGTGAGACCTCGTGTCTACTAAAAATACAAAAGTCTGCTTGGCGTGGTGGTGCACATCTGTAATCCCAGTTACTCGGGAGGCTGAGACAGGAGAATGGCTTGAGCCCAGGAGGCAGAGGCTGCAGCGAGCCGAGATTGCGCCACTGTGCCACTGCACTGCAGCATGGGTGACAGAGGGAGACTTTGTCTCAAAAAAAAAAAATCAAAAAACATCAATTAGGCACAATACTTTCACTTACTCAGAAAGCTTCCTGTTTATAGGGAGATCATGCATGTATACCCACATTTCTTTTTTTTTTTTTTTTTTTTTTTTGAGACAGAGTCTCGCTCTGTCTCACTCTGTCTCCCAGGCTGGAGTGCAGTGGCACGATCTTGGCTCACTGCGAGCTCCGCCTCCCGGGTTTTACGCCATTCTCCTGCCTCAGCCTCCCAAGTAGCTGGGACTACAGGCATGTACCACCTACGCCTGGCTAAATTTTTTTGTATTTTTAGTAGAGATGGGGTTTCACCGTGTTAGCCAGGATGGTCTCAAACTCCTGACCTTGTGATCCGCCCACCTCGGCCTCCCAAAGTGCTGGGATTACAGGTGTGAGCCACCGCACCTGGCTCCACATTTCTACAATACAGTAATGGGTATAACGAGTGACACATGCCTGATACAAACTAATAAGAAATGGTACTTGAATTAAACCTTTAAAAATGAGTGGAGTTTCAATTTGGAAACCTAAATGGAAGGACATTCTAAGAAGTGGGAATTGTGTTCACATAGGTTATAGATATGTAAAAGTAATCCTTTCTTTAGGGAATTGTGAAAGCTTGGACTGTCTGAAGAATAGGTTTCATATAGAAGGTATGAGGGATAGGCCCTGTTGCAGAGGACTTCTAACAGGCCATTGTATGTGGACCTGACTCTGTAGATAATATTTACTATTGAGAGGGGTGCATAATGAAATACAGCTTAATACATTTTATTTTGTATAATCTTTACTGTTTACAAATTATTTTTACATACATGATCTCACTTGGTCCCCAACACAATTCTATGGTGGTTGTGTTATTACTACAGATGGTCCCTGACTAACAATGGTTCTACTTAGGGTTTTGGGGCTTTATGATGGTGCAAAAGCAATACACATTCAACAGAAAGCAGTATGCTAAGTTATGCAATGCCAGGCAGTGCCAGAGAGCCACAACTCCCAGTCTGCCACATAATCACAACAGTAAACAATCAACTCTACAGTGTACTGTGTTGCCAGATTATTCTGTCCAACCGTAGACTAATTTAAGAGTTCTGAACACACTTAAGATAGGCTAGGTTAAGCAATGGTGTTTAGTAACCATAGCTAGATAGGTCTAGTAAATGTATTTTTCTTATTTCTTTTATGTCATCATGATTGACTTAGGCAATATCAAATGCATTTTTGATATACACTATTTTCAACTTATGATGAGTTTTTCAGGACATAACCCCACTGTAAGTCCAGGAACATCTGTATTTGTTGATAGAATAAGCCTTAAGTCAGACTTAGAGTCCAGGTCTTCTTTTTTTGAGTTGGAGTCTTGCTCTGTCGCCCAGGCTGGAGCGCAGTGGTGCAGTCTCGGCTCACTGCAACCTCTGCCTCCCAGGTTCAAGTTATTCTCCTACCTCAGCCTCCTAAGTAGCTGGGACTACAGGCACAGGCCACCACACCCAGCTAATTTTTGTTTTTTTAGTAGAAACAGGGTTTCACCATGTTGGCCAGGCTGGTCTTGAACTCCTGACCTCGAGTGATCCACCTGCCTCGACCTCCCAAAGTGCTGGAATTACAGGCATGAACCACCGCACCCGGCCAGAGTCCAGGTCTTCTGACTCCAAATGCAATTTTCTTCAAATTTACTTCTAGTGATTTGTTGAAGATTTGTACAGAATACACAAAAATGAGTAGATCCTGAAAACAACAGGGCAGCTCCTGAAGAACATAAATACTATTGAGGCAGAGTTGGAGTTGAGGAGCCAGTGTTTAGCAAAGTAATGCAAAAAATAAACAAACTTCTCTTATAGCAAGTTTGACTGTACAAAGAAGGCAACAGGAACACATCTCATATTTCGTTAAAATCACCCCTCTCCCCAACGATGGTACTTAGCACTTAGTATGTTGAGGGAGTTCAGGTAGTAGATGTCGAGGACAAGGAGTACCTCAATTCCTACAGTGCTCTGAGCTCGACTAAATGCTTCCAATTGCCTAGTTCAAACCCAGGCTCACACTATCCCAACAGAATTAAATTAGATGGCTTTCCAAACATGACAAAGATATGTTTGTTTAAATGACAACTGTAGGATTCCCCCAAGGACATGTAGGCCATGTGAAAACTGTGAGCACAGAGCTCACAGCTGTTCACTTCAACAGTCAACAGTGGACGACTGGTAAGAAGCCAAACAATTTTTTATTGTTTAAATCTTGGGTACCGTTGTTTTTCTAATAGCTTCCCTGCTAACGATGCCAATTTGATCTCTAAAAGTATTTTTCAGGAAAGATTTTTCATATGTTAACAAGACTTGCATTTGATTCAACTCCTCTAACATTGAAATATAAAGTGATTAGAATGAAAATTTCCTAACACAGTATTACCTTTAAAAGTTATTTTCTGAAATAGTTAAAACATAAACTCCTCCTTTCTCTTATGGTCCTCCTCAGGTTCTATATTAGAGAAAGCTGAATGTCTGTGAGTTCAGGGCTGACTCACTCACTTAGTTCAGACAGGTTACTGAAATAATCATAGAAGTAAGAAAGCAAAGAATTAACTTCCTATTCCCTAACTCTACCCCAAATACTGCTTTTCTTTTTTCTGTTTTCTGGTATTTGGTTCTTGTTGTTTAGCTTAAGTAGGACTATACCTTTACAAGAAATCTTTTGTAGAAGCCCACTATATAAAACTGCTGCTAGGCGCAGTGGCTCATGCCTGTAATCCCAGCACTTTGGGAGATAGAGGTGAACAGATCACATGAACCCGGGAGTTCAAGACCAGCCTGGGACAACATGGTGAAACCCTGTCTCTACAAAATACAAAAAAAATAGCGAGGTGCAGTGTCACGTGACTGTAGTCCCAGCTACTCAGGAGACTGAGGTGGGAGGATCCCTTGAGTCCAGGAGTCTGAGGCTGCAATGAGCAGTGATGGTGCCACTGTGCTCTGGCCTGGGAAACAGAGTAAGACCCTGTCAAAAAATCAAAAAACAAAAAAAACCTGCTAAAAGCAGTTTGTAGTTGAAGGAGACAAGAGGAAGAGAAGTGGGAGGGAAATGAAAACCTGATGATCATTTACCATCACTCATGCTATGGCCATTTGCTGGACGTAGAATAAAGCTTAACCTTGAGGTTTCTGAGGGCACTTAGAATTTGATTCATGATCTTCAGGACTTAGGAACATGAAAATACTGAGTCAGACCAACCTTCGGTGAATAGTACAGCAGCCTATTTAGCCACTTCATTTCATGCATTCTTTCTACAGTTATTCACTGAATATCTATGATATGCCAGCTACTGTTCTATTCAGCAGGGATATAGTAATAAACAATACATTTTCTGTTTTCATAGAGCTTACATGATAGCGGGGAAACACATTAAACAAAAAAAAAAAATGTTCATCTGATAAGATTAAAAAAATGGATGTGGGCGGGGGGCAGTGGCTCATGCCTGTAATCCCAGCACTTTGGGAGGCCAAGGCGGGTGGATCACCTGAGTTCAGGAGTTCAAGACCAGCCTGGGCAGCATGGTGAAACCCCGTCTGTACAAAAATACAAAAATTAGCTGGGCATGATGGTGGGTGCCTGTAGTCCCAGCTACTCGGGAGGCTGAGGCAGGAGAATTGCTTGAACTCTGGAGGCAGAGGTTGCAGTGAGCCGAGATCACGCCATTGCACTCCAGCCTGGGCAACAGAGCAAGACTCTGTCTCACAAAAAAAAAAAAAAAAAAAAAAGGAAATGAAGAAAAGTAAAATAGTATTAAAGAATAATGAAAAAGTATGTATCTGTGGGTGTATGTATATATGTGTTTGTGCTCTTTTATATGGTGGGTAAAAGAAGGTCTTCCTTGTGAGGGTGACCTTTAAGCAGGGAATAAATTAAGTGAGGTATCTGGGACAAGAGCTATTCTGCAGGAAGAAACACTAAGTGAAAAAGTGCTGGCCAGGTGCAGTCGCTCACGCCTGTAATCCCAGCACTTTGGGAGGCAGAGGCAGGCAGATCACAAGGTCAGGAGTTTGAGACCAGCCTGGCCAATATGGTGAAACCCCATCTCTACCAAAAATACAAAAATTAGCTGGGCGTGGTGGCAAGCACCTCTACTCCCAGCTACTCAGGAGGCTGAGGCAGGAGAATCGCTTGAACCCAGGAAGTGGAGGTTGCAGGAAGCTGAGTTTGCACCATTGCACTCCAGCCTGGGCAACAGAGCGAGACTCTGATTCAAAAAAAAAAGAAAGAAAGAAAAGAAAAGAAAAAGAAAAAGTGCTGAAGCAAGAGAGGGGTTGGCATGTTTGAGGATGAGCAAAGAAGACCAAATGGCAGGAATAAAGTGAGCACGGGTGAGAGCAGTAGGGGGTGAATTCAGGAAGACATAAGCTCCTCTGGAGAAGAGTCCAGATCATCTTTAACCTTGGTCTCCAGGGTGCCAGCTGCTAGTCCTGTCATAGGCGTTCAATATGTACTGAAGAGAATCAGAAAGGCCATTGTTTTGGCAAACAGAAAGGCATCAAAGAGTACAACTAATTCCTTAGTTCTTCCATCAAAAAGTCTGAGGTGGTGAATTTTGTAATTTATTTGTCTGATTATAGTTCAGAACATCCCCATCTCTTATGGAGAACACTGTCTCACTCCCCTGTGACCCTCGCCTTGGAGACAATGTGTTTCCAGTGTTTTCAGGGCCACATCTCCCACCACATTCCCAGTCAGTTTCTGATGTTCTTATTGCTCAGATTACATAGTATGACACGTTCCAAGAAAAATGATGACTGTTAAAAGATGAACGTCATAATAGATTAGATCTCCTGGTGCATAAAAATCACTTTTTTGTTTTAAATCAGAAAAGAAACAAATTGTTGCAAAATCAATGACCTTGCACTGCAGTAGCCCTGAGCTTTGTAGGACTTCTGTCCATGTAGTTTTGGTCAATGATGTCACTTGCTCTGTCACTTTGTGCTGTGTTAAGTGTAATTTCAGAGCTAAACCGGTACTACAATGTGAACATTGGTTTACTCTTCTATTTGTATTTCAGGGAGCAGGCCATTTTTAGCATCTCTTCTTAGGTAGAGCAATTTTCAAATGAGATTTATGGCAGGCTTTATAAAATCTTAGCAAATAAACCTATGTCTCGTGTTTCCTTTTGTAAGGATGACCATGGTTCCATCCTTCCCTCTCGTGGCACCCACCATCTGCTAAGAAACATGACTGATTCCTGGTTTTCTGATCCGTTTGCAATTTTAACTTGAGTTTTTTTTTTTTCAAATTGTCCTATTCGCAACTCTAAATATGTCAAGATTAGTCAGAAAAAATGCAATCCTTCCTTTTTAAAATGTTATCTTAAAGGGATATATTATCTTTGGTAAAATGAGGTTAATTTCAGATCACTCACACACAAACACACAGGCACATACTACTTTAGATCTGTGCCACATCAATAATGCAGTAGCCCGGATTATTGACCAGCTGAAACAAGGAAAGTCAGACTATTCTGTAGGTCTATAGATGCGGGACATTGCATTTAAATTGCCTGACATTAAAAGCCGAAAAAGGAAAGGTAGGAACTTTTGCCATCAGAAAATTTGTGAGATTAAAATAAATAAATAAATAAATAAATAAAGAAGAAAAAAAAAGAAAAAGAAAACACAAAAAAGATCTAAAACAAAAGATAACCAAAAAAAAAAAAAAAAAAAGAAAATTTGTGAGATTACGTCTCTCTTCACACTTAGCACCCCTTAGCATAACAGCACCTCTGATATGTTAGATTGCAACCTAGGTGTAGGCTTCATCTCCTTTTAATCTTTTCCTGTCTCACAGGGAGTAAGTATTCTAGTGACCTTGTGAAGGGAAGTCTACAGTCTTGGCTTACTATTTATATGGTGGATTTATCAAAAGATATTCACTTAATTTTTTTTTTTTTTTTATGCTCAGGCTGGAGTGCAGTAGTGCCATCTCAGCTCGCTGCAGCCTCCGCCTCCCGGGTTCAAGCGATTCTCCTGTCTCAGCCTCCCTTTCCCTGTAGCTGGAACTACAGGCATGTACCACCACATGGCTAATTTTATATTTCTAGTAGAGACGGGGTTTCATTATGTTAGCCAGGCTGCTCTCGAACTCCTGACCTCAGGTGATCTGCCTGCCTTGGCCTCCCAAAATGCTGGGATTAGAGGCATGAGCCACTGCGCCTGGCCAAAAAGATACTCACTTTAGTGAATGAGGGTCCTGTCAACTCTCTTTACTGACTATTAAATAGGGATACCACCCACCTGCTCCAGATACATTCCAACCCACCTTCCCTCAAAACAAACACTACTTGGACTGGGATGACCAACCATTTTGGTTTGCCTGGGACTGAGAGGTTGACTGTGACATAGAACTTTCACTGCTAAAACTGGGAAAGTACCAGGCAAAACAGAGGAGCTGATCACCCTAACTTGGACCCTCATTAAGAGTGGAACAGTTCCTGATTGAGATACGCTGACACTGTGCCTTGATAGAGCTGCTCTGTTTCTTTTTACCACACGATGAATAAGGCCTCAAGGTCCAGGCCTTTGAGGTACACCATGTGGAGGTTCTCTCACTTTTCCACTGACAATTTCCAAATTAGCAAAATGGTGATAATAGTTGTGACTACATCCTAATTATCTTATGAGAATTGAGTTTATATTAATATATATAATGGTGACAACAAAGACTGTCATATAATCAGTGCTTAGCAAATGTTACCTATCTTATTTTATTTATCTATTTATTTATTTTTGAGACGAAGTCTCGCTCTGTTACCCAGGCTGGAGTGCAGTGATGCGATCTCGGCTCACTGCACCCTCCACCTCCTGGGTTCAAGTGATTCTCGGGCCTCAGCCTCCTGAGTAGCAGGGACTACAGGTGCCCTCCACTACGCCCAGCTAGTTTTTTTGTATTTTTAGTAGAGACGGGGTTTCACCATGTTGGCCAGGCTGTTGTTGAACTCCTCACCTCAAGTGATCCACCCATCTCAGCCTCCCAAAGTGCTGGGATTATAGGCATGAGCCACCATGCCTGGCCACCTATTGTTATTAAAATAACTAGCTATGGATAGGGGAGAAATGACGCAGGATTTCTCCTCCTCTGCTGCTGATTCTTTTCTAGTGAATCTTAAATGTCCTGTATGTATTGTATTTTCAAAGGTTAAGAAAGAGAAAGAGGGAAAAAGAAAGGAGAGGGAGAATAAGGGAAAGAGAGAAAGAAAGGAAAGACAGAGAGAGAAAGAAAGGAAAGACAGAGAGAGAAAGAAGAAAGAAAGAAAGGGAGAGAGAGAGAAAGAAGGAAGGAAGGAAAGAAGGAAGGAAGGGGAAAGGAAGGGAGAGAAAGAGAGAGAAAAAGAAAGAAAGAAAAAAAGGAAAGAAAGAATGAAAGAAAGAAAAAGAAAGGAAGGAAGGAAGGAAAAAGGGGAGAGAGAGAGAGAAAGAAGGAAGGAAGGAAGAAGAGAGAGGGAGGGAGAGAAAGAAAATACTAAAAACTTACAGTCAGTTAAGTTAGTAAGATTTATTTTCCATCTTAAAAATTATTTCTACCCACAAGGACTAAAATTTGAGCACAAGCAAAGCCCAGGTAAAAAATGTATATTTTTGAGTCTGGGCATGGTGGCTCATGCCTATAATTCCAGCACTTTGGGAAGCCAAGGCGGGCAGATCATCTGAGGTCATGAGTTCGAGACCAGCCTGGCCAACATGGCAAAACCCCATTTCTATTAAAAACACAAAAATTAGCTGGTGAGGCAGGAGATTCGCTTGAACCAGGAGGCAGAGGTTGCAGTGAGCCAAGATGGTGCCACTGTACTCCAGCCTCAGCAACAGAGCAAGACCCCATCTCAAAAAAAACAAAAAACAAAAAAGTGCTGGGATTACAGATGTGAGCCACCAGCACCATGCCCCAATGGTATCTTTAAAATGAAAATAATTAATATTAATGCATTCTTATGCTCTTATCAACATTGTTTATCATAGCTAAGAAATGCAAACAACCTGAATATCCATCAGTAGGATAGTGATTAAAATAATTACATTCCACTCATACTCTGCAATTTGTTAAAATGAATAAGGTAAATAATTTACATGGAAAGATCCCCAAGGCGCATGTTGCAAAACAACACATATAGCAAAACCTTATGTATTTAAACAAATCACAAGGATGACTCCCCGTCTCAAAAAAAAATTATTTGTTGCTTAAAATTTTTACAAAGAGTTTGTTCATAAATTATTAATACTTTGTAATTTAAAAAAAAAAAACACAAAAAAAACAGCTGGAGGAAAGAATTCTACTCAATTCTTCTGTCGTTATTTTGTTCCTCTTCCTTCTCCCTCACACCTAACATCCTTCTAAAAAAAAGGAGGAAAAACAGTTTGCTGCAAGTGCCAAAGTATCCGGATTGCTGTAGATGAGGTATAGGGCAAATAATTCACTAACTGATAACAAGGATTGACCACAGTAAAGTGTCCACAAAATTATACCCAAGTACAAACTGAAAGAAACAGCCACACTGGGCCAGGCGTGGTGGCTCATGACTGTAATCCCAGCACTTTGGGAGGTTGAGGCAAGCAGATCACAAGGTCAGGAGATGGAGACCAGCCTGGCCAACATGGTGAAACCCTTGCCTCTACTAAAAATACAAAAATTAGCTGGGTGTGGTGGCACGTGCCTGTAATCCCAGCTTCTCGGGAGGCTGAAGCATGAGAATTGCTTGAACCCGGGAGGCAGAGGTTGCAGTGAGCCGAAGTCGTGTCACTGCACTCCAGCCTGGTGACAGAGCGAGACTCCATCTCAAAAAAAAAAAAGAAAAGAAATAGCCACACTGTTGAGCATGATCTCTCAGTAAGTCTTTTTATAATAAAATTTGTTAGCTGTTTTTTGGCAATGTTTTTTTTTGTTTTTTTGTTTGTTTTTTTGTTTTTTTTTAAGACAGAGTCTCACTTTGTCTCCCAGGCTGGAATGCAGTGTCACGATCTTGGCTCACTGCAACCTCCCCATCCCCGGTTCAAGAGATTCTCGTGCCTCAGCCTCCTGAGTAGCTGGGATTTCAGGCACCTGCCACCATGCCAGGCTAATTTTTGTATTTTTAGTAGAGATGGGGTGTCACCATGTTGGCCAGGCTGGTCTCAAACTCCTGACTTCAGGTGATCTGCCCACCTCGGCCTCCCAAAGTGCTGGGATTACAGGTGACAGCATGACTGGCCCCAATGGTATCTTAATAGTGGTGGAATATATTTAAATGGAACACTAAAGTTCCTTTTTTTTTTTTTTTTTTTTTTGAGAGGGAGTCTCGCTCTGTCGCCCAGGCTGGAGTGCAGTGGCTCGATCTCTGCTCACTGCAAGCTCCGCCTCCGAGTTCATGCCATTCTCCTGCCTCATCCTCCCGAGTAGCTGGGACTGCAGGCGCCCGCCACCACGCCCGGCTAATTTTTTGTATTTTTAGTAGAGACGGGGGGGGTTCACCATGTTAGCCAGGATGGTCTTGATCTCCTGACCTCATGATCCGCCTGCCTCGGCCTCCCAAAGTGCTGGGATTACAGGCGTGAGCCACCGCGCCCAGCCTGATTAAATCTTATCTCAGGATTCTGGGGAAGTTGGAATAGATTGCCTTGTGAGCAAATCCTTTCACAGTATTAGCGGTACCAGCACAGAATCTGAATGCTGGAGATGTTTTGTTGTTGTTGTTGTTTTTAGATGGAGTTTCACTCTTGTTGCCCAGGCTGGAGTGCAATGGCATGATCTCGGCTCACCTCCCGGGTTCACGCAATTCTTCTGCCTTAGCCTCTCGAGTAGCTGGGATTACAGGCATGTGCCACCACGCCTGGCTGGCTAATTTTGTATTTTTAGTAGAGACAGGGTTTCTCCATGTTGGTCAGGCTGGTCTTGAACTTCCTACCTCAGGCGATCTGCCCGCCTCGGTCTCCCAAAGCTTTGGGATTACAGGCGTGAGCCACCACACCCGGTCTGGAGATGTTGTTTAGAAGACTTCTATGCTGGGTGGGGTACTGGAGAGGACCCTCTAGTATTCACTGCAAGTCGAAAATTCTGCAACTGTCAATGGTTTAGGAAAGGCACTTACTATATTGGAAAGAATTCGACTTTGGAAGTCAGACTGACCTGGGTTTGACTTCATTCTCAGATAGCAACTATACAATTTTAAACATGTTACTTATCTCCTTGTGCCTCAGCTCTGCCTCTGCAAAAGAGGATGATCATCACTGCTTCAAAGAATTATTGTAAGAATTAGAGATAAGGCATATAAAAGCACAAAGTAAGCACAAAATAAATACTAAACATTATTTGCTCGTAACACATATAGTTCCTTTAATCTTTATGTAGTCATGTTGCTGTATTGGTTTTTATTTTCAAAATTGATTTACTGGATGGAGACGGTGGCTCACGCCTGTAATCTCAGCACTTTAGGAGGCCAAGGCGGGCAGATCACAAGGTCAAGAGATTGAGAATCGATTGAACCTGGGAGGCAGAGGTTGCAGTGAGCTAAGATCAAGCCACTGCACTCCAGCCTGGCGACAGAGCGAGACTCCGTCTCAAAAAAAAAAAAATTAATTTACTGTAAAATTCTGTCTTTTTAACATCTTTAAATATTCTATCTTAACTATAAGGTCAAGTGACTACAAACGAATGAAATTTTTTTAAAAACATTAAATTAACCATAAATTTACCTATTTAAATAAGCACTCAAAGAAATCACAGTCTTTTTTTTTTTTGAGATGGAGTCTCGCCCTGTCGCCTAGGCTGGAATGCAATGGTGCAATCTCAGCTCACTGCAACCTCCGCCTCCCAGATTCAAGCGATTCTTCTGCCTCAGCCTCCCGAGTAGCTGGGATTACAGGCTCATGCCACCATGCTCGGCTAATTTTTTGTATCATTAGTAGACACATGGTTTCACCATGTTGGCTAGGGTGGTCTTGAACTCCCGACCTCGTGATCCGCCTGCCTTAGCCTCCCAAAGTACTGGGATAACAGGTGTGAGCCACTGTGCCTGGCCAGAAATCACAGTCTTATAATTGCCAGGGACTTTAGAAGTCATCCAGTTGCATCTAACTCCTATTGCAGGAATCCTTTATTTATTTATGTATGTATTTATTTATTTTTTTGAGGAGTTTTGCTCTTGTTGCCCAGGCTGGAGTGCAATGGTGCAATCTCGGCTCACTGCAACCTCTGCCTCCCGGGTTCAAGTGATTCTCCTGCCTCAGTCTCCCGAGTAGCTGGGCTTACAGGCATGAGCCACCATGCCCAGCTAATTTTGTATTTTTAGTAGAGATGGGGTTTGAGACCAGCCTGACCAACATGGAGGAATCCTTTATTTCATTCTTTCATCCTGAAGGCTGCTCAATCTCTTAGCTTCTAAACCTCTTAGCCAGAAAAGGATGGAGAAAGAGAAGTCTTCCTGAAAGGAAGGAACTGGACTAGAAGAGAAGCTGCAAGTGCACCTGGGGTGTCAGTGCCTCCTTCTATCAGACCCACTGCACAGGGTGGTCTTCAGGTCTCCACAGAAAGCAACAAAGAAATCTTCTCTGCTTCTCTGATCTTTGGGAAAGCTGGAGGAGACTGATATGGACCATCCTTCTATATCCAATAAAAAGTACAAGAGAGCATTGGATTTCAGGGAATTTGTTTCCCCAAAAAGATCAGTTTTCTTCAAATACGATGATAATGACAGATACTGAAGTTATTCTGAAGTTCCTCTGTGCCATTATCAAGTACCTCAATAGTCTACAGCTGCAATCTATCCCATAACCTAAGACTAATATTCTCGAATCTGAAATCTGTGATGCCCATTGAACTCTACTCTTTAGTTCGCTGGACTCCCTCAATTGCCTTCGTGAAGGCTTCAAAGACATCACCTTCTGCTATATAATTAGGAAGTTCAAGGAAGCATTCTCTCCAGCATCAAAAGCTTCAGGAAATCCCAACAATTTAGGCTTAGCCTTAGACACAGTTCAGCGATAGTATTACTAAGACCTAACAGGCCAGGCGTGATGGCTCACGCCTGTAATCCCAGCACTTTGTGAGGCCGAGG
Organism: Homo sapiens; assembly: GCF_000001405.40. Taxonomy (NCBI): domain Eukaryota; kingdom Metazoa; phylum Chordata; class Mammalia; order Primates; family Hominidae; genus Homo; species Homo sapiens. Next base: position 72,375,354 of record NC_000009.12, on the reverse strand, counting down.
CAGGCGGATCATGAGGTCAGGAGTTCGAGATCAGCCTGGCCAACATAGTGAAACCCTGTCTCTACTAAAAATACAAAAATTAGCTGGGTGTGGTGGTGCACACCTGTAATCCCAGCTACTCGGGAGGCTGAGGCAGGAGACTCACTTGAAGCCGGGAGGCAGAGGTTGTGGTGAGCCGAGATCTCACCACTGCATTCCAACCTGGGTGACAAAGTGAGACTCTGTCTGGAAAAAAAAAAAAAAAATCTCGCCACTGCATTCCAGCCTGGGTGACAAAGTGAGACTCTGTCTGGAAAAAAAACAAAAAAAAACACAAAAACCTAACAATCTCTTATTTTTTCAATTTTATATTATCCAAGCACTTAACAGACCTAATTGTTTTTTAATTTTTGGGGTGACAATCAAAGCTTGTCTGAATTTGAGGGATCCCACTTATTTCTTTATTTTTAATAATAGACTTTATTTTTAAGAGCTATTTTAGGTTCACAGCAAAATTGAGAGAAAGGTACAGAGATTTCCCATATACACCTGCCTCCACACATGCATGGCCTTCCCCATTATCAACATCCCATAGAGTGGTATGTTTGTTACAACTGATGAACCTACATTGACCCATTATTATCATTCGAAGTCCTTGGTTTAAAGTAGGGTTCACTCTTGGTGTTGTAGGTTCTGTGGGTTTGGATAAATTGATCATGACGTGTAGCCACCATTATAGTATCACACAGAGTAGTTTCTCTATTATAAAAATCCTCTGTGTTCTGCATATTCCTCCCTCTTTCCCCTCTATCCCCTGGCAACCACTTGATCTTTTTACTGTTCCCATAGTTTTGCCTTTTTCAGGATGTCATATAGTTGAAATTAACAGTACGTACTTTTCAGACTGGCTTCTTTTTTGTTTGAGACAGAGTCTCACTCTGTTGCCAGGTTGGAGTGCGGTGGTGTGATCTCGGCTCACTGCAACCTCTGCCTCCCCGGTTCAAGCGATTCTACTGCCTCAACCTCCCGAGTAGCTGGGACTACAGGCGTGCGCCAACCACGTCCAGCTAATTTTTGTATTTTTAGTAGAGATGACGTTTCACCATGTTGCCCAGGACGGTCTCAATCTCTTGACCTCGTGATCTGCCCACCTCGGCCTCCCAAAGTGCTGGGATTACAGGCGTGAGCCACCGCGCCCGGACCTCAGACTGGCTTCTTTCACTTAGTAATATCCATTCAAGTTTTCCATGTCTTTTCATGGCTTAATAACACGTTTATTTTAGCACTGAATAATATTCTATTATCTGGATGTACCACAGTTTATTTCTCCATTCACCTACTGAAGGGTATCTTGGTTGCTTTCAAGTTTTGGCAATTACGAATAAAGCTGCTATGAATATCTGTGTGCAGGTTTTTTTGTGGACATGTCTTCAACTCCTTTGAGTAAATACCAAGGAGTGTGACTGCTGGATCATATGGTAAGAGTATGTTTAACTTCATAAAAAATCATCAAACTGCCTTCCGAAGTGACTACCATTTTGTAGTCCCAACAACAACGAATAAGAGTTTCTGTTGCTTTGCATCCTCACCAGCATTTGGTGTTGTTTGTTTTCTGGATTTTGGCCATTCTAATAGGTACATAGTGGTATCTCATTGTTGCTTTAATTTGCATTTCCCTGATGACATATAATGTGAAGCATCTTTTTTTTTTTTTTTTTTTTTGAGATGGAGTCTCGCTCTGTCACCCAGGCTGGAGTGCAGTGGTGCGATCTCGGCTCACTGCAAGCTCCACCTCCTGGGTTCATGCCATTCTCCTGCCTCAGCCTCCGAAGTAGCTGGGACTACAGGCGCCCGCCACCATGCCCGGCTAATTTTTTTGTGTTTTTTAGTGGAGACGGGGTTTTACTGTGTCAGCCAGGATGGTCTCGATCTTCTGACCTCGTGATCTTCCTGCCTCAGCCTCCCAAAGTGCTGGGATTACAGGCGTGAGCCACCATGCCCGGCCTATGTGAAGCATCTTTTTATATGCTTATTTGTCATCTGTATATCTTCTTTGGTGAAGCTAATGTTTTTATTTATTTGTCCTGCTTCAGTTTATCACTTTTAATTTTTCAATAAAAAGAATTTTCCCTTACATATTTATATGCTTCACATTTAGAGTTGGTCATGATGTTGTAAGTTATAATACAAAAACAACTTAAATCAGTCATATACCAGTATCTGAAGTACTGGCTCTGAAATTCCCAGGTTCAAACTTTATCTTGTTCATTCTAGAGCCATTGATCCACATGGAATAAATATAAATTCATATCTATTTCTAGATATTTATTCACTACTCCCACTTATTCACTACCTAACAATAGTAGTGGTTAGCTATACATTTCTCTTCCAATGACAGAGCATAACTTCAGTATGCAAAGACAAACAAAAAAAAAAAGAAGAGTTTTCTGGATTAAGTTGAAAAATGTTTGTAAGTAAAATTTTAAAAATAGATATACCTTTGTCAGCTGGGTGTGGTGGCTCATGCCTGTAATCCCAGCACTTTGGGAGACTCAGGCACGTGGACAACTTGAGGCCAGAGAGTTTGAGACTAGCCTGGCCAACACAGTGAAACCTGTCTTTATTAAAAATACAAAAGTTAGCCAAGCATGGTGGTACATGCCTATAATCCCAGCTACTGGGGAGGCTGAGGCGTGAGAATCTCTTGAGTCCAGAACGAGGAGGCTGGTTGCAGTGAGCCGAGATCATGCCACTGCACTCCAGCCTGAGTGACAGAGTGAGACTCTGTCTCAAAATAAATAAATAAATAAATACAAATAGCTATATCTTTGTAAGTGAAAAATTCATAAATAAACCATTTATAAGCCAAGGGATGAGTACAGATACTCATTCCTTTGAGTACTTCATTTGAATCTATGAAGGTGGGTAAAGTCGCTCTGAGAGAGTATGAGCAGTGAAAAAACAAAGAGTGCCCGGGACCTAGACCTAAAAAATGCCAACATTTAGGAGATGGACAGATAAGCTGGAGCTAGCAAAAGAGACAGAAGTTGCCTGTTAGAGACTGCTGGGTGAGGTGAGCGATACACAAGATAAGAATGGTATGGCCGGGTGCGGTGGCTCATGCCTGTAATCCCAGGACTTTGGGAGGCCAAGGTGGGCAGATCATGAGGTCAGGAGATCGAGACCATCCTGGCTAACATGGTGAAATCCCATCTCAACTAAAAATACAAAAAAATTAGCAGGGCATGGTGGCATGTGCCTGTAGTCCTAGCTACTTGGGAAGCTGAGGCAGGAGAATCTCTTGAACCCAGGAGGGAGAGGTTGCAGTGAGCTAAGATGATGGCACTACACTCCAGCCTGGGCAACAGAGTGAGACTCTGTCTCAGAAAAAAAAAAAAAAAAGAATGGTTAACTTTCTAGGCTTCGCGCCATGGTTCACACCTGTAATCCATCTGCCAAAGCAGGCAGATTGCTTGAGCTCAGGAGTTTGAGACCAGCCTGGGCAACATGGTGAAACCCATCTCTACCAAAAATACAAATAATTAACTGGGCACGTGTCTGTGGTCCCAGCTACTCCGGAGGATAATGTGGGAGGACTGCTTGAGCCTGGGAGGCAGAAGTTGCAGTGAGCCGAGATCGCGCCACTGCACTCCAGCTTGGGTGACAAAGTGAGACTCCCTCTCAGAAAAAAAAAAAGGTTAACATTCTAATGGTAAATATAATTATGAAATAAATTTAAAGGGGGAAGTGATCCTGAAGAGGCAACAAACACTGTGCCAAAGAACAGAAGGTTGTACTCTCACTAGATATATGACAATGGACAGGATATATAACTTTGCCCTGAGCCTCAGTCAGTCAACTCCTCCAGCAAAAGGAGAGATAAGAGTTATTTCAATAGGCTGTTGTGAGAATTTATCAAATTAATACATTTGAATATACATTGTAGGTGGAAAGACATTACACAAACTTAAGATACTTGCCTTGGCTCTCTGCCTAGAACTTAGATTGCTCCAGGACAGAGGCCCACCCTACCCACTTTTCTCATGCTAGTCTTCTGTCTGAATCCTGACCTCCCTAATTGTTTCTAGCTTTTTTTCTGCTGGCTAATAGGACCTTAGGAACAATTGCCTCCTGCCTAAGCTTTATAACAGCACAGTTGCTGGGCTCTAACTAAATCACTGACACCATTCCTGTCTTCCTGGCCAACCCCACCACCCATGAACCCAGGTTATGATATGCTCCAAAGTATTGTTTCTTTTTCTTTTCTTTTCTCTTTTTTTTTGAGAGGGAGTCTTGCTCTGTCACCCAGACTGGAGTGCAGTGGCACAATCTCAGCTCATTGCAACCTCCGTCTCCTGGGTTCAAACGATTCTCATGCCTCAGCCTCCGGAGTAGCTGGGATTACAGCCACACACCACCACGCCCAGCTAATTTTTTTTCTTTTCTTTTTTTTTTTTTTCTGAGAGGGAGTCTCACTCTGTCGCCCAGGCTGGAGTGCAGTGGCACGATCTCGGCTCACTGCAACCTCCATCTCCCAGGTGATTCTCCTGCCTCAGCCTCCCAAGTAGCTGCGATTACAGGCACCCGCCACCATGCTTGGCTAATTTTTGTATTTTTAGTAGAGACGGGGTTTCACCATGTTAGCCAGGCTGGTCTTGAACTCCTAACCTCAGGTGATCCACCCACCTCGGCCTCCCAAAATGCGATGATTACAGGTGTGAGCCACCATGCCCAGCCTTAATTTTTGTATTTTTAGTACAGATGAGGTTTCACCATGTTGGCCAGGCTGGTCTTGAACTCCTGACCTCAGGTTATCACCTGCCTCAGGTGATCCGCCATGTTGGCCAGGTTGGTCTCGAACTCCTGATCTCAGATGATCCTCCTGCCTCCCAAAGTGCGGGGATTACAGGCTTGAATCACCTCACCCAGCCCCAAAGTATTGTTTCTGAGACAATCCCAGAGCTAACTACTGAGATTAACAACCCACACTTAGCTTGTTCAATAAAAAAAATTTCTTAAGAGTTGAGACCAAAATATTTTGTTTCTTAAATGGTGTTTACAACAAAATATATATACATAGTAAATCATCAGTTTCCTTCAACCTAAGTTCTTGATTTACATAAACGATTAGGCAGGCCCAGCTCGATGGCTCACGCCTTTAATCCCAGAACTTTGGGAGGCAGAGGTGGGCGGATCACCTGAAGTCAGGAGTTCAAGACAAGACTGCCAGATTTTGTTCTCTACTAAAAACACAAAAACTAGCTGGGGGTGGTGGCGGGAGCCTATAATCCCAGCTACTAGGGAGGCGGAGGCAGGAGAATCGCTTGAACCTGGGAGATGGAGGTTCCAGCCTGGGCGACGAGAGAGAAACTCCATCTCAAAAAAAATAATAAGAAAATTAAAAACAATAAAAGCTTTTAGTTTTTCAAATAGTCTCAAAAATTGTTTAATGCTACGTTGATAGTATCTAGATAGTGTCAGAAAGTCTTCTCTAATCTGGTAAGATATCTATGTCTTTTATTTGAAGATTCTTTGATCAAGTTATTTTCAGAGAAAATAATTAAGAATTTTAATTTACCAAAAGGTCTATATAATAATGAAATTGCAACTTGCTTTATCAATTTCTTATTTATTTATTTTTAATTTTTTTTGAGACAGAGTCTTGCCTGTTGCCTAGGCTGGAATGCAGTGGCATATTCTCAGCTCACTGCAACCTCCACCTCCCAGGTTCAAGCGATTCTCCTGCCTCAGCCTCCGGAGTAGCTGGGACTACAGGCACCCGCCAACAAGCCCGGCTAATTTTTTATATTTTTAGTACAGACAGGGTTTCACCGCGTTAGCCAGGATGGTCTCGATCTCCTAACCTCCTGATCCGCCCATCTCGGCCTCCCAAACTGCTGGGATTACAGGCGTGAGCCACCGCGCCCAGCCTTAATTTTTAAATTAGTGGATTTGCTCTAAATACAATACTATAATCCTTTTAGCCAATTATTTTGAAAATACTTCTATAAAACAGTCCTTTACCTTGATCTTTGAAATCTGGGAAGGGGCTGGGAACGAAAGGGAGGAAGGGCACTATGTGAACGTCCAGTGACACATCAAAGTTTTGTGCTTTTTGTGTGTGGGTTTGTTTGTTTGTTTGTTTTTTGTTTTTGAGAAGCAGTTTCGCTCTTGTTACCCAGGCTGGAGAGCAATGGCGTGATCTCCGCTGACCGCCACCTCCACCTCCCGGGTTCAAGCAATTCTCCTGCCTCAGCTTCTGGAGTAGCTGGGATTACAGGCACCCGCCACCACACCCAACTCATTTTGTATTTTTAGTAGAGACAGGGTTTCACCATGTTGGTCAGGCTGGTCTCAAACTCCTGACCTCAGGTGATCATCCCGCCTCAGCCTCCCAAAGTGCTGGGATTACAGGCATGAGCCACCACACCCGGCCACTCTGAAGTTTTTAAGACCCTAGAAAAGGCTTTGTGCTTCACCATGTTCTACTCAAGCACAGACAGAAAATGAATAGTTACTTATGACCAAGTATTATAATAATGTCATAGCAGCAATTCTTGTCTCCATAATAGGAACTTATATGTCAAGATAAAATAACTTCAGGTCTTTTACATTTTACAGTGGACTAATAACTTATATTGCTATTTTTAAGGGATGTCAGTTTTCTCTAAGAAATTTAATTACATTTGCTCTTCTCCCATCATCAATCCCCTTTCCAGGCCTAGTTTACAAAGAAAAGTGTAAGAGAACCTGCAATGACTTTACCTGAGTTCTTAAGCAGACTACCAGGTTACCTACTTTAAGGAAATAAGCCTGGCTCCTTTGGCCATGGGGATGGTTGGAACTCAGACCTGGGTGAGTTTTCAAGATCCGTTATGATTGGTTATATGCTCCCATAGCATTCTATGCTTTTCTTTCAAAATATTTACCAGTTCATAATTATATATTATATGATAATATCTTTCTCCCCAAATGACAGTAAGATCCATGAGAACAGGGTAACATCTTTTTTTTTTACATGAATGTATATCCCAGCACCAAGTTAAGTGAGTGCCTGGAAAGTAGCAAATGTGCAAAACTTTTTTTTTTTTTTGAGACAGAGTCTCGCTCTGTTATCCCAGGCTGGAGCACAGTGGCACAATCTCGGCTCACTGCAACCTCCACCTCCCCAGCTCAAGTGATTCTCCTGCCTCAGTCTCCCGAGTAGCTGGGACTACAGGCACCTGCCACTCGCCTAGCTAATTTTTGTATTTTTAGTAGAGACAGGGTTTGGCCATGTTGACCAGACTGGTCTCCAATTCCTGACCTCAGGTAATCCGTCTGCCTCCACCTCCCAAAGTGCTGAGATTATAGGCGTGAGCCACCACACCTAACCAATATCACATTTTGAGCACGACCAACTTTGCTCATTATCTGTTTTTTTGTTTGTTTGTTTGTTTTGTTTTTGAGACGGAATCTCATTTTGTCACCAGGCTAGAGTGCAGTGGCATAATCTCTGCTCACTGCAACCTCTGTCTCCTGGGTTCAAGTGATTCTCCTGCCTCAGTCTCCCGAGTAGCTGGGACTACAGGCACGCACCAACATGCCCAGCTAATTTTTGTATATTTTTTAGTAGAGACAGGGTTTCACCATGTTGGTCAGGACGGTTTCAGTCTCTTGATCTCATGATCCACCCCCCATGGCCTCCCAAAGTGCTGGGATTACAGGTGTGAGCCACCACGACTGGCTACTCATTATCTTTTTTACAGAGGTTGGTTTCAGGCCAAAGTTGACCTTCCCTAATGACTATAGAGCAAAGCCCTTTGGCATGTTATATTAGAAGCATTCTCTTATATATTCTGTGTTTAGCAATTCAGTTTGTCTTTGGAGTGCAAGTGAAAATTTAAAATATAAGAAAACAAAAATAAAACAAAAACCTTCTTAGAAGTATATCCCTTAATCTGTTACACCAGTAATATGAGACTTTTTTTTTTTAAACTTTTCCCTTTCACATGGTGTGAGCCATCTGAAAAAAAGAGGGGTCACCTGATGCCATGGTAGGGTTAAGTCAATAGTTTTCAAACTTGTGTATGCATCAGAATCACCTGGAGGACTTATTAAGCCACAGACGGCTGTGCTAACCCCCAGTTTGTGACTCCACAGGTTTGGTGCTGGGGCCTGAGAATCTGTATTTCTAATAAGTTCCCAGGTAGTCTGGAGACCACATTTTGAGAACCACTAGAAAATAGCTGCTAAAAAGGAATCTTGGTATGTTTAGGTCCAATACCTGCAACATTCTTGATTGAAACAGTCTCAGAGAAAATTATAAATGGGTGATAGAGAAGATGAATTATCAGAAGGTGACATAATATTATGGAATACACTATTCAATAATGAGCTTGCCTCATTACCCTTAGACTTTTTTTAAAGTATGCTTCTTCAGGAATTATCTTGTTTCACTCACTATAACTCCAATTCTAGAGAAAGAAAAAAATTCAAGTTAAAATTCAAGTTATTTTTGTTCTCAATAATAATCACCTCCATTGCCTCCCTGCCCTTCAGTGCCCTGGGCAAGCCTTTTTAGTCATTGTTTCTTTATCTGTAGAAAGGGACATGATAATAGTACCTATCTCAGTGAATTGCTGTGAGGATAAAATGAGACCCTAAATGGAAAATAGTTGGCACTGAAAATGGCCTGTAAATGGTAGCTGCTATTTTTTTTTTTTTTTTACTAATTCATCTGCTAATTTAAGGAAATAAATTGCAGTGGTCGTGGGACCAGTGACCCAAACTACTTAAATCTCTAATACATTAATTGATCACAGTAATAAACCCGAATTTGTTAAAAAACAAAACAAAAGGTTGTTATGCTCCAGGTACTTTGCTAACTGTGGCGGAGAACTGTTTGATTTGGCAGTGGTGGCTCAAGCTATCAGTATAGCATTCCCCCAAATACAGATTATAAATAAGGACCACCTGAAGCGCAATATGGGCCCCCCCCCACCCCCGCTCCCACCCCGGAACAACCAAAACCATATCCAGGGGAGATGCGTAGGAATCTTTAATCACCCCAGGTGATTTTTTTTCTGATTACCAACTTTGAGAAACACTGAAGGGACCTCTTCTCCATTCTATATGTGGCTAATATAAACCCTAAACATCATTTCTATGTATTCGTTAGACCGTTGTTTACTAGAAAATTTCAGAAGTCCTTTCCGACTTAGTAATTTTGTTATTTTGAGTTGAACTGAAATTCACTTGGAGCGGTCAGTTGAAAATGTTTTTTGTTTGTGCTCTGAAAAGGTTCCCAGTGTTCCGGGTAAAGTCATCCTTTCACCCATGGGGGACCTGTGCCTCGTGCCTGAACTGCCCGCCTAGTACCTCCCCCCTTGAACTTCCTCTCGCAAGCCTCCTCCTCCCGCTTCATCTGGGCCTCGGGTCTAGCTTGTTTTGTCCCTTCGCGGCTTTTGAGTAGAACATTTGGTGCTTTCCCAGTTCACGACGCTTTGCTGGAATCGTCAATTTCCAGGGATTTCACAGGCTGGCCAAAACAGTTTGTTCAGAACAGCGCCGCCGGGGCATTGGCAGCCCTGGGCGGCCGCGCGTTTCCTCACTCCGCACAACCACCCGTGACCTTGGGCGAGCGAACGCACGCCGCCAGCTGCGTCAGGGCCACGCTCGGGCTGGACTTCGGAGCTCAAAATGGGTGTGGGGAGTGAGGAGGTTTCATAAACAGAAAAGACCTCGAAGCCATAAGGCAATTCTTTTCCTTTTCTGGGGGTGAATCCTTACGATTCTTGGGGGAGGGAATGTCTGCCCAGGGCTGGAGACAAAGCGTGAGAACTAGGATGGCGAAAAACGGGTTTGAATGAGAAAATCCGAAGGAGGGAGGCTGAGGGCGGACAATTGGGTTAAAAATAGAAACGCATCCTCCACAGGACTCGCTCTTCCCAGCTCCACCCTAGGGGCCGACTGCCAGGCCAGTGGCTGGGCTCCGCGAGAAGGCACAGCAACCCGTCTCGGCCCCGCCTCCTGGACCTACTGACAGGGCACCGGGGGCGTGGCCTTGGGCCCGCGACGTCACCGCGCTCCCCGCCGCCGCCGCCGCCGCCGGGGTTTTCGCTGACGCACGGGTCCCGCCCCCTCCCCCTCTTTTCCCTCACAGCCCGGGCGCCGGGCGGCGAGTGCGTTAGTCGGCCGGGACGCGGAGCTGTGTGCATCTCCTACGCGGGCTCGCTCGCTCCCGGGAGCCGCGCAGCTTCCCCGGCGGTGGCAGGAGCGGCGAAGAGCGCCATCAGCGGGCCCTTACGGCCCCAGGCCTCGCGGCGCGCGGTCCGCTCGCCCTCCTCGTCCGCCCAACCTGCGGCCTGTGGAGGCGTGAGGCGACGACAGGCGAGCGCCTCGAGCAGCGTTAGCCGCTGCGGCCGCCGGTCCTCCCTCCACCTCCTCCTCGGCCCCCCCTCGCTTCCCTCCTCCCACTTCCCGAGCTCCGGCGTGTCCCGGCCACGCTCGACGCTGCTGCAGGAACAAAGGAAGACCCCGCGGCGGCGGCGGCGCCACCTCCGCCTGCTGCTCCGACCCGCTCCCGGCCCGCGGCGGCGGCACCAGGGCGCCCGGCTCAGCCTTCCCGGAGGCCTCGGCCCGGCCTCATCGTGCCGGCTTCGCGCGCGAACCCGGCTTTCGCATTTGGGACCCTGCAGGGTGAGTGATACGGGGCTGCGGGTGGGAGCCGGGCTCCTTGTTGCCGGGCCGGGGGCGGGAGTGAAGGGACCGGGGCGCCGCGGGCCAATGGCGAAGCCGGAGCAGGCCGCGGATGGCGGCGTCCGGGGGAGGGGAGCCCGCCCGCCAGCCCAGGAAGCACAAAGACGGAGGCGTCATCCTGTCGTCGTGGCCCGAGACCTGGCTCCCGGCGTCCCTGGCTCGCTCCACAGCACGGTCGGGAAACAATGCACGGCGTGCCGCCTCTGCGGGGCCGGCCTCTAGGCCGCTCGCCTCCGCGGCGGCGCCCGGCGTGGGCACCACGACCCAGAGAAACAAAGAGGCCGAGGCGGCGGCCGCGCCCCCTGCCCGTTGCAGCCCCCCCTAGCTCTCCCCTAAGAGGAGCCGTTCGGGGTCGGGGGTCGGGGGTCGGGGATCCGCGTGGGGCCTGCAGGCGAAGGGCTGGCCGGGCCTGCTGAGCTGCTGTTCTGCATGACTCAGTGGTTTTCGGAGAGGGCCCTGTTGGGCTTTATTGAGTGAGGCCTTTGCTTAGAGGGGGATGGGGTATCAGTGGGACCCGAACTTGTTCCAAAATCCATTGGAACATGGGGCCGGGGGTTCTCGGCGTCGTCTTTTGGGCTTCTCGACGTCGCTGCGTTTTTATCCTGAGATCCGTTTTCATGGAGGAAATGGAACACCTCCTTTGTTTGGTGCATTTAGGCTGATGAATGTGAAATTTTTTGCTCGCTTTCCACGCACTCCGTGGAGGTGTGTTTTCGGGGAAGGGTCGGATTATCTTTATTGATTGAGTGTCTCCTAAGGGATAGCATCTAAGGAGATACCAAGATAAAGGAACATATAGGTCACACATCCCCGTTCTTAAACCTGGGATTTAGATACAGACTTCTAAAAACATAAACGAATGTATTTTATTCCTTATTTTTAGGATTTTTTTTAAAGAGTAGGCTTTCAGAACTCAGTTGGTGAAAATACTGCAATTTTATCTTTGAAGTTTTTTGTTAAAATGTTTCCCCACACCCCCCTAAAAAATTAAGGATTCTTTGTAGTTGTCTCCTGTTTTCTATCTCCCAGGCCCTGAAAAGGAGCCTTTAAAAGTCAATTCTACTCCATTTGGCAAAGAGGGAACTGAAATCTGGAAAGTAAGGACTTGCCCAAGGTCACTGACTTAGTGGCAGACTAGAGACTTGAACTCAGGTCTCCATTCCCAGGTGAGTGGGAATTCATGCCATCTCATCACATCATGTGCACCTGAAAGAACTGTATTCCATAGGTGTAAAAGCTCTTTGTTCAGAATTGGAATTGGAGAATTGTTCAGTTACACTCGGGTGTTTTTTTAAGCTGTAAGTTAGAGGAAGCCATAAACTTTATAAAATCTGCATTCTAGCTATACCTGATAGAGCTGACACGTGCATGCTCAAGTTGCTAATTACTTTAAAGGCAATAAATAGTAATGGTATTTTTTTCTAAAATACAAGGGGAATGCAATACCTAATGGGAACACACATCCCCCACTTCATCCCCTAAATCCTCACTAAATGAGGATTCTTTTTTACACTGTCTCCACTGTGCTTAGTTTTTTATCAACAACCTTGACCATTTTAGCTTTGACTATGCTTTCATCTTCTAGATTGAGATTGTTCTGTAGTTTTTCCTACATTAGGAAAAAACTAGCAGCCCTTTTTTTGTTTTCTTATGTTAGATATATGAACGCTGCATCCTTAGTTCTTGGGGTTGTGTAGGAGTTGGCAGGCTTTGAGATATAAATAGAAGCTGATTTCAGAGGCCCCTGTTGACTAGGCTTTATGTGAGAGCCTCCATCCAGCTCAGCTTGTCACATTGCAGCCTTGTGACAGGCTGAAGCGCCCTCCCATGTGATCTGAGCTTCTGAGAAATATTAAAGCAAGCTGTGCACATGTGATGGCATTTAAAAGCTGGCTTTCTAGGGGAAAAAAATCTAAAAGATGGGAACCCATGTAGAAGACTCATGTCCTGGTACCTCTTGTGTGTCTCGCAGTTGAAAGTTATTTATAATGAAATGAAGGTAGACATGTTCTCTGAAGCAAAGTTGGAATACTTTGTTATCTCTGAGTGTGTGAAATCTTTAGATGGAGTATCCTCCATTTTATCTAAAACAAATATTTTAAGAATCAGATTAACTAAAATTACTTAGGTAGGTTGATCGCTTGGCCTTAAACTTTAAAGCCAATGTCACATGAGACTGGGCCTCAGTGTAGAAAATGTAAGCTAGCATACTTAAACTGGTTTTAAGGAGTGACCCAACTTTCATGCATAGGGCAAACATTCACACATATTTTGTGCGTGGTGGGCATGCAAATACATACATATTTATCATTTGAAAGCATTTTTTGCTCCTATTATGCTCATTTAAAAACCCAGCTGAAAGTGTTTATTAATAAACTTCCTAAGTGATGTTGAAATGTTTACACTACCCTGCTCCAAAATGAGTCAGCTAAATTCCAGTTAATATTTAAAGAGACAGTGTCAACTAAATTAATACTGTTGTTAAAAGTAAGTTGTGGATCTTGGTCACTCCACACAAGCTAGATTGTCTTAATATTTGTATGGTGCACTTTTACTTACAAAAGGGAAGATAAAATGTTTTGGGGAATAATTACCAGGGGTCTGGCCAGGTCAAAATTGGTTAGTCCCCTTCTCCCATCTTCTAATTTTGGTAGTTAATACTTGTTAAAACATCGTTTTTTAATAACTCACTAAAAAGTGTATTCTAGTATGTAGTTGGAAAAAATGACTGACCACAAGTTACAGCACACGAATTTTCCTTTAAGCAAATGCTCTCAAATATGCTTTTTGTACATATGCTTATACATGTTTAAGATGACATGAAAACCCTCCACAACTTTATTTTAAAATAATTTTTCTTTAATATGTATTTTCTCATCCAGAGGAAAACTTATTAATAATTTAGCACAGCGTTTTAACAAGACTTTTAGAAAAGCAAATCTTCCTTGGAAACAAATGCTTGCTATGTAAAGCTTTTTCTGGTAACCCAGCATTGAATATTAACCATTACTAAAGGTTATGTGTATATATTGACTTTAATACATTGAATTTGAGCTTGGAACGGTTTTATTATTTTCTGGTATGAGGAAGACAAGCACTTGTTAAAATTAATAGTGCCTTTGGCTGAGAAATCTGGTTCATAATTTGTGTATTGCAGGTTCCTAGGCACTGGCTTTGACATACTCTGAAACTTCAAATGGAGAACGTAAAAGGAGTTTCGTAAACCAGCTGACCCTAAATTCTTAGAGATTTACTTGTTGGTGCCAGGGTAGCAGGAAGGGCTACCAGTTCTCTTTTCAGCCTTATATGAAGATGTTTCAGCATTAAAAAGTACAGATGCTCTGCCTCAGCAGATTTGTCAAATTACTGATGAAGCCCAGATATGTACAGGTGTTTTAAGAAAACTTTATTCATCCAGTTTAAAGAACTACCTATAAATATCAAGACTCAGTGATAATTGTGATTAGCCAATTAAGTAAAAACATTTGAAATGGTCTGCCTGTAGTGCAGCAGAGTGAAAAGTTAAAGATACCAGTTTCCCAAATTGATTAAAACATAACCCTGAGAGCTAACAGACCTTTTCATAAATTGAAACCAAGAATAGTGATAGGTAAAAATACCCTAATAATTGATAAAATTTCTTTTTGGGTTTTTTTTTGGTCCTAAAACAGTTTGCTTTTATAAAGGCAACAAAATATTGATAATTATCTCTGCCCACCCTTTTTAATGATTAACGGAATTTGGGCTTTTGTTAAAACTTGCGTAGCAATTACAACGGTATACCGATGATTATATTAGACTATATTTTGGTGATAACACTAATTTCTGAAATTTCGTTTCATCTATAGCAGAAAAATATGGCTCAGGAGACTAACCAGACCCCGGGGCCCATGCTGTGTAGCACAGGATGTGGCTTTTATGGAAATCCTAGGACAAATGGAATGTGTTCAGTTTGCTACAAAGAACATCTTCAGAGGCAGCAAAATAGTGGCAGAATGAGCCCAATGGGTAAGTTATTTCCAAGGAAAAACACATTTGAAAGAACTGGTGGACAGAAATACAGAACCAAGAATTGGGGCTGAGAATGCTGAAAGCACATGGAGAGAACACCTGATAAGAGCTTGAAATTCAAGCAACAGCCCAAGTGCTTGACATGACTGATCAGGAATGAATGACTATCTACAAGCATCTTATAGCTTTTCAGTTTTCTTTTTTGGGGTTATTTTGTTTCACACTTGTGTTCATTGGATTGACTTTTTAATATTTTTTGTTTGGATACTCAAGTATAGGATTACAGCACAGTGAATGCTTATATCACTAACCTAATTAAATGCAAGTATTTATTACTACGTCTTGATACTAAGTGAGTTTTTGTAGTGTTCATTGGTTCCTTACAAATCCTTTTTTTAAATAGGAACAGCTAGTGGTTCCAACAGTCCTACCTCAGATTCTGCATCTGTACAGAGAGCAGACACTAGCTTAAACAACTGTGAAGGTGCTGCTGGCAGCACATCTGAAAAATCAAGGTAAGATTGAACGTTTCAGAGTTTTTATGATATTACAAAGAAGAAATCAAGATGTCTGTACTGGTCCAATAATAAGTTAATAGATACCCTTGGCTTTGCAATCGAGGATTTCAGTGTCTTTTAATACATGACTCTTAAGTCATTGAGTAAAGATGTGTGTTACTTACACCTGACTCCCTAACCCCCTCAAGGATACTGTGTTGGAAATGCTGTGCTTTTTTATTTCTTTGTAATTGAGGTTTAGGGATTGTCGAGTGAGACTGTAGAATATTATTGGGCCAGACAAGGTGTTTTGGCAGAGCTGCCCTTTTGCCCTTAAACAAGTTACAGGCACAGCTAAAAATCCCTAGCTGGTTGTAAAATATGGTAACCTATACAAAATGCAGCCTCGAGTTCATGAGCCATTTATCAAACTTTTTTCTCAACCATTTGTGCTGGGCATCCAATTTTTTTTTAAACTTTAGATTATCTAGCTCCATTTGCTCATTTTGGAAATATTCTATAATTTAAAGTTGAACTGACAACTTATTCATTGTCTCAAGAAGTACCCTTAACACCTTTAAAAATTGTTTGCTTGAACTCAAATAGAAATGTGCCTGTGGCTGCCTTGCCTGTAACTCAGCAAATGACAGAAATGAGCATTTCAAGAGAGGACAAAATAACTACCCCGAAAACAGAGGTGTCAGAGCCAGGTATGTTTTTCATTTAATACTTGTTCAGTTCTGAATTTGATAGTGCAAGAAATGGCTGGTGGGGGGATTCTTTCCTTCCCATTGAAGGACCAAAGAGGAGGGAGAGCCATAAAATATAGGCCAAGCAAAGAACTACTATCTTTAAAAGTATCTTGAGTATGAGTATCTTGAAGTGTAAAATAGTCATATTTATTCTCAGTTTCTTCTCTGCTCATCCCCTGCACTACCCTTGTGCATAATGGGCAAAGTCTGTAATCTGGAGATTGGATGTGTTAAAAACTTGATGAAGTTAAATTTCAAGGGTATAAGGAATAATTTTATAACCAAAAGCAGTAACTTTAGTTTTGATATTGTCAATGTTGTGGAAAACTTTTAAGTAGAACAACATATTTGAACACTAGAACTTATTTGAAGTACAATATTCCTATCATATTTTGTGGGAGTTTGAAACTCAGTGTGGAAAGGCATTTTGGTTTTCATGAGATATGGTGACTTTGGAAACTTTGCTTATATAGCACAACCAGAAGTGCCCTGATGGTGGAAGAAGACTGACTTGAATTACCTGTACTAGGCCCTAGAACAAAAAGATTTCTGTGCTTTATATAGTGCACGTAGCTTATTTTATCAATTTGTTCTTTTTTGGCAGAGTGCTGATTAAATGCAATATAAAACTTCTGTTGTGAAAAAATACTGTCAGTGGTTATACAGTCTGCTTTGGAGGCTGGCTTTTGCTAACAGCAGTCAAGTTTGTTTATTGTATTAATCTTACAAAGTTAAGGCCAAATTCTCAAGTTTGGCAGGTGAATCTATATTTGGCATTTTGAAATGAGCTCCATCCTTAAACTGACCACATTAGTTTGCCCGTGATGCCTTTGTTTGGGTTTTTGTTTTTGGTTTTGGTTTTTAAATACAAAATTACTCTGACCTTGGAAGAATAGTCTTGGGTTAGAGCTAGTCTGCATTTATTATTACTTAGTAGGCATTCTGTGATTCACTGCTATTTGCCTTTTCTGTGTCATTTTCTTATTCCCCCTTCTTCCCTTGTCTCAGGAGCCGTAGTTCATTTTTCAGATGTGGCCAAAGAAATGGCTGACACCCTCCCTCTACCCCATACAACTATTCCCCTAGATTATTCTTTATCCTCATGACATCAGGATAAACATTAATGTTGTCACAGTAGCAGTAGGTAGAATATTGTTCGTTTAGTCTAATATTAGGCTATTTCTCCCAGTAGATTCATTGCTAATGCAATTGAATTATAAATTTGGGCAGAGTTTTAGAGAAAATTGCCATTAAATCAATCAGCTTGTTGTAGGAGCTTGTCTATATGCTAATAGCATTGGTGCTGGCATATTTGGGCAGTAATTTCAGCATTGCATACATAAATTTGCTATTGTTACATTTGGATTAATATTAAAACCTGAGTTTATAGTGTTTCAGGTGTAGTTGAATTATATGTAAGTAGATATAAATTTTGTTATTTTTGTGTTAAAGAACTAGTGGCAGTGTGGGCTTTAGTACAGTAATGTATTTTTTGTTCATTGTGAGAAATTTTATTGATGCCATGTGTACACTGAAACTTAAAGCCTTTTTAGGTGGAGAAACGGTGGGACTGTTTGTAGATGCTATCTCTGTCGATAGTGGATGCCCATTTTAGATAAGATTCTTGTTCTGCCTGTGGAATCCTTAATAGTTTAAAATCAATACTTCTCGAGTAGTTTCTAAAGACTGTTTGCCGATCTGTTTTTAAAACCAAGGTTTAAAAAAATCTTTCAAGTCTTCCTATGATGTTTAGTGCACCTGTGAAAATGGTAAAATGATTGTTTTGGAATTTTTGGATCTGACGTTGATTTAGGGATGAATGGTTTGAGTTTTATTTGTCAAAATTTGCTGTTTTTATATCTACAGGATTTTTTTTCCTATAAGCATAAAATCAAAGTTGGCTACTGTTATTTACTGTGATGTAATGAATTTGAACTGCCCTGATTGAAAAGTTTGCATTTAGGAAATTATAACGTGGAAAAACTGAGCATATGATTAACATCTCCCAGCTCTTTAAAACAGAATTAGGATTTTGTTTTTAGTACTGGCTGTTACCAGTGTTTTAAAGGAATTTCTTGAGTGAAGCGATCATTTTACAAAATTAGAGAAGCAAGTAGTATGGTGATTGGCAGGAATTTCTCAGATTTGAATCAAGTTCTGATGTTAAAATGGAAGATTCTGTTTAAAGCTTGTATTTTCAAGGAATACTTATAAACATTTTTATCAGGCATCTTCCTGTTTCTCTTAAATACTTCCTTTTTTGACTTAAAAATGTTAGCCAGTGAATGCTTGACAAATTTGTGTTTTTGTCCTTTTCAGTTGTCACTCAGCCCAGTCCATCAGTTTCTCAGCCCAGTACTTCTCAGAGTGAAGAAAAAGCTCCTGAATTGCCCAAACCAAAGAAAAACAGATGTTTCATGTGCAGAAAGAAAGTTGGTCTTACAGGTATTACAAAACACAAGACAATGTATGTTTTACTTCTGCAGTTAACAAGGAGCTTTTGGTCACTCCCTAAGAGACTAGTTGGTCTTACACATAAAAAAAAAAAAAAAGCCTGACTAGCTGTAGTCTAGGAAAGGTGGAGGAGGTGGTATTGGGGTGGAAAGAAGTTGGGTTTTACTTCCATTTGTCTCCTAATCATATAAAACTATTAACTCAGGCCCTCTTATTTTATTAGATTGATAAAAAGTTTTTGTATACCTAGGGAAAATGTTACTGAACTAACAGTAAGCGCCACCTACTTTGAGCTATGCAGGGAATGTTCTTGGTGCTTTTTTTCTTGTCTCCTTCAAATCTCAGACCTTGATGGTTGTTTTCACTTGAGGAAGCATTACTTAAGATATGGTAGGACTGTGTTTTGAATCCAGCTTAGCCTAACTCCAGAGCCTGTGTAAATTTTATCCTGCGTTGCATCTACAGGAGTCGATAGAGGGAGAGCATCTGGGAGAAATTAGCTGGCAGATAGCCCATTTTGTTTTCTCCACGTGGTTTGGCTTACCAAACACTTCGCTATTGCCCTTGCAAGGAAAGACTGAACATAGTTATTTGAATTTCTCACCATGTCAAAGGAAGTTAAAAGTTCCTTTTCCAGGTTAACGTGATAGACTCTGTAAGAGTTGACTGTGTCTTATCACCAGGAAGTGGAAGAAAAGAGTTCACTGTCTTTTATGTTACAAAGCAATGAAAATCTGGTTCCTTTTCTATAGTGACTAAGGCTTTTTTTTCTTTTAATTGCCTCAAGTTCTCAAATGACTCTACTTCTTCGTTTGTACAGGGTTTGACTGCCGATGTGGAAATTTGTTTTGTGGACTTCACCGTTACTCTGACAAGCACAACTGTCCGTATGATTACAAAGCAGAAGCTGCAGCAAAAATCAGAAAAGAGAATCCAGTTGTTGTGGCTGAAAAAATTCAGAGAATATAAATTACTTCTTGTGAAGAGACTGAAACTTTGTTTTTATTTTAATATATCGTAGGAAAACATTAAAGAGCAGATGCATGGCCATTTTTCTTTGATGTTCTCCAGAGTTTTACATTACACTTGTCTGTCTTATAATTGATATTTTAGGATGTTTGGGTGTTTGTTACAGGCAGAATTGGATAGATACAGCCCTACAAATGTATATGCCCTCCCCTGAAAAAAATTGGATGAAAATCTGCACAGCAAAGTGAAACACACAGATAATAGGAACAAAATGTAGTTCCCATGTGCCAAACAAAATAAATGAAATCTCTGCATGTTTGCAGCATATCTGCCTTTTGGGAATGTAATCAAGGTATAATCTTTGGCTAGTGTTATGTGCCTGTATTTTTTTAAAATGGTACACCAGAAAAGGACTGGCAGTCTACTTCTACCATAGTTAAACTTCACCCTCTTTAATTTCACAACATATTCTTTGGAAGCAGGAAGAAATGCTCATAAAGAGGATCAGACCTTCTTTCCCGTGAAACCAGTATTTGGCGCCATATATAAGCCTGGTTAAATTGGTCATCTAAAGCTGTCAAATAAGACATTCTGTGAAAGGTAAACATCGAAACTGGTTATAAGTAAAACCATCAAGCCAACAACAGGGTCTTGAGATAACCTTTGAAGCTTATTGTACTGGCCTGCACCAGAAGATGTCTGCATTACTCATTGCTAAAAATGTGTAGCACAGAACTGCACTAGGATTAATTTGTTTACAAGAAGAAATTTAAACTCTACGTTTGGTTTTCACATACAGCAGCTCTATTGAATAACATGCATCTGAATTTTAAGTTGCAAAGGTATCTGAATAATTTTTCATGTGCATCTTTTGTCGAATGTTTTGGTTCAAGAAAGAATGTTTAAAGCTTTTTAAAAGACTTCAGTTCTTAATGTAACTGTACCCTTCTGCATGGAAAATCATAACCAACATGGCTGCAGTAGACTTCTTAGTGGTATCCAGCACCACTTGCAGAGGGCTGCTTTATCATATTGTACTTGGGTGTAGGACTCTAGTGTTCTTGGGTGTATTGCATGGGCTGCATTATCTACAGCATTGTACAATAACAACTAGAAAAGGCAGTATACTTCACTGATGCTTGTCTGGTAATAATCACTTCTGTGTTATAATGGAAGGTTTTTTGTGATGTATGAAACTTGTGTTTTTTATATATAAATGAGTATAGTTAGTGTTGTGGTAATGCCTGTTTTCATCTGTAAATAGTTAAGTATGTACACGAGGCACTACTTCTGATTTATTGCAATGTTCAGTCCTAGTTTTTACTTTTATTCTTAAAGCATTCAGTTTTGCTTTCAATTTTATGTACCTTAGTTCTGAGTTAGACCTGCAGATGTGTACAGATAGTTCATATTTATGTATTGCACATAATCATGCTATTCAGCATTGATGCTATATTGTATTATGTAAATAATAAAAGCCATGTACAGAGGGAAACTTCACTTGTTCATTGGGTTTTTAAGCCATAGTTGGAGTCCTAAAGGGGGAAAATTAGAAAATGTTACTTTACATGGCTATATAATTTTTTTTCCTTTGCCATCGCTGAACTTGTTCAAGTGATAATCAAGAGATATTAGAAGCATTTGCAGGTATGATACCTGATAGGCAGTTTATTTTTGAAGAATTCAATAGGCACCTTTGGGATTAAAACAATTTTAAAATTTGAGAAAGATGAAATTTGAACAATTATGGCCTACCTCGCTTCTCCATGTTGTAAAAGATGATGTTTTATGACAATTCTGAAGAAGAAAGTAGGTATGACTTAGTTTACAAAAAGAGTTCTGTTTTATTTCTGTTTTGGGTTTGGCTCTAATACAGAGATTCACCCATGGACTTGGTCTCTGTAGCGTTTATGCCAGATCATAAAGAACAAGGGGTGACAGGTACATGTTGACTTTACCTGGGGTAAATGATTACCAGAGTGCAACTGTTGCTTCTCTGTGATGGAGTTTGGGGTGGAAATACCCTAGTTTTATCTGTCAGTTCTTTGCATGCTGCTACTTTTGCTTCAAGTTAGGGAGGTACATATGTATGTCAAAGTTCCTATACTGACATAGGGTAGTATTTCTCTGAATATGAAAAGTCACAATTGAGTTGAAAATTTAGAAGTTGAAGATTTAGAAGGGCAACTTAATTTTTCAAGTTAAAAATGGAAGTAAGAGTGGTATAGAGAAGGTAAGATGAGCCCTCGGACTCCATCACTCTGAAGGTCTGAGTAGTAGCAAGAGATAGATTTTTGTTTGGCCAGGCTGCAGTGCAATGGCGTAATCTTGGCTCACTGCAACCTCTGCCTCCTGGGTTCAAGTGATTCTCCTGCCTCTGCCTCCTAAGTAGCTGGGATCACAGGCACCAGCCACCACGCCCAGCTAATTTTTGTATTTTTAATAGAGACAGTTTCTCCATGTTGGTCAGGCTGGTCTTGAACTCCTGACCTCAGGTGAGCTGCCCGCCTCGGCCTCCCAAAGTGCTGGGATTACAGGCGTGAGGCACCGCACCCGGCCAATCAGTTTTTTTTGTTTTTTTTTTGTTTGTTTGTTTTACAAGAAACATTAAACCAGATCAGAACAAAGATTTGTCAGGGTTGTCCATTGACTGGGGAGAAAGGGAATCAGTGTGTAAGGCACCTGAGAGGACTCAGTTCTACCCAAATTCTTGCATTCAAACCTGAATGCAAGGCCATGAAGTCCTTTGAAATGTACAGATATTAAGCAATTTAATAATATACCATGTTTCCCTTACATAAGCAGACAAATATTTACACCCCCATGACCTGAAGTTTTGTTAGGCTGTGACCACATGAATTCGCAGTATAAATGGGTGAGTCCTTTTTGAAAACCTCATCTTCAGTGTGCCTGATCTGTAAAACTAGAGCCTCAGGTTTGATCCTAGGTAGGCTTCCCACAACGTGGGGAAAATTAGTTTGTGAGGGAAAGCTGTTTCTGAGCATTATGGCATAGTGATTAAGATGAGGGACCCTGGAACCAGCCCGTGATTTTGGGCAAGTTATTTTAGGTCCACTTTGGACTGCTTCATCTCTTAAATGAAGACAGCAACCACCTTCAGGAGTGTGAAGGTGACAACACTTAAAACTGTGCCTGGCACATTGTATTTGCTATTGTCTTAATGTTCTGGAATAATGGTTTCCATAACTTGGGAAGAAAACTTTGAGAACAGGATTGGTTACATCAAGTTGTATAGTGAAAAGATAAAGATTTGTTATTTAAACTTGCAGTTTAAAGTCATTAGAATCATTCTTTTCCGTAAGGCTTTCTTTGCAAGAGATCTGCATTAAATAAAGTTGCTAGGAAATAACTAAAATTGGGGAAATAATCTAATAATAGCAAGATGTTAAGCATACTATTATTGTATTTTGGGGGTTGGTAATAACATTCACATGGATTTATCAATACACACTGAGAAGCAAAGCCTCTCAAGCTGTCCCATATCCTCCATTTCAAAGGCACACATACATTTTAGGTAACTCATAATTTAGAAAGGTTATTTAATCTTTTCCACATGTAAATATTTGAATATGTACAAAGACTTGATTTGACTCTTGTCTGTTTTTGTTTTGTTTTGTTTGTTTGAGACAGAGGCTCCGTCGCCCAGGCTGGAGTAAAATGGCATGGTCTCAGCTCACTGCAAGTTCCGCCTCCCGGGTTCACGCCATTCTCCTGGCTCAGCCTCCGGAGTAGTTGGGACTACAGGCACCCGTCACCACACCTGGCTAATGTTTTTTGTTTTTTGGGTTTTTTTGTATTTTTAGTAGAGAGAGGGTTTCACCGTGTTAGCCAGGGTGGTCTCGATCTCCTGACCTCATGATCCGCCCACCCCGGCCTCCCAAAATGCTGGGATTACAGGTGTGAGCCACTGCGCCTGGCCGACTCTTGTCTGTTTGAATGCAAAGTTCTCAATAGTGGTTTTTGTCCATAAGTATTAACTTATAATTTTGGAGAGTGATAGGTATGGTTGCTGGTTGATTAGCAATAAGATTATGTAGCCTTAAACTAGCTAGAAGAGTTTGCATGGGTGAGGCAACAGGCTGTTAACAAAAAGAAACTGGAAATACAGTTTCCCCTGTTTGTTTCTCCTGTTTGTACAATCTGCTTTAAAAACAAGTGAACATGCACCATGTCAGTCATGGTGAATCGGCCAACAGCCAGCCCTTGCCAGTTGACATCACAGTCTAAGATGGGAAACTGGTACAGATAGACATGAAGAGAGCTTAGCAGTGGTTGAGGTGGTGACTAAATATACAGTCATTGAATAAATACCGTGTAGCAAATGTAAAAAAAAAAAAAAAAGTACAACAGAATACAAAAGTGCCATTTAATATTTTATAGCTATTTCTATGCACAAGTGCTGGTTTTAAATTTATATAAAAGCAAAGACTGTTTCTGTGTTTTCTTCCAGAGTATTTCTGTTACAGCCATAGAAGTAAAGTTAATAAATGTAAGACTTTTTTTGTTTTGTTTTGTGCCATAAATGTAAGACTCCATTTTGTCTGCAACTGCTAAGTGCCACTTTCCTTTTATTATGGGTAGGGATGTTGCTAAGGATACTTAAGTAGTTAAGAGCAAGATGAAAGAAGTTACAGATTATTTTCTAGTTGGCTAATCTGTGTTGAATACATTTTTTATGATGATTTTTATTGACACCACAGGACCTCAGCCTGTATATATTGATAATGTAACCAAAGCTGCTCAGGAATTGGGGTAATTTTTCAGTCAACTCAGAAGTTAACAGGAAATCCTTGTTACACATTCTTAAATTTTAGATAAGTGCAAGAACTATTAACAAAATAACATTAAGCACTTACCTTGTAGAGCTCAGGCATCAGCCAGGAAAAAAAATACAAATAAATTAGCCTAATGACCTCATCTTAAATACTTGTGTCTGGGTAAATTTTTCAGACTGATCTTGTGAATATAATCCAGGATAAATTAAAAATGTTGGCTGGTCCTTGCTATGTAATATGCTTCTGCCCTCTTGTCCCTTCCCATCACTAAAAATGTATTCATACATGCAACTACAATACCAGTTGACAAATACGATTTAGATTTTCTGTTGTGTGGTATTTGTCTACTATTATAGAACCTCAAGCATTTCTCTAAAGAAAACTCTTACACATCTTGGTGTTGTGGTTTCATGTCCACCCTAATGAGAAAAGTTCTTCCTTAGTAGGGTCATGTTTCCTGAGGAACCCCTACCCTAGATTTATCCCATAGTAGGTCTTATAAATAATATCCACATACTAAAATTATTTGGCTTCTAATGTTAAGTTTTACACTAATATTGTAAAAGTAACTCTACAGTCAAAAATTGTAATATTTAAATAAGAATAATCTGCCATCCGAGCCATTAGCCTTTAGCATCTGTGTTATATTTTAAAATGCCTGCAAAAATTGTCTATGCGTAAACAAGTTGTTTTTAGTTATACTGTGGCTTATTTGGTTGGCATGAAAATTAGATTGCTTTGCATATCTGGGGTAGCATAACCAGTTTTATCAGTGGCTAGATTATATCAGATGACAAAAATAACATGAGACTTCAGAAGTCTGATAAATAAAGTGATGATACCTATTAGAAGTGGGTGCAATCTATAGCCATCAAAATGTGATGCATTCATATTCAGGCATGGTCCTTTAGCATTCGAGTGATAGGCACTTTTATTTGAGTCTTTGAATGAAAGATAGGCTTTTAAAGTGGATTAAAGGATAGCAGTTTTTACTTGATAAGTTGGGACCCATGGTAACAGCAAGCATCCCACTTATAACTGGTGTCCATTCAGGGAAAAACAGATGTAACCATTATGTGACTCAATACAAAGAAGAAGATTACACTGGTAAAAAATACTAAGTGAAAAAAAGAAAAACTAGTAAAAAATACTAAGAGGATTACATTAGTGAAGATTCAGGGTGTGAAGGTGTGAAGTAAAAGGAGAGAAGATTAACAGAATAGGTTTACCTTTATTTGATCTCCTTACAGGGATCTATCTTCCATGGTGACTAATTCTCCTATTTTGGTGAAACTTTTCAGGTTGATGGATTTAAAAGAATAGTATAAACCCAAAATTTTCCATTTTAAGGTCATGATTTTATTTTTTACTCTGTGGTTCTTAAATACAATTTACTTCATTTTATATAACACCTGCCAAGAACAACCTAATAAACAAGATCTGGTTTAGGTTTAATAAAATTAAAATGTGTTTAACAAAACCTAGAAATGATGTGAATTTGCTCCTAGGAAACACTGAAAGCATGTGAAAGGAATAGCACTCCAATCCAGCAGTTTATTTTATTTGTGCTTTTTAATAATTGCTATTTTAAATTCTCTAAGGAGTTGATAATACATAGTCATTTCTATTTGGCTTTGAAGCGATCCAAGTATATATGTGGTTTGTTTTATAAAACAACCACAAAATACAGTCTCCCTATGAACATATGCAGAGTGGTCGGAAAGTCTTCCCACTCTCTAGGCCAGAAACATCATGATTGCTCTCATATCTGACTAAATACTGACTAAGACATCTCAAACTCTACATTTTGTCCAAACTAGAGGAGTTTTTGACAATTTTTCTGGACTGGGGAGGTTATTTTTCAAAGATCCCTATTAAATTTTAGGAATCAGAAGGGAATCTAAGAAAATTACTTATTTAATCTACAAACTGATAAACTGAGAACCTAAAGTATTGAAAATCATTAAATATTCTATAAAATCAATAATTTACCAAAAATAGAAAATGCTTAATTACTTCATTTTTATTTATTTATTTAGAGACAGAGTCTCACTCTGCCATCCAGGCTGGAGTGTAGTGGCACGATCTCAGGTCACTGCAACCTCCACCTCCTGGGTTCAAGTGATTCTCCTGCCTACTCAGCCTCCTGAGTAGCTGGGATTACAGGCATGGACCACCGTGCCCAGCTAATTTTTCTATTTTTAGTAGAGACGAGGTTTCACTATGTTGGCCAGGCTGGTCTCAAACTCCGGACCTCTGGAGATCCGTCCGCCTTGGCCTCCCAAAGTGCTGGGATTGCAGAGGTGAGCCACCACACCTGGCCTTAATTAATTCTTTAGAATGCTGTCTACCAATGGTTCTTGGGCCAACAGCCGTGCTTTAAATTCCCTACCAGTGCCTTCCTATATATATATATATATATATTTTTTTTTTGAGTCGAAGTTTCACCTTTGTTGCCCAGGCTGTAGTGCAATGGCATGATCTCGGCTCACCGCAACCTCCGCCTCCCGGGTTCAAGCAATTCTCCTGCTTCAGCCTCCCAAGTAGCTGGAATTACAAGCATGTGCCACCACACCTGGCAAATTTTGTATTTATAGTAGAGACGAGGTTTCTCCATGTTGGCCAGGCTGGTCTCAAACTCCTGACCTCAAGTGATCCGCCTGCCTAGGCCTCCCAAAGTGCTGGGATTACAGGCGTGAGCCACTGCGCCCGGCTTCCAATAGAATTTAATGTAGGCCAACATGTAATTTAAAAATTTCTAATAGCCACATTTTAAAATGTGCTATATGTACTATCTTCAATTTCTTAGAGCATATCTCAATTAAGACTAGCCACATTTCAAGTGCTCACTACTCATATGTGGCTATTATTACGTAGTGTATTATGCCATTCTTGTGTTGCTGTAAAGAAATACCTGAGATTGAGTAATTTATAAAGAAAAGAGGTTTAATTGGCTCACAGTTCCACAGACTACAGGAAGCATGGCAGCATCTGCTTCTGGGGAGGCCTCAGGGAGCTTTTACTCATGGTGGAAGGCAAAGAGGGAGCAGGAGGAAGAGAGAGAAGGTTGAGGTGCCACACACTTATAAATGACCAGATCTCACAAGAACTCATTATCACAATGACAACAGCAAGAGTATGTGGTGTTAAGCCATAAGAAATCGCCCCCATGATCAATTCACCTCCCACCAGGCCCACCTCTAGCACTGGGGATTATAATTCAACATAAGATTTGGGTGGCGACAAATATCCAAACCGTATCACATAGTACACTCCTAGACTGTGCTTAAAGCCTTCTTTAAGGACTCTAAACAATTGTCACAGCTAATCAAATCTGCCCAATGATGTGTAGCCCCTTATACGGAAGCCCCCACATTGGTTTGAACATAATACCTGGTACTGAATAATAGCATTTCAAACTTTAAAGTTAGTTTTTCAGCAGTACACTTTTTTTTTCTCTTTCTTTCTTTCTTTCTTTTTTTTTTTTTTTTTTTGAGAGGAATCTCACTCTGTTGCCCAGGCTGGAATGCAATGGCATGATCTTGGCTCACTGCAACCTCCACCTCCAGGGTTCAAGCGATTCTCCTGCCTCAGCCTCCCAAGTAGCTGGGATTACAGGCATGCACCATGATGCCCCACTAATTTTTGTATTTTTAGTAGAGACCTGGTTTCCCCATGTTGACCAGGCTGGTCTCGAACTCCTGACCTCATGTGATCCACCTGCCTCTGGGATTACAGGCGTGAGCCACCGCGCCTGGCCAGTGTTACACAATTTTTTTTTTTTTTTTTTTTTTTTTTTTTTTTTTTGAGACAGAGTTTCACTCTTGTTGCCCAGGTTGGAGTGCAATGGCACAATCTCAGCTCACCGCAACCTCCGCCTCCCGAGTTCAAGCGATTCTCCTGCCTCAGCCTCCTGAATAGCTGGGACTACAGGCATGCGCCACCACATCTGGCTAATTTTGTATTTTTAGTAGACATGGGGTTTCTCCATGTTGGTTAGGCTGGTTTCGAATTCCCAACCTCTGGTGATCCACCTGCCTCTGCCTCCCAAAGTGCTGGAATTACAGGCGTGAGCCACCATGCCCAGCCAGTGGTACATATTTTTAAAACTAAAGATCAAGAGCTGGATTTTAAAATGAGCTAGATGTATGCTACTCAGTAGAAATAAAATGAAACAGGCCTGTTAAAGCTGTTACAAGAGGATTCTCCTGGTTTACATCTGTGGGAAGCTATGGTATCTTCTGGGAAGCCATTGAGAACTGAGAGGAGCAAACACATTCCTGTATTTGACACTGGGCATCTTCCTAAGGCCTAGGCGTGCCACATGTGAGCAGGATAAGTGAGGCATTCATAGTTTCAGCTTTCAAGGAGATCATAAGCTAGTACAATGGACAAAAATAATCTTCTGAATTACTAAATTGGTCGTGTTAATTTTAGAACTGAAAAAGTAAATTCCTTTTGAACTTCATGAAGATCAATGGTCAGAATTTCAAAATTAATGTTGGATATTATTAGGTGTAGATTGTTACTTGAAGCCTCTTCTACCAGGGAAAACACATCTTACAAAATTTGTAACCATAGTAGGTGGAGAGTAAAGTTTTCCTTCTAGGGTGGGAAAGCAAAGGAGTAGATGGTGGTTAGATACTGGCTTTGAAGTTTGTGACTCAAAAACTGTGTGACTCTAGAAAAGTTACTTACTCTTGAGTATTTTAGTGCATTCATCTATGCAGACTTTAAGAATTAAAATGATGTATATAAATACATTTAGTCGTGGTAAGCACATTGTGAGGGCTTGATAGAGATTCAGTGTTTTAAAATTGGTTTCAGGGCCGGGTATGGTGGCTCACGCCTGTAGTCCTAGCACTTTGGGAGGCCATGGTGGGCGAATCACGAGTTCAGGAGATCGAGACCATCCTGGCTAACACGGTAAAACCCCGTCTCTACTAAAAGTACAAAAAAAAAAAAAAAATTAGCTGGGCGTGGTGGCTGGCGCCTGTAGTCCTAGCTACTCAGGAGGCTGAGGCAGGAGAATGGTGTGAACCCGGGAGGTGGAGCTTGCAGTGAGCCAAGATTAAGCCACTGCATTCCAGCCTGGGTGACAGAGACTCCATCTAAAAAAAAAAAAAAAAAATTAGTTTCAACAGGGCTAATAATCTCTGCAAAAGATTATATTCACAGATGTATAAAAGGCTAGATTCTGATCTATGGAGTGTAACAATTGGTCATTTTTTAATCAACTGAAATTCATTTGGTAGAATGGAAATGAAATCCCACCACTAGTTTTCCTGTGAGGCTGACAAGTCAAGCTGGGGTCCATAAGTCCCTGAAATTGCATGCAAAATTTGGTGTCTGTGTTTCTTGGTAGAATTTTTAAAGAGAGATCCATGACTCAAAGACCCACCATCTAAATGGCCTTCCTGTGAAGATACTTGAGCACTGTAAGAGAGAAATACATGTTACACAAGCCAAGAATACCAAATCTGCCTTGCTTCTCTAAGACAATATAAGAAAAAGAATGAAATACCTTTTCTCTTCTTTTTAGAGTCAACAACAATGGTTCCATGAACTGATGGAGAAAACACATGCCTCTTATTAGAGGCAACAACAATGGTCCATGAACTGATGGAGAAAATGAATTGGTGGGTCACAAATGTAGTCCTCTGGTTGGTCCTTTTAAAAATAACCTTGCCTTGACATTTAGTTTGCTTTTTCCTGATATTTCTCTCCCACTCCTCTCAAACTCAGATCAGGGTCTTAAGACATCATGCTTTACATGATGCATGTGTTCGCAAGCCAAGAAATATGAGTTTCAAGTGTGTCATCTTACATAGTAATTGTCTCAATCATGTAAGTCCAAATATTTTCTTATAGTCCTGGCTGATTCGTCAAGGTACTGTTCTGTGTAATGGAGAGAAACTAAATCATCTATAACCTACTATTTCCAAGGCTAAAATAATAGAGAAGTTCAAATTTAGTCTGAGTCTGTTCAGGACATCAGCACTTGTTTATTACTAAGTGTTCCCTCTTCTGCTGTATACTTTCTCCCTGAACCTGTACCCTAGTTTGCTATTGCTGGAGGGATGCCTTAGAATCAGTCTTTGAAACTCTTCTAATGTTTATAATACCTCCTAATCCATTGGATCCAAATATTGAAAATGGATGAGATTTTCCTAAATCATGCTTAGAAAGGTAGCCTAAATCTTTTAGCATTCTCCGAAATCAACTGGAGAGTTAAAAACAAACAAACGGCCGGGCGCGGTGGCTCATGCCTGTAATCCCAGCACTTTGGGAAGGCGAGGCGGGCGGATTGCAAGGTCAGGAGATCGAGACCATCCTGGCTAACACGGCGAAACTCCGTCTTTACTAAAAATGCAAAAAAAATTAGCCGGGCGTGGTGGCGGTGCCTGTAGTCCCAGCTACTCGGGAGGCTGAGGCAGGAGAATGGTGTGAACCCGGGAGGCGGAGCTTGCAGTCAGCCGAGATGGCGCCACTGCACTCCAGCCTGGGCGACAGAGCGAGACTCCGTCTCAAAACAACAACAACAACAAAAAACACACACACACACATACACATATTTGGATCTCGATTCATTCCCATTGAATCAGAATGTGTGGGAGAATCTTTATTTTTTACAGCTCTTCCTAAGTGACTCTGTTAATTAGAATATACTTCTCCTAGGCCGCGCATGGTGGCTCATGTCTGTAAATCCCAGCACTTTGGGAGGCTGAGGCAGGCGGATCACCTGAGATGGGGAGTTTGAGACTAGGCTGACCAACATGGAGAAACCCCGTCTCTACTAAAAAATACAAAATTAGCCAGAGGTGGTGGCGTATGCCTGTAATTCTAGCTACTCGGGAGGCTGAGGCAGGAGAATCGCTTGAACATAGGAGGCGGAGGTTGCGGTGAGCCGAGATTGCGCCATTGCACTCCAGTCTGGGCAACAAAAGGGAAACTCTGTCTCAAAAAAACAAAACAAACAACAAAAAAAGGATATACTTCTCCTAGCTGGGCATGGTGGCTCATGCCTGTAATCCCAGCACTTTGGGAGGCCGAGGCAGGCAGATCATTTGAGGTCAGGAGTTTGAGACAAGCCTGGCCAACATGGCGAAACCCCATCTCTACTAAAAATACAAAAATTAGCCGGATGCGGTGGCTGGTGCCTGTTATCCCAGCTATTCGGGAGGCTGAGGCAGGAGAATCACTTGAACATGGGAGGCGGAGGTTGCAGTGAGCCAAGATCGCACCACTGCACTCACTAGGTCCATACAATAAAAAGAGGTAAATTTGGACAGTCCAGTGGCTCATTTATATGAACTGTCATAAGTATAGTTTTCTATATCTATGAATTAGCCCCATTTTAAAGTACAAGCATATATAGTCTCATTAAAACTTAATTTGTTGTTTTCTATCCATGGGTCACATCAGAGGTGGGTTTTTTTGTGTGTGTGTTTTTGTTTGCTTTGTTTGTTTGTTTTGAGACAGGGTCTCACTCTATCACCCAGGCTGGAGCACAGTGGCACAATCTCGGCTCACTGCAACCTCTGCCTGCCAGGCTCAAGTGATTCTCATGCCTCAGCCTCCTGAGTAGCTGGGATTACAGGCATGTGCCACCAGATCTGGCTAAGTTTTGTATTTTTAATAGAGATGAGGTTTTGCCATGTTAGCCAGGCTGGTCTTGAATTCCTGGCCTCAAGTGATCTACTTGCCTTGACCACGGTGCTGGGGTGACAGGCATGAGCAATAGTACCTGGTCATGTTATTTTGCAAAATGCTGTCATAGAAGCAAACCCATGTCTATTTTAATCCTATGGTTCCTCAATATATAGCTCAGATCTTTCACCTGGAAAATCCTTGCAAAAAGAAACCACTTAATCACATTATTCTTTGGAGTTCTGTGAAACTGAATGATAAAACTGAAACTCATATGAGTAATCCACTCATTTTATCTTCTTTTTCATTGATACTGTTTTATTTGCCGTATTTGAAGGACTATTTAAACTATTTAAAGCTACAGTCACACTTCCCCTGCTCTGAAGAAGGGCTAAGGAAAGGCAGTGGGAATAAAGAATTCTTTTTCTACTGCATTGTATGAGTTGTCTAGGACAAGGAAATCAGACAGCTCCCAGCATACCCATTGTCAGAGTTCCCTGGCACAACTTCAGAATTGTATTCAAAAGTATTTTCACAACAGTAGGCACCCACTTAATTAAATACAAGCACATAATCAAAAAATAGATATAAATATTTAGTTATCACCAAGGTCTTAGCTTCCTTTCTCTAAATGCAAACCAGGGCCATCTGAGCATACATTAAGAAATGCAGAAGAATTATTGGAATGGCCTTTTGATCCCAAGAGATATGGCACAGAGACGTTTAGAGAAGTGTGCCACATGATCTTCTCAGGAACATGGGAAAGGCACCAGGACCAGAGTGAGGCAGAGGTTGACATTAACTGAAGTTTGGACACCTTTGAGTAACTGTATCTCAAAGAGAAATGTAGTAGAAAAAAAACAAGGACCTTGAAATTAGATAGATCCCGGGCTCAAGTCTTTGTTTCAATCCTAATAGCTTTGTATTTGGGGGCAAGTTATTTAATGCTTTTATTTCCTCAACAGGAAAGTGTGCCTCACAAGACAACTTTACAGTGTTCTTTCCATTTCAATGAAATAACATCCAAAGAGCTGAGCACAGTATTTAGCACAGAGTCAATGCTGCTGATCAAAACTTTTTTTTTTTTGCCATCTCATCTTCACTCTGCCCTCCCTGGCCCAAGCTATCTCCATCAAGTTAAGAAAGACCTGAACTAGAAAGGAGTGGAAGAGACGTTAAAGCCACGCTCTCACTGATTATTGAACAAACAGGATGGTTCATCTCCCTCCTATGGAAGAGAAAGGGCTACTGATGTTAAACTCTACAAATGAGTTGAAAACCATTGAAATGAACTCTGGAAGTCAAGCCCCTCTGATTAATACTTATCTAAGTGAGATTACCTGTTTTGCAATAACAGGTCATTGGTTGCAACCCAAGATGGTGGAGTTAGGGGATCTAGGGGAGCTGCAAAGTTAGGTCAATAATAAACCGTTAGAAAGCCATGAATTACACAGTCATGGAGTCAGGACCCCATTATAATATCATAGTGGTTCTTCTGCAATCAACTGACAATGATGTAGTCTCATGTTCACAAAAAAGGACAGTTCCAAAAGCAGTCAGGTAATTATCAGCATTATTTATCTGACTTTGTTTCCCAGCATTTACACAGTGGTTTCCTAACAGTTTCAGTTCCTCATGAATTATTTCTAATAAGGGGTTGCTATAGTCTCAATGCTGGTGACTCCCACAAATTCATATGTTGAAATCTGATTGTCAAAGTGATGGTGTTAGGAGGTAGAGAATTTAGGAGGCGATGAGTTCATAAGGGCTGAGTTCTCATGAAAGGGATTAGTGCCCTTATAAAAGAGGTTCCAGAGAGCTGCCTTACCTCTTCCACCATGTAAGGCTACAGTGAGAAGATGGCCCTCACCAAACCCCAAATCTTCTGAGGCCTGGATCTTGAACTTCCCAGCCCCTAGAACAGTGAGAAATAAATTTTTGTTGTGAATGAGCAACCCAGCTTATGGTGTTTTGTTGAGACAGCCTGAACAGACTAAGGCAGAGATATTCTAAGCTGGACATCCCATCTCAAACACAAAACAACTGTTTTGTTTGACCTCAAAAACCAACCTGCATCATGAATAATTGTTTTTGATTTGCCCTTGTTTTCTGGATATGAATTGATTTCCAAAAATTATCAACTGTTCCACACTTTTTAGCTTGTGGCAACATTCTAAATCATAAAAGTGTTAATAAACACATCAATAACTTTCCCTTAAGACTGAGCATAAACAAATAGGATATTTCCTGTATCATAGTTTGTATGATATCAGTAATATACTTAATGTCTCAAAAGATTATAGTTAGGCAATAGATAAGTATTGAATTGAAGTGAGTAGTTTGACTATTAGAGGAAGAATAAGAAGTAGTAACGTATAACACAATCTTTTATATTCTTTTTTGGGGTTGGGGATTCTAAAAGACGAAAATGCTTTTCCACAGTTGAATTCAAATATATCTAATTACATGTCTTTCACTTTCAGTAGTTTATAAGCTCCTTGCACTTTCTTTGAATCACCAATGTCTAACAGTGCCTTGCACAAAGTAAGACCCTAAAGATGGCATCTCTCTCACTTAAAGACCAGATTCTTTGTAAGTGGAGCACAAATTTCCTAGGACTACTGTAACAAATTGCCACAGGATGGGTTCCTTAAAACAACTGAAATTTATTCTCTTACAGTTCTTGAGGCTAGAAGTTTGAAATCAAGATGTTGGCCAGGCATGGTGGCTCACACCTGTAATCCCGGCACTTTGGAGGAGAGAAGTGGGAGCATCACTTGAGCCCAGGAGTTTAAGACCGGCCTGGGCAAAAGAGCAAGACCCCCTCTCTATAAAATAAAAAAATAAAATAAAATAAAATAAAATAAAAAGAAAATCAAGGTGTCAGCAGTGTAGGTTCCTTCTGGAGGCTCTAAGAAAAAATTCATTTCGTGCCTCTCTCCTAATTTCTTATGGTTGTCAGCAAATCTTAAAGTTCTTTGGTTTGCAGCTACATATCTCAATCTCTGCCTCTGTCTTCATGGCCTTCTTCCTGTGAGTCTGTGTGTGTCTGTATCCAAATCTCCATCTTCTTTCTCTCAGTAAGATAATAGTCATTAGATTGAAAGCACACCTTATTCTAGTGTACCCTCACCTTAATTTGATTATCTCTGCAATCCTATTTCCAAATAAAGTCACATTCACAGGTACGGGTGATTAGGACTCC
Source organism: Homo sapiens (assembly GCF_000001405.40). Lineage (NCBI taxonomy): Eukaryota > Metazoa > Chordata > Mammalia > Primates > Hominidae > Homo > Homo sapiens. The sequence goes on along the minus strand of NC_000009.12, from coordinate 72,340,301 downwards.
AGCATATCTTTTTGGGAGACACAATTTAACCAACTACATTGAGGACACAATAAGAACTAGAAAGTGTGGGCCGGGCGTGGTGGCTCACGCCTGTAATCCCAGCATTTGGTAGGCTGAGGTGGGCAGATCACCTGAGGTCAGGAGTTCGAGACCAGCCTCAACATGGAAAAACCCCGTCTCTACTAAAAATACAAAATTAGCCGGGCGTAATGGTGCATGCCTGTAATCTCAGCTACTCGGGAGGCAGAGGCAGGAGAATTTCTTTAACCTGGGAGGCGGAGGCTGCGGTGAGCTGAGATTGCGCCATAGCACTCCAACCTGGGCAACAAGAGCAAAACTCTGTCTCAAAAATAAATAAATAAATAAAAGAAGAATTAGAAAGTGTGGCCAAAGAATCTTGCTTTAACTATTAAAATATGATGCAGAAAGAACAATTATGTTGACTATAATTCAGGTATGCTTTTACATGAATATTAGTTACAAAGATTTTAGCCACAGATAAAAACTTTATCAATGTGCACCACTTCTTTGATGTGACAGATTCAATAAAGGAATAAATAGCTCTCTTTGAGAAGTTCCATTATGACCACAAAAACATTTAGTTTACCATGGTTGTGGGAAATATTGACATTGATTTTACATGTTGATACACACTATGAAACATTCAGAGGAAATGATCTCTGGTTATGCAACAGAAACAATGCTAAGTGCTTGCTACTGACAAAGACTCTCTTCTTGACAAAATTCTAGCAAGCCCCTTTGAGCTCGTTTTCAACAGGGCCCACGCTTGGGCCTGTCCTCAAGAGCCTGATTTTAGCAAGAATTCTGCTAAGCTAGTTTAGCCATGATCCCTCATCCTTGCTATCTGATCACTCTTAATTTCTGACCAAATTCATCTCTCACCATCCCCCAGGTGATTTCCGATCACCCTAGCAAGAACCCTTCTTCTTGCTGAAGATCTCCCTTCAGCAAGAACCCTGTTAGGTCGGTTAGCTAGAATCCTCTCTTACCTCTGATGTTTCCTCTTAGTAACCATTCCTTGTATTTCTTTTTCCATCCACTGTGCTTCTTGGCTATACATTCCCACTTTTCCTTGCTGTACACAGAGTTGAGTCCAATCTCCCTCCACTGCTGTGCAACTCCATTTCGGTAGTTGCTATACCTATCATGATGGTCCTGAATAAAGTCCACCTTACCATTTTCACAAATGTCGCAAATCATTTTTTCTTTAATATCACCCCAGTTCCTCTACTTCTGCACATTGTAAGATAACAATCCTCAGGTTTCCTTGCAGTTAGCTGTGTGTCAGAGTCTGAGCCAGGAATGGTGGGTAGAATGAAGGTAAGTCACTTCTAAGTTTGACCCTTGAAAACGTTCCGCTTGAAACTCCTTCCTCTCATTTCTCTGCTAGAGTGACTCTGGGACCACATTTTCCAGTGGCATAGTCATCAGAGGAAGGAGAGCCTACCCAGTGTGATGTGAATAAATGGATGAGGTTCCACTGCATTACTACTTCATGGCCCAGTTCCCTAATGCAGGCTACGGATCATGCAAGTTTACAGCATCATCTAACGGTAAGAAAACTAACTGTGTATTTAAAGCCCTTGGAATCAAAGACTGTTTGTGATGTGCTCATCTTTGTATTCCCCAGCACATTTCACAGTGCCTGGCTCACCACCATGCTTGTTTCTCTCTCTCTCTCTTTTCTTTTCTTTTTTTTTTTTTTTTGAGACGGAGTCTCACTCTGTCTCCCAGGCTGGAGTGTGGTGAGGCGATCTCGGCTCACCGCAACCTCTGCCTCAGGGGTTCCAGCAATTCTCCTGCCTCAGCCACCTGAGTAGCTGGGATTACAGGCGCACACACCATGCCTGGCTAATTTTTTGTATTTTTACTAGAGACAGAGTTTCACCATGTTGGCCAGGCTGGTCTCGAATTCCTGACCTCAAGCGATCCGCCTGCCTAGGCCTCCCAGAGTGCTGGGATTACAGGTGTGAGCCACCACGCCCAGCCCAGCATCTTATTTTCTTAAATACTTAAAAGAAAGAGAAAAATCAGTGACAACAACAACAAAAAGCAGCGAGTGACTCCCATGTGCCAAGCCCTCTGGTGTTAAACAGGTAGAACATATTTACTTTATTTACTTATTTATTTATTTATTTTTAAGACAGAGTTTTGCTCTTGCCCAGGCTGTAGTGCAATGGCATGATCTTGGCTCACTGCAACCTCCGCCTCCTGGGTTCAAGCGATTCTCCTGCTTCACTCTCCTGACTAACTGGTATTACAGGTGCATGCCACCACACCCAGCTAGTTTTTGTATTTTTAGTAGAGATGGGGTTTCCCCATGTTGGTCAGGCTGGTCTCGAACTCCTGACCTCAGGTGATCTGCCTACCTCGGCCTCCCAAAGTGCTGGGATTACAGGCGTGAGCCAATGTGCCCAACCTACTTTAGAGGAAAAAATAGTAACTATGTACTCCAAAGTTGGGAAACTAGCTAATAAAGTTATTAAAACATCCTGCATTGTCCACCAGGAATTATTGGTTATTTTATTCACAAAAAATGTAACAACATATGGGGAAAATCATCTAGAAGAAACCTCATCAGTTCATATAAAATTCTTTAAAAAGGAAAAAGGTTTCAGTGGCACCAATCTGGCGAATCTAGAGCAGTGGCCAGTTTGTGATGAGCCACATCCGGAATGAAGTGGGGGAGCTCACAACTGGACATCTTAGCAAATACCAAATCCAGGTGTGTCAGTTGGGACAACTGGGGGAGGAGGTGTGGTGGGCTGTGCAGCCGGGGGAAACTTCACCAAAATGACTAGAGAAATGAGAAGAACAATTATAACTGACAGATAGGAACAGCCTGCTCAGATACGCTAAAAATGAGTCAGGCCTTCAGGATGATGACAACTTTGACAAGGATTTTGGAGGTAACAACAAATGGAAAGCTTTATGTATCCAGTTCAACACAACTGTTCATTAGAGCCCCCGAGGGTTTGATGCATTTAGCAAATGACTATTTTATGTGCTTTTTAATTTTCAGATGCTTCCATAAATTCATAGTCTTAAAAGGAAGACATTTCTTCAGAGCTCTGTAAATCTTACAGTCTGAGTCCTAAGGGAGTTGGTGGAGGTGGGAATACTTTGTATTTGCTAAGCATGACAATAATGTGGCAAAGATTTTAAGACTGTGCTCCAGCTGCAAACAAACTTTGCCAATTTCTTCCTTAGGAAAAATGAAAATAATTTTTTTTTTGAGATGGAGTCTTGTTCTGTCACCCAAGCTGGAGTACAGTGGCACCATCTTGGCTCACTGCAACCTCTGCCTCCCAGGTTCAAGCAATTCTCCTGCCTCAGCCTCCCAAGTAGCTGGGACTACAAGCATACTCCATCACACCTGGCTAATTTTTGTGTTTTTAGTAGAGATGGGGTTTTACCATGTTGCCCAGGCTGGTCTCGAACTCCTGACCTCAAGTGATCTGCCCGCCTTGGCCTCCCAAAATGCTGGGATTGCAGATGTGAGGCACAGTGCCAGCCTAGAAAAATGAAAATAATTCTTATGGTGATTACAGCTCATTCTTATCCAGCCGCCCACTCCCAACATCTCTTTTTTTATATCTTGTAAACTCATTTGTTGTAATTAAGTCAATTAAATTTCTTTCAAAAAGTTCTATAATTCAGACTTGCCTGTACTTACCTGTTTTCTATTTAGAAATAAGATTGATGAAGTATTGAAATTTTAGCTTTAGCTATAATTTGCTAAGTGGATACAGGAATTTTAAAAATGAATTTGCATTCTCCTAACATTTAAAGGGAATATTACCAGAATTGGGAAATTTCAGAGGGTAACTGGAAATGGAGATGAGAATAACGTGATTTATTGGGTAGGAGGAGAGATGGACACGCCAGGACACTTTTGAAGGTTTATGTACCATGTCTGGCCATACTCTAGAAATAATAGAGAATTTTATTAAAAAGAAAGTAACAGGCTGGGCGCGGTGGCTCACGCCTATAATCCCAGCACTTTGGGAGGCTGAGGCGGGCAGATCATGAGGTCAGGAGATCGAGACCATCCTGGCTAACACGGTGAAAACCCATCTCTACTAAAAAAAATACAAAAAATTAGCCGGGCGTGGTGGTGGGCGCCTGTAGTCCCAGCTACTCGGAAGGCTGAGGCAGGAGAATGGCATGAACTTGGGAGGCGGAGCTTGCAGTGAGCCGAGATTGTACCACGGCACTCCAGCCTGGGCGACAGAGCCAGATTCCATCTCAAAAAAAAAGTAACATTGCAGTCAATAATCAAGATAATTTTTCTTATAAATCTAAATTTCTATTTATTTATTTATTTTTAGAAACAGCATCTTGCTCTGTTGCCCAGGATGGAGTGCAGTGGTGCGATCACAGCACACTATGGCCTTGAACTCCTCTGCTCAAGTGATTCTCCTCCCACCTCAGCCTCCCTAGTAGCTGGAACTACATGTGCAAGGCCAGAAATCTAAACTTTTTACTTCATTTTTAGTTAAGGGTTTTAGTCCTCTTTTCTTACTCCTTAATAAATTACTTGGACATACTTACATGAACAGAGAATAAATAATTATTTTTCTTCTCTTCATGATGATTAGGAAATAAATTGTTCACTGGGCACGGTGGCTCACGCCTGTAATCGCAGCACTTTGGGAGGCTGAGGCAGGCGGATCACCTGAGGTCAGGAGTTCGAGACCGTCTCGGCCAACATGGAGAAACCCCGTCTCTACAAAAATACAAAAGTTAGCCAGGCATGGTGGTGGGCGCCTGGAGCAGCTACCTGGGAGGCTGAGGCAGGAGAATCTCTTGAACTCGGGAGGTGGAGGTTGCAGTGAGGCGAGATCGGGCCATTGCACTCCAGCCTGGGTGACAGAGCAAAACTCCGTCTCAAAAAAAAAAGAAAGAAAGAAAAATAAATTATTCTTCCTTAATTAGCTTGATTTAATTATTCCATAATGAATACATATACATGAAAATATCACATTGTACCTCATAAATATATGCAATTATTAATTATCCATTAAAAATAAAATACATTTTTTAAAAGAATTAAAATAAAATAAATGGCTCCTCAGAGCAGAGAGATGTGAACTGAGCCTCAGGAAAACCGCAGGCTACTTCTGGGTCTGCCGTGAAGCAGCTGTGTGACCACAGACTAGTGCCTTGACCTCTAAGACCCTCAGTTTTCTTCACCTGTAAAATGAAGGCTTGGCTTTAGACAGTATATTCAGGTTCTTTCCAGCTTTAACATTTTAGGATTCTAGATGAGGAGAAAGACTCTTATTCAGAGACTCATTTCCTCTTCAATAGGACAGGATGAGAACTCAGAGGGTGTGGCCACTAACCTGTCTTTCCTGAGGCTCTCCTTGTCTTGTCTGGGCATTGGCTGGCCTCCTTACATGTCACCATGAGGCATTCTTCCTGGCCACCAATGTTTTGTTTAGACTTTCCCATACTATCTACCCAGAGTCTTTCAATTTGCTTCAAGCTTAACTGTGGTCAGTTCGGAGTTGAAATTCAAGTGCACAACGTGACAATGACGTCTGTGCCTTTGTTTCTGGAATAAATAGGTAAACTCTGAGGCGGAGAGGAAAGAGGGAGTGGTTCTTGCACTAGAGTGGAACTAACAGCCCATCTACTTCATAAGGCATCGATGAATTGAAAAAACAAAACTCTTTGCAGACCCCATTTCTTTCTTTTCTTTTCTCTTTTCTTTTCTTTCTTTTTTTGAGACAGAATCTCACTCCATCACCCAGGCTGAAGTGCAATGGCACGATATTGGCTCACTGCAACCTCCGCTTCTCAGGTTCAGGTGATTCTCCTGCCTCAGCCTCCCAAGTAGATGGGATTACAGGCATGAGCCACAATGCCTGGCTAATTTTTGTGTTTTTACTAGAGACAGGGATTCACCATGTTGGTCAGGCTGGTCTCGAACTCCTGACCTCAGGTGATTCGCCCACCTCGGCCCCCCAAAGTGCTGGGATTACAGGCGTGCAAGAGCCACCACACCAGGCCCTCAGATCCCATTTCTCAAGTGAAATTCTGTGGGAGACCATTGAGATTCACTGAGGCGCAACACACCCGTCAGATGAACTTCTGGTAAATGATAATGATGGAGCCGGAGGAATCAAGCTTTGAGAAGGTCGTTTCATCATAAAGGCTGTGATTTCCTCACAGTTTGTTTCATTGACAAATGTTCTTTCTCCTCAGAACTGAACCCCTACAATGTGAGAAGACTCTCACAATTGCCTTTCTCAAGAACACCACCTTGGCCACTTCACCTTTCCCTGTAGAGCGCCACCTGTCTTTCCCTGGATGGATGCAGGATGCTGCCTCCACAGGGCCACAGAAGCCATTGTTCCAAGAAGCACCGGCTTCTTGGGCTTTTAGTTTAATCAGTCTCCATGTTACGACCTAGAGTTCTGTCTCCTCCTTATTTTCCCATCAATCCCCACAGCAGAATGCATTCCTCTTCCAAGTATCTCCAACAGTTGACTGCTCATCTTCCCCTCAGATGTCAGTGAGAGTCTATTAAATGGCCCAATCTTGAAATCTTTCTGATGAAGACAAATGAGAAATCAACTTATGAAACAGCTCCTAGTTACATTTAAAGTCTCTCCATTTCCTTTAGTTTCTCTTTGCTCCAAGGCTTGAATATAAAATGGAGACAGGGTTTCAGCGACAGATGGCAGAGGATAATCTTTCATTTTGTCATAAAGTTAACCCTTGGAGGGGCCTGAAAAGACCTTTCTCTTGGACAATCAGTGGCTTCATATTTCCTTGCTTTTAACTGGGTGGAAAAAGCTCTTTTCTGATTTTCAGAGAGCATGCCTTTCCTCTAGGCTAACCCACATCGCAAGACACTCAGACGAGGCTGGCCTCTCCATTCTGATTTATTTATGCTGCTTGTAGGTGCCTTGCACATTTTAATTAATGATGATTTGACTGTGCTTGAGCCCTGGCGATAAATACAAAAACAGGGCTCTTAAAGATAATCCAATAAACAAACCCAAGAAAAGCTATCTTCCAGTATTATTTGTTGCCATTTTTAAAGGGGACAGATGACTAAATGAAATACAATACTGAAATTAATTTTTAAGGTTGGTAAACAGTAACTATAACCGTGACTAAAAAATGCCCATTAAATCTTATACTGGCTAAGAAATCACAATTCTATGTGATGAAGCATTTGTTTTATTCCTTGAACAAGTTCAGCCAAAGGGGGTTATGATTTAATGAGTGGAGAATTCTTGTATTAGGTGTTGTAGCAAAGCCGAGAGACTGTCACTAAGACCAAATAGCTTCCAATCTTAATCAATAGATGACAAAGAAGCCAAATGACAAGTTTTCTTTAAGGCAAAATCCTGAGCATTTTTGATCATTTAAGTGAAAGGAGAATCTAGATGGTTCCAAGTATGTAAGGAGACAGAACGTTCACTCAGAGTGAAGGAAATGTTAAATAAAGAAAAAACTTAAGTTGGGTGTGATGTCTGTGCTAAGTCACAACACATGAAGGTCAAAGTCCTCATGTTTGTATTTGGGGGCACAGCACATCGAGGCGGATGGGTCTTTATATGGCTTTGCATAATGGTAAGGATGGAGAATGTATACAGCATAGCAACGCAGGGAGACCTGGATTGCATTAGAATCCTGAACAGAGACAAGCCATTTCTGCTCATGTTAGCACTCTCTCCCGAGCTGCTCTCCTACACCCAAAGGCTGACTCCAGAGATATTAAGGAGCAAGAACAATCCCTTTGTAAGGAATGAGGGGGTGGAGAATTGAGAGAAGACTGATGTTGTAATCTGGTTCTCTCATATCACACACCATTTCTGTGATGGAGTAATTGCTTTTTCTGTTTCAAAAAAACCAGACCCATATCCCAGGTCTGGGGAATATTGGAATCATTGTTTAAGAGGACAGACAATTGGGGTAGCAAAGAATAACAGGAAAGGATCAGGGGGAAAATAGAGGGGCTTTAAAACCTAAACATGGGATTTTCTCCTGTAGAATGCCTGAAGGCTTTCTAGCATGCTCTCTTTTTCTGGGTAGTGACCCAAGACTGGGGACACCCAAACCTCCCACATAAGTTTTCAATATGTAGTTCCCTTTAAAGAAGGGAATTTTTCCTTGGAAAAGGATTTTTTGTTTTTTGTTTTTTTTGTTTGTTTGTTTGTTTTTTTTTTGGCCTCTAGCAAAATGCAAGAGCCACAATGAAGGACAACACCTTCACATGTAAAAACCTTTAACACTCATTCGTACATCACTCAGATCCTATAACTGAGTTTTCAGAAAAACTGTTTGGGATCTATGGTATCATGAATTAATTTTGTTATGAGGGAAGCTATCTTTTGTGTGCCCCTGTAAGGACCGGACTACCATGTCCCACATTTTTCCTCCCAAAGTTGAAAAAATCTCCAAATCTCTGATTTACACATTTTGGGACCCATCAAAGTGGTAACTATCTGTGTTCAGATTTCACAGTCTTTAGGGGCTGGTGACAGAGATGAAGCAAGCAGCAGTGCAGATAAACATGGGAGTGGAATGTGACACACACCTAGCTCCCAAAAAATAATTAGGGAAAGATGATTCTTGCACGATAGAAAGGCTGACCCTTAAATTACTCAGGTAAAGTGTTTAACATGATGTCTGTTCCACAGTAATGCTCAATAAATCTTTACTAACAAAAAGGAGTTTTCAGAAGAACAGTCACAGGGCAAAGATCAGAACAGGTGAGCAAGGCTAAATAGCGGGAGAAAAGAATTTTGAGAAGGTGTCCATGCTCTATCATCTCAGATAATATGGAATCAATTAAGGACTGAGAAGGGGCCTCATGGAGATCTGGCAAGACGTTCATCGCTGACTTTGACGATAACAGTGGTTAGTAGAGTGGCTGAAGATGGAATCAGATGCCAGTAGGGTAAGGGAAAGAATGAAGGTATGAAGGGAAACTTTGCAGGGAAGACAGAGTGACAGGACAGACCAAGATAAAGTTCTTTAGGATGGGATAGAATTAAGCAGACTAAGGAAAAGGAGGTACTATAGTAACTATGTTAAAGCCCAGTGATACTCTTTGTTGCTTGCAAGGGCTAAGGCATATAGTTCTACCATAAGCTCAAGAGTGGAGAGTCAAAATCTAGATTCTGGATTCAAGGTTTCACAATAAATTCACTGCACTAGCTTCGGCAGTTATTTAATGCTCCCTGGGTCTCAATCCATCAACAAATAATACCAAATATGAAGAGTATATAATACTATATTCCATAAGCATTACTATACAAAAATCCATATGCATGTAATCTGTATCAAGCAGACAGAAAATGCTTTGAAAGTAATGGTGATAGAAAACAGTGATAAGAAAGCATGAAGTGTTATCAGCAAAATGGCTGTTGCAATGACTGCTACATATGCTATTTTCTACTAATGGTATTATACATTCTGGTTTTTCAAATTTCAGATGCTGGGGCTATGGGACCTGGTTAATACAAGAGTAGGGGAAAATTAGTATCCTTACCAGTGTGTCATCTTTGAAGCAAAGGAGTGATTTCAGAAATGAAGAGGTCACAATAGAAGCGACAGAATAATAATGCCTCAATAATCAGTGAAATTATCTTGAGATAATGAATGCTTCTAGGAGGCAGCAGGAGTGGGGGATGAGAGGAATTAAGTGATGAAAATGGCCCTACCTAAATTTCCACATAATGGGGTTATGAAATAACCTGTATCTGTTGGGTTAGAATAGAGTAAAATAATCTTGATTTTGGTAATGTAAAATTTCTTTTTTCTGAAAACATTTTTTATTTTTGTAATTATTTTTCAAGGAAAGTTTGTGTAAGCTTTGTGCATTCTTCTTTTTATTCTTGCTGACTTACTTTTGGTCTCCATAGAGGTACTCAAAAGTTAATGAAGTGACAAATTTTTTTTTCTTTTTTTTTCCTGAGATGGAGTTTCACTCTTGTCACCCAGGCTGGAGTGCAATGGTGCGATCTCAGCTCACCGCAACCTCCACCTCTAGAGTTCAAGTGATTCTCCTGCCTCAGCCCCCTGGTAGCTGGGATTATGAGCATGCGCCACCACACCCGGCTAATTTTTTGTATTTTTAGTAGAGATGAGGTTTCAGGAGGTCTCAAAACTCCTGACCTCAAGTGATCTGCCCGCCTCGGCCTCCCAAAGTGCTGGGATTACAGGCGTTGAGCCACCGCGCCCAGCCAAAGTGGCAAAATTATATTTAGTAAAAGGGAAAGGAGTAAGGGTGGTGGTGAGAGAAAAGGCGGTGAGTGAAAACCTTCATTCAAGACTTTCATACACAATTTAACAGCTAACACTTTGATAATATTGAGGGCTTACGTGTGCAAGTGTTCTACATAAATATTACCTATGAAGTAGGTAATATTTTTATTCCCCACTTTGAAGATGAGAAAACTGAGACTCAAGGTTATTTGCTCAGTCACAGAGCTAGTAAGTGATAATGCCAGGATATTCAAACCTAGACCCAAGTGCACTCATGCTCTTAACCACTGTGCTATCTTGCTTCCCTGAAGACTCTAACAACATTTGGTCCTCAGAACCTATTCCTATGAAAGGATTTCAATGGCTCTTGAGCACTTTGCTCTCCATGACTTTTCCAGGAACCATGCTGATATTTCCATTGTTGACATCATCCCAGTGCTGCCTGCAGTTGTGTTTCCTCTTATTTATTTTCCTTATTGGAAACTAGAAGCTACAGTTATTAAATGCATTCAAATAGAGCTGCTCAGGGGAACAGACTTTCATGAAGGCCATACTCTTTAAAGGCTAACATAAAGCTTCCAAGCTCCCCCACCTTAGGAATCAGAGAAGGATGAAGGGCAGGAGACCCAGAGAGAGATTCTGTTGTCCTGACCTGAGCAGTAGACTATTCTATGCTTGTTCACCAAGAATGAGTAGCTGGGAGAGCAGAAATCCAGTTTAGGAAATATCATTCCCCAAAGAAGGAAGTCATTAACCAACATTTCTTCCTCTCTGTTAAGGTATGTGAAATGTAAGGAGAATGATTAAGAACCTAACAGGTAACAGTGATTAAGAGAAGAGGACTGGCCATCAATGGTAGACTGGATTAAGCAAATGTGGCACATATACACCATGGAATAGTATGTAGCCATAAAAAAGGATGAGTTCATGTCCTTTGTAGGGACATGGATGAAGCTGGAAACCATCATTCTGAGCAAACTATCTCAAGGACAGAAAACCAAACACCACGTGTTCTCATTCATAGGTGGGAATTGAACAATGAGAACACTTGGACACAGGGTGGGGAACATCACACACCGGGGCCTGTCATGGGGTGGGGGGAGGGGGAGGGATGGCATTAGGAGGAATACCTAAGGTAAATGACGAGTTGATGGGTGCAGCACACCAACATGGCACATGTATACATATGTAACAAACCTGCACGTTGTGCACGTGTACCCTGGAACTTAAAGTATAATAACAAATGTATATATATAAATTTTTTTTAAAAAAGAGAAGAGAATTGGAATCAGATTGCTTGGGTTCAATTCTGGTTTCATGACTTACTAGCCAAGTGAATCTTTGTGCAAATTACTTCAACTTCTCCAGATGTCAGTTTCTTCATCTGTACAAGGAATAATAATAATGCCTATTTTATAAGATTGCTGTGAAAGTTTAATGTAATTATCTATTTAAAGCTGAATATAACAAGTGCTAAATAAATATTAGATATTTGTTAACACAACTTGGGAAAGCAGGTGGTGAGGGTTGTATTAGCTTCCTAGGGCTTCTGTAACAAATGTCCACAAACTGAGTGGCTTAAAACAATAGAAATTTATTCTTCACAATCTGGGGCCCAGAAGTCTGAAATTTATGTGTTGGCAGGAATTCACTCCCTCTGCATTCCAGGTGCCTATATCCCTCCAATCTCTGCCTCCATTTTCACATGGCGTTCTCTGTGTGTCTTCTCTTCTGTCTCTTTAAGGACACTTATCATTGGGTGTAGTCCAGGATGATCTCATCTTAAGATCCTTCACTTACTTACATCTGCAAAGACCCTTTCTCCAAATAAGGTCACATTCACAGGGTCCAGGTTTTATTTATTTATTTATTTATTTATCTGTCTATTATCTGAGTGGAGTCTTACTCTGTTGCCCAGGCTGGAGTGCAGTGGCATGATCTTGGCTCACCACAATCTCCGCCTCCCAGGTTCAAGTGATTCTCCTGCCTCAGCCTCCCGAGTAGCTGGGACTACAGGCATACGCCACCATGCCCAGCTAATTTTTGTATTTTTAGCAGAGATGGGGTTTCACTACGTTGGCCAGGCTGGTCTTGAACTCCCGACTTCGTGATCCACCTGCCTTGGCCTCTGAAAGTGCTGGGATTACAGGCGTGAGCCACTACGCCTGTCCGGGTTCAGGTTTTAGAACAAGGACCTATCTTTTGGGAGGCTGTCATTCAAACCACTATAGGTGTTCAGAAACGTTTTCACTTCTCTTTTAACTACTTTCATTCCACTTTTGGCCGGGTACAATCTTTATGCTGTTTCCTAAATGCTGATGGTTCTTCCTTGACTTAGGACACTTTGCTAACTCTGTTAGGCTCGGTGCCATGGAGGATATAAAAATAAAACATCCTGGCTGGGCACAGTGGCTCATGCCTGTAATCCTAGCACTTTGGGAGGCCAAGGCGGGAGGATCATGAGTTCAGGAGTTTGAGACCAGCCTGGACAACGCAGTGAAACTCCATCTCTACTAAAAATACAAAAATTAGCTGGGCGCGGTGGTGTGTGCCTGTAGTCCCAGCTACTCGGGAGGCTGAGGCAGGAGAATCACTTGAACTCGTGAGGCGGAGGTTACAGTAAGCAGAGATCGTGCCACTGTACTCCAGCCTGGGCAACAGAGCAAGACTCCATCTCAAAAATAAATAAATACGTAAACAAATAAAATTTAAAAAAAAATCACAGACCACAAAGTAATACAAATCTGCCATGATCAAGGCCATCAGAGAAGTATAGATGAAGGCACTTAGAGGATGAGAGTTTACTTTGAAAATAAGCTAATAATTGAACTAGGTGATGGGTACATATGGGCATGTAGGTTGGGGTGTGTAGGGCTCCTTCTACGTAAGTGGAAGGAATAATGAAAGCAAATGTAAAGAAGTAGGATAGCATGGAGTATGTATTGAAAACAGCAAATTGATTTTGCTTTGGAACAGGGATCAATAAACTGGCCCATCCAGCCTACCATCTGTTTTTATATGTGCCCTGAACTAAGAATAATTTTCATATTTTAAATGGTTGAGAAAAAACAAGATAATTAAAAATTTATAACATGAAAATTATATTAAATTCAAATATTAGGATTCATAACTAAGCACAGCCACACTGTTTTGTTTACATATTGTCCATGGCTGCTTTCACACTACAATGGCAGAGTTGAGCAGTTGCGACAGAGACCACATGACTGAAGAGCCTAAAATATTTTCTGTCTGGTTTTTTTTTTTTTTTTGATGGAGTTTCCCTCTTGTTGCCCAGTCTGGAGTGTAATGGTGCAGTCTCAGCTCACTGCAACCTCTGCCTCCCAGGTTCAAGCGAGTCTCCTGCCTCAGTTTCCCCAGTAGCTGGGATTACAGGCAGATGCTACAATGCCCAGCCAATTTTTGTATTTTTAGTAGAGACAGGGTTTCACCATATTGGTCAAGGCTGGTTTTGAACTCCTGACCTCAGGTCATCTGCCCGACTCAGCCTCCAAAAGTGTTGGGATTACAGGCGTGAGCCACCATGCCCAGCCTCTATCTGGTTCTTTATAGAAAAAGTATGCGGCCAGGTGTGGTGGCTCACACCTGTAATCCCAGAACTTTGCGAGGCCAAGGCAGGCGGATCGCTTGAGCTCACAAGTTTGAGACCAGCCTAGGCAACATAGTGAAACCTTGTCTCTACCAAGAATACAAAAAAATTAGCTGGGTGTGGTGGTGTGCACCTGTGGTCCCAGCTACTCGGGTGGCTAAGGCGGGAGGATCGCTTGAGTCCCAGAGGTGGAGGTTGCAGTGAGCTGAGATCATGCCACTGCACTGCAGCCTGGGTAACAGAGTGAGACTCTGTCTCAAAAGAAAAAGAAAAGAAAAAGTTTGCCAACTCCTGCTTCAGAAGAACCCTCAGGGGCATAAAGGAAATAGCAGAAGAAGATATGCTGGTCCAGTATTGCCATTTGGCCTTTGGTAACAGCCTACATTCTTGACTTTGCTCAGCCTTTTTCTACCCACCTAAATTTTCCCATCCCAAATATTATCCTCTCAAGACCTTAATTGGTTATTTGCTAAGTAACCTGAGAGCTAATTTTGCGATCTTTTTAAAGCTGTGATTGAATCATAACAGTTTAATGTATAACTTATTACTCCTCCTAGGTAACATATTTGGAATTTAGGGGAACCCAAACCAAAAAATTGCTTCCCCCTGGCAGAACAGTGGGAAAGATATTTGCAAAAGTGAGCCTTCCTTCAACTTTCATGTCACACCTTATAGGCAGCCAATTCTACCTATCAAAAGCAAACTTGGTTGTTAGTTTTGCTGTTACCCTTTCAATTGGTTAAGTTACTAGTATGCCATTTGCTGCTAAGTTTACCCTTAGGGGAGAAAAATAACGGCAAGAATTACTTTACAATAATTGTCAACCACTGAGAGTTAAGTCTCTATGCCCCCTTTAGCTAATAAGGTAGGCCTGGGTAGCTATCATTAAGTCAAAGATTTTTTCATGAAGGAGGAAACAGCTCCCTGATGAATTTGAGATGAGATTAGAAATGCTGAAAGCAGTGTTCTCAAACTTTAGCATAGAGAAGAACCGCCAGAGGTCTGTTAAAATACGAATCCGCTAATCTTACCCCCAGAGAATCTGTGTCTCCAGTGGAACTCAGGAGTTATGGGGGGAAAAAAAATGATGAAGGATCCAAGCTACCTCCCACAAAGCAGTCTTTATATTTGGTTCTTTACTTGCTCCAAGAATCCCTAAGTTGTTAAAGTAACAGACAATGTAAGTAGACAGAAGCATCATTTTGAAAGACTTTCCTGTTCTCTCATTCTGTTTAACTGACCTTTATTCCCAGTGAGTAAACATGAATCAAACCCTAGTCTAAGTAAGAAAACGTGATTTGAGGGAAGGGCTGGATCTTTGAAAGCAGTATAGAATGGAGGTTAGGAAGGGAACTCTAGACAGAGGCTGCCTGATTCAAATCTCACCTCTGTCACTGGTGCTATGTGAGCTTGGGTGACAACTCGAATCTCTCTGTGCCCTCGTTCCTTCATCTGTAAAATGGGAATAACAATATTATCTATGTCTCAGAGTAGCTGTGAGCATTAAATGAGTTACTACATGTAAAAAGCATAAAATAGAAACTTTTAGTACATTTCAATAAATATATAAAAACTTATTGGAGAAACTCTTGTGTGACCTCACATACCTTGTAAGAGTGGCATGAGAATTAGAGCATGTTCATAATTAAACAATTATGATTGTGCTATTTACTCCAAGTTAGCCAGGGGCTTGTTCCTTAGAGACCACTGTCATTTTCTACATTTGTCCATGAAGTTAATCCACATATTTACAAATCCTAAATGTAACTTTACTTTTATTTTCAATAGGTAACAAGTATTAAGAACCATATCACAAGGACTTTGATAACTGCTTGACTTTGTGTGCTTTATCTCATTTATTTCTCAAAAAAAAAAATTCCATGGGGTAAGTACTACTACTAGCTCCATTTTACAGATGAGAAACTGATGTTGGCCGGGTGTGGTGGCTCACGTCAGTAATCCCAGCACTTTGGGAGGCCGAGACGGGTGGATCACCTGAGGTCAGGAGTTTGAGACCAGCCTGGCCAACATGGTGAAACCCCATCTCTACTAAAAATACAAAAATGAGCCAGGTGTGGTGGCGCACGCCTGTGGTCCCAGCTACTCGGGAGTCTGAGACAGGAGCCTTGCTTTAACCTGGGAGGCGGAGGTTGCAGTAAGCCAAGATCTCGCCACTGCCCTGCAGCCTGGGAGACAGGGGAAGACTCTGTCTCCCCCACCCACCAAAAAAAAAAGAAAAAACAGAAAACTGATGTCACACAGCTAGTAGGTAAGTGCAGCTGGGACTCAAATCTAGGTTATCTGGCCCCATTCTTCTGTGGCAGTAGTTCTC
The DNA here is from genome assembly GCF_000001405.40 of Homo sapiens. Classification (NCBI taxonomy): domain Eukaryota; kingdom Metazoa; phylum Chordata; class Mammalia; order Primates; family Hominidae; genus Homo; species Homo sapiens. The sequence goes on along the minus strand of NC_000009.12, from coordinate 72,324,108 downwards.
AACATGGGGCAATTTTGCCCTAGTGGTAGACTGAATAATGGGCCCCCAAACATGTCTACATCCTAACTCACAGAACCTGTGAACATTACCTCACATGGCAAAAACACCGTGCAGATGTGATTAAGTTAAGGATTTGAGATAAGGAGATGAGCCTGGGTTATGCAGGTGTGCCCAAGAGAATCACGACAGTGCTTCTAAGAGGAAGGTAGAAGGAGTCAGAGTGGAGGAGAGGGCGATAGGATGACAGAAGTCAAGTTTGGAAAGATGCACTTTGAAGAGGTAAATGAGGACACAAGCCAAGGAATATAGGTGGCTACTAGAAGTTGAAAGAAGACAAGGGAATGGATTCTCCCTTCAGAGCCTCCACAAGGAACCAGCCCTGCTAATATTTTGATTTTAGTCTCATAAGACTCATTTCAGACTTCCAACCTCTGGAACTGTGAGAGAATAAATTTGTGTTTAAGTCATTAACTTTGTCATAATTTCTTACCACAGCAATAGGAAACTATACCACTCTCCAGGGCACACATGCCAGTGTCTAGAGACATTTTTTCCTATTGTAGCAGGAGAGGTGGTACTACTTGGTAGTATCTAGTGGGTGGAGACTCAACCTCCTGCAAGACACAGAGCAGTCTCCCACAACAAATAATTATCCAGCCCAAATGTCACCAGTGCTTGACAGAGCAGGAGCACCGTCATGTTGGACAAACACCACCACTTTAAGTTCCAGCTCTCTTTCTAGTGTCATGCATTTCAAGGAAATCACTTCTCTTCTAACTACAAGCAGCCAGAAAGAGCAGACAGTAAAACACAGATAAACAGAGGTGGGGGGAAAGGCTCTTGGGTAACTGCCAAACTTCGCCCTCATACAATGGGCCCCGGTAAAACAGTGGGCCCCAATAAGCACATTCCTTTCCCTTCAGGTGCACTAAGTTAGGGAAGCTAAAAGCAGAATTGGGGGGTATGCCTGCAGCTGCAGAAAGATGTATGGGAACAGACACACAACTCTCCCTCCCAGATAAGCACAACAAAGAGACACAGAAGCAGTCCAAGCCTCTGATAAACTCTTCCACCCTGAATCCTTAAAACCTCTTAGTGTGTAAGAGAGTGGGCTCTGACCTAACTCGGCCAGAAGCCCCTCTCAGGTTTGTTTTCTAAAATAAACCTGTCCTTGTTGACTGTCGAGCCACCCTTCATGTTTCTTTCCTATTTCTTTAATTCTTACAGTGCTGAGGTTGAGAAACCCTGCTGTAGAGCAGCAGAACAGGAAAATCTGCACGGAATGCCAAATACTTCCAATCTGTAATCAGCCTTCTACCTAGCATAACTCAGGCTGGTCTTTAGCACATCATGGACATGGATGTTGTATTCACCTGGTTTATTGCTAACCCACTAAAATCAATTATGGTATTAGAAGAAGCTTTTTTATCTATAGAATATAGTTCATGCTCCTCCCTCTGGTTTTGAAGGCTCACCACAGCTCACTCCAACTTACTTTTCCAGCATGATTTCTTTTTAATCCCCTTTGCAAACCAAACATCCTTGGAAAAAGGGCAACTCTATGTAGCACAGGGCAGGAACGAATGAACTGTCTCCTCAATGACATAGTTGCATGCTCTTACAGCGAAGGTATTCCACTTGAGGCTAAAATTTCATGGCAAGAGTCCACTTGTTCTAGCTTGGTCATGTGCTCTCCCTAAACTAATTCCCAAGGCCAGGGCAATTCTATTCTCATTTTATCCAAAGAAAGCACTGGAGACTTTGAAGATCATGTTTATGTCTATGTCATCCTGGAATTCTCCAAGGAATGCATTCTAGTGCCTTGCACATGTTGACATGTGAATATTGTTTGAATGAATAGCAGAATGAAAGACCAACTCTCTGGGATGCATCATCTTAACCTTCATCTCTCTGTCCCTTATTTTGCAGTTATAGCATGTGATACATCATTTCTGTGACAGATTTAACCTAAGTATTTGTAGCAAAAACTTTTTAAAAACCTAAATTCCTGGTCCAGAAATATGCTATTATTAAACTAAAGTTCAGAGTTTACATCTTCATAATAGAATATAGGTATAAAGTTATTGGAAAGGGACCAGACTATATGATTATCACTCAGAAATACAGCATTTATTAAACAAATCAACAAAGAAATGAGTATAACTCATAATTAATCAGTCTGGGCTCACTACATACTTATGTTCAAACTAGTAAATATTTTAAGTTTTCTTGAATTACAGCTTTAGATCAGGGTTGGCAAACTATAGTCATGTGTCACTTAGCACTGGGGATACCTTCTGACAAATGTGTTGTTAGGTGGTTTTGTCCTTGTGTTAGCCTCAGGGAATGTACTCACACAAACCTAGATGGTATAGCTTACTACACACCTAGCTTATATGGTGTGGCCTATTGCTCCTATGCTACAAACCTATTCCTTCTTCAAAGGTAAACTAACTTTAGCTTACTGTAACATTTTTACTTTTTTAAACTATTTAATTTTTAAAAATTTTTGACTTTTATAATAAATTTAGCTTAAAACACATTGTACAGCTGCTCAAAAATATTTTATTTCCTTATATTTTTATTCTATAAGCTTTTTTTCATTTTTAGAATTTTTACTAGTTTTTTACTTTTTAAATTTTTTGTTAAAAACTAAGACACAAACACACACCTTAGCCTAGGCCTGCACAGTGTCAGGATCATCAATATCACTGCTTTCCACCTCCACATCTTGTCCCACTTGGAAGGTCTTCATGGCAATAACATACATGGAGCTGTCACGTCCTATGATAACAATGCCTTCTTCTGGGTACATTCTGAAGGACCTGCCTGAGGCTGTTTACAGTTAACTTTTTAAAATAAGTACAAGGAGTCCACTATAAAATAATGATTAAAAGTATGGTATAGGACCAGGCACGGTGGCTCACGCCTGTAATCCCAGCACTTTGGGAGCCTGAGGCAGGTGGATCATGAGGTCAAGAGATGGAGACCATCCTAGCCAACATGGTGAAACCCCGTCTCTACTAAAAATACAAAAATTAGCTGGGCGTGGTGGCATGCGCCTGTAATCCCAACTATTTGGGAGGCTGAGGCAGGAGAATCGCTTGAACCCAGGAGGCGGAGGTTGCAATGAGCCGAGATAGCACCACTGCACTCCAGCCTGGTGACAAAACAAGACTCCGTCTCAAAAAAAAAAAAAAATATGTGTGTGTATATATATATATAGTATATTAAATACATACACCAGCAAGTTGTTTATTACATTATCAAGTATTATGTACTGTACATAATTGTGCTATATATGTATATATATATAGAGAGAGACAGAGAGACAGAGTCTCCCTCTGTTGCCAGGCTGGAGTGCAGTGGCACAATCTCGGCTCACTACAACTTCCACCTTCCAGGTTCAAGCAATTCTCCTGCCTCAGCCTCCCAAGTAGCTGGGACTACAGGCGCCTGCCACCACATCCAGCTAATTTTTGTATTTTTATAGAGATGGGGTTTCACCATGTTGGCCAGGATGGTCTTGATCTCTTGACCTTGTGATCCACCTGCCTCGGCCTCCCAAAGTGCTGGGATTACAGGCGTGAGCCACTGCACCTGGCCAATTGTGCTATATTTTTATATGACTAGCAGTGTGGTAGATTTGTTTACAACAGCATCACTACAAACACTTGAGTAGTACATTGCACTTTGATGTCAAAATGGCTACAATGTCACTAGGCGATAGAAATTTTTCAGCTCCATTATGATCATCTTATGGGACTTCCCTCCCATGTCCAGTCCATCCTTTTTTTTTTTTTAGACAGAGTCTCAAAATCCCAGCAATTTGGGAGGCTGAGGCAGGCAGATCACCAGAGGTCAGGAGTTTGAGACCAGCCTGGCCAACGTGGTGAAACCCGGTCTCTACTAAAAATACAAAAAATTAGCCAGGTGTGGTGGTGGGCACCTGTAGTCCCAGCTACTTGGGAGGGTGAGGTAAGAGAATTGCTTGAACCCGGGAGGCAGAGGTTGCAGTGAGCAGAGATTGTGCCATTGCACTCCAGCCTGGGCAACAAGAGCAAGACTCCATCTCAAAAAAAATATATATATATATATGTATATATATATGTGTGTGTGTGTGTGTATATATGTATATATATGTGTTTGTATATATATACATATAGATACATATATATAACAAAGTTTACTTCTCATAGTGAAGATAAATTCTCATCACTAGTATTGATTCTGGAGCTTTCTTTTCCATGTGTTATAAGGCGAATTGTGTTCCCCCAAAATTCACAGGTTAAAATCCTAACCCGAAAACTTCATAATGTGACTGTATTTGGAGACAGAGTCTTTAATTAGGTCACTAAGTTAAAATGAAATCATTGGGGTGGGCCCTAATCCAATATGCCTGGTATCCTTGTGTGAAGGGGAAATTAGGACACAGACATCTACAGAAAGACACCATGTGAAGACGCAGGGAGAAGGCGGCCATCTACAAGCCCAGCAGAGAGGCCTCAGAAGAAATTGATTCTGGTGACACCTTGATCTTGAACTTCTACCCTCTAGAATTGTAAGAAAATAAATTTCTGTTGTATAAGGCACCCAGTTTGTGGTACTTTGTTATGTCAGTCCTAGCAAACTAATATACCATGTTTCTGCCTTTACATACAAGTAGGCAACTATCATGTCTTCTCTTTACCAACTTCAATATCTTCTTTCCCTTCATACATTCATTTTGGCTTATCCATTGTCTACCATATCTTTTTTTTTTAAATATGTTTTCCAAATATTGTATCCATTGGTTCAGCACTTCTACCTCTAGGAAATTTTCATACTAAGGAAATTATACTAAAGAAGCACAAAGCTTTATATTATACATAAAAATTTGCATCCCAGCAATGCATATCATTTTCTCCAATTTTGAAAAATGATATATTACACATACTTTATTTTACAAAAAAGTAAGCCCAACATAATACATGTGTGATGAAATTTTCAAATAATGTGAAAATTTATAAGCAAAAAGTAAAGCCTTCTCTTACATTTACCCAGAAACCCACTCCCCAAAGAGCACTATAAGAGCATATTATCTGCACATATGATTATAAATATAAATAAACTCATGTATATATTTCTAAAAACAGAAATGGGGAAACAAATACATAATAGTAGAATAGTTTCACCTATGATATCATGCATATCTTTCTATGTTAATTCAATTCCTTATCCTTCCTTCCTTCACTGCCTTCGTAACTCCTGCCCCACTTAAGAGAGCTAGATTGTCATCTTGCTGACACTATCTGTCCTTCCCTATCTCTCTGTTAAGTGTTATTTCTCTAGATTCACATAGCACCCTGGACATAGCTAATAACCTCATATATGACCATAGTTAAGAACGATGGCACTAGGGTCAAACTGCCTGGGTTTTAATCCTCGTGTATTTATTTCCTGTTGCTGTTATAACAAATTACCACAAACTTAATAGCTTAAAACAACATAAATTTAGAAGTCAAAAGTTGTAAAATCAAGGCGTTAACAGGACTCTGTTCTTTCCGGAGGCTCCAGAGGAGAATTCATTTCCAGCTTCTGGAGGCTGCCTGCATTCCTTGGCTCACGGTCCTTTCCTCAGTCTTCAAGGTCAGCAGTGTGGCATCAAGCCTCTCTTTCCTTCTCTTCTGCCCTTTCTCTCTCTCTCTTTCTCTGTTTTCATCATCACATTCCTTCTGTGACTCTGACATTACTATTTACCTCTTATTAGGACTCTCCTCAACATTGGACCCACCCAGATCATCCAGGATAATCTTCCTGTATCAGGATCCTTAACTTAGGTCGAGCATGGTGACTCACACCTGTAATCCCAGGACTTTGGGAGGCCAGGTAGATCACCTGAGGTCAGGATTTCAAGAACAGCCTGGCCAACATAGTGAAACCCCATCTCTACTAAAAATATAAAAATTAGCCGGGCATGGTGGCACGTGCCTGCAGTCCCAGATACTCAGGGGCTTAGGCAGGAGAATCTCTTGAACCTGGGAGGTGGAGTTTGCAGTGAGCTGAGATTGCGCCACTGCACTTCAGCTTGGGCAACAGAGTGAGACTCCATCTTAAAAAAAAAAAAAAAATCCTTAACTTAATCATACCTGCAAAATCCCTTTTTTCCATGTAAGATTATATTCCATTTTTACCATTTTACTTTACAGGTAATTTCGATGCAAGGTAATATTTGCAGGTACTGGGGATTAGAAGGTGGACATCTTCAGGGAGCCATTACTCAACCTGCCACACTGGGCAATGCCATCTTATTAGCAAGGCATGCCTCAGTCTCAACAGCTATTAAAAAGAACAGAGTGATCATCCCTACTCATAAGGTTGCTCTGAGGATTCAGTGAGTTCATACCTGTGAATGGTGCCTGGGACATCATATATGTTCAGTAGTGGTAGCTATCATTATTATTATTATTATTATTATTATTATTATTATTATTGATGGAGTCTGGCTCTGTCACCCAGACTGGAAGGCAGCAGCACGATCTCAGCTCACTGCAACCTCCACCTCCTGGGTTCAAGTGATTCTCCTGCCTCAGCCTCCCGAGTAGCTGGGATTACAGGCACCCGCCACCATACCTGGCTAGTTTTTGTATTTTAGTAGAGACGTGGTTTTACCATGTTGGCCAGGCTGGTCTCAAACTCCTGACTTCAGCTGATCTGCCTGCCTCAGCCTCCCAAAGTGCAGGGATTACAGGTATAAGCCACCATGCCCAGCCAGTGGTAGCTATTATTATAACTACATAGTTATCTAGTTACCTTCTTTGCTCTACACTAGACTGCTAGTTCTTGAAGAAAAGAACAGAATTTTATATATCTGTGTGTTCCCAGGGTGGAGCACAGGGTCTGGGACATATTAGGTGCTCAATAAATATTTGTCAACCTGAATTACTCCACTTAAAAGACTAATATTTAGCCAGTAAAAATTATAGAGAATTTGAAATATTATGAAAAACATCATCATACATTATATTGTCATACAAAGTGACAAAAGCAAAATAAAATATGCACAATCACAGCTGTTTTAAATATGCAGGGCTAAAAATTATGCATAAAAATAGACTGGGAGGAAATATGCGCAAACATTAACACATTAACAGTTGGTGGTCTTGGAGTTGGGAAATCATGGGTTATTTTTTCTTCCTGTTTTTTTATTTTTTAACTTCAGATTTTCTCTATTGAGCACATTCCTTTTCAAGATGAAAAAATAATTTACGTCTTACTTATACACACACATCTCTTGTTCAGTAGACATTAAAGGTGACATTATACATCAAGTCAACTCAACCTCTGAGTTACTGCCTAGCTTGCAGTTCTGAGTCCAGAATTTACCAACTAAATGAACTGAAGAAGTTGCTGTTGCGGATGTTGTTGTTGTTGTTTTTGTGTCACCTGAGAGCTGAAGAGAGGGACCATCCACTCACAGGGCTGCAGCGGGGTCCGGTAGGATAAGGGCACATAAAGTGCCCAGCATGTGGCATGGCACACAATAGGCATGGAATAAATGTTAGATATTCTTCTCATGGTTACTATTACTCAGAGAACAATGCTATCAAACACATATAGGAAGAATTATAAGGAGGCATATGTTCAGAGACAAGAAGCAAAGAAAATTGGAAAAAAACCCAGCTCATTGCATGTCAGGATCTATAAGTTATTTCACTTTAGCTCCTTTCAAGGAAAGATGTACCAAGCTCAATAGTACAAGGGAGTTTTTTTTTTTTTTAAACATTCTAAGTTTTAGCAAGGGAACTGGCCCTCATCCCTCGAAATCTCTTGCAGATCCCCCAGATGTAAGACAGATCAAAACAACTGCTCCAGTAAAACCCCACATGGGGTCAGGCCATGTGTTCTGAGCTCCACATCACCCTCACGGATCTGAGGCTTCTCAGAATAATGTGGCAAGCACTGTTCCAACACTAACCTAACTGGTTAATGAGTTGTAACTTTCCCAGTTTCTTCTGGGAGCAAGGGCACTATGTCATCCACACCCTATTGTGGTTAGAAGAGGCAACAGGAGGTAAAGGCATATTGGGAACAGCTGTACCAGGCTCCTGAACTACTTGGCACAGCACTTGTGCATGTCTCAAGCCTGTTCCTTAGGAGCCGTGCCTTTATGTGAGCTGGAGCAACACGCAGTGATTGTCCTCAAAAGCTGGTCCTCCTCAGTCTTGACTACCCCTTTGTTTACACGTTGATCAGCAGGTGGTGGCTGAATGTTCCCCTTTGATTTCTGTGGCTCAGGAGCAGCGGGCTAAGACATGAGCTGAATAAACATCGTATCATTTGGCACTGGCAGGATTCCTGGTAACCCGGGTCAGGCAAGGTTTAAGAAGGATTAGGTTTAGATTAGAAAAGGGGTTGAGTTCTTTTTTTTCCCCTGTGGTCTCTTAAGTGCCTAGGGGTTTTGTAAGAGGAGAGTGGGCTGACCGCCTAGGCTCAGTTTCCAGAAATAAAAGTGGTGAGCTTGGTGTTCTTTTGCAGAAGACCTAAGTGTGTGCTAATTCTGAGTTTGGCTTCTGCTGTAAGGGTCGTGGGCTCTTGGGAATTTGGTGAAAGCTCTAGATCTTTTCTCTAGAGAATTGCACACACACACACACACACACACACACACACAGACAATTTTATTTATTTATGGTGTTTCCTGAAACACTCAGCCTGGGGGAATTTTAATAGCCCACACAGCTCACTAATAGGAGGCTGTACTCTTCCCCAAGGTGAGACTGGGGGGTACCCCCTCTGGCCATCCTCCTCATGGTCGCTCCTCAGTGACCACCGGCCACGCTGAATGAAACTTGCTGTCACACTGCCAGCTTTTCTTGGCAGTCTGGCCTTGGAGAGGCTCGCTGGGGGCTCTGGCAGTTGCTCTTGTTTATTACAAAGTCTTGCTCCACTCCCTGGCGACAGCTTGCAAACCAAAACTATTTCATTTCCCAGTTACAAACAGGTTAGAGGAGAGAGGGTGAAAAAAAAAAAGGCAGACACCTTTTGAAGGCATGACTTCTCCTCGGCTTCCCTGGAAGGTTGGTTTTGTCCTCCAGCGTCCCGCAGCTCTGGATTTACTTCTAGGGTAACCGTGGTTGTTTCTGCCTTCAAGTGAACAAAATTGCTGGTTAAATTTTTTCTTCTTGTTCTTCTCTCTCTCAGTGGAGGTTTTTCCCCCACCACTTAGAAAAAAGGATGAGGCTAATACTCTCCTTCCCCTCAATTAAATGGATGTTTCCCTCCTAACTGACTGACTTTGCAAAAACTGCAATGTGGATGAAAGGGGGATGGGTGCAGGTATCAAGGAAAGATAGAAGTATTTTCCAATTCTATAAACAGCTGTCTGCCTCTCATCTTTACCACACAAAAATCATGGCTCAGAACCCTTGTAAAGGAGTGAGTAGGCACTGAAGTGTCCAGTGCACCATCTACTTGTTATGTGACAGTGAGCAAGTTACTTAACCTCTTTGAGCCCCAGTTTTCTCTCAGGATTAAAACAGTACCTGCTGCATAAGGTGGTAGTGAGAATTCAATGAGAATGTGGGCCTAGTTGTTAGCAGCTCTTTGACTCCAAGTGAACATTCAGGAACTATTTATTATTAATATTATAAACAGTTTTGTTTTGTTTTGTTTTGTTTTTTAAACGGAGTCTCGCTCTGTCGCCCAGGCTGGAATGTCCACTTCCTGGGTTCAAGCGATTTCCCTGCCTCAGCCTCCTGAGTAGCTGGGACTACAGGCGGGCGCCACCGTGCCCAGCTAACTTTTTGTATTTTTAGTAGAGACGGGGTTTCACCATGCTGGCCAGGCTGGTCTCGAACTCCTGACCTCATGATCTGCCGCCTTGGCCTCCCAAAGTGCTGGGATTACAGGCCACCATGCCTAGCCTATAAACAGATTTTTATGCCCCAGTGGAGCACTATTTTTCCTTTAGAAACACCATCTAGCACTGCTATGGTCTGAATGTTTGTGTTCCCCAGAATTCGTAGGTTGAAACCTAATCACCCATGTGATGGTAACTGAAGGTGGGCCCTTTGGGGAGTGATTAAATCACGAAGGCAGATCCTTCATGAATGGGGTTAGTGTCCTTATGAAGAAGGCTCCCAAGAGCTGCCTTGCCTCTTCCACCCTATGGGGACACAGCAAGAAGTGCCATCTATGAGCCAGCAAGCAGGGCCCTCACCAGACACTGAATCTGCCAGCTCCTTGAGTTTGGCCTTTCCAGCCCCTATTACTGTGAGAAATAAGTTTCTGTTGTTGATAAGCTACCCAGTGTGTGTATTTTGTTCTAACAGCCTGAACAGACTAAGACATGTGTCTTAAACACAAACATAGGCTCTCTCCAATTTGTACTAGGAAGTTCTACTTGCCACACCTAGGATGAGTAACTAATTAGGTGACATCATTTTAGGACCTGGTTGAAGGTTCTAATCCTAAATAATACTCTTAGCACAGAAGTAAGGGCACGTGATATGTCCAACCTACTATACCAAGTAGTAAAGATATTTTAAAACATTCAGGCTGGGCACAGTGGCTCATGCCTATAATCCCAGCCCTCTGGGAGGCCGAGGCGGGTGGATCACCTGAGGTCAGGAATTTGAGACCAGCCTGACCAACATAGTAAAACACCGTCTCTACTAAAAGTACAAAATTAGCCAGGCGTAGTGGCACATGCCTGTAATCCCAGCTACTTGGGAGGCTGAGGCAGGAGAATCACTTGAACCTGGGAGGCAGGCAGAGTTTGCAGTGAGCTGAGATCACACCATTGCACTCCAGCCTGGGCATCAAGAGTGAAACTCTGCCTCAAAAATAAATAAATAAATAAATTAATTAATTAATAATAATAATAATAAAACCATTCAGACTCTGCTCTTCATGTAACACCACCGTCAAGTCAGCAGAGAAGACAGTACAAGTTTTTATAAGAGTAAATATTTGTTGGAGCACTTTGCATGTGCTAATAAATGTCCTAAGCAATTTATCTAGTTTAGTCTTTTCAGTAATCTTCTGAATAGGTACTATTATTATCATCATCATTTTATAAATGAAAACAGAGTCTCAGAGAGGTTAAGTGAATGTTTCAGAGTCACAGAGCTTGTACGAATGACAGCTGGTACTAAACTGAGAGTCTACTGCATTATGTGGATTTAGTCTCTTCTAATTCGTATGAGCCTGTGTTGCTTCTCTTTAAACTCCCTAAAATAATAATGTTCAGTTGAGAAGTTCGTCGTTGCTCACTTTAATAGGACTGAACATCTGCTCCTAGCAGAATTCTTAGATGGCTTAACACTGTCCAGAGCAAACTCAGCTTCAGATTTATGTAAAGCAACTTTCACATTGTTTGTGAAACTGATGGATAATTTATTTTTTAACCACCATGCAGAAGCAAACCGTGTAAGTGCACACATCCTTCAGTGCTCACAAATAAAAGGGGAAGAAGTAATAGTGTTCATTTACATCATCCACAATGTTTGCTATAAAACATAAGAAACAGTTCTTAAAGCCATGTACAGACTCACGCAGTGGTGCTTCTGCAAAAACTTACGCCATGAACTCTAGTCTATTCTCTCATTTCTTTTTTTGAGACAGAGTCTCACTCAGTCGCCCAGTCTGGAGTACAGTGGTACGATCTCAGCTTACAGCAACCTCTGCCTCCTGGGTTCACGGGATTATTGTGCCTCAGCCTCCCGAGTAGCTGGGATTACAGGCATGCACTACCGCACCTGGCTTATTTATTTATTTATTTTTGTATTTTAGTAGAGATGGGGTTTCACCATGTTGGCCAGGCTGGTCTTGAACTCCTGGCCTCAAGTGATCCATCCACTCAGCCTCCCAAAGTGCTGGGATTACAGGCATGAGCCACTGCGCCTGGCTTATCCTCTCATTTCTATTGGCCCTGAGCAAGTTTGACAACTGAACTAAACTTCTTTATGTAATGTTTGTTTTGTTTTGTTTTGTTTTTTCCTCTGATTGTAAAAGTGGTATATGTCCATTATAGAAAATTTAGAAAATGCAAGTGTATATAAAGAAGCCACTCAAATGAACCAAATTTCTTAGTGTTTGATCTGGACTCAGATTCAAGGCTCATTTGGCTCTTAATAAAATTCAGAGTTGTTTTTGTGAGGGACTACAAGGATAAACCTTTGGATTCTAGTGTAATTTAAGATATTTTACTGGTGGGGCACGGTGGCCTATGCCTGTAGTCCCAGCACTTTGGGAGGCCAAGGTAGGCAGATCACTTGAGGTCAGGAGTTTGAGACCAGCCTGACCAACATGGTGAAACCCCGTTTCTACTAAAAATACAAAATTAGCCTGGTGTGGCGGTGCATGCCTGTAATCCCAGCTACTTCAGAGGCTGAGGCAGGAGAATCACTTGAACCTGGGAGGCGGAGGTTGCAGTGAGCCGAGATGGCGCCACTGCACTCCAGCCTGGGCAACATGAGAGAAACTCCATCTTAAAAAAAAAGATATTTTACCATAAGTCATTTTAAAGAAGTCAAGTTAGAAAAGAATTTTTTTATCTGCTCCTAAGTGTTATGGGTGAATATCCAGAGAAATGTTGAATGGGGAAAAAGTAAGCCTATGACATTCTTCAATGCTTTCTATTGTATAGCAAACTGGATTCTTGCCTTCTCTGAGCTTTCAAAGCTATGGTTTAAAAAGACAACTAGAAATGTGATTTCCTACTCCTCATTGTTTTTCCATTTTTCTTCCTATTTATAAAGGATTAAAATGTTATACCTAAAAAAAAGAAAATTGCAAAAATCAGGTTATATCTATACCATTTTTGGATATTTGCAGTATTTAATATTTCCATCTTATCTGAATATGATTCAAAGAACAAATTACTTCCACATATATTTCTTTCTTCCTATAATGGCCATCAGACACTTTAAATCTATTTAAAAGTTATTTTCATGTATTGGCTGCATATGAACATGTAATGGAAAAAGATCAAACCATTTAATTTTCCATGTTCTTAAATCAATCATATTGAATTGACATTGTGTGTTCAGAATGTCCCCAATCATATGTAAAAAAGAAATAGGTAGACATTAACCTAATTTTCTTCTTTCTCTTTCACTTGGTTTCAAAGTCAAATTAGAGGGGAGTTGATTACATATTACACAGCACTACTTCCCATGTTATCTGTGAGCCAAAATTTCATAAGGCAATTAGTATTCTCAAATTTACAATCCACAACTTCAGAGGCATTAACTGCTCAGGTAATTATTTATTTATGTAATATTTACTTACTTGCTTATCACTTCATCCGAGAACCTCAGTGTGATTCATAAATATTAACCTATTATAATTATGTGTTATTGCAAGAAAATAAGATACATAGTTATTAGTAGGTTTTAAATCATTATAAGCTGTGCAGTTGATCAAGAAAGCTGATATTTAGATTTGTGGTTATAACTTATATCTAACTTATAGTTAAATCATTGTTCTTCTTCTTTTTTTTTTTTTTTTTTTTTGAGACACAGTCTTGCTCTGTCGCCCAGGCTGGAGTGCAGTGGCATGATCTTGGCTCACTGTAAGCTCTGCCTTCCAGGTTCATGGCACTCTCCTGCCTCAGCCTCCCAAGTAGCTGGGACTACAGGTGCCCGCCACCATGCCCAGCTAATTTTTTTTTTTTATTTCTTAGTAGAGATGGGGTTTCACCATGTTAGCCAGGATGGTCTCGATCTCCTGACCTCATGATCCGCCTGCCTCGGCCTCCCAGATTGCTGGGATTACAGGTGTGAGCCACCACACCCGGCCAAATCATTATTCTTTTTGGTGTCAGTGATGTGCTATCATATATTGAAAGAATTCTGGGTGATAGTTCAGCATTGCGAAGTGACAGCAGAAGAACCTGATGCAAGTTTATTCTTCTCTTCTTTAGGATTTCCAGTATTTTATCTCTAACATAGTAGGAATGTCTTGAATTAAGCATGTAGAATTTTATTTTTAGGGTCCTCCAAATAAGTCATTCTCTCGCGTCCTAGCATGACCTTCAGTAACCAAACAAGCAAAAAGTCTAATAATTATAAATATAGTGTTTACCAAGATAAAAAAGGTAAACAGACATTCTTATGATACCTAGTTAGTCTGTCTAGGCTTGTGACCTTTTCCACTGAACTCTGAACACATCTGGCTTTTTCCTGCCAAACCTCAGATCTCCGACCTGTGTTATTTGTGGTCATCACCTTTACTGTTGTTGTTGCTTTTAAGTTAATTCTGTTAGGGTTGTGGAGCTCCAAGCTGTGAATTATGATTTGTAATCTCTTGTGTTTATGACATTCTACTTCTTTCCAACATGATTTATGGCTGACCTTATTTTTAACATTTGGACACAATGCTTTTATATTTCAAAGCTGACCTTTGATCTTTGTGTGTTCTATTTTGTAAATCTTAGGTGATGGATCTTGGGAGCCACAGGTGAGAGGGGCTAAAAAAAGGTCCCACAAATGTGGTGATTGTTTGTTGGCTGCCATGATTCAACAGCAGGGTCATGAAAGCTGATGCAGGGAGCTGCTCAGACCAGGGATGAGTTTGGACGGTAAATCTGAGTCACTGCCTGATCCAGCAAATTCCCCAGGTGCCTCTGAGTCTAGGATCAGGGTCATCTTTGACTTGAGAGTGCATAACAATGTCTGCTTTCCCAAAGGAATAAAGATGGAAAGCCCTGTTATCCACTTTTAATCATATATTTTTTCTAGCAATATGCTAATTTAATACATCCGCACCTGTATGTCTCTCAACATGTCAATAATTTTAGTCATGTTAACATGCTGATAACTGTGCCATTTTAGTCATTTGAGTTTGCAGACTCATAAAACAGATGTGCCCCCGTGAGGAATACTTAGATGGCTTTCTCATAGTTTCTAACTTGCCTACATTTAAATTAATATAAAATAAGTAATTACATTATAAAATTATAGTTTCCCAAAAGATTTTTGAGTCCAGATCCCTATTGTCCTAAAAGGTGGCAATTGTTTGTCTTCGGTAGACTGTTAACTTCATAATTTTCATTAAGATTAATTCTATTAATTCCTTGGTCCATCCCTATATTGAGTAACCTATTTTCTAGGATATCTTCCTAAAACAATGGAACTTCTTACTGAAGCAATGTAAGACTGGCATTGTTAGTCTGCAGCAATCCTCCAGGGAAACAGAAAAGTGACCATTTCCTTCCTTTGCTCCTTCCTTCATTTCCTCCTTCATTCCTTTCTTCCTAATTATTTTATTTTTATTTATTTACTAGAGACAGTGTCTTGCTCCGTTGCCCAGGTTGAAGTGCAGTGGCACTATCAAGGTTCATCACAGCCTTCACCTCCTGGGCTCGAGTAGCTGAGATCACAGGTGCGCACCACCACACCTGGCTAATTTTTTTTTTTTTTTTTGTAGAGACAGAGTCTACCTATGTCACCCAGGATGATCTCAAACTCCTAAACTCAAGCAATCCTCCTACCTCAACCTCCCAAAGCACTGGGATTACAGGCCTGAGCCATGTGTTCAACCCCCCTTTCTTCCTAATTTACATTCTAGTTAAGGGGAAGTATATGAATCCTGAGCACAAGCTATGTGGCTAACCAGTCAATATTCAACTACCAAGGCTTAAAACTTTTATCTCTGGCTGGTTGGAGATTCACCCAAACTCTATAAAATAAAGTGCCATGGAAGAATATCTCATGGAAAAATCCCAGGCTTTGGATTTTGTTTTTTTTTTTTTTGGATGGAGTCTCGCCCTGTCCCTCAGGCTGGAGTGCAGTGGCGCAATCTCGGCTCACTGCAGCCTCCCTCTCCTGGGTTCATGCGATTCTCCTGCCTCAGCTTCCCAAGTAGCTGGGATTGCAGGCATGCGCCATGATGCCCAGCTAATTTTTGTATTTTTAATAGAGACGGGGTTTCCCATGTTGGCCAGGCTAGTCTCAAGTGACCCATCTGCCTTGGCCTCCCAAAGTGCAGGAATTACATCATGCCCGGCCTGGATTTAAATGCATTTTTATTCCAGTATGGCTCTTCCATTTTACCTACTGTGACATTGTACAAGCTAACCTGATTCAACATGTGTAGAAGAAAGAAAACAATAGTTAACTAATGGAATGGTGATGGAGATTAAATTAGATAAGAAATGCAAGTAATGTGCCTAAAATAGTGACTTTCACCTGGTAGACGCTCTCTACATAAACCTAAAAATAATTTTAGGTTAGGTTTATGTAGAGAGCATCTACCAGGTTAAAGTTAATTTCTCAAATATTTGAACAATTCCCATTAATTGTAATTCCTGCACTTTGGGAGGCCAAGGCAGATGGATCACTTGAGACCAGCCTGGCCAACATGGGGAAACCCCGTCTCTACTAAAAATACAAAAATTAGTCAGGCATCATGGCACATGCCTGTAATCCCAACTACTTGGTTTAACCAAACCTAAAATTATTTTTAGGTTTATGTAGAGAGCGTCTACCAGGTGAAAGTTAATTTCTCAAATATTTGAACAATTCCCATTAAATTTCCCCTTTTATCATTTTCTCCAGTAACTTCATGAAGAATGGTAAGCTTTTCTGTATGTAAGAATAATCTCACCTTTCAAAAAGAAAATTGCCATTTCTCTGTAACATCAACAATTATTCCTTATCTATTTTACTTGTATAATCAAAGAATAATACAAACATGGAAACAGATGAAGAGACATCAAGAAACTCTGCCTTTGCTTAGTTGGCAACAGCTGATAATGAGATTCCAAAGGGGAATATTGTAAGCAGGGTGAATTAGGAGATTGAACTGCAAAAGATTCAGAGAGACAAGATTAAGTTACATGAAGATAGCATCTAAAAAATGATGAAAGATGAAATTCACGCAAGCTCTTCTGATGTATTGGCAACCTGCAAGATGCTGCTGGACAATCTCCTGGGAATCACTTAACCTTAGAGGTAATTGTGGAGTGAAAAATTCATTCAAGAGATTGCCTGAGAAGATAAATGCAAAAGAGGCACTAAAAAAAACGTGATTAATGCTCTCAAAGGCAATGGGCAGGGGGGATCAGGATAATAATGAGACTTTACCATTTCACAAAAGATCTTTGCATGTGTCATCTCTGTATTGCAGATCAGCCCTGAAAGACAGGAACCTCCCATATCATCATTTTATAGATGTGGAACTGAAGCTCAGCCACAATTAAGTGACTTGCCCAAAGCCACACAGCCAGTAAAGGACAAGGCCAGGACTTAAAGGTGGATCTTCCAATTCTAAATCCATTACAATCTGCTCTAAAGGACTGTCAAATGTGATGTTTCACTGAGGAATGATGACTTTGAATAGCACCATTTTATGGTAGAAGGCAAACTATCTTTCTGCCTTGAATACAATAGTTCCCCGTTAACTGAGGTCAACTGTGGTCTGAAAATATGTGAGTACAGTACAATAAGGTATTTTGAAAGAAAGAGAGAGACATTTATATAATTTTTTTTTTGAGACAGGGTCTTGCTCTGTTGTCCACAGTGGAGTGCAATGGCACAAACATAGCTCACTGCAGCCTCAACCCCCTGGGTTTAAGCAATCCGTCTGCCTCAGCTTCTGAGTACTAGGACCACAGGCATGCGCCACTATGCCTGGCTAAGTGTTTTATTTTTTGTAGAGATGGGGTTTTGCCAAATTGCCCAGGATCCTGGGCTCAAGGGATCCTCCCGCCTCTGCCTCCCAAAGTTCACAGCCATAAGCCACCTTGCCAGCCTTACATAACTTTTATTACAGTATATTGTTGTAATTTTTTAATTTTATTATTATTGTTGTTAATCTCTTACTGTGCCTAATTTATAAATTAAACTTTATAATTGTTATGTATGTATAGGAAAAACATAGTATGTACAGGGTTTGGTAAAATCTGATTTCAGGCATCTAATGGGGGGCTTGGAAGGTATCCCCCCAGATAAGAGGGGACTACTGTAATGTTCACCTGAATAATTTAGGGGAATGTTTAGAAGCCTTAGTTATAGACATTGACTCTCAGGCTATCCCCAGTCTCTAAATGTTTCCTGTGTCAACATACTCAGTTTCTGAGGGACACAAATTAAATATAGGTTCCAGAAGACACTTCAGGCAAATATACCCATATTAATACAAAATAGGACTTAATCCCAAACCCATATGGGTTTTCTACCCTGGTGACCTCAGCTGGGCTATTTCTTGGCTTCTGGCTGAATAAGGCTTAGTATAAAGGCAAACCAAAGATCATGGGCTTGAGTGTTGCACTCGACATCACATGCGCTTTTGCTGCTAATCTTGCAGGAAATTACAAAATAAAATTAACTGAGGTACAGCTTGTACACTAAACTACATATACAGTAAAGTACACAAACCTTAACTGTACAGCTTGATAAAGTTTAACGTATGTATACCCCGTGTAACCCCTACCATCAAGATATAAAACGTTTCTGGTACCTGCAGGGCATTTTAGAATATCTATAAAAACGAACTTACCCACTCTAAACTGTCAATGGGAGGAGGATGGCCTTTGCCTACGGTCTTAGCAGGACAAGCAAATAAAAGCACTAATTTTTAAATTTCAGGAAGTCTTTAGCTCTTCAGAGGCAGACCCTATGCTTAGAATAAGGGTGGGTCAGGCGTGAGCTGGCCAGCACTGTTTCCGGCTGGGTCTCTGCAGCATTTCCTCTTTCTGTAATACTTCAGCTGGTTTTCCTCAGAAGAACCACTCCTTTCCACGTGTTTGAGTCACACTAATCCCATCCTCCTGGAGCCAGGGTTGGATGATGGGAATGAGGCCTAAGCCAATGAGCGTGCTGCATTCCCAGCCCACACTGACAGGCCTAGGGGTAGGCCCAATGTAAAGCAAGGAGAGTTTTGCTGAGACAGGGAGCCAGAATCAGGAAGGGTGGAGCCAACACACTGAGACAGAAATCAGATCTGCTGACACGGCCGAGCTCCCTTATCTACCCACGCCCGAAACAAGATCCACCCTTGGACTTTTAAGTTATAAGGCTCAGTAGATCCTCTTGTGTCAAGCAGCTTGAACTTTGTTTTCTGTCACTTGCAGTCAAAATGACCCAGTAAGTTTCTGGGAGGGCTAAGTTGTCCCCTGTAAGAGAATGAGAGGAATTTTTTCTTCTCTTAAAAGAGAGTGGGCATAGAAAGGAGGGGAAAAGGAAGAGAGGGAGGCTGGAGCCCGAATTGTGGCAGAAAAGGAATGAAAGATTTGCTTTTTAAGAACAAGGACAAGGATGATGAATATTGTATTCATGTTTTTTACATTTTATGCAAACTACTTTTACCTTTCCCAAACTCCAGCAAAGTTGACTACATATAAAAATGCCTGTGTGAGTGTGTGTGTGTGTGGGTGTGGGTGTGGGTATGTGAGAGAGAGAGAGAGAGTGAGAGAGAGAGAGAGACAAGAGAAGAGAGAGGATGGGGGAGAAGAAGAAGGATGAGGAGGAGAGGAAGGCAGGCTGGCTGGCTGGCCAGGATCTACATTGTATTGAGGTGATACAGAATAAGGAACACAAGAGGCAATGAAAAGATTATCTCTAAACTCAACAAATTCAGCAAAATAGGAGTTTGAAGCCAGAACTGATCATGAGAATGTAAGCCCTCTGGCAATGCATGGAATTGTTGAAGACTGAGTTGGACTTCCGCAAGTCTTGGTATGGGGGATTGAGCCTATGTCCTCTAGATCTTAAGAGGCAGGGTGACCCCAACTAACTAGGGCTGACATTATCCCTAAGTCTATTTATTTGACAATAACATTACTTGCTAGTAAGAGTTTTCTCAGCCAATTCTAACTTTGGGTTGGTTAAACAGGAACCAAAAAGGCAAACAAATAAAAATCTACACAGGGAGTGAAAAACAGATAATAGTAAAATATTTTTCAAAAATGACTTGAAATAAGGAACTTCAAAATTAACAAACTCTTTCACTTTACTGATATGCAAGAAATCTGCTTCCCAAAGCCCAGACATACCCAAAGGAAAACAAAATGCATGCACTTTGCTTTGCTTAATGCAGTTGCCTGTGCAAAATGCTAGGCCTCCGTGAACGCAACTGACTCACAGTTCTCTGAAGTTACCAGTTAACCCCAAATTGGACATTTACCATTTAATAGGAAAAACATGTGCTTTCTCTACTCCCATCACCACACCCTACCTTGGAAGTTTTTCCATCAGTTAACATTTATTAAATTCTAATGGCACTAGATGTAACCTCCACCTCCCGGTTCAAGCAATTCTCCTATCTGAGCCTCCCAAGTAGCTGGGATTACAGGTGCCCGACACCACGCTCGGCTAATTTTTGTATTTTTAGTAGAGATGGGGTTTCAACATGTTGGTCAGGCTGGTCTGGAACTCCTGACCTCAGGTGATCCACCCGCCTCGGCTTCCCAAAGTGCTGTGGTTACAGGCGTGAGCCACATACCTGGCCTATAATACCTTTGAATGAGTTACTTTGTGTTGATATCCCCCATTAGTCTTTAGGGACAGAGAGGGTTCTAGTAATTGAATAATTTTAATAAATATTTTTCCATTTTTTCCCAATGAACTCATCAAGTGATTACCTTTTAACTCCATCTGGGGAATTTTTAAAGAGCTTTCAATTACAATGTATGTTTCTATTTAATTTGCAATCCATCCTACTAACTGTTACTATTACAAACATAGCTTTAAGTCTGAACAATCCAATGCTGATTAGAGGTTTTCAGCATTAAGCATTGGTTGTGGTTCTAAAGTTTAACAAATAACACAATACGTAATTCTCTGGCACGTCCAGCCTTTTCATGTCACGCAGTTGAAGCCTCCCTCTATTAACGAGACAAGCAAACAGAATGCATACTATAATCAACTGAGCAGGCTATGATTAACTTTGCACAGAGCCGTCCCCAAACTCCCTACAAACTCCATACTGGTTCTTAGATAAAAATATGGCAATGCATATTTCTCTAATGAAGAGAAAATTTCCAGTTAAGAGCATCTGATGTTTCTTGTATTTTAGGTGATTATAAATCAAATTAGCAGAGGGCCTGTTCACAGCTGTCTGTTCTATAGTTCTATATTATTTTCCCTTGCTTCTCCTACACAAAGAAAACATTTGTGAGGTGCTGTCCTTCATTTATTCATTTATTTTGAGACGGAGTCTCACTCTTGCTGCCCAGGCTGGAGTGCAGTGGTGTGATCTCGGCTCACTGCAACCTCTGCCTCCCTGGTTCAAGTGATTCTTCTGCCTCGGCCTCCCAAGTAGCTGGGATTATAGGCGCCCTCCACCACAACCAGCTAATTTTCATCTTTTTTTAGTGGAGATGGGGTTTCATCATGTTGGCTAGGCTGGTCTTGAACTCCTGACCTCAAGTGATCCTCCCACCTCGAACTCCCTAAGTGCTGGGGATTACAGGTGTAAGCCACCGTGCCTGGCCAAGGTGCTGTCCTTTATAATGTGGTTGGGGCTGTTAAATTAATTAATTGAGTAATAATGCAGAAAGCCCATTCCCATCATCTTAAATGCAGCACTATCCACCGATATTTGCAAAATAAGTGGATATCGCAGTTATTTCCATGTTTCTTGTATGAGATCTAGTTGTTTAAAAATGCATGTCATGGCCAGTCACCATGGCTCACGCCTGTAATCCTAGCCCTTTGGGAGGCCAAGGCGGGTGGATCACTTGAGGTCAGGAGTTCCAGACCAGCCTGGCCAATATGGTGAAACCCCATCTCTACTAAAAATACAAAAATTAGCCGAGCGTGGTGTCGGGCACCTGTAATCCCAACTACTTGGGAGGCTCAGATAGGAGAATTGCTTGAACCGGGAGGTGGAGGTTACAGTGAGCCGAGATCACACCACTGCACTTCAGCCTGGGCGATAGAGCGAGACTCAGCCTCAAAAAAAAAAAAAAAATAAAAAGTATTATATTCTTCATACTAACTGATAAATAACATCTAAGAAGAACAAGATATTATTGCTACCACAATAAGTAATAATTATAGTAAGCCAAGGTAGAGAGAGAAAACACTTTCCTTCTTCCTGCAGTATTATATCAAAATCTAGATAGATTGCTCATGAATAGTTGCATTTTTATTATAGCAAAGGATATTCAAGTGTTTGCTTAAGTAAAGTCCTGAAAATTTTAAGAACATCTTGCTTTGTTTTGCCCTGTTTATAACCTTACTAGACACTTTTCTTTGTTGAGGTAGGGACAGGGGCTCTGTTGCATTTTTTTCAGTGGATAATTATTTTTAACATAATTAAAATAATAGAGAAGCTCTGAAGACAGTTCTTGAAAATCAGCAGCCTGAAGAAATTACATTTGGCTTACAAGATTTGTATTACTTCTGCCCATGTTTACTATTGCTGTATTCCATCTTCTGAGCCATTGGTGTCTCTGTTGTTCACCATATACAGGCCAAGAACACCTGCCTGAAATAAACACATTCCACATTCATCTGAGGTAGTAGGGTAGAGCTGATTATTCTGATGATTGTAGGGGGTGACAAGGAGATACATTCTCAGTAGCACCGTATTAGTTTGTTCTTGCATTGCTATAAAGGAATACATGAGATTGGGTAATTTACAATGATAAGAGGTTTAATTGGCTCATGGTTCTGCAGGCTGTACAGGAAGCATGGTGCTGGCATCTGTTCCTGGGGAGGACCTCAGCAAGCTTACACTCATGGTGGAAGGCGAAAGGGAAGCCAGGATGTTACATGGAAGAAGCGGGTAAAGGAGAAAGAGAGAGAGACAGAAGAAGTGCCATACTCTTCAATAATCAGCTCTTGTGTGAACTCAGAGCAGGAACTCACTCATCACCAATGGGATAGCATTCAGCTATTTATGAGGGATCCACCCCCATGATCCAAACACCTCCTACCAGGTTCCACCTCCCAACCTTGGGGGTTACATTTCAACATGAGATTTGGAGGGGACAAATACCAACCCATATCAAATACTATTCAGATATACAGGCAAGAATGCCTTTTCAGCCCAGGTTCAGTCTATGGTTTAATTCTTCAGTTGATTCTTTACTTCCCCTGAAACTCCATCTCACTTGATAAATGAAACAGAAAGTAAATTAGGAAAGTCCAAAATGCTTTGATGAATTTAGGTCATTGAAGGCCTAAGAATTTTTTTCTTCTCATTAGAAGACTGAATTCATTCATTTGCGTGTTCATTTGTTCCGTCGGTCAATCAGCAAGTATACCTAGAAAGAGCATATACTCCCAGACCCTCGGGAATGTGACAGTGATAAGGACACAGTCTCTGACTTTGAGGAATGTGGAGGAATCCCGACATCCCCTCCTGCCTTGCCCCATGTCCTTTTTCTCCCCATTTGCCCAGTACACACATACTCAGGAATGGGCCCATTTATCTATTTCCTTCCTCAAGCTCCACTCTGCATCATTTTAGTAAGATCATCTTATGGCATTAAGCAGCAATTGTTTAAGGGTCCTAAAAAGTGTTTTTGAGAAAGCAAATATTCCTTTGCTAATACATATTGCTGGATTTTATGTTACCTCACAGTCAATTGTAGTCAATTTGTAAATGAAGAACCAGTTTTCTTTGCATTCTCAGAGCAACATGAGATGTGCCAGTCCTGTTATCATGTAGTGATTAGTATGTAGGTAAATTACATCTCTGTTGACAGTGTGGGAGATAATAAATAGGCAGTTTCATGTAGAATTTGGGAGTATGAATTTGGGAGTCACAAAGACCTGGATTTGAAACCAGGCTTTATCACTTAGAAGCTGTGTGGCCTTGGACAAGTTATTTATCTTCTCTGAATCTTGATTTCCTACTCTACAAAAGAGTGATACTACCTGGCTTAAATATATATGGTGAGAGTTACAAATGGGGTTAGCCCAAGTTGCCCTCACCGTGCCTTCATGCCCAGGCCTCACCAGCCTCAGAGCATGAAACAGATCTTCTTAGGGATAGTATATTAGTTTGCTAGGGCTGCCATCACAAAAGATCACAGTCTGGGTGACTGAAACAACAAAAATTAACTTTCTCACAGTTCTGGAGGCTGGAAATCCAAGATCAAGGGTTTGGCAGTTTTGTTTTCTCCTGAGGCTTCTCTCCTTGACTTGCACAGGCTGTGTTCTCACTGTGTTTTTTCTATGTGTGCACACATTCCTGGTGTCTTGCTCTTTTCTTATAAGGACACCAGTCATATTAGATCACGGCTCCACCATAATGGCCTCATTTTACCTTAATCACCTTTGTTAAAGCCTTAGCTTCAAATTTCGAAGTATTGGGAGTTGGAACTTCAACCTATGTTCCGGACATATCACCCTGAACACGCCCAATCTTGTCTGATCCCAGAAGCTAAGTAAGGTCGGGCCTGCTTAGTACTTGGATGGCAACTTCAACATATGAATTGAAGGGGTGAACACAATTCAGCCCATGACAGATAGTAACCCAGATTTCACCATCTTGCATTCATCTGCATAACTCAGGGCTCAATATCAATCCCAGGAAGTATCTTTCAGGTGCTCAAGACTTTCAAGGTTTTCCACTCTTGATCTGCCAGGAAACCACTTTGGGATCGGTCTCCACCACCAGCCGTACCTGAGACCCCAGTGGGCACCTGAGTGTCTGAGCCCAGGGTGCTCTGCCTAGTGCCTAGGATGTCCCTTTTGCAGCCTGCACTGCAGCATAGCCAGGCCCCTCCAGTGGGGAGAACACCACTCATTCTACAACATGTCTCATCCAGTCACCGGGCCTCCAGCCAGGCTGCCTACACCTCTGTGCCTCCGCGGCCCTCGTGAAAACGGCTGCTTCATCATCTGTCTACAGCCCCTTTCCCTACAGGGTATGGACAGTGTAGAACCAAATGACATGCTCTGTTCCTTCCCCTTATCTCTCAGCATCAAGGACTAGGGCATGTTATTCCTCCCCACTCCGGGTTCAGCCAAAAACCTCATTGATTCTGACTTCTGGCCATGACCTTCTTTTAGGTCATTCACATGCTCAGACAAATCTGAATCCCAATTCCAGTTTGGGGTGGGTGGGATTCTTTTGCATATAAACCCTTGTACTCTCTTGACATATTTGTTCAATGTGCACCTTGAAGGGAACAATGACATTAGTTCCTGATACTACTCTTTAAAATTTCTTGGCATCCTGCGCTGGTTAAGGAAATAGGCTTTGAAGTCAGATTTCCTGGGTTTAAATCCTGTTCTGTGACCTTGGACTGCATACTTACCTACCTTATTTTTATTTTTTCAGACCGAGTCTTACCCTGTCACCCAGGCTTGAGTGCAATGGCACAATCTTGGCTCACCGCAACCTCTGCCTCCGGGGTTCAAGCAATTTCCCTGCCTCAGCCTCCCGAGTAGCTGGGATTACAGGCATGCACCACCACATCCAGCTAATTTTGTATTTTTAGTAGAGATGGGGTTTTGCTATGTTGGTCAGGCTGGTCTCGAACTCCTGATCTCAGGTGATCTGCCTGCCTTGGCCTCTCAAAGTGCTGGGATTACAGGCATGATTGGTTTTTCTATCTATAAAATAGGTATAATAATACTTTTTACCTTGTAGGAATGAGTTAAATCATTAATACAGTAGGCTCCCCACCCATTATCTGTGATTTCACTTTTCAGGGCTTCAGTTACTTGTGGTCCATGAGGTCTGAAAATATTGAATAGAAAATTCTAGAAATAAACAATTCATAAGTTTTAAATTGCTTGTGATTCCGAGTAGTGTGATGAAATCTCGCACCCCAAGACGAGAATCATCCCTTTGTCCAACAGGTCTACTCCGTGTATGCTCCACATCCGTGATCACTTAGTAGCCCTCTCAGTTATCAGATCGACTAATCTTTTGAGGTATCACCATGCTTGCATTCAAGTTACTTTGTTTTACTTACTAATGGACCTAAAGAACAAGAGTAGTGATGCTGGCAATTTGGATAAACCAAAGTGATAAAGTGCTTCCTTTAAGTGAAAAGGTGAAAGTTCTCAACTTAATAAAGACAGAAAAAAATTGCAGGCTGAAGCTGCTAAGTTCTACTGTAACAATAAATCTTCTGTCATTAAAATTGTGAAGGGAAAAGAAATTCATGCTAGTTTTGCTGC
This sequence comes from Homo sapiens, assembly GCF_000001405.40. Lineage (NCBI taxonomy): Eukaryota > Metazoa > Chordata > Mammalia > Primates > Hominidae > Homo > Homo sapiens. The sequence continues at coordinate 72,298,036 of NC_000009.12, read as the reverse complement.
TGCACCTCAAACTGTAATCGAGTTTTTTACTGTCCATGATTTCAGGCATCCACTGGGGGTCTTGGAACATATGCCCTGCAGATAAGGAGGGACTGCTGTTCACGTAAAGGGTTTATCACCTTGCCTGGGATGTTATTATTAGAGTCATTGTCATCAAACATTCTCCAAATGCTAACTCTTCCAGGTATTTCTTTTAGGTATGATGTCATTTAGTTCTCAAACAATTCCATGAGGGAGATACCATTCTGATCTCTATTTTACAGATGAGCAAACAGTTAAGTCAGTAGCCTAAGACTGCATGGTTATCAAGTGGCACTGTCAGCATTAAGACCAGTTCCATTTGATCTTAACAGGCTGTGCTCTTAACCGCTGTACTCAGTAAGTGATATTTATCAGTCACGATCAATTAGTCAACAGATTTTATATAGATGGTAAATACACTTTAGTAGGTGGAGTGAGAAATACAAGGATGTGTGTGAAGTAGCGTTTTTTTTCCCCAAGGACCTTATAGCTTTATTGGGAAGATGTGTATACATGTGAAAACAGAACTAAAATTACAAGGCACTGAGTGCAAATAAATAGTGGAAATGAAACACCTTATGAGTTCCATAGAGGGAGTGGGAAAGCCCATGGTGAACTAGCATGGTCAAGGAAGGCATCGTGAAGAAGGTGGGCATGAGCCTGGAACACAGGAGCTTCATGTTTGATGATTGAATACATTAGGCAGGCATTGAAGGATAAGTAGAATCAGGAAAAACTGAGAGGAGGAGGGAGGAAACGCATTTTGGAAGATTGAGGTGAGCAAATAAACTGATAAATTGGAGGAAATATCAATATCATTTATATTACTAATTTAGAGTGGCCTTAAATATATGTATTAACAGATAAATGCAGAGCAAAATTATTTTTGCAAAGCTCGTTAACCTCTTTAACTTCACTGAACGTTTAGAAAACAGTAAGATTTTGTTGGTAATTGGGGTAAATGAAAGAGGCTTTTAGAAGATAGCAGCCACCAGCCACAGATCTGTAACCAACCCAGGCCTCACCAGCTGCCCAAGAGCTGAAAAGAATGAATATCTTGACACACAGCCCAAGGATCTCTATTCAAAACAATTTAAGAATACTTGGAGAGAATAGAAATGTGCCACTGTTTCTCAGTGTGCCTTTACATATTAACATCGGAAAGTGTCTAAAAACAATAGGCTACATGTTACCAGAGCAAACAGAAACTGCAGTTAATTTTACATTAACCCAATGATGAAGCTAGTTCAAAGGTTTAAAAATGAGACAAAAGAAAGAAGCCAGCCATGATGGCTGAAAACAAATTAAGATTGAATCATTCTTGACCTTAAACACTCTACCAGCAAAAGTCAAACAATAATAATGACAATAAAAAGCAGTTATACTAGGTGATGTCTGACCATGTAGAATGCCGGGAATTGGGTTTTCTCGATCAAATGCTGTTCCAGCACCATCCATCTGAAGCAGCAGAGCAGCACATGCATGGTAGCATATTTTGCATGGCAGCACATAAGCTCCTGCCTTCAGAGCTGTTTGAAACAGAACGTTCTATGCATTTTGTGTGATTTGAAAATCAAGTGGACACCAGGACATAGCAGTATCACTTTTAGAGCCAGGCAAGGAGAGTTCCTGTCCTGGGCACATAATTTAGAGAGTTCTGCTTTGGCTCTCCCCAAGCCACGTCTCTCCTAATGGAGCAAGAAATTCATGAGGCCAAATGGATGTGCCCACCTGGAATCCAGCAATCTCCCCTCCCACCCTTGGCTGAATGTCATAAGGCCTCTCCCAGGGCCTCTGAAGACCTCATCCTCACGTCTGTCCTTTGGAGAGGAGACTGAGCCACTGGTGCGAAAACTCCTAGCCATAGCATAACCAAGATGGTGCTGCCTGTGTGGTGTAGACAGAGCTCGAATGCGTGGTCCAGGGTGGTCCAGGGTATCCATGCCACTCACATATGGTCCTTCTCCTTCATGGTTGATTCAGGACAGAGGGTTCAAGAGTAGGGAGGTAAGCATTATACCTTAGTGAGGGCCAGGGCTAGCTCTCTCTATGTCACCATGTTGTAACGTAAAACTTTGACAATTCTGACAATTCTCAATTCAAACCTGACCTGCTAGCTCATTAAAAGGTGTATTTTTCAAGATATGCCATTTGTCAGTGTCCACTTGATTTATAAATTTTAAATATGTAGACATAACATATTTGGCCATATATGGTTCCCCTTTGTATTCTTGCCCTGGACCCATAAATGTTTGCTGTGGGCCCAGGAAACATAAGAGTCTGACAGAAGCAAAAAGGACAAGGATATAAAATTCTCAATCCCATCTCCTCTTAATCCAGGGCTAGGACATCCATAGCAGAGATGGGGAGCGGTGAGCGCTGAGTGCATGGCTAATCCTACGTCTTTCTGTTCTCTTTCTTCTTTCCTTTCTTTAATTTTCTTCCTCACTATCTGATTTCTTCCATGCACATCCAATGTCCACCTTGGGCATTGTTCAGGTGGTCACCAGTAAGTGCGTGAAGATCACTCACAGTCACTCAGAATTCCTTTTTTTTTTTTTTCTTTTTCATTCAACAAGGTCTCACCCTGTTGCCCAGGCTGGAGTGCCATGGCATGATCAGAGCTCACTGCAGTCTCGACTTCCCACGCTCAGGTGATCCTCCCACCTCAGTCGCCTGAGTAACTCTACAGGCATGCACCACCATGTCCAGCTAAAATTTTTTTTGTGTGTATTTTTTTGTAGAGATGGGGTTTCACCATGTTGCTCAGGCTGGTCTTGAACTCCTGGGCTCAAGCGATCCACCCTCCTCGGCCTCCCAAATTGCTGAGATAACAGGCATGATCCACCACGCCCAGCCAGTTACTCAGAATTTCAAAAATGTGAATTACCCAACGACACACTCCCCAAGGTCGGTAAATGCCCAGCTCTGCCTCACATTCTAAACCAGCTCAGTTGTTTTCCTATTTGTTTTTTTCCTAGTTTTCTGAGTCTTTTCCTAAAGTTGGCCATTCCTAGCCTTGGAGTACAGTTTGCTCGATATGTGATTTTAATGGATGATCAGTGCTCTTCCTCGCTCCTAGACCTCTATCTGTTGCCTCACTGACTATTAATATCTCTTACTTTAAATAATAAAATAAAAACCAGAGTCAGTTTTAAAAGTTCTTCCACTTAAACATAGCTTTCATACAGAGTACTTGGAAGAAATTCCCTTTCCTAATCTTCCCTTTCCTAATCTTACACTGATGCATTTTTGCAGTATGGGTTGGAGAGGAGGGTAAATAAGGAAGTAGACCTGGGGCATAGTTTATACCAGCAGTGTTAATTATTGATTCCATTAACCTTTAGACTCTCAGATTGAGGAACTCACTCAAACTTAAAGGAGGAAATATTTTAAAACTTGCTCATAACTTTTTTTTTTTTTTTTTTTGAGACAGAGTTTCGCTTCTGTTGCCCAGGCTGGAGCGCAATGGTGCAATATCCGCTCACCGCAACCTCCGCCTCCCGGGTTCAAGCGATTCTCCTGCCTCAGCCTCCTGAGTAGCTGGGATTACAGGCATGTGCCACCACACCCTAAACACAATACTAAAAATTTTATATTTTTAGTAGACACGGGGTTTCTTCATGTTGGTCAGGCTGGTCTCGAACTCCCAATCTCAGGTGACCTGCCCGCCTCAGCCTCCTAAAGTGCTGGGATTACAGGCGTGAGCCACCGCGCCCCACTTGCTCATAACTTTTTAATAACTATAACAAATTTCTTGACAATCTGACCTTAGGCATGCCTAAAAAGAAGCTGGAACACCAAAGACTCTGGTGATGTGTTTACTTTCTAAAGCAACAGGAAAGAGGTGGCCTTCGGAAAGGGTCTTGAGATCTGGATACAGAAAATGCATGTTGAATTTGAGCAATGCCTCTCATTAGCTATGCACCTTTGAGTAGGTTGCTTACTATCCCTGAACCTTTGTTTCTTCAACTGCAAGATGGAAATATTGTCTAGGAACAAGATTGTTGGACATCTCAAGTGAGATTATGAATGAAAAAAGTATTTTGTGAATTAAAAGCACTGTGCAAATTGTTTGTTTGTTTGTTTTTTGAGACAAAATTTCTCTCTGTTGCACAGGCTGGAGTATAGTTGCACAGTCATAGCCCACTGCAGCCTCGAACTCCTGGCTTCAAGTAATCCTCCTGTCTTAGCCTCCCAAAGTGCTGGGATTACAGGCATGTGCCGCTGCACCTGGTGTTAGTTATTATTAAATGCTTATTACGAGGTGATTTATTCTCAAGTCCTTGTAAGAAGGGGATAGAGAAGAACTTTCAGAAAAAAAGAGAAAAAATCTTGGAAAATGGTGAAGATGTAGATTAAACCAGAAGCTACTCTATTTAACATCCACCTTTTTAGACCCTCGGTAATGGATGCTGAATAACTAGCATTGAGCACAGATGAAACTGATTTCTTCATGAAACTTTGCCCAAGAGTGAGATGAATTTTTTAAAATCAATATTTGTATTTAAAGATTCGAAATGTCCTCATCATTTCTAAGTAAATATGTACATAGAGAAACTGCAAACTTCCCTAAACTAAAGGCTTTTAAATGAGCAAATAAGAAACCTCATAAACATTTAATTTTCATCTATTTTGTTCACTGAAGTATTCCCTGTGCCTAAACCCAGTGCCTGACACAGAACAAGTGCTCATGAATTACAATGTGTATATAAATACCGCTATAATTTTGGGGGACTAGTTTCTGACTCTTACACGGTTCACTAACAAGACCTGCACTTGCCATTCCAATGAGAAAAAGTCTTTGGTTAGCTGAGATCTTGTGCCTCAGTGATAAATGCTTTTTACATGAAAGTGTTGAGTGCAGCTGGCATCCCTCCAAGAAATGTAAGGCTATGCAATGCACTCTTACTTGTGGCCTTTGAGAATATGGTCTCCTACCAGCAAGAGGATGGTTGCGACATCAAGTGTTTCTTGTTTTAAAAACAACTTACATGTATGCAACTTACTTCTTTTAATAGCCTCTTTGATATGTGTTATTTCACTTGATTAGCTCAACAACCCAGTGAGGTCAGCAAATGACAAAATCTCCATTTTGTGCTTGAGAAAAATAAGACCCGGCAAAGGGAAGTAGTTAATAAGTAAGGAGAGGGAAGAGAAAAATCTAAGTTGAGTCCCTTAAATTCTTGTCTAATAATCTTACCCCACCATGATGTATACAAGTAGTCATAATGAATACACTGCTCATTATTTATCTATGGAAAGATATCTAAATGCAAAAAAAATCAAGCAATTACTGTATTTGGTCTAAGTCAAAGCAATCTTCACTTGAACATAAATGGTCCAAAAATGCTTTCAAAGGGCATTCTGTTTTCTGGGTTTTCTGAGTCATTGCCTTATCTCCACGTTACCCCTTCATGCCTGAACACAGCTTTTGTGGATGGTGTCTTACTGCTGAGCATTCATTACTACCTATTTTCATTCTGTTGGGGAACATGTTCTCTGATTTCTTGTCCTTTATGATTTAAGGAATAGCCTTCTTTTACATAATTTCTACTTCCTCCACCCTAAGCAAATTATGACAGTGATAAATACACAAAAATTGAAGTCCATGAAAAAGGACATGAAATCTTATTTATGAAGGAACTTCATGTAAAAAGTTTGCCCCCTGATGGAATAGTGGTGACATGACAAATAAAATTGGAAAGAACTATGTCGTTCTGTTAAAGACCAACCTGACACTCTTTATCATTACCTCTTTATTATTATTACTATTATTATTATCTTTATTATTATTACCCTTTATTATTATTAGCAACCTGACAGCTCTTTATTATCATTTAAAGAGCCTCCTCCTCCCCACCACCAATTAGGCTGAGCACAGTGGCTCACTCCTGTAATCCCAGCACTTTGGGAGGCCAAGGTAGGAGGATCACTTTAGTTCAGAAGTTCGAGACTAGCCTGGGCAATACAGTGATACCCCATCTTGAAAAAAAAGAAAATTATAAATTAAATGAAGGCCCCCCCAAATTATATGTCTTACTTCCTGATATAGTTTGGCTCTGTGTCGCCACCCAAATCTCATCTTGTAGCTCCCATAATTCCCACGTGTTGTAGGAGGGACCCAGTGGGAGATAACTGAATCATGGGGGCGGGTCTTTCCTGTGCTGTTCTCATGATAGTGAATGGGTCTCACAAGATCTGATGGATTTAAAGACGGGAGTTTCTCTGCACAAGCTCTCTCTTTTTGCCTGCTGCCGTCCACATAAGATGTGACTTGCTCCTCCTTGACTTTTGCCTTCCACCATGATTGTGAGGCCTCCCCAGCCACATGGAACTGTAAGTCCAATAAACCTCTTTCTTTTGTAAATTGCCCAGTCTTGGGTATGTCTTTGTCAGCAGCCTGAAAACAAACTAACACAGTAAATTGGTAACAGTAGAGCGGGGTGTTGCTGAAAAGATACCCGAAAATGTGGAAGTGACTTTGGAACTAGGTAACAAGCAGAGGTTGGAACAGTTTGTAGGGCTCAGAAGAAGACAGGAAAATGTGGGAAAGTTTGGAACTCCCTAGACACTTGTTGAATGGCTTTGACAAAAATGCTGATAGTGATATGAACAATAAGGTCTAGGCTGAGGTGGCCTCAGATGGAGATGAGGAACTTGTTGGGAGCTGGAGCAAAGGTGACTCTTGTTATGTTTTAGCAAAGAGACTGGTGGCATTTTGCCCCTGCCCTAGAGATTTGTGGAACTTTGAACTTGAGAGAGATGATTTAGGGTATCTGATGGAAGAAATTTCCAAGCAGCAAAGCATTCAAGAGGTTACTTGAGTGCTGTTAAAGGCATTCAGTTTTATAAGAGAAGCAGAGCATAAAAATTTGGAAAATTTGCAGCCTGATAATGCGATAGAAAAGAAAATCCTGGCCAGGCGCAGTGGCTCACGCCTGTAATCCCAGCACTTTGGGAGGGCGAGGCAGGTGGATCACGAGGTCAGGAGTTTGAGACCAGCCTGGCCAACATAGTGAGACCCAGCCTCTACTAAAAATACAAAAACCTAGCCAGGCATGGTGGCAGGTGCCTGTAATCCCAGCTACTCAGGAGGCTGAGGCAGGAGAATGACTTGAACCCGGGAGGCGGAGTTTGCAGTGAGATGAGATTGTGCTGTTGCAATCCAGCCTGGGTGACAGAGTGAGACTCCATCTCGAAAAAAAAAAAGAAAGAAAAAAAAGAAAAGAAAATCCCATTTTCTGGGGAGAAATTCAAGCCAGTTGCAGAAATTTGCATAAATAATAAGGAGCTGCATGTTAATCCCTAAGACAATGGGGGAAATGTCTCCAGAGCATGTCAGAGGTCTTCATGGCAACCCCTCCCATCACAGACCTGGAGGTTTAGGAGGAAAAAAATGGTTGCATGGGCTGGGCTCAGGGTCCCTCTGCTGTGTGCAGCCTAGGGACTTGGTGCCCGGTGTCCCAGCCACTCCAGCTATGACTAAAGGGGGCCAAGGTACAGCTTGGACTGTTGCTTCAGAGGGTGCAAGCCCAAAGCCTTGGCAGCTTCCACATGGTATTGAGCCTGCCAGTGCACAGAAATCAAATATTGGAGTTTGGGAATCTCTCCCTAAATTTCAGAGGATGTATGAAAATGCCTGGATGTCCAGGCAGAAGTTTGCTGCAAAAGTGGGGCGCTCATGAAGAACCTCTGCAAGGGAAGTATGAAAGGGAAATGTGGGGTTGGAGCCCCCACATGGAGTCCCTACTGGGACACTGCCTAGTGGAGCTGTGAGAAGAGGGCCACCATCCTCCAGACCCCAGAATGGTAGATCCACTGACAGCTTGCACAGTTCACCCAGAAAAGCTGTAGACACTCAACACCAGCCCATGAAAGCAGTTAAGAGGGAGGCTGTACCCTGCAGAGCCACAGGGCAGAGCTGCCCAGCATCATGGGAACCCACCTCTTGCATCAGCATTACTCAGATATAAGACATGGAGTCAAAGGAGATCATTTCAGAGCTTTAAGATTTGACTGCCTTGCTGGATTTTGGACTTGCATGGGGCCTGTTTGTTTGTTTTGGCCATTTTTTCCCATTGGGAATAGTTGTATTTACCCATTGCCTGTACCCCCATTGTATCTAGGAAGTAACTAGCTTGCTTTTGATTTTACAGGCTCATGGGTGGAAGGGACTTGCCTTGTCTCAGATGAGACGTTAGACTCTGGACTTTTGAGTTAATGTTGAAATGAGTTGAGCCTTTGGGGGATTGTTGGGAGGGCATGATCAGTTTTGAAATGTGAAGATAAGAGATTTGGGAGGGGCCAGGGGCGGAATGATATAGTTTGGTTCTGTGTTTCCACCCAAATCTCAGACTGTAGTTCCCATAATTCCCACAAGTTATGGGAGGGACCTGGTGGGAGGTAATTGAATCATGGGGGTGGGTCTTTCCTGTGCTGTTCTTGTGATAATGAATGGGTCTCATGAGATCTGATGGTTTTTAAAAACAGGACTTTCCCTGCACAAGTTCCCTCTTTGCCTACTGCCATCCATGTAGGACATGACTTGCACCTCCTTGCCTTCCACCATGATTGTGAGGCCTTCCCAGGCACGTGCAACTGTAAGTCCAATAAACCTCTTCCTTCTGTACATTGCCCAGTCTCAGGTATGTCTTTATCAGCAGTATGAAAGTGGACTTATATACTGCCTGTTCAAATTTACTTCCATCACATACCCAGTCCAGAAAATTCAGACTTCAGCAGCAAGATAAGAATACACTATTGAGTTCTCTGTAGATACAAAATTCCTTTCTAGACCAAGGGATTTTCTTTCACAAAGTATTTATAAAAACATTTCAGTAGCAAGTAAAATATTTACCTCTTAAAAATTTTAAAGTAAGAACTTAGGAGATGTAGTAGCAGAAACAGAAAAATATCATCTCTCTACTCCGCCTTCTCTAGCTGGCAAACTCCTATTCATGTCTCAGGACCCAACTCAAGTGCCATCTTTTCTTTAATTTTAATCATACTCCCTTAAAGAGGACTAGCCACTTTCTTTTCTGTGCTCCTATAAATAGACTTTACATTTTTATACTGTGTTAAAATCATTTATCATCTTTCTCCCCATAACTACTCCAGAGACATTAAATGAGAACTACAAAAACATATAAAATGTTCTCCTTAAAATTGAGTTTCACATGGCATTTTATTTTTATTTTACTTTTGGAAATGCATTGTAAGCTGTTTTCTCTTTTTATTATTATTAGTGTAAGTTTCAGGGGTACAAGTGCAGTTTTGTGACATGGATATATTGCATAGTGGTGAAGTCCAGGTTTTTAGTGTAACTGTCACCCAAAGAATGTACATTGTACCCACTAAATAATTTCTCATTCCGCTGGGCACGGTGGCTCACGCCTGTAATCCCAGCACTTTGGGAGGCTGAGGCGGGCGGATCGTGAGGTCAGGAGATAGAGACCATCCTGGCTAACACGGTGAAACCCCGTCTCTACTAAAAATACAAAAAATCAGCCAGGCGAAGTGGCGGTTACCTGTAGTCCCAGCTACTCGGGAGGCTGAGGCAGGAGAATGGTGTGAACCTGGGAGGTGGAGCTTGCAGTGAGCCGAGATTGTGCCACTGCACTCCAGCCTGGGCGACAGAGTGAGACTCAGTCTCAAAAAAAAAAAAACAAAATAAAATAAAATAATTTCTCATTCCTCATCCACCTCACCCTCCCACCATTCCGAGTCTCCAATGTCAATTATTCTGTACTCTATGTCCATGAGTGCACATTATTCAGCTCCCACTTGTCAATGAGAATGTGCAGTACTTGACTTCCTGTTTCTGAGTTATTTCACCTAAGGTAATGGCCTCCAGTGCCATCCATGTTGTGGCAAAAGACATGATTTCATTCATTCTTATGGCTGCATTGTATTTCATTATGTATATTTACCACATTTTCTTTAGCCAATCATCCATTGACACTTAGGTTGATTCCTTATCTTTGCTATTGTGAATAGTGCTATGATAAACATATGTGTACAGGTATCTTTTGATATAATATTTGTTTTCCTTTAGGGTAGATACCCTGTAGTGGGATTGCTGGATTGAATGGCAGTTTTATTTTCAGTTCTTTGAGAAATCTCTGTATAGTTTTCCACAGAGGTTATATTAATTTACGTTTCCACCAAAAGTGCACAAGTGTTCCCTTTTTTCCACATCCTCACCAACATCTGTTATTTTTCACATGGCATTTTAGATAATTATAAATTATTAGAGCTAGAAGGTATCTGCAAGATTATTAAATTAAATATAATTCTTTCCCAAGCTTACCCCCAACATGTCACCTCCATTTTACAGATGAAGAAACGGAGCCTGTTAAAATAAGTTAAATACATAAGATTTTTAGCTAGGAATTAGCAAAGTAAGGCTATCATCCCCATCTTTTGATTCTGATCACTGTTCTGTCTGCTTCAATGTAACTACCTCCTTTCCACATGGTGATTCTGCAATAATATATCTTGCTAAGCTCTTCAGGGCTACTTAATCTGATATCCTTGAATTTCCCAAAATGATGTGCATGTATTGTAGGTCTTGCCTATATGAGTAAGGCCTTCCCTCTCTAAACATTCATTCATTCATTCATTCATTCAACAAATATGTATCAAAGACTCCATGTCCAGTCCTCAACAAAACACTAGCAAACCCAAACCAAATCAGCAACATATACAAATATACACCATGACATGTGATTTTTTTCCATGAATGTTCAACATCTGAAAATCAGTCATGTAATAATCTATATTAATAGAATACAGGACAAAAATTACATGATCATCAGAGTAGATATGGAAAAAAATTTGATGAAATTCAACAGTATTTAATAATGAAAGCATTCAACAAACTAGAAATAGAAGGGAACTTCTTAAACCTGACAAAAGACATCTATGAAAAACTTCAATTAATATCATACCCAAAGGTGAAAGACTAGCTGCTCCATCCTAAGACCAGGAACACACAAGGATGTCTTCTCTCACCACTTCTGTTCAGCAATGTACTTTCAGTTCTAGCCAGAGCAATTATGCAAGAAAAAAAAAAGGCATCCAGATAGGAAAGGAAGAAATAAAACTGTCTCCATTTGCAGATGACATGATGTTGTATGTAAAAAATGATAAGGAATCCACACACACACACGCATACACACACACACACAAACTGTTAGAACTAATCAACAAGTTCAATAAGGTTGCAAGATGTACAATCATTGTACAAGATACACTTATATTTCTGTACATTAGCAATGAACAATATGCAAAAGAAATTTAAAGAATAATTCCATTTATAATAGCACCAAAAAGAATAAAATACATAGCCATAAATTTAACAAAAGAAGGGCAAGACTTGTACACTGAAAACTAGAAAGTACTATTGTCATGTGGTGTTGCTGATATAGTGGTGAGCATAGCTGCCTTTTAAAACCTTGCTAAAAGAAATGAAAGAAGATGGAAATAAATGAAAACACATCTCAAGTTCACAAATTAGAAGACTTAATATTGTTAAGATAAAAATATTTTCCAAATTGACATACAGATTCAATGCAATCCCTATCAAAATTCCAGCTGCCTTTTTTGCAGAAATCGACAAAGTGATCCTAAAATTCATACAGAAATTCAAAGAACTCACAATAGCCAAAACAATCTTGAAAAAGAACAAAGCCAGAGAACTCAGATGTCACAGTTTCAAAACCTACTAGAAAGCTGTAGTAATGTAGATAGTATGGTCCTGGCATAAAGGTAGACAGAAAAATGAATAGAATAGGATTAAGAGTTTAGAAATACTCTCACATTTGTAGTCAATTGATTGTCAACAGGGGTGCAAGGCCATTCAGTGGTACTGGGACAACAACTGGTACTGAGACCACTGGGTAGCCATATGCAGAAGAGTGAAGTTGGACTTCTACGCCATATAAAAAAATTAACTCATAATGTATCATAGACTGAAATGAAAGTGCTAAAACTATAAAAGCATAAAAAGAAAACAGAAGTAAATCCTTGTAACCTTGGATTAGGCAGTGGTTTCTTGGACACAAAACCAAAAGCACAAGTTATTAAATAAATAAATAAACAAAATGGACTTCATCAAAATTAATTTTTTTTTTTTTTGCTCTGTTACCCAGGTTGGAGTGCAGTGGCACAATCTCGGCTCACTGCAGTCTCTGCCTCCCGAGTAGGGAATCAAGGGATTCTCCTGCCTCAGCCTCCAGAGTGGCTGTGATTACAGGAACCTGCCACCACGCCCAGCTAATTTTTGTATTTTTAGTAGAGATGGGGTTTTGCCATATTTGCCAGGCTGGTCTCGACCTCCTAACCTTAGCCTCAGCCTCCCAAAGTGCTGGGATTACAGGCATGAGCCACCACGCCTGGCCAAAATTAAAATTTTTGTGCTTCGAAGGACACCATCAAAAATGTGAAAAGACAACCAACATGGTAAGAAAAAATATTTGCAAATAATATGTCTGATAAGAGATTTGTATAGAATATATACAGAATACTTACAATTCAACAATAGGACTGATAAATCACTAATTTTAAAATAGGCAAAGGCCAGATTTCCTCTAAACTCTGCACGTGGTGATTTGGGACCACACATTGGAAATTCACAGTTATATCTTGAGGAACTTCAACTTTAACCTCCTGTTACACACATAGGTCTGAAATACAATTGTGGAAAATGTCATATTCTTCCCATGGGACTGTTAGACGCCAGACAAGTCAGGGTATTTACCTTCTCAGGGTAAGATGGGCAAGAGAAGGAGTGAAAAAATAATGAATAGGAAAGGTCATCCTTGAATTAGGACTATATTTGAAGGAATAGTTGATAATTTCCTGAAAATTAAAAAGGTTTTGTCAACACAAGGTACACATAAACTGCTGGAGAGCTGGGAATGGGAATAGGGTACTGCCACCTTTTCTGAGATTCAGTTCTGAGTCTATAATCTTAGCACTTTGGGAGGCTGAGGTAGGAGGATCATTTGAGGCCAAGAGTTCAAGACCAACTTGGTCAACATAGTGAGACCCCATCTCCACAAAAAATAAAAAGTTAGTGTGGTGGTGCACACATTTAGTCCTAGCTACTCAGGAGGCTGAGATGGGAGGATCACTTGAGCCCAGGAGTTTAAGGCTGCAGTGAGCTATGATCATGCCACTGCACTCCAGCCTGGGTGACAGAGAGAGACTCTATCTCTAAAATAAAACAAAATAGGCAAAGGATTTCAACATAAATTTCTCTGAAAAAATGATAAGCAAATGGCCAATAAGTACATGAAAAGATGCTCAATATCATTGGTCATTAAAGAAATACAAATCAAAACCACCAAGAGATACCACTTCACATCCCTAGGATGACTATAATTAAAAAAAAAAAAAAGCCCAGTGGCTCATGTCTGTAATCCCAGCACTTTTGGGAGGCTGAGCCAGGCAGATCACCTGGCGTTAACAGTGACCTTGAGCAGCATTGGTAGTGGTTTTGGCAGCATCGCTGGGAGTGCAGCCTTCTGAATTTCTGCTCAGCAGAACCAGCAGGTCCCACAGCAGCAGCAGTCCCATCTCTAGCAGTTGAACACCAAGTGTGGGGTTATGAGCTCCAGCTCACAGCTTCATCATCACTTTCCTTCTTTTGCTCCTTCAGCCTTTTCCCTTTGGAGCCAATGTGCTGCATTAAGTCCCTCTCTCTTGACATCTCTACAGCAGTGTCTATTTTTCTGACCAGACACTCTACAATACACTTCCTTTTTAAACTATAAGTTTCAGCCTAAAGCAGGACCAGATGACATCTGGGGAAAAGCAAAGTTAAATCAAGTTCAACATTTTAATTTGTTTTGGAGTAGATATTCTAATTTATGAATTAACTATGTTTGCCTTGTAAAGTGACAGTAGGTCTCGATGTTGTGTAAGAGTGAGCTGTTAAGTCATGGGCCTACCAAGGGCTAGGAAAATCACCTTTATGGAATAATTTTACAGGAATAGTGGGAGGCTACTTTAAAATTGTGTTTTGATTGTGTCATGAGCCATGCTTTTGTAACATACTGTTTATATATGTAGACATGTGTGTTGAAGAAGTGGTCTGTCTTAATGATCAAAGTGAGAGAGCAGAGTCTAAGAGTGTGTAGTCACCAGGCTCTAAGATGGCCCCCAATGGCCTCTTTGTATTCATGAGCTTGTAAAATGCCCTCCCATATTGAATAGGGCTGACTTGTGTAATTGATAGGATATTCTGGGGGGAAAAATACACTGCAGCTTCTGCCTTGCTCTCTTGTGGATCCCTGGCTCTGAAGAAGGTCAGCTGCCTCATCATGAAGACTTTCAAGTAGGTTACGGAGATGTCCATTTGATAACAAAGTGAGGCCTCCTGCCAATCGTCATGTGAGTGAGATCCTCCAGCTTCTGTAGAGACAATGACAGCCCTGGCAAACATCTTAAAGAGATCTCGAACCAAAATCACCCAGCTAAGTTCCCCTTGGATTCCCGATCCACAGATAGTATGTGAGATAATAAATGATTATTGTTTTAGGTCTCTGAATTTTGAGCTAATTTGTTATGCAGCAGTAGCTAACTAATACAGGATAAGAGAAGAGAGGCATTGGCTCTAGGTATAGGAGACAGAGCAGAGCACACAAGGATTAGGTCCTGGCCCTGCCACATGGTGGCTATTGATCCGATTCACATCTATACAAACTGGTAAATTGAGTGTACCTGGTGAGCCCTATGGGATAGCCTGCTGTAAGTGATAATGTCAAGGGAGACCTTGATGCACTCTAGACAAGTAGAGAGGTGGATCAAGCTTATATCGGAGACTATCTTCAGAGTCCTTCTGCTACTTTGTAACTCCTCCCTGACTCCCAAGAGACATTTCGACTTACCCTCTCCTGGTGTACTGCTGCTCCTCCTTTCTTTATCTAGCTTGATAAACCACTTCACATCAACACACTCTGAGAGTTGGCTGTGAGCAAGGCCCTCAAAGATCAACAAACCACTATTCCTCTCCTGAAAGAGCCTTCCATTTATAGACTACTTTGTGTTGGGAATATATTGCATTTGCCTCTAAACTCAAAGTTAGAGGTTAATTGCAGTCTCTTTCAGCGGGACCTGAGATTCTGCATCTCCAGGAAGCTCCCAGGTGATGTTGCTCCTCCTGGTCCTGAGACCACACTATGAGTACAAGGAACTAAGGGACTCTGCAGGTGTAGGAATAAAAGATAGAACAGGGTACCCAACAAATGCATGCACTCTCAGGATGAAGGGAATTCAGTGACTCAAATCAAACTGCGTGTATAGATTCTGGTTCAACTTAGGTCCAAGATTTGTCACAGCCACCATGAATAAAACCTGCAGCATGACTTGGTCTTGTGTGTCCCTTGCCTGGGAGGCTTTCACAGAGAAATAGGTAGGATAACAAGGGGGCAAAAAAAGTTCCATTTTGTTCAGTGCATAGATCAAATATTCCAGGTTGGAAAGGACTTTCAAAGTCTTCTTCAGTCACCTAACCTGTGGTTGAATCACCCCCATGTCATCCCTACCAAGTCATTGTTCAAGCTGTGTTCAGATACTTGCAGTGATGATAAACTCACCCTTCCCAAGACAGTCCATTTCTTGTTTGGGCAGCTGTGATTGCAGAAAATTCTGTAGAACAAATAACATTGTTTTGTCTCCAAGTTACCAATGACTTTCTGAATGTTACCTTTAGAGTCATTTAAAACACATTTGTAGGCCTTTATATATTGAAAGATGGCTCCCTAATCTGTATCAAATTTTCCTTTCTACAGGTTAAATATCACCAGTTTCTTTACCTGATGCTGCTTTGTCATGCAGCTTGGTCTCAGATGATTCTTAGATGGTCCCAATGAACATATTCCAGTGTTTTCATTGGAAAGAAGAGACTCTAGATGAAGCGGGGATACAAGCAAAATTTAAAGGCAATTTTCTAGCCATAATGAGAGATATGTGTTTAAAATTCAGGATACTGAGTTCTAGAGGGTTCTAGCCACATTGGGTGAGGGCCATGCTTACTCTACACTCCCACGAAGTATACTTAGCTTTAGGCTCCTTTTACCTGAAATATGTAGGCCCAGGTGACCTCTTCTCTCAGGTAACTGTTTCTCAAAACCATGTCCTCAGAACACCTGGATTAGAATCACCTGGGGTCCTCTTAGAAATGCTGATTCATGAGTCTCACCTTAGTCCTATGAAATCAACAGCTTTTGTGGTAGGGACAGCGGAAGCTACTTTATTTTTTCTTGAGACAGAGGCTCGCTCTGTCCCCCAGGCTGGCGTGCAGTGGCGAGATCTCGGCTCATTGCAAGCTCCACTTCCCAGGTTCCGTCATTCTCCTGCCTCAGCCTCCCCAGTAGCTGGGACTACAGACGCCCGCCACCACGCCCGGCTAATTTTTTGTATTTTTAGTAGAGACGGGGTTTCACCGTGTTAGCCAGGATGGTCTGGATCTCCTGACCTTGTGATCTGCCCGCCTCGGCCTCCCAAAGTGCTGGGATTACAGGCAAGAGCCACGCGCCCGGCCAGAAGTTACATTTAAACAAACTGCCCAGGTGGTTCTGCTGAATATGAAGGGGGAGAACCATGGTTCTAGCCTGTACTCTCGGATCTCTGCTTGTCTTGCTCTTTATTGCACCAACTGAATGGGAATAATAGGAAAGCTCAACAAAGAAAAATGTCAACTGCTTCAGGAATTCTAAGAGGGAGAGCGAGGAACAGAAAAAGAAGGAGAACAAAAAGGAGGAGGAAAAGAAAAACTTTCATTCCTTTTCTTATAACCCAAGATCCCCCTTCCCTAATGTTGTAGCTCCTGCAGGTACTTAAAATTTGGCCTCAGCTGCAGCAGCCTGCGGGTGTTGGCGTAAAGGACCTCGCGCTCCCTCTAGAGGCCGACAGTAATAAGGGCAGGGAGAACTGAAGGGTAGTTGAAAGTGAGGTGAAAAGAGACGCTTGTTAACTAACTCCCTTGGCATCATTCACTCTACAGTCTTCTAGCACATCAGTTCTCAAAGTGTGGCCTGGGGAACCCAAAGAAGGGTCCACAAAGTCAAAACTATTTTCATGATAATATAAAAATTTGCCTTTTTTATTCTCATTATGAATATAGAGATTTCCAGAGGCCACATGACATGCTGCACTCCCAACAGATGGAATATAGAAGCAGATATGAGAATCCAAGCTTTTTTTTTATTAAACCAGGCATTAAAGTTATTTAAAAACAATGTAGCTGAGCGCGGTGGCTCATGCCTGTAATCCCAGCACTTTGGGAGGCCAAGGAGGGTGGATCATTTGAGGTCAGGAGTTCGAGACCAGCCTGACCACATGGTGAAACCCCGTCTCTACTAAAAACACACAAAAAATTAGCCGTGCATGGTAGTGCATGCCTGTAGTTCCAGCTACTCAGGAGGCTGAGGCAGGAGAATAGCTTGAACCTGGGAGGTGGAGGTTGCAGTGAGCCAAGATCACACCACTACACTCCAGCCTGGGTGACAGAGTAAGACTCTGTCACAAAAAATAAATAAATAAATAAAAAATAACAGAAAAAAAAGCTGCTGTTCTAGTTTTTTGAAAATATAGCTATTTCTCATTTTTAAAAAATGTTATTTATATTAACATATAATAGGTTTGTTATTACTTTTAAGTGAATGAATTAAACTTTTTGTTTTAACTTCTAATACAGTAAATATCTAAATATAATCGACATGAACAAAAACTCTGGGCTCCTCAATAATTTATTTTTTTGAGACGGAGTCTCTGTCGCCCAGGCTGGAGTGCAGTGGTGTGATCTTGGCTCACTGCAAGCTCCACCTCCCGGGTTCACGCCATTCTCCTGCCTCAGCCTCCCAAGTAGCTGGGACTATAGGCGCCTGCCACCACACCTGGCTAATTTCTTTGTATTTTTAGTAGAGATGGGGTTTCACCATGTTAGTCAGGATGGTCTCGATCTTCTGACCTTATGATTCACCCGCCTCAGCCTCCCAAAGTGCTGGGATTACAGGCGTGAGCCACCGCACCCGGCTCCTCAATAATTTTTAAGAGAGGTGAGGGGTTCTAAGTTTAAAAAGTCTGAGAATCACTGTCTTCAAACTTGGCTGCCCATTGGAATCAACATAGGAAGCTTGAAAAAAATACTGGTGCCTGGATTCCACGCCCAGAGATCCCTATATAATTGTTCTGGTGTTTAGCCAGGGTATTGAGAAGTTTTTAAGCTCTCAGGTGGTTCTAATGAGCAGCCAAGGCTAAGAACCACAGCGCTCGTCTAAGGATATTATGGATGTCAAAACAAACACGGCCATGGCTAAGGATGGAGAAAGCAAATATGGTCCATAACAGCAAATACAGACAGAAGAGCAGGAAAGAGTGGACTATCATGTTACCCCAAAAGTACAACAGGACAAAGGAGATATTTTGTAGCTCTAGTAATCAGACAAAAAGTTTTTCTCCTGCCAAGGATGTTGGATTTATTCATACACCACTGCTTCACCAGCTGGGGAAAAGGAAACTAGGTTAAAATGCCACCTAGGTGAGGATTTGAGCAGTTTGGGAGACATAAAGTAATAAAATCTGTCCACACAGCCAGACCTCAAACATAGGAATCAAACCAAAGAAATATGCAGAATGCTCTTCTGGTTCCAAAGAGTCCTGGTGAAAGCTAGGGGTGTGGGTTAGGGAGGGAGATTCAGACCCATCAGGAAACCCACCAGGGTGTGAGGGACACAGGTGAATTTTTATAGCCTCCAGCCTCTCTCAGAGGATCAATTCTTAGCATGACAAGCAGGTGCCAGGGGTGGAGGAAGTAGAGCTAAGTCCTTGGGCTTCAACTGGGTCCAGAGCTACGAAAGTGAAAGGGGTGATGATCAGACAACAGCTTTCAAACTGAAAGAGCTATCAAGCTTTCAGATAACCTGCTGCCCTTCAAAAACTTAAATGTTGCATTAGGATTTTCTACTCAGATGTTACGCCCAGATTAGGCTTTGAAACTAAACATTCAATTCAGTTAAACAATCAGCTGTACACTAATTTACAATCATGGCAGCTACTATGAAGATGGTCTGTCTCTGGGTGGAAAGAAGATAAAAGAAAAGAGAAGCTCATAACAATAGTGATAACTAATATTTATTGAGTATTTACTATACCAGGTAATGTATTAAGAACTTTATATGCAGTCTGGGCACAGTGGCTCATGCCTGTAATCCCAGCACTTTGGGAGGCCGAGGCGGGAGGATCATGAGCTCAGGAGATAGAGACTATACTGGTCAACATGGGGAAACCCCGTCTCTACTAAAAATACAAAAATTAGCTAGGCGTGGTGTTGCGTGCCTGTAATCCCAGCTGAGGCAGGAGAATCGCTTGAACCTGGGAGGCAGAGGTTGCAGTGAGCCGAGATTGCACTGCTGCACTCCAGCCTGGTGACAGAGCGAGACACCATCTCAAAAAAAAAAAAAAAAGAACTTTATATGCGTTATCTCATTTAATCCTCTCAAGAACTTGGTGGCTAGGAAATTGAGGCTAGGTGGCAGCTTGCCTACAAGATGACCACAAAGAATCTTGTTTCCCTGGAATTCACACCTTCACATAGCCTCTTCCACATTGAATCAGGTCTGGTCTGTGTGATCAATGGTATATGAAAGAAGTGACAGTGTGTGACTTCCAAGGCCACATCATAAAATGCATTGTGTATTCCATTTTTATCTCTTGGATCACTTGTTTTGGAGGAAGCTGGCCGCTGTATTGCTAGGACAATCAAACAGCCCTGTGGAGAGGCTCATGTGGAGAGGAGCTGAGGCCTAAGGCCAAAAGCCAACATTAACTTGCTAGCCACATTAGTGAGTCACCTTAGAGAGGGATCCCCCAGCCTCAGACAAGCCTTCAGATGATCACAGCCCCTGCAAACATCTAACAGCTACCTATGAAAAACCTAGAGCCATAACTGCCCAGACAAGCTGCTCCCAAATTCCTGACCCACAAGAACTTTTTTCTTTTTCAGCGTTCCTGAGAGAACTGAGCCCACACTGCCCATGGCAGTAACCCTGATAATGTACCCTTCCTTATATTGATTTTCTCCTTCCCTGCTCATTCTTCCAGTTCCCTTTCTCCTGTTTCCTGGGATCGCCTCCCATGTTCTACACCTGAGTTCTTTTCTCAGGCTCTGTTTTTGGGGAGAACCCAAACTAACACAAACATCATGAGAAGTGTGCCTTTTTAACAGATTCAGATGATCTCCTGCTAAAAGCGTATTAAACAAGGAGTTTAAATTTAGAGAACGAGTTCATCCCTATAAGGTTTTGTTGTTGTTGCTGTTTTTCCTGGCTACCAAGAAAATAGATTTAGAGATTCCTGAAAACTTCACCCAAATTGATACGCATGACTCAGTTTGATTTCATCGGTGTTTGTTACAATTTTCTTTTTTCTTTTTCTTTTTGTTTTTTAGAGACAGGGTGTCACTATGTTGCCCAGGTTGGTCATGAACTCTTAAACTCAAGCGATCCTCCAATCTCAGCCTCCTGAGTCACTGAGATTGCAGGCACAGACCACTGAACTTGTCTTTTATTGGCAATTTTCAACCATGAGTTTTTCCCACCTGCAGATTCTGACCTTGGAACTTTATTGTTAATAAAATTTCTCCCAACTTCAAGGGCAGCTGCCCTGACAATTGGGCTTTTGGCCAGCATGGCCTGTCTAGTCTTCCTGGAGTAAATTTTGACCAGAAACCAGAAATAATCAAGCTTTTAAAGAACAATTTCTAAAGAAAGACTGGCTATTTATTGACTCTTTTCTTGGGTCACCATAAAATCTTTCTTTGACTCTTAGCCAAGTCATGAATATTCTCTTGACGTCCTTGGTATCCCAGTTTTGGTCTGTGTAAAATATTACTGAACATAAAGATTTCCAGGGGAAGCTGTTGAAAATCATATTAAGATACACATAGCCGGCCCTACTTAAAAGCTGGATTGCATTGAGTAAAGTGAGCACAGATACTTTCCAACAGTCTGTCTCCAAAGGTTCTCACTAAGTTGACTTGAAATCAGTAATTGGGGGTGCAGTTATAAGAAACAGTTATTAGAAACAGTTATTCCTAGGGTGATCAATTCATTGTGGTTTGCCTGCGCCCCTTCCCAGTTCTAGTACTAAAATTTCCGTGTCCCCAAATACCCTCAGTCCTGGGAAACCAAGACAGTTGATGACACTACATATTTCTGATGGTTATGTTTCCAGAAGCCTAATTAATCCTTGATATAGCTGAAATTTAGTCCTGGATCATGGTTAAGATAAGATAGGTACTGTGGTAAGTTTGTAAATTTCAGGACTGATTAAGGAAAAGATGAGATGGCAATATTGCACAACAAGCTTATTTGATAGTGCTGTGACAAGGTTGCATAAGAAAGAAAGGGTGTTCTTCCTACCAAGAGCTGATCTAGAGAGAGCTGCAGGCATGGGGCCACCACCTGGAAGGGAAGAGGGAAAGAGAGCACTGAGTGGAGAGGGAAATGGGAGAGGAGGTACACGGGTCTAGGCAGTGTCACTCAGCAGCAAGGTGGGGAGCCTCTGGGTCAGAGTTCTGAAGAGCAGCAGGTCTGTTGGGGTTTTTAGTAGCTACAGAATGTATCTTATATATGGTTAACAGGTGTTGGGTGCAGTTTTGTGGGGTGTGCAAAGAAGTCAGGCTCTAATGGTCTAAAAATAGGCTTATTGGGGCTATATTTAAAGTAATATGTGTAAAAATTTGAATTGGTGCTGGCAGGCTTCGAGTTCATGGTCCTAGCCTGCTGCGAAGAAGTTCAACACATGAGGACCAAGAAACAGGGCCCATCTTTGACCCATTTACATCACATATGCATTCAGATTCCTTTTTGTTTGTTTATTTGTTTGTTTCCAGTTTCCAAAGGCTTTATTGGTAAATATTCTTTAGAAAAGAATGATCAATCCTGTTGCTTCCAAGTCAATGGAATGAAGAACCATGTCCAGGGACACTCCAAGCAGTGCTGAAGAAGACCGCTGCTGTGTCCACCTCTTGTTCATAGGCCCAGTCATAAGCACAAGACTTGTAATCAACCAGCTCTTCAGGTTAAGTTTTTCCCACCCACAGACTCTGACCTTGGAAATATGTAGTGCCATCAACTGTCTTGGTTTCCCAGGGCTGAGGGTATTTGGGGACATGGAGCCATAAACCATAGGCTGATTTATTTTTCAGCACTTTTTACTGAGTCACTGCCATGAATGATGTCCCTGCCAACCTGAATGCAGAAGTCCCCGCCACTGGTGCCTGGCTTAGAATCCGTTGGATTGGTCTCCCAAGCATCACTCGGCCTGTCTCCACTACACTCAGTCCCTCCTCCATGGCCATGAGTTCATGTACTTCACCAGCCCAGGGAGGAATGGACAGTCTTTCAGGTCAGGGTAGAGCTGCTTCAGGTGTTCCTCAGAGGCCCAAAGGTGGAATCCCTTCAGCTCAAAGTGCCTCATGACATTGCCCAGCAGGCCCCACCGCACACCGTGTGGCTTCATGGAGATAAAGGTGCGCTCGAGGTTGGACATGGTCTGGGAAGCTGATGGGGCAGGCAGTGGCTGCACTGCAGGAGCTGAGAGCTGCAGTGACCTGCACCCAGATTTCCTATCATGAGCATTAGAACACATATCTCTCCTGCTTCAGCCTTGCCAGTAAGAACAAGAACTCTCCTCTGCAGATAGCCCCTGCCTCACTCCTTCCCATTCTTGTGCTTCCTTCTTCATATACCAGTGATGAATTTCCCATGACTTGGGGAGAAAAATCCAACTGGAAGTGGAAGGAGATAGTAGTGGTGGTGGTGGAGGGGGTGGTGCGGGGTAGAGGAAGAGTTAGTGATGAATCATGAATACTTAGGTAATATAATGGGACAGGCTTGGGCAGGAAGAAACACTGGGGCAGGACAGTTCATGTGAAGAAAAAAAATGTTGTTCTGGGAGATGCAGGTCAGAGCAGGGCCGTTAAGTCAAAACCACCGGCACTGTAGAGATGAATATTGTAACCAGCTTTTATTTTAATTCAGGCTGTCCCCACATCCAACCCCCCTTTTTTAATTTGCAAGAATCCTCCACCTTGTGTGGTGTCCGTGGGATGTGGTACCTCAACTCTTACCAAAGAATATCAGGATGAAGTCTTCCTCCTTCACGCCCATCATGGAGGTGGGAGCACATGACCCAAGCTGGTTAATCCAATGCCCAGGGACCAGAGTTGAAGGGCAGTTAGCATCTTTCACCGTGTACCACATGGTTATGGTACCCAGCGATAGAAGAGGCATTCAGTACTGGCACGTCCTCTGGAAGTGGAGAGCTGATTTTGGATAGCCCTGGTCAGTTGCTGTTACTTGCATCAAACAGTCCTGATTACATCATGACCTCTCTTTGATCCAGAAGCTGTAAATTTCTACATGCCTTCAGGCAAACTCAGCTCTGTCTTCAAATAAAATAGAGGCAAATCAGATAGCTTTTTTCCCCTTAAAGACAAATTCCTTCCAAGGATTATCAATATATTTATTAATCTCTTCTCTTTATGGGCAGAAAAAAAGTCCCCATGAATTTAAAATGTGAAAATATATTTATTGACTTAAAGATATAATAATTTTAGGGAAGCAAAATAGTTGTGTTCAATTATTTTCACAGCAAGATGCCTGTAAAATGTATATAATTGGATTGATTGGCACTGTTAATGACTCTTCAGATATGTACAAATCTAGTCATACGCTCTAAAATTTGCAGAGACAAATCAATTTAATATGCTTTATTCACTTTCTAAGTTTAACATTGGGATATATTGTGATTGAATAAAACATTCAGATGTGCTCTAATTTACATTTTGCCCACAAAATAATTCCCAATTCTGCTTCATTCATACCATTGTTTAGTATTGTGGTTGTGTTCATCATTTCTTAGCAAGGAGAACATAAGTTTCATCTATTACCAGCTGAATGATTTGACTCAAAAGGCAATTAAAAATCACACTCTTGGGAGGCCAAGGCAGGTAGATCATGAGGTCAGGAGATCGAGACCATCCTGGCTAACACAGTGAAACCCCATCTCTACTACTGAAACTACACACACACACACACACACACACACACACACACACACACACACACACAGAGAATTAGCCGGGCATGGTGGCATGTGCCTGTATTCCCAGCTATTCGGGAGACTGAGGCAGGAAAATTGCTTGAACCCCGGAGGCGGAGGTTGCAGCAAGCCAAGATCACGCCACTGCACTCCAGCCTGGGCGACAGAGCGAGACTCCATCTCAAAAAAAAAAAAAAAATCACATTCAACCTAGACAGTGTTACCAGTTGAGCCACAGGTCAAGCCCAGGTTTAATGTAAAAGAGGACCACACTGGGAGTAGGCATGAAAACTGAGAGTCATGGTCCATTGGACACCATCTTTGAATGACTCACTTGGCCGCCTGCTTTTTATTTTCTCTATAAAATGGATTAACTATTGCCTGACTGTCAATCACTATCACTTTCAAGATATCTTCACTTAATAACAGGTTGTTATGAGGATTAAATAAAGCTTGGGAAAATTCTAGTGACTGCTCCCTATGGATGAACAGAGATAGACTTAAACTTGAAATGATACAAATCTAGTGAGCATAGAAAAATTCTGGATCCGAAGACTTCAGTGGGTTAAAAGGATGGACTTACTTTAGGAACATGCAATTCAATAGAGGTAGAAGAAAACTCCAACAGTTGGATCTATAAATACTAATGAAAAAATTGATGAGTAGATGAATGACTTAAGAGACCAATGTGGAAAAGAATGAAAGGTTTAAGTAGATAATAAAACAGTGAGATATGAAGAACTAAAAATACTTCATCCAGATTTTTTTAAATGCTTCAGTGGGACATAGTAGTTTTCTTCAAATATGTGAAGACTTTCATAAGCAGACATGGTAGACTTGCTCTTGAAAGGCGTATCAGCGGGTTAGAGGTGAAAGTCTGCAAGAACAATTCTGGCTACTCAAGAGATTTTCCAACTTGGCAAGAATGGAAAGAACCTTGGGACATAGTCTTGAGCTGCCCATCACTCTCAGGGCTTAAACGAGATTGAATATTCATTGCTGAAAATGTCAAAAAAGGGATTCAAAGATCAGTCAGCTGGCCAAGCAAGGTGATCTTTAGAGTGCCCTTCCAAACCTGAGATTCTAGATTTCCAAGCCTTGACTCTTAACATCTGTCATGGAACCATTATAGCACCATCTGCCCAATTTCCCCGCTGATGATTTCACCTGACTATGTAATCCTGGAAGAGGGGTGATGCCCATTAACTTGTAGTTGGTTTATATAAGCTAGAGCAAGCTGTGTGGTTTGAATCATGTATGTGTCCATAGGAATCTAAAATAATTGGCCAACTGTAAGCAGTGTTGTTGAATTTCATATTTGGTGAATATGTAAAATGCTTTGAATTACATTGAAACTTCCTAAGTTAACTTTAATATGTTCATGGACATTCATTATTTTCTCGTATTTCCACAAGTTAGAGATAGCTTTCCAATGGACAAATCTTTGCCTTTTATCTTAAGGAGCTGAGGTGATTCAAGCAAGCCATTTGGAAGTTCATAATTTTGTGGTTTTTTCCTTGTAAAATTGTCTTCACGAAGGAATTAAGTAAGCAATATTTGTTTTCATTGAGAATATAATTTTATTTACAACTGATCTATTGTAGAATTTGGGTTCAACCTAGGAAATTATTTTCCTCACATAAGAAAAAATACATCCAGTTTCTTGCTAGAAAAATAATCACTACTTGTTTTGTACATTTAAAATCATGAATTTCTATTCTACTGGTTGTCAAAATAAAGTTAATTTAACTTATTTTTTCCTCTGCCCTTGGCCCTTTTGGAGGGAGACTGGTCATTCCACAGTCGTTCATTCAAGCTTTGGCCACTAGGTGGAGTACTAGTTAAACATTGGCTGGCCTGCTTGCAATCTCACCTTGCACTTGAAAAACGCCAATTTTTTAGTCTTGTTATCAAAAGACCAATTTCATTCACTTTAAAATAATTGTATTTATTCTAGCATTTGTCTCACATGGAAGCATATATATTTTTTATCTGGTAAATAATTTTTTATGTTGTCCTGTAAGAAAATAAGCCACTTAATAAAATGAGTTCCTCATCAAGGGAGCTGTGCAAGCGGAGGCCAGACAACCACTTGGCAGACAAGTTAGAAACAGAATGACGTTTTCACTGTAAATATTTTCGTGTGTAGTATTTTCTGAAAACAAGGACATTCTCTTACATAACCAGAGTGCGATGACCAATACCGTTATCTTACCCAGGGGGTAGCAAGTTTTGGCCTGAAACTCAGTCAAATCCAGCCCACCATCTATTTTTGCAGGGCGCCCTAGGTAAGAATGCTTTTAGATAGTTAAGCTCTTTCTTTCCTTCCTTCTTTCCTTTCTTTCTTTCTTTCCTTTTTTTCTTTTCTTTTTCTTTCTCTCTTTCTCTTTCTTTTCTCTCTCCTTCCTTCCTTCTTTCTTTTCTTTCTTCTTGCTCTGTTGCCCAGACTGCAGTGCAGTGGCACGATGTCGGCTCACTGCAACCTCCGCCTCCTGGGTTCAAACGATTCTCATGCCTCAGCCTCCTGAGTAGCTGAGATTACAGGCGTGTGACACCATGCCCAGCTAATTTTTGTAGAGATGGGGTTTCATCACGTTGGCCAGGCTGGTCTCGAACTCCTGACCTCAAGTGATCCAGCGGCCTCGGCCTCCCAAAGTGCTGGAATGACAGGCATGAGCCACCGCACCCAGCCAGTTAAGCACTATTTAACACATGAAAGTTATATGATATTCACGTTTCAATGTTCATACACTAGATTTATCAGAACTCAGCATGCTCATTTGTTCACACGTCTGTGCCTGCTTTTGTGCTGCACATGCAGAATTTACTGCTTGTGACAGAGACCTGCCAAGGTTCTCTCACCGTTTGGTCTACAGAGCCTAAAATAGTTACTCTCTGGCCCTTTACAAAGAAAGCTTGCAGATCCCTGATCTAATCAACAAACATTATTCAAATCTTTCCAATTGTCCCACTAATGTCCTTTATTTGGCCTGGAATCCAACCTAATTATTTAACTTCTGTGGACCTTGGTTTCTCTCTTTGTGCGATTAAAATAGTAATAGATCTTTCCCATTTAATTTTTGTGAAAATTTTATGAGTTGATCCAATAAATCTCTTGGAACAATGTTTGGCCTATAGAATAACCACCACATTAAGTGTTGGCAATTGTTACTACTTCAATCTTAGTTTTACTTTTCATTTTTAAAAATTCATATATTTGGCCAGGCGCAGTGGCTCATGCCTGTAATCCAGCACTTTCAGAGACTGAGGCAGGAGGATCACTTGAGCCCAGGAATGTGAGACCAGCCTGGGCAACATAGCAAGACCCCATTTCTACAGAAAAAGCAAAAAATAATTATCTGGGCATGGTGACACATGTCTGCAATCCCAGCTACTCAGGAGGCTGAGGTGGGAGGATCGCTTGAGCATAGGAGGTTGAGGCCGCAGTGAGCCATGATTGCACCACTGCATTCTAGCCTGGGCAACAGAGTGAGACCCTGCCTCAAAAAATAAATAAAATAATATATGTATTTTTAAAATTAAGCAATACATACATTCAGTACAAAAGTTAAATGGTACACATACAAAAGAGAATGCTGCGAAATGTAAGTTTCCCTGCTACTCTCTCCAAAGGCTACTGCTTTGGGAAATTTTAAATAACTACGTAGTACTACATGGTATTTTTAAAAAACTTTTTATTTTTTTTTGAGACGGAGTTTCACTCTTCTTGCCCAGTCTGGAGTGCAATGGCAGGATCTTAGCTCACCGCAACCTCCGCCTCCTGGGTTCAAGTGATTCTCCTGCCTCAGCCTCCTGAGTAGCTGGGATTAAAGGCATGTGCCACCACACCTGGCTAATTTTGTATTTTTAGTAGAGTTTCTCCATGTTGGTCAGGCTGGTCTAGAACTCCCGATTTCTGGTAATCTGCCCACCTCGGCCTCCCAAAGTGCTGGGATTATAGGCGTGAGCCACTGCACCCTGCCAAAAATCTTTTTAAAATTAATTATTATTATTGTTATTTTTTTTCAAGATAGAGTCTCCCTCTGTTACCCAGGCTGGAGTGCAGTGGCATGATCTTGGCTGACTGAAAACTCCACCTCCTAGGTTCAAGCGATTCTCCTACCTCAGCTTCCCAAGTAGCTGGGATTATAGGCATGTGACACCACACCCAACTAATTTTTGTGTTTTTAGTCGAGACGGGGTTTCAGCATACTGGCCAGACTGGTCTTGAACTCCTGGCCTCAAGTGATCCGCCCACCTTGGCCTCCCAAAGTGCTGGGATTACAGGCATGAGCCACTGTGCCCAGCCACTGCATGGTATTTAACCAGTGCCTTGTTGGTGTACTTTTAGGTCACTCCCAATTTTTTGCTATTATAGTTACGAAAATATTCTTGTGTTTGTGTATAGACTAAATTCCTCAGTGTGATATGGAAGTACTGGGAAGGAAAGAGCATGATGCCTTTAAATGATATGAAAGCAAGGAAAGGAAGTGCTGGGTAGAGGAGGGCATGGTCCCTGTCTAGGACTCCACCCCCACAGACCTAGATGAGGACAGGCATTTCCTGCCCAAATGTTGCATTTCCCAAGACCACCCTGGCCTGCCACACCCCCATCCTGTGTCTATAAAAACCCGAGACCCTAGCAAGACAGACATACAAGCTGCTGGATGTTGAGCACATAGATGGAGGAACGCATGGGTGGCTGGATGTCAAGAGGAATGTACCAACAGTCACCAACAGAACAATGAGGAGTTTTGCTGGGGCAGTCAGAGGAGAGCCCAGGCTGCTGAGCAGTCCGACTCCAGGGGAAAACCTTCCCACTATATCCCCTTCTGACTTCCCCCAAGTTACCTCCACTCAGTAAAACCTTGCACTCATTCTCCAAGCCCAGGTGTGATCTGATTCCTCCAGTACACCAAGGCAAGAAACCAGGATACAGAAAGCTTTCTGTGCTTGTGACAAAGTAGAGTTTAACTAAGCTGGTTAACACAAGCCACCTACAGACGGTGAAATTAAAAGAGCAAAGCTAAAAGGGCACCCTGTAACACACGCCACTGGGGCTTCTTAGGAGTCGTAAACATTCACCCCTAGACACTGCAGTGGGGTTGCAGCCCCACAGCCTGCCATTCTGTATGCTCCTCTAGAGGTTTGAGCAGCAGGGCACTGAAGAAGCAAGCCACATCCCCATAACATGCCTTACGAGGGGGACAAGGGAACTTTTCCCATTTCTACTGGGGGCTTGTGAAGGACATGAATATCTTTATTTTTGAGAGTTGTTACCAAATTTCCCGTTTCAGAGATTGTTCCAATTTACAGTCTCACTGGCAGCATATGAGGGAATATGTTTCTTCCAATTATGAGATTATCATTTTAGGAGTTTAACAAACTGATGGCTGAAAATTGGTAGTTCCCTTTTTAATTTAAAAATCTCTTATTATTAGTGGAAATGAACATCATTATCTATTAAGAATCAGTTGTATTTCCTCTTCCGTGAACACTCTATTCATATTCTTTGACCAATTTTTAAAAACATTGGACATTTTCTTATGAGTTACAGATATTAGACATTTACAAAATTACGGCTGGGTGCGGTGGCTCACGCCTGTAATCCCAGCACTTTGGGAGGCCAAGGTGGGCGGATCACGAGGTCAGGAGTTCGAGATCAGCCTGACCAACATGGTGAAATCCCGTCTCTGCTAAAAATACAAAAATTAGCCAGGCGTGGTGGTGCTCTCCTGTAATCCCAGCTACTCAGGAGGCTGAGGCAGGAGAATCGCTTGAACCTGGGAGGCAGAGGTTGCAGTGAGACAAGATCATGCCACTGCACTCCAGCGTAAGTGAGAGCGAGACTCTGTCTCAAAAAAAAAAAAGAAAAAAAATTACTCTGTGATATGAACTGTATTTTTAGCCCAAATTGTCAATTGTTTTTCAATTTTGTTTATGGTGATTTTTAAATCATTTGAACTTTACTGTAAAGATACAGAATGATAATATGATACTTTATGGAAAGTTCCAAATTAGCATAAAAATCTCAGCTGGTGAAATGTCTTGACTTACTGGGGGGCAGTGGAGTGGCATGCAAAGAACCTGGGCTTTGGGCGTGGCTAAGCTTGGGTTGAATCTTCTGCTTACTAGTGGTGTAGCCTTTCTGAACCTGTTTCCTGATCTGTGCAACAGGGAACAAAGATGGCAGAATATGCCACTCTAAAACATGTCTCTCTGGCATAGGGATTAGTTTGAGCGGAAAGCACTTGAAAAGTAGCAAATGCAAGGAGAAGCTTTCTTTGAACTCCTCTTATTTGCCTAAAGATAGAAACTCCAAAAGGAACTCAGTTGTCATCAATCCCCTCCCCAGGAGTTTGATCAACCAGGGAAGATCAACTTTGATCACAAAATAGGAGACAAGAAGTCAGCACCGCACTCAGACAAACTTTGTCATGAACTATTAATGGGGTTCTGGACACAGTACCCCAAAATATGTTACCTTGGTGATATGGTTTGGCTGTGTCCCCACCCAAATCTCAACTTGAATTGTATCTCCCAGAATTCCCACATGTTGTGGGAGGGAACATGGGGGAGGTAATTCAATCATGGGGTCCAGTCTTTCCCATGATATTCTTGTGATAGTGAATAACTCTCCTGAGATCTGATGGGTTTATCAGGGGTTTCCACTTTTGCTTCTTCCTTATTTTTCTCTTGCCACTGTCATGTAAGAAATGCCTTTTGCCTCCTGCCATGATTCTGAGGCCTCCCCAGCCATGTGGAACTGTAAGTCCAGTTAAACCTCTTTTTCTTCCCAGTCTTGGGCATGTCTATCAGCAGACTGAAAACAAACTAATACAGTGAACTGGTACCAGTAGAGTGGGGTACTACTGAAAAATACCCAAAAATGTGGAAGTGACTTTGGAACTGGGTAGCAGGCAGAGGTTGTAACGGTTTGGAGGCCCCAGAAGAAGACAGGAAAATGTGGGGAAGTTTGGAACTCTCTAGAGACTTGTTGAACGGCTTTGCCCAAAATGCTGATAGCGATATGGACAATAAAGTCCAGGCTGAGGTGGTCTCGGATGGAGATGAGGAACTTATTGG
This sequence comes from Homo sapiens, assembly GCF_000001405.40. Taxonomy (NCBI): domain Eukaryota; kingdom Metazoa; phylum Chordata; class Mammalia; order Primates; family Hominidae; genus Homo; species Homo sapiens. The sequence continues at coordinate 72,266,812 of NC_000009.12, read as the reverse complement.
GAACTGGAACAAAGGTGACTTTTGTTATGTTTTAGCAAAGAGACTGGCAGCATTTTGCCTATGCCTAGAGATTTGTGGAACTTTGAACTTGGGAGAGATGATTTAGGGTATCTGGTGGAAGAAATTTCTAAGCATCAAAGCATTCAAGAGGTGATTTGTGTGCTGTTAAAGGCATTCAGTTTTATAAGGGAAACAGAGCATAAAAGTTCAGAAAATTTGCAGCCTGACAATGTGATAGAGAAGAAAAGCCCATTTTCTGGGGAGAAATGTAAGCTGGCTGCAGAAATTTGCATAAGTAGCAAGGAGCCTAATGTTAATACCCAAGACCATGGGGAAAATGTCTCCAGGTCATGTCAGAGACCTTCACGGCAGCGACCCCCATCACAAGCCCAGAAGCCCAGGAGGAAAAAATGGTTTCCTGGGCCAGGACCAGGGTCCCCGTGCTGTGTGCAGCCTAGGGACTTGGTGCCCTATGTCCTAGCCCCCCCAGCCATGGCTGAAAGGGGCCAACATACAGCTTGGGCTGGTGCTTCAGAGGGTGGAAGCCCCAAGCCTTGGCAGCTTCCAAGTGGTGTTGAGCCTGTGGGTGCACAGAAGTTAAGAATTGAGGTTTGGGAACCTCTGCCTAGATTTCAGAAGATGCATGGCAACGACCAGATGCCCAGGCAAAAGTTTGCTGCAGGGGCGGGACCCTCATGGAGAACCTCTGCTAGGGCAGTGTGGAAGGGAAATGTGGGGTTGGAGCCCCCACACAGAGTCCCTACTGGGGCACTGCCTAGTGGAGCTGTGAGAAGAGGGCCACCGTCCTCCAGACCCCAGAATGGTAGATCCACTGACAGCTTCCACTGTGTGCCTAGAAAAGCCACAGACACTCAACACCAGCCTGTGAAAGCAGCCAGGAGGGAGGCTGTACCCTGCAGAGCCACAGGGGCAGAGCTGCCCAAGACCATGGGAACCCACCTTGTGCATCAGTGTGACCTGGATGTGAGACCTGGAGTCAAAGGGGATAATTTTGGAACTTTAAAATTTGACTGTCCCACAGGATTTTGGACTTGCATGGGCCCTGTAACCCCTTTGTTTTGGCCAGTGTCTTGCATTTGGAATGGCTGTATTTACCCCCATTGCATCTAGGAAGTAACTAGCTTGCTTTTGATTTTATAGGCTCATAGGCAGAAGGGACTTACCATATCTCAGATGAGACGTTGGGCAGTGACTTTTGGGTTAATGCTGAAATAAGACTTTGCGGGACTGTTGGGAAGGCATAATAGGTTTCAAAATGTGAGGACATGAGATTTGGAGGGGCCAAGGGTGGAATGATATGGTTTGGCTGTGTCCCCACCCAAATCTCACCTTGAATTGAATCTCCCAGAATTCCCACATGTTGTGGGAGGGAACCTGGGGGAGGTAATTCAATCATTGAGGCTGATCTTTCCCGTGCTATTCTCATGATAGTGAATAAGTCTCATGAGATGGGTTTATCAGGGGTTTCCACTTTTGCTTTTTCCTCATTTTCTCTTGATGCCACCATGTAAGAAGTGCCTTTCACCTCTCACTATGATTCTGAGGCCTTCCCAGCTATGTGAAACTGTTAAGTCCAATTAAACCTCTTTTTCTTCCCAGTCTCAGGTATGTCTTTATCAGCAGCCTGAAAACTGATTAATACGCTTGGCTTTTGAGAAAACAGCAGAAGCAGGAAGGTTACTCTCTGACCTTCTCCCACCCATCTCCCCTGAGGTAGGTCAAAAAAGAATCCTCTGACCTTCCTCTGAAGCAGGTCATAAGACCCTCATTCTAGGGGTGGCCTCCCTATACCTGGAGAAAAGGAAATGTCCTTATCTCTGAAGACACAGGGACACAGAGAAGAATCTGACCAGACAGGCCTTGCTAAGTTCCCCCCAGTTTATTACCACTAGATTATATTTCCTTTGCCCAATTATACTTCTTCTGCACAACTGTCCACTTCATCAAGTCAAGCATAAAATACACACAGGTTTACCTGTTTCTTTGGGTCTTCATTTCTGAAGGCCCCTATGTCACATAAACTTATATTAAATACATTTGTATATTTTTCTCTTGTTAATCTGCCTTTGTTATAGGGGCCTCAGCCATGAACCTAGCAAGGGATAAAAATAGACATCTTTTCTTCCCTGCATTATCATATCTCCCATTTATTCTTCCAAGAGCCATTCATCTTTCCTAAAAATCACTTAGTCTCCCTTAAGTGGCTGACATCTCTCCTCCCCATCTCCTATTAAAAGAGTATACACACTCTCTAATCTCGGCACATTTGGGGGTATTCACATGTTTCCTGTGAGGCCCCCACACACCTAATAATAAAAATTAATAATTGTGGCCAGGTGCAGTGGCTCACGCCTATAATCCCAGCACTTTAGAGGGCAGACGCAGACAGATAGCTTGAGCTCACAAGTTTGAGACCAGCCTGGGCAACATGGCGAAACCCCATCTCTACAAGAAAATACAAAAATGAGCCAGGCATGGTGGCATGTTCCTGTAGTCCCATCTACTTGGGAGGCTGAGGTGGGAGGATGGTTTGTGGAGGTTTCAGTGAGTCGAGATTATGCCACTGGGAGGCGGAGATTGCAGTGAGTCGAGATTGCGCCACTGTACTCCAGCCTGGGTGATAGAACCAGACCTTGTCTCAAAAAAAAAAAAAAAAAAATCATGTATACTTTTTCTCCCGTTGATCTGCTGGATGTAAGTCTATCTTATTGACCCAGCTATGGAACCTAGGAGGGTAGAGGAAAAAATCTTTCCTCCCCTATAGGATAAATGACCTACCTCATAGGGTGGTAGTGAGGATGAGAGAAAATGGTGCATGGCTAGGAGCAGTGCCTTATGGCACCCAGAATCCAACCACTTCCTTCCACCTCCACTGCCACTGCAGTGGGCTGAGCACCATCATCTCCTCACACACCCCATAGTCTATTCTGCACACTGCAGCCACAGATCCTGTTAACATTTAAGTCATATCACATCTGCTCAAAGCTTCCAACAACTCTCATCTCCTGGAGTAAGATCCAAGGTCATCAGAGTGGCCTCAAAGTTCACAAGATCATCCCCCACTCCAGCTACTGTCACTGTGTTGACTTTTGTCATGCAAAAATTTTTTTGTTTGTATAGCCAAATTTATCAACCTATCAAGTGTTTGGGTAGTCAACTATATCGATCTATCTTATATGGCATGTGAGTTTTGAGTCTTGCCTTCCCCATATGAGAGTAGAAAAAGGATTCTCCCATGTTTTCTTTTTAGTATCATTATTATTTCATATTTTATACCTGAAGCTTTGATTAAATCAGATTGAATTAGAATTAGTTTGAATTATATTTATTCTAGTGTGACGTATGAGAAAAGGAGTCCAAATTTTTCTTGCCAGAAGATTACCTGATTGTCCCAAATCTATTTATTAAGTAAATAGATGTTTTGCTTTTCAATGTTAAATGGGATTCTATTCTTTGACTATATCATAATGTATTTTCCAATCCCCTATTGCTGGGCACCAAGGTTATTTCTCTTTTTTGTTTTTTGCTATTTTAAATAGTGCTGAAGTACACAATAGTGAGTTTCTACTTACAATGTTGAAACTTGAACTAAATATTTAAGGATTTTTTTTTTTTTTTTTGAGATGGTGTCTCGCTGTGTCTCCCAGGCTGGAGTGCAGTGGAGCGATCTCGGCTCACTGCAAGCTCCGCCTCCTGGATTCACACCATTCTCCTGCCTCAGTCTCCCAAGTAGCTGGGACTACAGGCACCCGCCACCACACCCGGCTATTTTTTTTGTATTTTTAGTAGAGACGGGGTTTCACTGTGTTAGCCAGGATGGTCTCGATCTCCTGACCTCGTGATCCGCTCACCTCGGCCTCCCAAAGTGCTGGGATTACAGGCATGAGCCACCACGCCCGGCCGGATGATTCTCAACTGTATTTGTACTCTCAAATGCTATGAAAATAAAAATGAGAAAGGAAGAACAAGTAGTCATACCTTATTTTCTGCTTTAGAACTCATTAGAATTGAGCAGTTTCAGAAAGGCCACTGAAGTACTAGTTATAGAGACAGAAAAGTTGCAGATTAGTTTGAGGAAAGTTTAATAAGTTGGAAAGTCAGTGCTTTTTCTAAATCATACCTGAAATCCCATCATTCATTTCAAGTTGTGACTTTGCATCTCCGAGAATACTTTGTAAAAATGGAAATGTCTTTGTTTAGGCATGACACTGAGGATATGGCACTGGTACCTCATACAGGATTGGTTTCACATGTTAATACCAATGTGAAACCTGGCTGAGATTGAAGGGTTAAAAGAATTTTGGGAAGCCATTGAGGAAAAAAATGTGGAAAAAAAAATCTAGTCAATAGTTTGTCACTGTGGGCAGAATCTTATCCAATCAATTTGGCTTTGGATAATAGAACAAGCTTTAGTCCAGTCCAGAAAGGTAGGAGAGGAAAGCAGGAAATTCTGGTCCTTCCCAGTGTGGGGGCTGTACCTGGCTGAGATGTCATAACTCAGAGGAAGTGATACCATCCTATCACGGACTGCAGAGTCCAGTGGCATAAGTCACTCATCCTGTCCTCTCATAAACTGTAAAGGGACATTCAGCTACTATTAGTACGTAGCTGAGAGGCTGGCAGGAGGTGGCAGTTATTTAAAGGCAGATGGTTATTTCACAAGTGTTAAGTAGAAACATAAAAAATACTAATTGGATAGTCAGACCAACTGATTATAGTAACAGGGTTTTGTTTCACCTCTTCACTGAAGAATTATAACTCAAACTTGTCGTGTTGCATAGTGGCAAGAAGACCCCACCTTCATTCCCACCCAATTCAAGAAATCAGCTGCCTGTTTGCTATGGTCATAGGGAATAACAAAATTCCGTTTTAATGGCAAGTAGATCTTTAGTCAAGGGTTGTATGATTAGCAAAAAGAAGAAGGAGGAGGAGAAGGAAGAGGAGGAGGAGGAAGAAGGAGGAGGAGGGGGAGGGGGAGGGAAGGAAGGAGAAGTAGAAAGAAGAGGAAGAAGAAGAAAAGAAAGAGAAGGAGGAGAAGAAGGAAGAAGAAAAGAAGAAGAAGAGGAGGAAGAAGAAGAAGAAGAAGGGGAGGAAGAAGAAGAAGAGGAGGAGGAGGAAGAAGAAGAATTTTTATTCTTTTTTAAAATTATTTTTGAGATGGAGTCTCGCCCTGTCGCCAGGCTGAAGTGCAGTGGCGCAATCTCAGCTCACGGCAACCTCCGCCTCCCGGGTTCAAGCGATTCTCCTGCCTCAGCCTCCCAAGTAGCTAGAATTATTATTTAATAAAATAAATCTTATGAGACCCAGCCCTTTGAGAGCCTTAACTGAAGGCAAAAAAAATGTTATTAAGAGGCCAACCCAGCTTCTGTTTTTCTCTGGGGCCTTGAAGTCTCTTCCATTTCTCCTGCTTCTACCTGGAGTTTGAATCTGATTTCTCATCTGGCCCATTGGTGGCTCCAAACAGCCACAGGCAAATGGGAACCTTGGCCCCTGAATTCAAATGTCGTATGTGTCCAGTGACTCCAGCAAACTCTCTCAGCTTATTTGGGTCCTGAATCCAAATGCCAGTGTCTAGTTCATTAATAATCCTCTTGGAGCTAGTGTCATGCCAAAGGAGCATGGGGTCTGAACGAACCTTAGCTCTCTCATGTCCTAGTTTTGCAGTGGCTTAACCTCTCTGAGCCTCAGTTGACCCAATTGTAAAACTGGGGTAGTACAAATTCACAATTCTTATCTGAAACCCTTGGATCAGACATGTTTTAGAATTAAGAATTTCTCCCCCCAAAATACTGTGCTTCTACCTGCAGGTTGAATCTGCTTTCTCATCTGGCCCACTGATGGCTCCAAACAGCCACATGTAAATGAGGAATTCAAATGTTATATGTGCCCAGTGCCTCCAGCAAACCCTCTCAGCTTATTTGGGTCCTGAATCCAAATTCCAGGAAGAGAGAATTGCACTGGTCTAGCTCGGATCAGTACTTCTTATACTTGGCCAATCATCTGTGATGGTGAGGGATGGGATGTCAGAGTAAAACATACTGCCGTTTTCCAGTATGAGCATGAGGAAAAGGCAGGAAATCCAAAAGCAGAGTATGGCCAGTGTGGAGAAATGGCTATCACCCTTGTAAGGGACAGTTCAGCCAAGGCTGCCGACTGGCAATTTAGGTCATGCAAATTTTTTTCCATAAATTAAGACTTTTTTGATTGCATAAAAATTAGAAATGTCTAACAAAGAACCTCCTAAACAGAATAATTAAGCCTTGGAAAATTACCTATGTAACAAAACTGCACATTCTGCACATGTACCTCAGAACTTAAATAATAAAAAATTTAAAAATACATGATATTTGCACATGTATTTGTCCTTGTTTTTCTCCTTTAAGCCTTTATAAGTGAACAGCGTCAATGAGTTTCTTCAAATAGACTTCTGTCAGTCTAGGTGATCTCCATTTTTTTTTTTTTTTTTGGGTGGGGGGTCTAATTTCAAATCACCATCATCCATGTAATCTATTCTAAAGACAGAAGGAAAACTTATATTTAGTGCAGTTTTGGATATTTTAACAGGCTTTATCATTTACAAATTATTTCGTTCATGTGTTTGAGTTGTCAGGAATTTTTTTCCTGTACCTTCAGTTCCATGCTCTTTCCTTCCATCCAGAAGCTTCTTGGGAAAGCAACTTGTCTTTCCTAAAAATAAGTGTTTTCACCCAGACCATCCATGATTTCCTCCTGAAGTTGTTTTACTTTCTCTATGGCGTTTTTGGCATTGGTCACTTGGGAGTGACAGGATTTTGATACATCTTTGAGTGACTGTGTCTATCTTTGAGGTGAAGCCATCATAGCTCCATGAAATGAAAATCTGGGGCTCACTTTTCTGTTCTTTGTGGAGAATGTGTATGACAACCTCAAGTAAAAACTTGAACCTGTTCAAATATTTATTAAGTCCTGCCAAATTCTCTTTGTAACTTCAGAGGAGTGGCTGCTTGATCAACTAGTATAATCAGTCTAATCGATTACACTGACTTTAAGATATTCTTCAACCTGAGCAGAAAATCTTTTGACTAGCTTTTTTTTTCTCCTCCAAGTATGTTGGCTCTTTGCTATAATAATTGGGGCAGCATATATCAGAATCTCCCAGAGAGATTCAAAGAGACTTAGGCCGTGTCTCAAGCATTCACACACCATCTCCAGAGCCCTGCACAGCGGCTCCAGGAACAACTGGCTGGGAAGACATTTTGCTGGCAATCAGCAGGTCTTCCATGGCTTCAAAAGGCACCACTGCTCTGCCTCCAGCTGCCAGTATCCTGTGGGCCACAACTAACCACAAAAAAGCCTGCAGCTGTGGAGCAGTCCGCTTCCAACCCAAACAAGTGCCTGGCATCCAGGACAGGCCATCAGTGGGTTGGGAGCCACATCGTAGAAAGACAGCGCTCTCTGATTTTGATTTGCTCACTGCAAAAATAGAAAGTGGCCAGGCACGGTGGCTCACGCCTGTAATCCCAGCACTTTGGGAGGCCGAGGTGGGAGGATCACAAGGTCAGGAATTCAAGACCAGCCTGGCCAATATGGTGAAACCCCATCTCTACTAAAAATACAAAAAATAGCCAGGCGTGATGGTGCACGCCTGTAGTCCCAGCTACTTGGGAGGCTGAGGCAGAAGAATCGCTTAAACCTGGGAGGCAGAGGTTGCAGTGAGCCGAGATCGTACCACTGCACTCCAGCCTGGGTGACAGAGTGAGACTCTGTCTCAAAAAAAAAAAAAAAAGAGTTATTATTTGTACAGTACATTTGAGCCAGTGGAAAATGCTGATTGCAGCCAGAGGAGATCATTCATGAGCTCTGACCATCCCAATCCCTGGCTGGCCCTGCAAGAAGCCTAGAAGCTAAAGCAGTGCCATGTCATTACCCATTCTGTGCCCACAAGCATGTCAGGTAGTAATGGTGGGGCACACTGCAGCAGAAGACCTGTGTCCACACCCATGGGTGAGGCTCTTTCTTCCGAGTCCAAGCTTCCTTTGGCAGCAGGGAAAGTTTGATCCCACCTACAAAGGTCACAGGACCTCTGTCCACTGAAAGGTCCTCCACCCGTTTGTGTTTGGTCAGTCCAGGTGGGCAGGGACAGAGCCCTGAAAGACCTCAACAAGGGCATAAACTAACAGCCCTGGATTTCAATAACTGAATTAGCAATGTCTTAACATTTCACAGATTTTCTTTGGGGCCAGCTGCCCCATTCCAATCCATGTATTCCTGAATCAGGGGAAGACTCTCCCCCAGTGGTAACTTAAGTGGCCCAGACTCTTTATATCATGTTGCCCTGTCCCGTCCAGCTCATGGCTCCCAAGGGTGCCCTGCAATTGGTCTCCAGTCCACGAAGTCATCTTCAGAAGTGTGACTGCCTCTGCAGAGAAAACAGGTCATTTTTGACTGAATCTACCACCATTTATTTCTTTTCTTCTATTTTCTCTTTTTTTTTCTTTTTGAGGCAGGGTCTTGCTCTGTTGCCCAGGCTGGAGTGCAGTGGCATGATCACAGCTCACTGCAGCCACAACCTCTCAGGCCCAAGTGATCCTCACACCTCAGCCTCCCAAGCAGCTGAGACTACAAGTGTGCACCACCATGCCCAGCTACATTTTTTATTTTTTTGTAGAGATAAGGGTCTCATTATGTTGCCCAGGCTGGTCTCAAACTCCTGGCCTCAAGTGATTTTCCCACCTCAGCCTCCCAAGCTGCCAGGATTATAGGCATGAGTCACCGTACCTGGCCTCCATTTATTTCATTAAACAACATCTCCCTCTCTTAGTATGTCACTAGGATTCTGTCATGACTGACTCATCCTCAGTATCTTTTTTTTTTTTTTTTCGAGACTAGGTCTGGCTCTGTCACCCAGGCTGGAGTGCAGTGGTGTAATCTCGGCTCAATGCAACCTTCACCTCTCAGGCTCAAGCCATCCTCCCACCTCAGCCTCCTGAGTAGCTGGGACTACAGGTGCACACAACCACATCCAGCTTATTTTTGTATTATTTTGTATTTTTTGTAGAGACAGAGTTTTGCCATGTTGCCCAGGCTGGTCTTGAACTCATGAGCTCAAGTGATCCACCCGCCTCAGCCTCCCAAAGTGTTGGGATTACAGGCGTGAGCCACTACCTGTAATCCTATCCTCAGTATCTTTACAAGAGAACTGTCAGCAGAGGCTGATCTGGGGTCTTGGAAGATTCCAGGTTCAGGCTCCAGGTGCCCAGTGGAAGTGGAGGATGGCATCTCTGGCAAGGCTTGCGAGAGGGTAGAGAGTGGCCACATGCCTAATGAAGGAACAATGGTTTATCATTCATTTAAAAAGAAAATGGTCATTTCAAAGTTTATATCCTATCTCTAAAGAATGTACTCACCGTGGGGGAAATAAGAAGGCTACAGAGGATTTTAGGCTGGGCTCTTTGATTTGCAGTGACAGAAACAAAGCTGGAGGTAACTTAAGGCAACCTCGGCTATCAAGGTGCCCCACAATATGTGGAGCAGCAGGAGCCACGGCAGCCCTGGGGCCTCGTGGGAATCAGGGAGTCACCCATGCAGGGGCTACTCTGTCTGTCGCGGGTCCCAGAGTCAGGAAAAGGTCTCCAGGTGTTGATGGGTAGGGTTCACCCTCTCAGGTTTCTGCATGTGGTGGGAACTTGGCTGGCATTTCCTTCCCCACCTGCTGGGGCAAGGCCTCCAATTGGCTGGGTGCAGTAGCTCATGTCTGTAATCCTAGCACTTTAGAATGCTGAGGTGGGAGGATCACTTGAGACCAGGATATCAAGATCAGCCTGGGAAACAACAACAGTTATCTGCCAGTGAATAGGAAAACCACCAATGTACGTGAGACCCACAGTTTCTGCACTCAGTGAGCCTGGTGCCTTCTCTTCATTAGCTTACACACCTGATTATACCTGGTCCTTGTCATACCCAGGATGACTCTCCTCACTACACCCACTGCCTGACCATACCAAGGTATTTGTTGGTAATGCAAATTCTTGGGCCCCAGGACAAACCTACTGAATCAGAATGTATAGGGACAAGGGCCTGGAAACCTTCATTTTGAACCAACACCCATGGTGATTCTTACGAAGACTGGATTCATCCACTTCATTCTTATCTTACTTTTCCAGAAGTCAAGTCTTTATGATGAGCTGCTATTGCTCATGCTGAACGCTCTACTCGAAATACCTTTTTGAGTTTTCACATGGAAAATAAATTCCTACTCTTCTTCCAGGCTTAGATGTCACTTCTGTGAAAGATTCACCACCACACTTAGCCCTATGTATTCTCTGCGGACTATGTACCCAACAGAACCAGTTTCCCCCTTAAACACCCTTAGCTCTCTATACATCTGTCATAAACATAACATATTGTCTATGTGTTTCCTCTCACCTCCCATCCCAGACTGTGAGTTCTTCAAAGAGATGAATGTTATTTTTAATCCTCAGAACTGACCCATACCTGGTATTTATTATGAAATGTTGCTTAAATGAATGTTGATTAAAATTTACAACTTCATGATTAGTAAATTAAATATGACTTAATAGGCCATTATTTTGTTTTCTGCAGGTACAGATTTCTATCTTTCAAAAAACCAACTAATTAACCATTTTTAAATCTTTCAAAAAACCAACTAATTAACCTTTTTTAAGTATGAAATTTACAAAGACATAAAAAGCATAAGAGAACAGCCAAGTATATTTCAGAGCAAACTGACTGATTAATTATAATTTCTTTTGGATTAAATTATGCCATGTTAAATGGTCTACAGTACTACAAACAACATTAAATGAGTTTTTATATGCATTTATACTGACTTCTTATTTAGTCTGGGCAATAATTTTCTAGGGAATGTGAAAATTTTCTAGGGAATGTGAGTCTCATCATGAGTTTCCCCCATAAGTTACAATAAATAATACATCCATAAGAGATTGCAAAATTGTCCTGGATGACATAAAAAGCCTATTACCCAGCTTTAATAAATAAACAAACAACCTAAACTCCATAGCTTCTCTTTTACCCCCACGTTTCTGAGTCACTACCATGAGATTTTACGGGATGGATAGCATGCCATTGCATTATGCCAGGACACGTTTATGATGCTGGAGGGTTTGTTGTGGTTATATAAATTAGTCCAAAATACGTAAGTTGCCAATTCATCTTTCATAGTTCCACTAAGAAAGTTCATGAATTGAAAGAAGTGTGTGCACTTGTATTTCTGAGCCCCTTAATTTATCTTTTTGAGTAACCTTTTGAGGTAGGAGACAGGCACAACCTTGCTGACCAAAACAGGATCTGGTCTAAACCTTGTTTTCTGGTCACAACCTTGCTGACCAAAACAGGATCTGGTCTAAACAGGATAAAGTGAAGAAACTGGTAGGAACCAGCAGATGGCTACCAAAGCAATCCATAGATGCCCTCATTGCTCATTAGCATAAGACACTCCCACCAGCACCATGACAATTTACAAAAGCTATGAGGATGACCTGGAAGTTACTACCCCTTTGCTAGAAAATTCTAAACAAACTGCCCCTCAATTTGCATCCACCCACCCGTTAATTTGCATGTAATTGAAAGCAGGTTTAAGTGAGTATAAATACAGCTGCCAAGAACTCATATGTTGTCAACTTTAGCTGCACTGCCTATGAGTTAGCCCTGCTCTGTAGGGAGCAGTACTATTCAACAAAAGATGCTGTCTAACACTGAATTCTTTCCCGGATAACCTTCCTGGGCAAAGCTCCAATTTGAGGGCTCATCTGTTCTGCAATACTTTGATAAATTAAGCCTTTCTTGCCTTTATCTGTTGCTGTGCTTCAGTCAAGGTTTTCAAAGCGCTTTACAAACACAAAGCCATCCTTCACTTGTTCCTTAACTCAGGTGTGGATGAAACCAACTTTTGTGGAAGAAAAACAAAAACAAAAATCACCAAGGCCATTTGAAGTCTCTCAAGTGTTCCAGGGCACCAAATTTAGAAATCTGAAACACACACACAAACAGAATTCTCGCTTGGATTATCCACTTATGGGTTTTATTTGACAGCAGTTAACCAAAAGTCTGATCTGGAGACTGGCCCAGACTAAAAGGACAGAAGTTAATTTCACAGTGAAGCTACAAGTTCAGTTTTCAAGTGAGTGGATGTCATCTGACCAAATAACCATCTTCCAGGGCCGTTATTTCTGCAGTTTGATTTGACTGCTTATGACTTTGGGTTCTCCTTCTACAGACAGGGAACAAATGTTTGCTTCCTCTCTACAGAAGCCAGGCAATAGAGGAGGGCCCAAGTGGAGTATGAAATTCTGTGTGATCTGTTTTGTTTTTTTGTTTTTTTTTTAATTGCATTTTGTACTGGAGAGAAAACATTTATTTTTTACTTTTTTTAGTTACCATTGAAGAATTTCCCAACAAAGTTTTTGCTACAGAGAAAATGCTTTTATCTCTCTATCTATACTCCTGCTCCAAAATTTAGATTCAACTATTATAGACGCATGAACAATTTTTTAAGTATGATAAATGCAATGTAGTCTTACAATGATGTGGTAGTAGGTTAGGGCAGGGCTGGAGATAAAAGTGATAAGTCTGAATTAGTTTAAAAAATTAATTACACTTTAAAATACTGTCATATCAAAGACAGAGAACATCTCCCTTTTATCCTGTTTTAAAATAAGATGAAAACAAAACAAAACACCTGCTGCCATTGGTGAGCGTTACCTGTGAGTTCTGTTCCAGTAGTTCCAGTAACTAAGTGGCCTCTTCATGGAGTCTTAGAACACCATAACACAAGTCCTGTTTTGCTACTGGGAGGTATTTATCTTTTTTTTTATTATTACTATACTTTAAGTTTTAGGGTACATGTGCACAATGTGCAGGTTAGTTACATATGTATACATGTGACATGCTGGTGTGCTGCACCCACTAACTCTTATATCCAAATCTTTTTTTTAATTTAAATCCTGAATTTAGTACCATGCAATAATTTGCACGTTTATATATTATCTGTTGTAATACCCAGTGTCTACAATGTGCAAACTGGACATACATTATTGCTAAATTAAGCATGTGAAATTTCTTTTCTGGATATTTTATACTAAATTGATCTTTAGGAGAAAAATAAAGTGCTCAGTAATTTGTGGGAAGCAGTTTCATCATGCCCACTGCATCTTGGGACTGCAGTTTCTACCTCTCGCATGAGTCTGGTGAGACAGAACAATCACACAGCAAAGTAAGTGAAGCAACTTTATTCCTCACAGATAGGCAGCAAGGGACAATAAAAGCTTAAGATTCATGGCAGGTCTGTCAAAGCTCAGGATAGTTTCCCAGGGCAGTTAGAGTCAGCTACATGCAGTCTAGTCTGCATGTAGCTGAGGGACCTTCAAAGCATGCTCCACTCTGGGTTTCATACCTAGGGGATACTTGACGTCCTGGGCTAAAGCACCATAAGATCCTGTTTCAGGAGGGATGGGAACACAGCTTAGTTTGATCTGGCCAGTTCCTCCTTATCTGAGAATGTTCCATTTCCAGCACATTCTACAGTTATTCTGAGAACTACAAGAGAGAAAGAGGGGATGAGCTGGGTCACCAGTGCAATCCGAAGACTTGTTCTGTAAGCTGCTCAGACATTGGGATGAATTTATAGACCTAATCTACTACTGTCTTTATGTTTCATATTACAAATAAAAAAAGAATATATAATACTGTTGAAAAATCAGATGCAAAGTGTTTCTGTGTAAAGGAGGATCCGTAATATCACTTGATTTAGATTCTAAAATATATACTGATAAAAATATTTATAAAATTATTTCTATTTTTATTTGGTCTATATTAATTTTTAGGATAATAGCTACCAGATAGTGAGCACTCACTGTGTTCCAGCTGCTAGCTTAAGTGCTGTCTATGTATCCTTTTATTTAATCTTCATGACTGTAAGGCAGGCACTCATATTATCTCCATATCACAGAGTTAGAAATGGACACTTAAAGTAACATATCTGCCACCCAGCAAGGCAATGGCCAAACTTAGATTCAAACATAGATCAAAAGATACTGGAATATTGCTTCTGAATTGCAGGTGATTCCTTAGAAGCTCAAGAAACCAACTGGGGAATCATCAGCACCATAAAAAAGTAGAGAATAAAATAAAATGACATAGACTAAAATAGTATAGAAAATAGCCCAGGGCATCACAAATAGAGAAAGTATTTTTCTGTGAAACTTTTGTTTTAAATACACATGCACATATGTCTGTGTGAACTGATTCTTCATATAGAGTGCATTACTCACTCTGGGTAATGTCTTAAAATATATAAAATATACACTATGCTGAAATCAAAAGCAATAGCAATCTGCTTCTAAAAGGCTGAACATTCGAGCTTAATTTTTAAAAGCTATGTATAGTGACTATTATAGGATGTTAGATACATGTTGGCTCACAGCTGAGTATTCTATTCTATTTTTTTAAATTCATGCTAAAAGAAGAAAAACATTGTAAAATCAATTCCTCTTCCAGCAGATTGATAGAATTCACAACAAAACCAAACAGAGAGAACTCACAACAAAAAATAACGTAAACACAAAGTCTCATTTATTTTTGTCTGAAGCACACAGGAGCTCACTCAGCACAATAACAGTAAGCGAATCATACAAATATTGAGAAAAAATGTTCCTATGAATACATACATGTATATTCTTAAGAGTAGCGATCAGGAGTTTAACAACAAATGTAAAGTGGTTTTCTCTAAAGAATGCTTTCTGACAGGCTTTTGGGTTGGAAATGGACAGGTAAATCACTGTCACATAACAGGTAAGCTAAGAATAACTTCTGTTACCCAAGTCATTTGAACCCTGTGGACTGTGAAAGCCCTCTTGGAATTTACATTTAATTCCATCATTGGTCTGGTTGACTTCCACATTTCACTAAATTTGGACAAGATCCACAAAGTAACTCCTCAACTCTCAGTCTTTCACACTCAGGTCTGTGGGAAGGAAAGGCAGTGAGACCAGGTGTGAACACATGCACGGAGACCAATGTTAGGATTTTCTAACAGTATCCTTCTGTTTCTGCACTTCCAAAGTCATACCTAAACTGGCTAGTATATCTGAAATTGCTAACATCTCCTTGAAGCTGTCCAAAAAAAAAAAATTTTTTTTCAACAATTCTTAACAATCCATACAATTTAAAAACCATTTCAAGTCATTGCCTATAACACTTCTTAGTTTACCCATTAATAACTCACACCATTGCTTTTAAGCGTGTGAATGTTTCCAGCAATCATCAACTTTAAAAATGGACAACAATGAAAAGATGTCTAAGAGTCTCCAGAAGCATCCAAATTTTGGATCTCTCCTACGTATAGCACAAGGTAGAATTGATACAATGTGCCTTCCAGCTTGCCTTTAAAGCTCTCCATATGTCTAGTTCTGAGGTGAAGAGATTAAAAATAGGAAGAGCCTGGTAGGGAGTGAAGATTCAAAATGCATTGCTAGATCTCACACCGGTTATATTTCCTCTCTAAGATCTCAGCTGCAGTTGCCAATGGGGATATTGAAGGGTACACTTTAAAGTTGGCTAAGCATTACGGGGAGAGTTTCCCACCATTTCTTTCCCTTTAACCTGTAAAATTCTTTCTGAAGTAAAAAAGAGTTTTAATGGGGGCTCAATGCTCACAGTATTAACTTAGAAAGACCCTTGGCATGAAGGGAGCCTGTTCCAATATCTCCTCTTGGGGTCTGATAATTCAATGAGAGAACCAGCCAAGAGAATAAATTAGGGAACAGTCTCCTTGGTCTGTTTAGGACAACCTTTCACATCCTAATCTTTTACTTCCCATGTTTCCCTCTCGTTTGAAAATGAAATTTACCTTAGCTGACTAGCCTGCTTTTGTGTTCTGGTTGCAAAAATATTTTGTGAATTTATGATAATCGATACTTTTGAATTGTTTTTACCTTTCAAAGTGTATTCCGTTGAAAATACCATGGAACATTAAGGAAATGGTGGAGGATGGGGTGAGGAGGCTGGTAAGTGAATTGTTTCTTTCCTGTCAGAGAGCAAGATATTAAAACAAAAAGTGACAAATAAGATTGGCTTGGAAAAGTGCCTCTCCACAATTCAGAAAGTCAACCTACATTAGGCAAAGGCAACATTTCAAAGTGCAGAAAATCTGGCCCCAGGTATAGATAATGCCTGTGGTACAGAAAAAAAAGCATACATAACATTCAGGAACACCGCACTTGGAGAAATAAAACACATAAGTTATAAGTGATGTGGAGAGATCAAAGTACATATAAATATTTCAACACATCCTATTTTTACTAGGAAAGATATTCAGGTCTTAACACACTATCAGAGCTAAATTTAAATGTTTAACAGGATGGTTGTATACGGCCATTCCTACTGCTTCTGATGCTACACTTATTTATATTTACTGCACATGAGTCCTAAGTCTACATGAAAACTGATGTTCAACATCAAAATGTACACCCTTAAAGAAGGTAAAAGTGTAGGATCTTGCAAATGCTAGAAGCAGCTACTGCCTGTAAGTGAATCTTACACATCTCATCTAAATTCCTAAGCCTGCTCATTTGGTTAGACACCATGTAATCAAGTTCCTTTGGCAGGGGTTGAGTGATAAAGCTGAAGATTTTTGCTAGCCCCGTAGAGAAATGGGGAGAAATTTGGCAAGGCATCTTTGACGTGGCTCAGGAATTAGAAATATTGGAAATACAGACTAAGACTGGAAATTGGGTTTACTAAGATACTTATCTCACAAAACAAACTCTGTTGTTTATTAAAAAAATAAAACTAACTTTTGTTCCCTCTTTAGGTGTCATGTATACATAATCAAATCTAAAAGTATTTCTATTAGGGAAAAAACTGGGCCAATTACTGCTAAATTAGCTAAGTATGTGAAAATAAAATTTATACTACAGGAGGGGGAACTGTGTTTTTTTGTTCTGTAAATACGGAGTTAGCTATATTACATAAAGTTTCTACTATAAGGTAATATTAAAGAGTCACCCCTAAGCTCTAGGAATGAGTGTTATAATATATTAAGAAAGTCTATTCCTTTTCCTTGCTCATTTATAGTATTTGTAATTAAATAAGAAAAATATAGAATTTAAATAACATTCACACCAATACTTAAAGATTTATCATAAGGTCATAATTTGGTTTTAATTCTAGGTTATGGAAGCATAAAAATAGTCTTTGCTTTGTAATGTTCCTAGATGTCTAGTAAGAATTAAGTCCTATTAACATAAATATTAAGTAGGACATTATGTACTCTTCATTATCCTAAAATTTTAATATCCTAAACATTATAAGGAGTTAAACAGAAAACTGGATAAAATTAGAAAATAGAGTGCTTTCAATACACAGGGTTTAAAGATTTTTAACAATATTTCTTTAACAGGATTTGTCCTTCATTTTAAAGTTCTAGCAGACTGATATCTGAGTATGGAATTTCCAGAAACTACAACATATTGTTTGGGTGGAATAGGCCATGGCAATGGAACCTGTCCTGTTAGTATTGGCGGCTCCTGGATGCCAGCATTTGCCCCAGTTCACGAAGACTCCAGTCTACATAAATTCCATAAAGCATGGAATTTGTTTCTCTTCTAATAAAATGGAAGCAATAACATCTCACAGTTATAAGTTGATTTTAAAGTACACAAAAATACAACTATTTATGCCATGGAGTTACATGAATAATATTCCTAAGAGACTTTAAATCTTTAATACCCAACTTCTGTCAAACACTTTGAAGCACAAAACTATATTATGAAAGCATGTGGCATTCAATTTCTGACATTCATCGCCAAAGAAGGCAAAGCACAACACTAACACATCTCTGAAATGCAAATTCCATTAAGTGCAAATTTCTAAAACACAAGGTCAACCTAGAAACACGTTTTAAATTTCAACAAGTTCTCTTTTTAAATTAGTATGCTCAGTATATAATTTTCAAACACAATCTGAAGTGATTTTCTAACGTTTGTTCTCAGTCTAACTTTTGCTCCCTCATAAAAATATACTCTCATGGGTCCATTTTCAGTCTTCTAATTTTTGCAATTATTAGCTCAAAATATCTAACCTTTTAGGAACATCTTTTCTTTCCACATTTTCAAATATGAAAAAGGCTTTGCTTAAGTCTTACCGTAGGAACACCACCAGTAATAGCATTCCCTTCTGTTTGAGCTTAAAGTAAGTCTGAGCAGCTCCAAAGGGAGATATTTTCATGAAATTTATGAACCCTCTCAACCAGAGTTGAGAATTAGTGCAACTTCCTTCGAACTATTTGTCAAGTGAATACTGTAACTAGACACAGAAAGGGATAGTCATCCCAAGAACAAGGTACTATTTTTTGACTTTCTAACTCCACCTGGGCACAAGGGAGATGCAGAACCACGCTAATCCCAGGAGAACTTTGTAGACGCCCGAGGGTCTTACACTGAGCTGGAAAACGGAACCACCTGCTTTCCGCCCACATAAACCTCTTCAATATTTCGATCATCTCCTGAAAGAAAAATCAAGGAATCATGTATAAAATCCTTTTGTGTCAATAAGTATCTTCCTTGCCATTGGGAGAGATTTTTTTTAAAGATACTTCTAGGAGAGGAAATACTAAAAGCTGCTTTCCCCCAACCCTCAGATTGTTTATAATCTGAACAGGAAGATATGACTAGTAGAAAATGCCATAGCTAATTTGATGATTAGGGTCTGAATTCTGCACCAGAGGCAGAAATCACATAAAGTTGAATCAACCCCCTATAGCTGTCCTTTCTCAGCTGAAGTGGTTGGTTTACATTTTGCCCCCACTGAGAAAGAAATACTACTCTTTACGCTCCAGAATCAGCTCCACAAGAAGTAACACATGCATCTTTCCATCTTGAGTTCACTCAGTCCTGGGCTCACTGAACAGAATGGGAGGCAGTGTAGAATATTCTGCATTACTGTTTCTCTCTCTCTCAGTGAATGGAATTGAATGTGAGTACATCACCAGCACGTGTGGTGAGACTCTACTATACATTTGTCACAAAAACATGGCAGGGCAGTATGTCAGATACCGAATGAGTACAAGAGGGTTGAACATGAAGATCTCTTCACCTTTGGCCTTCCATTCCTCAGCTTAGAATTTATGACTAGAGGGAGTCATGTGCATTTCAAATAGAACCTTTAAATAATGTGCCACCAATGGGCTTGATGCTTCAGACTGTTAAAAAAATAATGAATCAAAGCAAATTATCATCCACAGAGTTTAATATATGGTAGGATAAATACATAGAGCCATACCCAAGAAAAAGACAGGGAAAGGTTCTATTTAATATTTAGCATAGAGACATGCATCTACCTACCTAGATAGAGGAACTTCTGGATAACAGCCTAAAATGGAAAATAAAAGTAATAAGAAAGACTCATTTGTGCATTTAGAAAAGTAAATTCACAGCTGATAGTGGTTGACAAAGCCCAGAAATACGAATTTGTTTCTCAATGGCAAAATCTACTTCTATTAATTAAAAAAGAAGTGGCTATGTGCTTTATAAAAACCTCCCAGAACAAAAAATAACCCACTGGCAATTAACAGAAGTTTACCTATTGTGTGAAAGTTCTGGGTATGTGAATTTTGAGTCATCAGAGAAAAGGTATTATATAAATTAAAGAAATTAATTTAGTAAAATAATTCAAATATTTCAAGACGGGTATGATGTAAGACAAGCTCATCCAACCTGCCTTATTTTGTTGTTGTTGTTCTGTTTTGTTATGTTTTGTTTTAGGCTTTTAGCAGCCTGAAGCCATGGTTTTTAGTTTCTGTCTCTACTGATAAGCAGAAAAGAGGGATGAGGGAGGGGGCTTTACTGGCACAACCTGAAACAGAAACTAAGAACTCCCTTGGACACCCCTGATATAAGAAAAATCACTAGGACTATTCCCTAGAGCCCTATTCTTAGAAATTTACTCTAATCAGAGAGTAAAAGAATAAGCAATATGAAAATAATGAGGGGGTCAGGACACGCTACCCTCAAATCAAACACAGGAAGGTCACTCTGACCCTCCCCTTACCCCTTACCCCAATGCAGGTCATAAGACCATCACGTAAGGGGTGCCCTCCCTATACCTGATCTCTGAAGCTAAAGGATCACAGAGAAGAATCTGAACAAGCAGGCCTTGCTAAGTTCTCTCTAGCTTATTACCACTGGACCACACTCTTTGTCCTATCATATTTCTCTACAACTTTCCACTCTTCATCAAACCTAGCATAAAAATATCCAAGTTTACCTGTTTCTTGGGTTCTTCACTTCCTTATGAAGGCACCTATGTCACATAAAATTTATATTAAATAGGCCGGGTACAGTGGCTCACGCCTATAATCCCAACACTTTGGGAGGCCAAGGCAGGTGGATTACCTGAGGTCAGGAGTTCAAGACCAGCTTGGCCAACATGGTGAAACCCTGTCTCTACCAAAAATACAAAAATTAGGTGGGTGTGGTGGTGGGCGCCTGTAATCCCAGCTACCTGGGAGGCTGAGACAGGAGAGCTGCTTGAACCCAGGAGGCAGTGGTTGCAGTGAGCTGAGATCATGCCATTGCACTCCAGCCTGGGCGACAAGAGCAAAACTCCGTCTCAAAAAAATTTATATTAAATAAATGTGTATGCCTTTCTCCTGTTAAATCTGTCTCTTGTTATAGTGACCTCAGCCTTGACCCTAAGATGGGTAGAGAAAAATATATTTTTCCTCTTTTATAATAACAAATGGTACAAACTTCATATAATACAGAATTTTTCTTTTAAAATCTTTAACATATTTATTATCGCAATTACTCTCACAAGTAGATCAATTTAGAAATGGCAATACTTAATTCTTTTTTTAGGAAGAACTCAATATCTTACAAGGAATTATTTTTCAGGTAAGATGAACTAGTTTATTTTATCCATAGAAAAACATTTTATAATAAGAGAAACAAAGTTCATTTTCTTATAAAATTAAAAACATTGACATAGCATAGTGCTCAAGAGCCTCGCCTCTCGTAGTCAGAAAGTCCCAGGTGTGAATCCAAACTCTACCTACTAATCACTGGCTATGAGTCTTTACGTAAATCACTTAGCCTTCCTTAAGCCTCACTGCCCCTATAAATTAACATGGCAATATTAATAGTACCTACTCTCTTAGAGTTGCTCTGATGATCGAACAAAATTAGGTATGGAAGTGCCTAATCCCATGCCTACCCAGCACATAGCAAGTGTTCAATGAGTGCTAGTTACATTATGGCTGTTTGTAGCCAAATACATTCAAATACACAAACACATTCAAAATATAAAAGTTTTGTTAACACCATTATTCTTAACATTGCTGTCATAAAATTATAATAATTATCAAAGGGCTCTAGCGTCCATTTTAAGATTTTCCTGCATTCCATTAAAAAGTTTCGGTTTCTATTTTCTTTTCTACAGGGAAGCTATTATGACGACTTTATGAAATAAATGCCTTTTGATTAACTTTCTTTTACTTACCTCAGAAATATCACCAAAAAAGTCCCCATAAAACAGGTCAATGGGAGAGTCGGATGCTTTGGGGTTGATCAGGATGGCATCAAATTCCTTGCCCACTTCAAAGTTTCCAATCTCACCATCCAGCCCCAGGGCTATTGAGAACAAGTGAATAAACAGTCAGGATTGCAAGCCATCAGACCACACTAATGTCTCAGTTTGTAAGGACAGATTTTGCCAACATGTCGCTAGGAGAAAAAAAAAAATTAGTATCTTAACAGTGAGACAGAAAATCACTCTCATTCTAACAGGTCACAAGACTTCTACTTACATAAAGTGGAGTAAGCACAGGAAAGCAAAATCTGAGAATGAAAACAATTCCCTTCATTACTGTATCATAACTCTGGTATGTCTCTATTTCAGCTCTATCAGTGCACTTCATAGCCCAGCTGGTCTATGCTTTTCATTTATCCCTCTAAGCAACATGATGATTAACATAATACCTTTATTCTTTTTCCCTTCTATTCTCCCCCAACACTCCAACTCCTTGCCTTGCTTTTTTTTGTTCTTTCTGTTCCATGAAATAGCTGACAAGATTTATTTTCATGGCAGTGAAATGAACCTTGAATAAATAAAAAATAATTATCCTTTTGCATATTTGTCAATGCAGGCATATCCATCAGAAATTCCTTAGTTTAAATCCTTTGAATGGAAAAAAAACCTCACTTCTCAAAATGAACAGATTCTCATAACTCAAAAGTCTCAATGCTTTTGAAAACAGACCAATCTCTTTGCAACCTCAAAGGTTTTCTGGTCACCAGAGAAGAATGGTCTTCTAAAATAGAGCACAGGCCAATAATATCTATTGACTTGGCTCATCTCATAGCTACAATTCATGTTCCAAGATTATTGGATATCAAGGAAGAACATCTCTCATTATTATGATTTAGTTTCAGAAAGATGGGGGTAGTTGGCTTTCTTCGCCAACAGAGGTATTGGCTCTAAAGTTCCTTAAAGCCTGTAATCTGAGGAAGGTGTAAACTGGGGTCACAAATGGAAGCATGGAAGGTTAACTGGAGTGCAGTATTATTTATTTCAATTTTCTTTCTTTCTTTTTTTTTTTTTTGAGACGGAGTCTTGCTCTGTCGCCTAGGCTGGAGTGCAGTGGCGCAATTTCAGCTCACTGCAAGCTGTGCCTCCTGGGTTCACACCATTCTCCTGCCTCAGCCTCCCGAGTAGCTAGGACTACAGGCACCCACCACCACGCCCGGCTAATTTTTTGTGTATTTTTAGTAGAGATGGGGTTTCACCGTGTTAGCCAGGATGGTCTCGATCTCCTAACCTCGCGAACTGCCCACCTCGGACTCCCAAAGTGCTGGGATTACAGGCGTGAGCCACTGTGCTCAGCCTTATTTCAATTTTCACATGTATTTGTTGCATTCTATCACCGCTAAGATAAAGTTTCATGTGAAAATATTGAATCGACTACCTTTGTTAGGCAATATCTAATACATTATATTTCTACCTATAGGTATCCAGAAGTTGTGGCATTTCTCTAAACACTGACTCAGAAATCTTACTTGTTCTTAAAAGATTCTTTAAAGGGCAACTCTTTTATTCTCAGAAAAGAAAAATGGCTTTTTAGCTAAAGTACTCTCTTTAGCAAGACAGGGGTATGAAAATAATCCAAAATGTTAAAAGGAGCCAGGTGACTTCTACTAATTGTATGGGAAAGGACTGAATGTAACAGAAAATCACTGGAAATTCTCTCCTCCTTCACTGATTACTTGACTTCTTTTTGCCCTTGACAAAGAAACATGTCAAGTATGAGTTTTTAATGACTGAATTCAACTGAATTAAACTGAATTACTGACTGTGCATTTAATAGGCCAGATAACCAGGTGCAGTGACTAGGGTTTAGGCAAGTTTGATGGTATATATAAACCAACTGGGTTATTCAGTAGAGCCTGGAGACTTCAGGAATGAACTAACCAAAAAAGACACAATTCTTTTCAGTGAATTTGTAAACTGATATAAATTCAAATTGTTGCACAGAGATCCCACTGGGCTGGTAAGTGACTCAAATGCATTTCAGGAAATAGAGTTTTGATGCCTTTGGAGTAAATGTTGGTTCTGTGAAGATCATTTCTGCTCATCTTGATCTTCTTGAGAATGAATGTAAAGGCCATGGCAGTTCTGGGAAAATGCCACACTTTAAATACAGATCCATTCATCTCATTTTACTCTGACTATAGTAGAGAAACAAACTAAGGAAAAGAAATTCCATGAGTAAGCCCAGTGACCCAGAAAATAGATTTAAAAGCTACACAGCAAAGTAGAAATGATTTGGTAGGCACCCATGCTGACTTGATCAAAGAAACAGGATCCTGATGAAGTAACTTACAGAGAGCCCTAGAATTCAAAAAGCACTCTTTAAATACAACTCGTTTGTACCACAAACATAGATGGTAGAATAACTACTCAAACTCAGATTCAGATGTGAAAAGACAATGGTGGTGTGGGTGAAAGGTTGTAACAATTATTAAAATAGTGGGTGATTTGAAACTTGGGATTTTGGAAAATGAACCATAATACTTTGGGAAATCACAAAACAAAACAAAACAAAAACAAAAAACAACATTGTATTTGCTTTTCTTGAAATGTGCTTATGGTGTTCATCATAGTCCCCAACACTCAGAGAACATCTGAGAAGTTTCTCTTCCCAGGATAATCTTGGCTTCGGTCATCCTTCATTTGTAAGACTCAGGGTATCTATCATAAATCTACACCCAATATGTTTCTAAATCTATATCTACATTTTAATTTCTCACTAGCTACCTATGGTTTCATGCTGTGTTTCACTATCATCCATTCTGATTACATGTATAATTCTAAAGTGACTTAAAGAAATACAGTGACCAATTTTTATTTTTTTCCGTAACAATACAGTTACACGTGAGAATTGGGAAAAGTTGATGAGCAATATTTGCATATCAACCAACTAAATTTTTACATCTTTATCCTTTTAAAGAGTAATTAGTGTACTTAAGTATATGAACCAAATGCATGGTCTTGGCAGGGATTTATACAGGAAGATACTGTAGTGGAAGGGCAGAAGGTAAGAAATCTGCATGCTGGCATCAGATTAGGTGGATTCAAATCATAGCACACTGTGGCTTGACAGCTGTGTAAGCCTCACTCAGGCTTCTTGTTTGTAAAACGAAATGAATAACAGTGGTGGTGAGGATTAAATAACAACACATATAAAGTATGTGGTATGATTCTTATCACAGGGGAAGAGCTTAAGTAAGCCTTGGCTACTATTTTACTATTATGATCATCACTTAGGCCACTGGAGAGCAAGTTACTTGACTTAGTGGAAAAATGGATTCTTTAATTTATTTATTTGGAGACAAGGTCTCACTCTGTTGCCCACGCTGAAGTGTAGTGGCACAATCACTGCTCACTGCAGCCTCTACCTCCCCGGGTTCAGATGATCCTCCCACCTCAGCCTCCCAAGTAGCCAGAACTACAGGGACACTTCACCAAGCCCAGCTAATTTTTGTATTTTTTTGTAGAGACGGGGTTTTGTCACATTGCCCAGGCTGGTCTCAAACTCCTGGGCTCAAGCAATCTGCCTGCCTCAGCTTCCCAAAGTGCTGGGATTACAGACGTAAGTTACTGTGATTCTTAGGTACCTGGCCTAAGAATGGATTATTTTAAAGCACTCATATCCATGTAACCAATGTAATACCCATTAAAACAATTAATATGATAACTGTGTCTCAGACATCTATTCTACCAAAGACAGTGAATTCACTAAGGAATGATTCCTCCTTCAGTGAACTTCACTTTACTGGCTGAGTTCTGGGTATGTTACATGAGATGTGATCATCACAAATATTGGATTTTCCTAATACCAATCATGCATCTTCATACTACATCCAAAGACACCGATCAGCATGGTTGTATATTGTGTGAGAGAAAAATGTAAGAGTCATTACCTTGGCTTCCTCCAAGAGTAGCTAGTCTGAAGACTTCTTTGAGGGTGAGGCTTTTCTCATTTACCTTATTAATTAAAAGGATATTGGAAACCATCACTGCTCTTCTGATTGCATCAAGCATGGAATATGAATAGCCACCAGCCACGTCTGCAGTAGGTAAAATAAAACCAAAACAGTAACCTTGTGAGGATAAATGGAATAATACATATATAACATTGTTTTTATGACAGATATTCAGTCCTTAATATACTTTTTTTAAAAAGCTCTTAACTATAAACACAAGATAGTCGTAGACTAAGATTTAAAGCAATTCAAAATCTGTAATTAGTGTCAAATGCATACTTGTATTAGTTTCCTACAGCTGCTGCAACTAATTATCACAAATTTTCTAGCTTAAAACAGCAGAAATTTATTCTCTCACAATGTGGAGGTCAGAAGTCTGAAATTAAAGTGTTGGCAGGGCCATGATCCCCACAAGAGCTCTAAGGGAGAATTCTCCTTTGCTTCTCCCAGCTTCTGGTGGCTCCTGGTGGCTCCTGGCATTCTTTGGCTTGTGGCAGCATCACTCCAATCTCTGCCTCCATCCTCAAATAGCCTTCTTCTCTTCTCCCTGTGTCTTCTATTTGTCTCTCTTTTCCTGTCTCTTCTAAGGGTATTGATCACTGGATTTAGGACCCACTCTATTTTAGAATAATCTCATCTTGAGATCTCTTCCTTAATTATATCTACAAAGACCTTTATTCCAAATGAGGTCACATTTACAGATTCTGATAGACATCTTTTAGGGACCCACAATTCAACCCACCACAATACTCAAATGGTTTAAAGAGCCAAAAGAAACTCTTATCTCTGAAGAGTCCATGAACTCTCACAGAAATTGTTGAAATATGCCTGCATAGTTATAAAGATAATTTAGATAATATGTGGTTTAAAATAAGCTCATGGTTCTATTCACTAAAAATTTATCCTAACCTTGTTCTAATCCAGATGAGAACTTTGGGAAATTAAAAAGCCACTTCTTTGTAATTTTTATGAAGAGCTTTTAGAATAAACTTGTATATTTTGGGAAATTAGTGTAATAAATGAGCAGTGCTAATGTAGACAGCTCTATATTTTGGTAGGCATCATTAAATGAAGAATGAAATTTTAGTGATTTAAATAAAGTCCCTAATCATAATCAAATGAAATACTACCTTTAACAAGAATGAACATGGAGTTAAGTGAGTTTGTATAAATAAATTTCAAGTAAGTTAGTATGTTTTATTAAAGAAAAACACACTTATAGCTAATAAAGTAAGCTTCATATTTCAAGTGTTCCTTCTGTCATTTCTAGGTAGACATATGTAATTGTTAGTGCCTCTATATATGTTGCCAAAACAAAATAATTGCCTATTTAGTAGTAATTCTAGATTGTAGCTCAATTTTATGTTCAACTATCCTACATGTCCTTAAACTTGTATTTAAATTAGAGAATCACCCAGCTCTCTAAAAAATTTCATTACATCTACTTAAGTTACTAGTCTGTGTTAATATGTAGTAACCATCCCTTAAATCTTCATTTTTATCATAGCTAGGAAAACAAATACTAAGAAAACAAATACAATTTGGGAACTACACACATTAAGCTTTGAAATAGTCTGTCTGCTGCTTCCTTCTTTATTGCTAAAACAACAAAAATGTTAAATATAAATAAAGGTGGAATAAAAATTATATCACTATGTGGTATAAAATATGTAAA
Organism: Homo sapiens; assembly: GCF_000001405.40. Taxonomy (NCBI): domain Eukaryota; kingdom Metazoa; phylum Chordata; class Mammalia; order Primates; family Hominidae; genus Homo; species Homo sapiens. The sequence continues at coordinate 72,239,560 of NC_000009.12, read as the reverse complement.
GACTAACTATATTTTATAATATATGGGTAACGACTGGAAGTAAACATAGAGAAATGAAAGCAATGCAGTTGGGATGGTATGAATATGGAAGACTTAAATACCTGCAGTTTTAAAAATAAGGTATAAAATATAACAGAAAGTAGCATTTTCCTAAATACCTACTCAAAATTAACCTTACAGAAAGAATAAGTATAAATTAGGAAATAATGCTATGCAATTTACTGGAAAAAAATTGAGAGATGCCTTATGATGTTGATTTAATCATCCTATATTCTTCTGGTTGCCAATGTTATGTCAGTAAAATAACTGTAAACCAAAAAACAATTTTGTGCTCATCAAAGAAAGAACTCTGGGCTGCATAATTTCATGGTATTTAGTAAGAGTCAAGCCTTTTTTTCCAGGGATTTCCACTGTGACAGTAACTTGCCGATTCTTCCCGACTGGATTAGCTTTGTAGTTTTCCCCTTCCATCTACAACACATTTAATGTAGGTGGAATCCCTACTTTGTCATATGGCTAGAGGCACTGTGGTAGGATAGAAAGAGAAATCACGAATATCTACATTTTACAGACCTGGTTTTAAACTGTGCGCATGGAACTTTTTGCTTTGCGGACCTTTGATCAGTTACTTAGGACCTGTGAATCTCAATTTTCTCAGAAAATAGAAATAACATCACATATCTTAATAATTGCAGAGAAAATTCAGTTACATAACTGAAGTGCTGAAGAATGAGGACCAAAGGGTGGAAACTGTGTGGAGGAGGAAGGAAAATTGAAGCATTTTCTCAGAAGATCTGCCCCCTTACCCCACTACTCCCCCAGGACCATCACAATGAAGATGGTATCATTACTTGCTCGTCAGAGCCAACATTTGGACACTATTATTTACAAGAAGACTCTAACAAAATTATGCAAGAGCAAAAACTTAAGCCAGAGGACAATGGAAAGATTAAAAAATGATTTCATAGGTATGTGCTCATTTCCTATGCATTCATTCACTTATTCAGCAATCATTTACTACACTCCTTGCATGTGCTTGATTTACTTAAGCACTTGTAAATAAAACCTATGGGCTTCCCACATGAGCAAGTTAACTATCTTGTTGGGGAGAAAGAAAAGAATCATATAAACAGACATATATTAACAATAAGTTGTTTTCACTTTAGTGATAAAGAAAATGGAGATGAAGGGCCCATTTTGATAGGATGGTGAGGGAAGACCTCTTTAAGGCAATGACATTTAAACTACAACAAGGATGAGAAGAACTCAGCCATATAAACAGAGGCCAAAAGGGCATTCAGACAGAGAAACAATGCATACAGGACTTTTGAGAGAAGGGAGTATGATTTATAGAGAGGATAGTCAGGTTATTCATAAAAGCCATATCTATTCATAAAAGATAGCCAGGGTGAGGAGGAGAGAGTAGTGTGAGATGAGGCTGGGCAGTGGATGGGTGTCAAACCATTGCAGAGCTTTGTGGGCCTTGTAATGAGCCTTACACACTCAAAATCGCATTGAAGGGTGACGAGCACAAGGGGGTGACATGATCAGATTTTCATTGTGATTCTTTTGTAAATCACAATGGACTGGAAGGGCCTAGGATGGTATGAGACCCATTAGGAAGCTGGTGCAGCAGTTCAGCAGGAAACGATGGCAGCTTGCATCAGGTGGTAGTGACCAATGAGGGGAAAGGGGATGGTTCAAGGAGATACTAAGGAGTCATGAGGTTGGGCATTGTGCTGGGGAAGAAGTGAGGGAGAAGAAGGTCCCAAAGATAATGATCAAGTTTCCAGTTAGCAAAAATGAATTCTCTAAAAAGGAGAGCTATTTTAGAGAACTAGGTTTAAATGTGTTTTGGGATAGAATGAAGTTCGGGGGTTCCTTCAGGAGGGGTCTAAGAGAAGGGAGAATGTAGTCAGTTGAAAACATAGGTTTAGAATTCAGAGAAGTCTGGGCTGGATATAAGAACCTGTGTGTCATCTGAGTATATTAAATCACATGAAGCCATGGTTGTGGATGGCACCTCCTAAGAAGAATGTGTAAAGTCAAAGAGACTGCCAAAGACTGACCCTTGAAGCAAGCTTTCAAATGGCCCAGAGGAAGAGAATCAGCCTTCAGAGAAGAGAAAGAAGGGAAGAACGAAGGTGCTTCATAGGATTCAAGATAAGATTACTTGGACAATGGAGAGAACAGTCAATCATGGCAAATACTGCTGACAAGTCCCATTGGATGAGGACAGAATGGCATCCTTTGGAGTTGGCAGCAGAAATTCCAGTGGTAATACCCACAGGAGAAAAAAGCAAAAGCAGTTGTCACGGAGGGTGGGGCAAGAATCCAGACTGAAGTTGGTGGAGGAAGGGAAAAGGGCCTAGAAAGTGGTGCCAGTGTGGATCCCCACTCTTTGAAGAAGCTTTGCCATGAAGGGAGGCAGACAGGTGGAGCAGGAGCATGAGGGGGATGTCTGATTAAGAAGGGGTTTTGTGCCAGGCGTGGTGGCTTATGCCTGCAATCCCAGCACTGTGGGAGGCCAAGGCAGGTGGATTACCTGAGGTCAGGAGTTCAAGACCAGACTGACCAACATGTTGAAACCCTGTCTCTACTAAAAATACAAAAATTAGCTGGATGTGGTGGTGCACGCCTGTAATCTCAGCTACTCGGGAGGCTGAGGCAGGAGAATCACTTGAACCCTGGAGGCTGAGGTTGCAGAGGGCTGAGATCGTGCCACTGCACTCCAGCTTGGGAGACAGAATGATACTCCATCTCAAAAAAAAAAAAAAAAAAAAATAGGAGTGGTTTTGTTTCTTTGCTTAAAAGAAGATACTAGAGATGTTTGTGTACCAGCAGGAATGATCCAGCAGGAAGGAGACACTGATGATACAGGACGGTCTATGGCCAAAGGAATTAGTTTATTGAGATGCTGGGAGAGGGAAAGAATACAGAACACACGTCGGGGTATTTTGGTATTTTTGCCTTTGATTGGAAGAAGGGTTTTGTTGTTGTTGTTTTTGCTGCAACAGGGCAAAGAAGAGAAAATCCCAGCAGATGCAGAAAGGTGTGTGAATTTCGTGGTGGGAGATTGAGGGAAGGATTTCTGGTCGTTTCTATTTCTCAATAACTTATGATATGAGGGAGGCCTTAAACTAGAAGTTGGGGTAGAAAGTTTAAGAAGAAATGAGAAAACGCTGTCTTGGAAAAAGGAGATATACGCTTATTACAGACTAATAACTGTCTCTAATCCCCAAGCGGTGGGCCATTTGGGATTTGAGAACAAAATTTAAAATGAAAGCCCACTGGAGGATTTTCTCCAGCAACCTCCAGATGCTCCACTGCAGGCACTGAGAAGGGGACTTTTGAGATAATCAAGGGTGGAGCTTTTGCAATGTGAATACAAAGAAAATGAGGGGAATATGAAAAGCGAGAATGTTTCCAAGGAAATGATTATAGTGATGTACTCTGACATCTAAGAATTCGAATTAGAATAATGGATTTTGAGAAAGCATGGAGTCATTGGACTAGAGTCTACAAGAGATCAAAGAGCTGTTGTTTTTGGAATAATGGAAGAAGTAAGTTAGGATAGGGAATTGTCACTGAAAAGTGAGGCACTGGCTCCATGTATGTTGCTTGTTTTAATGAGTTTATAGGTCTTGTTTAGTAAACTTGTTCTATATGTTTAAATTTTTCCTTCAGATGAGTGTTTTTGGTTATTTGCTATGTTTTCTTTGTTTTTATGGTTTTTTTCATATTTCACATAGGAGGTATCCTATCTTTAAAATTCTTCAAGTAGTTATCTCTAATATTTTTATACTGAAAAGTCAAAAGTAAAATATGTGCAATTCTCTTTTTTCTGAGACAAGGAATTTTTTTTTTTTTGAGTCTCTCTCTGTCACCCAGGCTGGAGTGCAGTGGTGCAATCTCGGCTCACTGCAACCTTCACCTCCTGGGTTCAAGCAATTCTACTGCCTCAGCCTCCCATGTAGCTGGGACTACAGGCACATGCTACCACACCCAGCTAATTTTTGTATTTTTAGTAGAAATGTGTTTCACCATGTTGGCCACTTGCCAAATACATCCTCCTCTCAGCCTTACACATAAACTACAACTTCTTGGGTTTTGTTAATAAAATTATAAGACAGAATTATGTATTATACTTGGAAAATTCTTCCTTGGCAGAGCATATATTATTTTTTAAAATTTTGTGATAAAATACTGAAGACATTCAAATGACATAAGGAAAGCATAAAACCAAAACTCAAGGACCTAACACTCAGTTTTTAAAATAAGTGCCATGTATTTCGGTCCCAGGAACCTCTTTCCAGCCTGAGGGAAACATCTTCCTGATTTATGTTACCATTCTGATAGGTTTTTAACATTGTGCCTATTCTCTCTTGAGATATATTTTTGGCTTTTACTTTCATTTTTTAAACTCCTTTACAATTCTTTGATCTTCTTATTCTGATTGATGTTAGCTTTCCATGACATCATATTGTGCCATTATTTCCCCCCATGGCCCTTCATTTGCCTCATCTTTCATTGAATGATGTAGATTTTCAAGTAAGTTTTTCAAAGGGTTCCTAAGGAAAATATTTTCCAAGTTTTTGTATAGCTGAGAATTTTGTTGCCTTCCTACATAAAGGAGAATTTGGCCAGATATATTATTCTTGGCTAACACTGCTTTGTCTCCAAACTCTTTTCTTGCCTTTTGGTATTTTGTGTGCCAACAAAAACATCTGAAAGCAAACTGGTTTTTAATTGTTTTGTTGATAATTGACTTTTTTCCTTGTGTCAATATTGTAGAAATTTTTTTATTGTAATTAAAATATTTTGTCACAACATGTTCAGTTACGATTTAGCGTAAAACAGGGTAAGCACTTGCAAGGCAGTTCTTTCTTAAGCTCAGAAAAGATTTACCCTTCAAAGCTCTGACTATTGCATCTGTCCCATTTGTTCTGGGTGCTCCATCAGAAAAAAACCCCATGTGTTGGCTCTGTGGTTTCTGGGCTTCACATCGATCATCCTCAAACACCTTCTATCATCTTTGGTTGATTTTATTCTCACATCACTGATTTGATTTTCTGTAACAATAATTCTGCTTCTCATAGCTTCCTACAGGGTTGGTGGGTTTGTCATTTTTTTAACTGAGGTATAACTAAAATATCATAATACATATATAACTTAGATGTTCAGTTTGGAGAATGTTAACAATTATATAGCATTAACTATTTTGCAAAAAAACTAAGATATTAAACATTTCCATCACCCCAGCAAATTCCCTCATGGCCTTTTCCTGTCAATTCCCCAAATTCTTACCTACAACATTTGGCAACCACTTTCTGATTTCTACCAATATCAGTTAGTTCTGTTGGTCTGTGAGTTTCATACAGATGGAATCATGCAGTGTGTGCTCTTTAAGCCCACACACTGGCATATATTTACCCACATTTTGCATATATCTGTAGTGTGTTTTTTACTGCTAAATAATATTTCATTATATGAATATACCTCAACTTGCTTATCCATCCTCCTGCTGATAGATGTTTGGATTGTTTCTGGTTTGGGGCTATTATAAATAAAGCTGATATAAACATCCTCATACAATTCTTTCATTTATTTATTAATTTAGGGACAGGGTCTCACTCTGTCACCCAGACTGGAGTGCAGTGGCATGAACATGGCTCACTGCAGCCTTGACCTCCCAAGCTCAAGCGATCCTCCTGCCTCAGCCACCCAAGTAGCTGGGATTACAAGTGCATGTCACCATGCCCAGCTAAGTTTTGTATTTTTTGTAAAGACAGGGTTTTGCCATGTTGCCAAGGCTGATCTCAAACACCTGAGCTCAAGCAATCCTCCTGCCGTGGCCTTCCAGGGTGGTGGGATTACAGGTATGAGCCACTGCACCTGGGCCTCATACAACTATTTCTGCAAACATATATGTTTATTTCTCTAGGGTAAATACCCAAGAGTAAAATTGCTGGGTCATATGTAGACGTATATTTAACTTTAGAAGAAACTCCCAAAACATTCTCCAAAGTAGTTGTACCATCCACTCTCCTTCCATCAGTGTATGAGAGTCTATGTGCTTTTTAATCTGATTTTTTTCAGTTTTCTTCCTTGATTTCTAAAATTTCTACCACAATCTTTTCATAGAACCATGATTTCCTGTACTCCAGGGATGAAGGCAATTTTCTGAAATTTTCTTCTGGATCCTAAAGCAGATCATTTTCAGATATTTGTTCACATTCTTATTGTTTGTGATATCACTTTATCTTGTTTTGCTATATTTCTGTTAAATTTCATGTGGGTTTCTTCTACCTAATATTTGTGCAAGTCAAGATCTGCCTGCACTTGTTATAGACAGGGTGTGTGAATTGCTCTTGGACTTGCTCTCTATTCATAGTATGAGGTATAATAATCTTCTAAAGTTTACAAATTGAAGGGTAAATTGATACACAAAAGTCACGTTTAGGAAATAGTAGAGTAGAGGGTGACTAAATTGCAAAAAGGACTAGGTAAAAATGAAACACCATCCTCTGAGTAAATAAGCTAATAGGTCATATTTATTCAAACGTTTGGTCAATACACCAACTTCGCCCTTTCCTTTTTAAGCCAATCTTGATTGATTTGTGTCATGTGCCAGGCAGGCACTGTGCTAACCAATTTGCATGCATTTTAAAGTTTAATTCTCTAAACAGCTTGTAAGATAGACATAGTTGTAATTGCTAGTTACTATTGTTGTAGAAATCAGGAAATGAATCCTTGACTAAAAACTACTAGAAAATTAATTTTCTCAAGGTCTTACAGATAATAAGTGACAGCTAGAACTCAACTTGAACTTTATAGACCATCACTAAACAATCCAAAGTCAAGAAAAGGAAGTCATGTGATGAACTTAAATTATGGAGACCAAAATCCTAGAATATCTGAAAACAATATCTGACTGATTTTTATGTGTCTGCTAAATTTTTCATATTAACTGACTATAGTGTGTAACCAAAACTCTTGGCCATTTTTTTCTTATCCCTTGAAGCTTTTTTGTGAACATAAAATCACTGGTTTCCTCCTTTAACACCTGTGACTTTATGTAGAATTATCACAATCTTGATGATTTCAGGCTTAAATTAGAATTTTCAAAATCTTGATTACTTTGATTCCCATAAAATAGGGAAAAACTTCTAATCTAATATATACCTCTTTCAAAATATCAGTAAAATCATTATGCGTATTATTGTGTCTTACCAGTTAATTACTTTGTAAAATGTCTCACTATAACAAACTGAGACTTGAGTTCCTGCAGAAAGTGATGAAAACCACCAGTGTCAACATGCATACAGCCTGATGCTCTTAAATATGAGGAAGATAAAGGCATCAAGAACAGAAAACACGTCCTCCTGCCCCATACCCATTAAAAAAATTTTTAATTCAGTCATTCAGTCATAAAAGAAGCCTCACAGAGGACACCTAGAAATTTGGGCCTGACTCACACTTTCGAAGCAAGCAACGCTTGCACACTCTCAAGAAACACAATTAAAATGTACTGTGAAGAAAGGAAACATCACTAATCCGTCACTAATTCATATGCACTTAGAACATCCCTCAGCCTAGTAGACAAGCAGACTGCCTGTGGATATGGAGAGGTCTCATTTGGCTAAACGTTGCTTAAAAGCAAAACCAATTCTTAACATACATCCGAATTCTCAATTCTGTCATAGATTGAATCTGTGCTCACTATGGCAAGGACAAAAAAATTTCTTTTGAGACAGCATTTGTAATGACAGTTATTGAAAACTAAAAATATAGAAATCCAAACCATTAAAACCTAGCCAGAAGAACAAAACAAAACAAAAGTCAAGGACTTTTTAGAATACCTCTGAAACACGTCAGAAGGAATTAATCATCCTTTATAGCCTAATCTTTGAATAATAAACAGGGATAACAGCTTTCAGGAGGTCAGTATCATCAAAACTTCTCCCTTTGCATACAATTTCCTTTTTTTTTTTTTGAGACAGAGTCTCGCTCTGTCACCCACGCTGAAGTGCAGTGGCGCAGTCTCAGCTCACTACAAGCTCCGCCTCCCGGGTTCACACCATTCTCCTGCCTCAGCCTCCCGAGTAGCTGAGACTACAGGCGCACACTGCCACACCTGGCTATTTTTTTGTATTTTAGTAGAGACGAGGTTTCCCAGGCTGGTCTTGAACTCCTGACCTCATGATCCACCCGCCTCAGCCTCCCAAAGTGCTGGGATTACAGACGTGAGCTACCGTGCCCGGCCCAAAACTAATTTTTTTTTTTTTTAAACAGAACAGTCACCTGCAAATTAGTCACATTAGAAAATTACACAGTAATCAACCACTTTGCCATAGCTCCAAATGGTGAACTACTAACCTGTACCCAGCCCTATCTTGACTTCATGTTTCAGGACTTCTAGCACATTTAGAAATCCACTGCTGAGCCTGTAGAGAGAGGAGATGTCAGAACAAGGAGATCCATGTGGTTCCAATAAAAGATGAACACTAATAACAATGACGGTGATGCCACTGAAAATTGTGCTTCCCAATATATCGGCTCTAATGTTGACACAAACATATTAGTCAAATCAGACCATCCAAGTCCTGGAGTAAACAGGATCATAAAATAGCCTAATCCTTGGGCCAAGGTTAATCTCAGGTGGGCACAAAGCAGCAAGAGCCAGAAGGAAAAGCAGGGGATCGTTTGTATGGGAAAAAAATGAAGAAATCAAACTTTGCAATTAATACAAAAGTCTTTTATCTGTCTTTAATATTTTCTAACCAACACATCTTTTTATGTTAGGAAGCAGAAATTATAAAGCATTACCTATTCTCTCTGCCTGGAATAATTTGTTACCCTGAATGAGTAGTGACTTTAAGATCGAAAAAGGGGAGTACAACTAGAAAAAGGGGTGCAGCCTAAAAAGTCAGGACCTGACTGTTCAAACGCTGCCTCTGAAGACAGAGAAAGTAGGATAGATGGTTCCTGGGCTGAATTTGGGACCTTGTGACTCTGAGCTAAAGAGATGTGCCAGCCATATATATATATATATATATTTTTTTTTTTTGAGACAGAGTCTGTCTCTGTCATCCAGGCTGGAGTACAATGGCACAATCTCAGCTCACTGCAACCATCTCCTTCAAGGTAGGTTCAAGCGATTCTCCTACATCAGCCTCCCGAGTAGCTGGGATTACAGGTGCCCGCCAGCATGTCCAGTCTCTACTTTTAGTAGAAACAGGGTTTCGCCATGTTGGTCAGGCTGGTCTCGAACTCTTGACCTCAGGTGATCCTCCCACTTTGGCCTCCCAAAGTGCTGGGACTGCAGGCATGAGCCACCATGCCCACCATGTGCTGCCTTTCTAAAGAGACAAAGGAAAACTAAGGTGATCCTTAGAATTCTAAAAAGTTGCAAAGGTCAAAGTGGTTTGCTGGAAGATGCACATAACTCTAATTTTGAAAGCCCTGGTGCATACATAATAAATCTCTCAGTTGCTGGAGAAAGAACAGCAGTGACCATTTAAACAGAAATGTGTCCTAAAGAAATTTAACTTCAAAACTCAATTTGCAAAGCTAGATTATGCTTTAATTTAGAGGATATTAACACCCAATGGGTGTTAAATCCTTCCACTATCAAGTAACTAGACCCTAATTATAGTCACTAAGCTGTACATAGACAAGATTCCCTGTGTCACTCCTTTAAGTCTGAAAACTCAGAACCTCTGGGGTCCCTAAAGCACTCCAGAAATATGTCACTGTGGCTCTCAGCACCCTTCCCATAATGACACTGACATATATCTTTGTAATTTGCAAAGTCCCTAGATTTCCAACTGTGAATGCCTCCAGCTCTTTGCCTAGGAGCTTTCTCAGCTCTCTCCTGTGCTAGAGCCTGCTCTGCCCTTGTTTGGGGACGGCCAGAAGTTCCAGGGAATTAATACTCTTCTCCACTCTGCCCAGGAGCCCTCAACAACAACCCATAAGCATTTGGGTATTACTGTCACAGCCAGCTCCCTCACTTCTTGGGCAGGATAACTTTGAGTTCTGTTTTGGACACTGGTTACCTGAGTTTTCTATTAAATAGAAGGATTAAACTCCGGGAGCCCACAGTGGTAACTTCCGTGATGATACGATCTTCACTGACTTCTTTCCCTTCCCTGTTTTACTTCCCTGAAGGTTTTGTTTGTTTGTTTGTTTGTTTTGTTTTGTTTTTGAGATGGAGTCTTGCTCTGTCGCCCAGGTTGGAGTGCAGTGGCGCGATCTCGGCTCACTGCAAGCTCCGCCTCTCGGGTTCATGCCATTCTCCTGCCTCAGCCTCACGAGTAGCTGGGACTACAGGCGCCCGCCACCATGCCCGGCTAATATTTTTTTTTTTTTTTTTTTTTTTTTTTTAGTAGAGACTGGGTTTCACCGTGTTAGCCGGGATGGTCTCGATCTCCTGACCTCGTGATCCGCCCACCTTGGCCTCCCAAAGTGCTGGGATTAGAGGTGTGAGCCACCACGCCCGACCCCTGAAGTTGTTTTCTGAGATTACAGCCACAAGCATGGGTTTTTAACCTAGCATCCATGGACTGGCATCATGAGATCTATGAATTCCCTGAAATTAGATGCAACACTTGTAATATCCATGGGCTTTTTTCCCCTGAAATTACAGGCTATAACTTATTTATTTTTCTGAGACAGAGTCTCACTCTGTCACCCAGGCTGGAGTGCAGTGGTGCAATCTTGGCTCACTGCAACCTCCGCCTCCCGGGTTCAAACGATTCTCTTGCCTCAGCCTCCTGAGTGGTTGGGATTACAGGTGCCTGCCACCATGCCCAGCTAATTTTTATATGTTTAATACTGATGGGGTTTCACCATGTTGGTCAGGGTGGTCTTGAACTCCTGACCTCAAGTGATCTGCCTGCCTCTGCTTCCCAAAGTGCTAGGATTACAGATGTGAGCCACTGCGCCCAGGCAATAACTTTCATTTTATTCATTTACGGATCCATCACCTTTCAAAAGGTTAAGAACCAGTTAATAAATAACACCTCTGTATTCTGGGGAATTATAATAGGACAAGGTCCTCCTGGGCTTGCCTGTGTGGGCTGGCATTCCGTCAGGTCCAACAGGGTAACATACATCATAGTGCATTTGCTTTGGTATTGCTGTGTTTCCTTCTCACACTACAGCACAAACAGTAATGGGAGTGACTACCCTCTTCTGGATTTCCTGGCTGACATATGGGTTCTTTCAGTACTTTCACTGTAAATTTTTTATGTTGTATTCCCTATTGTCCTTTTTTTGTACAAACTCAGAGATTTCAGAAGATGCTGTGCTCTTCACGTGTCCTCTGAGATAAATGTCCTCTTACGTGTTCTCTTTTACTCCTCAACAGCACGAGTAAATGTCTATCTATCTGGGTCCTGCCAAACACAGAATAGAGGGGAGATCCTGGAGGAATGACAGAGGAAACAAAGGCATTTGGCTGCTAATCTGCAACCCAATCATTCGTAATCTACCAAACAATCATTGTCTACTTACGATAAATTAGAATTGGGACAGTGTGCGATGGATGCTCCTCGTTCATGGAATACGTTCAGTTCTTCTGCAGAGAGGTAGCAGCCGTGTGCCATCACTGTCTGGAGAGAAGAGTGCCCTACGTGGAGTTTACCGCTCACAAATGATTAAGTGGGTACTCACTCACAAGGTATTTTAGAGAGAGACCGAAGCTGTAGCTTGGCTGTTAGCATCTTCACAAGAACATTTATGATGATCTATATGTACAAAGTTGCTAGGTACAAGTTATACCTTAGAAAAGGCCTGTAAACACATTGTCTTACGAAAGTCTCAGGAAATTTGTGGAGTTTACTTAGATTCTTTTTGTTGATCTATAAAGTAATGAGGGTTTGGTCCAGGTGATCTACAGCACAGAATATCCATCCAGATGGAAGATAACATGATTTTCTCATCTCTACTTTAGAAGACTGTCAAGTTACTTTCTTTTCTAAGTTTATATGGGAAGCAACTGGTAGTGTTGTGCTTGCTCCAATTCTAAAAAAACTTTCTAGAACTAAAAGTCCCTTCTCAGTATGTGAAAGCTGTGAGAGTAATCCTGCAAAGCGCTGTTCTTTATTTCTGCTCCTAGCTTCAATGTAAGTGCCAATGGCCTTGATATTTTCAACTAAATAAACTTTTAACTCACCTACGTTTATATTTTCATAAAAACTAGGAAATTTAACATCTTATAATCATTAATTCAGAAAGTAAAATTGATCCAAGAAAGCAGGCACTGCACACACATGAGACCTCTCTAAATTTTTAATGTTGGTAGTATTTATTTGTAGATTTTCTTAAATAAGACTTTACTCTTTCAAAATTATTTTTCTCTCAGTACAAAACCTGTACCCAACTTGCTTTCCCCTTTGAGAGGCACGGTTCAGTGACTACAGAATTATTATTTTTCTGAGACAGAGTCTCACTCTGTCGCCCAGGCTGGAGTGCAGTGGCGCAATCTCGACTCTCTGCAAGCTCCGCCTCCTGGGTTCACGCCATTCTCCTATCTCAGCTTCCCGAGTAGCTGGGACTACAGGCGCCTGCCACCACGCCTGGCTAATTTTTTTGTATTTTTAGTAGAGACGGGGTTTCACCGTGTTAGCCAGGATGGTCTCGATCTCCTGACCTCGTGATCTGCCTGCCTCTGCCTCCCAAAGTGCTGGGATTACAGACATGAGCCACCAGGCCCGGCCCAGTGACTACAGAATTATTATTAAAATATAACTTTCCCAATCTCTGTTCAAATAAAATTAACATGCAAATGGAAGGTTAATTTATTAATCATATGGAAAATATATAAAGAATGAAAACTATGGTGTAGCTTTTACATGATTTATGCAAAGTATTAACCTTTTAAATCAGTTATATTCATATCTCCATTCACACAGTCACTAAGAAATTATTTGCTATGGTAAACTCTCCATGCGGTTTGTACATTTCATTGAAGGCCAAGGCCAAGTAGTACATTATTGTAATGAGGTCTCTTCACACATATTAATTTTAATTATAGGAGTAATGCATACTCATTTTTTAAAAGCACTCTCAGAGTATTTAAAAATAAAAAGCAGAAAGTCCTTCTGGTTTGTCCCTCAGGAAGAGTCATTTTTAATACTCAAGTTGTGTCTTTCAGACAGTTTTTTTCTAAGTAAGCATGCATCTATACATATGTACATACACATCAAATAATATTACACAAACATTCTTCCTTGTAAGCCTGCATACCTCTTTCTTTGTGAATGCTGGATAAAATCCTATGTATGCTCTGTAATTTAATCCCTCACCGATAACAATTTTTAAACTTTAATATAAAATTAGCATCCCTATTCATATTACTTAGAGTGAATTCTTAGAAATGCATCTGCTGACTCAAAGAAATGTAGGTTTACATTCTAATAGATACTGTTAAAATGTCCTTGGACCAAATGACATTCCCATCTTCAATGAAGCCTTTACATTTAATTCACTAAGATGAAACTTCGGGTCCATTTTTAACTACACACACACACACACACGCACACACACACACACACACACACACACTAGGCTTTACTCTAATTTAAGAAATGTATACACATGTACCCCATAGATATATAAACTTTCTGTGTACCCACAAAAATTAAAACTTTAAAAAAAATTTTTAAAGAAATGTATTCATATCAGAAATCTGAAGATTACTATTGAGATTTTAAAATTGAGATAAATATGCCCTCCTTTAAACAGATTATGTCATGATATAAAACTTACCTTATTTGTCAAAAGATTGTTTTTATCATACACAGATGTGTAGTTTTTATAACTGGGGTATAAGTTTTTCACAGCTTCAACTTCATCACGATTTTCACTTATATGGCTCTACAAGAAAAAAATAATATTTTCATTTTTCTTCTGTAAAATACCATTAGAAATTACACTTCCTACCTCAAAATGGTGTGAATGGTTTTCTACTTGCCTATTTAAGGGACCACATAGAAAGGCAATGAAGATTACACATGCATTTTGTTAGAAACAATTATATTCATCATAGATAATATAATGTATATGACAAAGAAACTGAATATTATGAACATGTAGTGTGTGTGTGTGGATGTGGGTGTGGGTGTGTATGTGTATGTATAATATCAAGACAAATTTTTCCAACAAAGTCTTTTCAAATTCTGACCTCCAGCTGGAACAAATATGAAGTCCTCCTTGAAGATAGTCAGGACCCTAGCAACCTGCCTCTTCTGGTGCTGGCCTTTCTTTTGTTTTGAGATAGGGTCTGGCTCTGTCGCCCAGGCTGGAGTGTAGTGGCACAATCTCCACTCACTGCAACCTCTGCCTCCCAGGTTCAAGTGAGTCTCCTGTCTTAGCCTCCTGAGTAGCTGGGATTACAGGCATGTGTCACCATGCCTGGCTAATTTTGTATATTTAGTAGAGATGGGGTTTCACCATGTTGGCCAGGCTGGTCTCAAACTCCTGACCTCAAGTAATCTGCCGGGCTCAGCCTCTCAAAGTGCTGGGATTACAGGCGTGAGCCACCGTGACTGGCCATACTGGCCGTTTAAGAAAAGAGCTCAGTGTTCATAAAAAAGCAGACAGTGGGGTTCACTTATATGAACACTGGAATTTGAGTAAAGAGAGCTGGGTTTGGCCCAAGTTCTGACAGCTATGTGTCCTAGAGAAAGTCATTCTTTTCTTTGGACAGCAATTTTCCCATCTTTCAAAAAAAAAAAAAAAAAAGGGTTGGGCTAGATGAGTGATTTTCCAAATTCTCTCGGCACTGAATATATTATTCATATAAAAATTCACAGAAACCCAATATATAGAAGGCATAAAAGCACTGCCCCTCCGGATGCAGCAGGATTGAGACTCTGGGACCCTGTCTCCATTCTGTGCCCTTTGTTAGTTTCCAGAATGAGTTCTCCAAAAAAGAGTTTGAAAATAGCTGAGCTAGAAAATTCCACGGTCATCAAGAAACAGCCCATAAGAATCCACATGCAAGCAAAACAATAAGTCCTATGCCCCCACACTGAAAAAGGCCCCTAAGACCTTTCTCTAGGGCACCACAAAATCTAAGAGGGCATAATTAATACTTCCAAGAATGGCAATGCCATTTAGAATATGCGTAGCTAAATTTTTAAAAGAAAAAAATAGCAATGTTCTGAAAACACGTGTTTTACTCAGACAATGAACTCCATCCCTGGCCTTGAGGAAGTCCCAGACCACCGATGAAATGCATGGACAGCAACAGAAGAAAGGACAATCTGATGATTCGAGTCATTTGGATAAATGTGAGTAAATGTGCATACATCCACATGCATCTCTCTAGCAAGGATAAACTTGATTTTGTTGTGTGTTCTTCTCATCTTATTTTTCATGTATTTTTAAATGTTCATGTGTATTTTATTTTGTCGGCGACAGAAGCATTTTGTTTGCAAAGCAGAAACATCAGGTAAGTTTTGAATTTTATCTCCAGCAGAGAAATGTGTGGGACTGAATTAAAAATTCAAAAATTATAGGCTGCAAATAATAATAACAATAATAGGGAAGGTGAGAGCGGTTAATGGTTCCTAAGAAAATAGATTTGGGAAACAAAAACCAAAAAAACACTGATTTACAAATGGTAAAGAATCAATGTGTTGTCTCTGCCCTGATCTGACCTTTCTTATAAGACCGTCAACTCCTAAGAGGAGAAATTTTAGTACAGTATGTAATTAAGCTTGGATGGGAGAAGGGGAACTCTCAATTTTAACCCAGATATAAGCTTTAAAAAAGTGTTTTATTCCTAAATTGCAACAATTTAATGACAAAGCAAGGTATACTTTTTTGTTCTGATTTTAAATTAAGAAACTCAGAACAAAAGGGATTTTAAATGCTATTTTGTAAGGTGGAAATTAGGCTCTTTTTGCTTTTCAAATAATAGCTGGTTTCTCTAAGAATGAAGGTACAGAACACACTGAGAAAGTATCAAGTGAAAGAGAAGTAGGAAATAAATGCATTAAATGTATCCTACAGAGAACAGATCACAGTCTGTTATTGATCTTGCCACTACTTAAAACGATTTTCTTGTCTTTAGAAGACTGATCAGAAAACATTGAGGGTATAAGGAACTTCAGGTTTCTTATCTGCAAAATGAAAGAATTGGATTAGGTGATATCTACAGGGGTCCTTTCTCTCCTGTTATGCTGTGACTCTAGGATATCTCAGTTGAAGAAACAGATTACTCAGTAAAACAACTACAGATTATTGGAAATGATGATTTAAGGGTGCTGAGAAATCTTGCAGGTCTGCATAGAGGCATAAAGAGAAGAAGAATACCCACCTGAATGTGCAAATCACGGGTTTTAGCAATGTTGCCCAGTTCACCCATCAAAGTCTCAGAGCAGGAGAGGGAAAAACGTGGTGTCACTATGGGCTTCACTCTAGAATACTGGAGATAATTAAAAACAATTGATACCTCTTCCTTACATCATATACAAAAATTAACTCAAGATGGATTAAAGACATAAATGTAAAACCGAAAACTATAAAAACCCTGGAAGGGCCAGGTGTGGTGGCTCACACCTGTAATCCCAGCACTTTGAGAGGCCAAGGCAGGTGGATCACCTGAGGGCCGGGAGTTCGAGACCAGCCTGACCAACATGGAGAAACCCTGTCTCTGCTAAAAAATACAAAATTAGCTGGGCGTGGTGGCGCATGCCTGTAATCCCAGCTACTCGGGAGGCTGAGGCAAGGGAACTGCTTGAACCTAGGAGGCGGAGGTTGTGGTGAGCCGAGATCTCACCATTGCACTCCAGTCTAGACAACAAAAGAGAAACTCAGTCTCAAAAAAAAACAAAAAACCAACCAAACAACAACAAAAAAACAACCTTGGAAGACAACCTAGGCAATACCATTCAGGACATAGGCATGGGAAAAGATTTCATGACAAAGACACCAGAAGCAATTGCAACAAAAGTAAAAATTGATAAATGGGATGTAATTAAACTAAAGAGCTTCTGCACAGCAAGTGAAACCACCAACAGAGTAAACAGACAACCAACAGAATGGGAGAAAGTTTCTGCAAACTATGCATCTGACAAAAGTCTAATATCCAGCATCTATAAGGAACTTAGACAAATTTATAAGAAAAAAACAACCCAATTAAAAAGTGGGCAAAGCACATGAACAGACACTTTTCACTGTTTTACATATGATTGATGCAGCCAACAATCACATGAAAAAAAAGCTCAACATCACTGATCATTAGAGAAATACAAATCAAAACTGTAATAAGATACCATCTCATACCAGTCAGAATGGATATTATTAAAAAGTCAGAAAAATAGCAGATACTGGTGAGGTTGTGGAGAAAAAGAAATGCTTATAGACTGTTGGTAAGAGTGTAAATTACTTCAACCATTGTGAAAGACAATGTGGTGATTCTGCAAATACCTAGAGACAGAAATACCATTTGACTCAACAATCCCATTACAGGGTATATACCAAAAGGAAATAAATCATTCTGTTATAAAGACACATGCACACATACACTCACTGTAGCACTATTCACAATAGCAAAGGCATGGAATCAACCTAAATGCCCATCAATGATAGACTGGATAAAGAAAATGTGGTACATATACACCATGGAATACTATGCAGCCATAAAAAGAGAATGAGATCATGCCATTTGCAGGGACATGGATGAAGCTGAAGGCCATTATTCTTAGCAAACTAACGCAGGAAGGGAAAGTCAAATATTGCATGTTCTCACTTATAAGTAGGAGCTAACTGATGAGAACACATGGACCCATAGAGGGGAACAACAAACACTGGGGCCTATCGGCAGGTAGAGGATGGAAGGAGGGAGAGCATCAGGAAAAATAACTAATGGGTAGTAGGCTTAATACCTGGGTGATGAAATAATCTGCACAACAAACCCCTATGACACACATTTACTTGTGTAAACAAACCTGCATATGTACCCCTGAACTTAAAAGTTTTTTCAAAAAAAGGAAACTATGGATATCATGAATGTGAAGGGTACCCCAAAATGCATATCATACAGCAAGATGATTTTGTGTCTTCATTTTGGGGAGCAGTCCTCCATTCTAACAGTCGGTGGAAGTACGGGGTTTCATGAAAACAGCTCAAAGTGGAGAATAAAGGAGGGTATCTTCTTCAGCACCCAAGTTCAACAAAAGATCCTATCCCAAATGACAGATGCTCCTCTGCCACCACATTAAGGCTCTGATGAAGGCTAGACTGGGTAGCCTTTATGAAGAAAAGTGGAGGCTGAAGTTTTAAAAGAGTGCTGGGGAGACTAAAAGTGAGGTGATAGCCGATTCCATTTTGGGAATACATCTTGTCCAGGTGTGCTGGTTACAGCCTTCCTGAGCACTATTCAGTTGTAGGATTGGCTCTGGTGGCACCTGAGGTGAGTGGCCAGGCAGGAGAGAAGGACTCATAGAGGGGTAGTGAGGATAAGGATCTACAAAGTTTCATCTAAATCTCCCAAAGTTAGATGGAAAGAAATTTTGAGATTTCTTATGATTTCCTATCAGGCCCCAAAAGATGATCAGGGAAGGGTCAGGCTTGCCAGTCTAAGAGATTGCTTGACAGAGCCACA
Source organism: Homo sapiens (assembly GCF_000001405.40). Classification (NCBI taxonomy): domain Eukaryota; kingdom Metazoa; phylum Chordata; class Mammalia; order Primates; family Hominidae; genus Homo; species Homo sapiens. Next base: position 72,220,938 of record NC_000009.12, on the reverse strand, counting down.
TGCCAGCCTGTTAGGGGTGGAGGCAGGAAACAGCATTGTCTCCACAGGCTCACCAACACCAGGGGACCACAATAGGGGGTGCCTGCTGCATGCCTGCAGGCCATGTGAGGTGTCACACACATAGGGACCAAGACAGCCAGTGGCAGGGGCATAGGACTAGACACTGCCTGTGTTACAGAGCAGACCAAGGGCACAAGTGGCCAGAGCCAATGTTGAGGTGGCCACCAAGCAGTCCCCAACTTCCAGGTGCCACCAGTCAGCCCACGCCCATCAAGCCCTGTCCCTGCTTGCCAGAAACCAATCCTGTGAAATCAGAAGATCCCAGAGGGGGGTAAGGAAAACCACTGAGGAAGAAAAACCTACCCTGAGACGGTAACTCTAACCTGAGCAGTGACTGAGATTGTCCTAATAAAAATTGGATCAACTAAAAGCTTAGTGAACTTAAGACGAAGTTTACCTGCCTGACGAAATTTAGTTTTTCTGTTGCATGTAGGCATGGGGTTTGGGAGCCAAGAAAAGTACACACAATTTTAAGAATAAAGCAAGTTTGATGTTTGTACATATGTGAACGATATCTAAACAAATCCACTAAAATCATTAATATTTCATTATTTCAAAATGTATTTAAAACAAAACACAGAGGGCTAGGTACAGAGCTGCCCCCAAGAAAGCAAAAAATGCCTGACCTCTGTTTCTATAAGTTTGACTTTTTTTAGATTTCACAAATAAGTGAGATCATGCAGTATTGTCTTTCTGGGGCTGGCTTATTTCACTTATTGTAATGGGCTGTAGGTTCATCCACATTGTCACAAATGGCATGATTTCCTTCCTTTTTATGGTTGAATAATATTCCATTGTGTTTGTATATAGACATATACACTGCATTTTCTTTATTTGTCTGTCTACAGACACTTAAGTTGTTTCCATATCTTGGCTATTCTGAATGATACTGCAATGAATATAGAAGTGCAGATATCTTTTCAAGATGCTTATTTTGCATCTTTTGGATATACACCCAAAAGTGGGATTGCTGGCTTATGTGGGGAGATGATGGTCAAAGGGTACAAATTTTCAGTTATAACATGAACAAGTTCTGAGGATCTAGTGTACAGCGTGTGTGGGAATAGATGTGTTAACAAATTTGATTCTAATAATCAATAAACAATGTATAAATATATCAAATCATCACATTGTACACCTTGAGTGGATTCAATTTTTGTCAATTAAATATTTTAAGATAATTTTTTAAAAATGTCTGACTTCACTGAGCTGACAGTGACAGTCCACAGTGACACATCAGGCTCTAGGTAAATACTTCTACATGCATGAGATAAGCCAGTCGTACACAGACTAATCACTATCAAGCAACTTTATGAATCCTACAGCTAATGCAAAGGCAATCTAAAAGCGAGCTCTGAACAAAGTTACTCACGTTCTTTTGGAGCATTTCTGACACAAATCTGAAATAAAGCAACAAATGGGTTAGAAAACTTGAGCATTTTCTTTTTTTCTTTTCTTTATTATTATTTTTTTCTTCAGACAGAGTCTGGCTCTGTCGCCCAGGCTGGAGTGAAGTGGTGCGATCTCGGCTCACTGCAAGCTCCGCCTCCCGGGTTCACGCCGTTCTCCTGCCTCAGCCTCCCGAGTAGCTGGGACTACAGGCACCCGCCACCACGTCCAGCTAATTTTTGTATTTTTAGTAGAGACGGGGTTTCAGCGTGTTAGCCAGGATGGTCTTGATCTCCTGACCTGGTGATCCGCCCTCCTCGGCTTCCCAAAGTGCTGGGATTACAGGCGTGAACCACCGCGACCGGCCGACCATTTTCAAATAAACATTTTAAAAAGATAAAAACATGATTCTTACATATCCTGATTTTCATGCAAACATTTCTAATGCTGCACATGTTCCACCACCACTAATTAAAGATTAACAAGTAGTAATTACTCTGCTTTTTTACTTGCAGCCAGAGATGGAGTGCAAAATCACAGGGAAACGTAATGTTATCATCTAGCATCGGTCGGGCTGTTCTCAAATATTCCCACAGCACTCAAGCTGTTCTACTAGCTCAAGCTCCGTTTGGAGAAATGTTGCAATATATTATGCTCTACGGTTGTTAGAGTCATGAAGTCCTATGCACTTGGAGGCTTTTAGAAGCCATGAAGCTCTTTACTTCGAATTCTCCTAAAGTGGAAGCTACTTGTTCCCACAACATCACCATTTATTTACAAGGGTAGAGTTCTCTTGGGGATGAACCTTGGAGTAAAGCAGAAGGAAAAGGCGAGAGTTGGTTGTGAGGTGCATGGGGAATGGGATGGTAGTGATCCCACCAGTTTATGCCTGCAGGGATGGTGGCAACTGTAAAGACTATGAAATGGCTCTTTCTGCCCTCCCTAGGCAGCTGTAGTTTTCTGCCTTCTGGCATTCCTTTGTTTCAGAACAAAATGAGAATTAAGGTTTACTATCACCACAAAAATGGATTAATAGATAAGCTGGGATAGGCTGATGCTAAAGGAAGGCGGGTACTTCCTCCTCTCTGTGAGCATGTAAGCAGCCCCTCTGCTCCCTTTTCAGAGGACACTTTTAAGGGGAAAGGGGTCTGGGGAACAGAAAAAAAGCTGAACTTCTAAAACCTGCATCAGAATATGTTTGGTCTTGGCAAAGATTTGTATCTAAAGCATTTTCTTCTGTATCTCTTAGATGTTGAACAGAATAAAATTACATTTTGGCCAGGTGCAGTGGCTCACGCCTGTAATCTCAGCACTTTGGGAGGCTGAAGCAGGCGGCTCACTTGAGGTCAGGAGTTCAAGATCAGCCTGGCCAATGTAGCAAAACCTCATCTCTACTAAAAACATAAAAATTAGCTGGGCATGGTGGCAGGGGCCTGTAATCCGAGCTACTAGGGAGGCTGAGATATGATAATTGTTTAAACCCGGGAGTGGGAGGCTGCAGTGAGCTGAGACCGTGCCACTGCACTCCAGCCTGGGCTACAGAAGAAGACTCCATCTAAAAAAAAAATAAAAAATAGAAAATAAAAATAAATAAATAAACCAATACAATTTCTTGTCAAATCCTTAAGGTACTATAGAAATGCCATTTTAAAATATAAGAAAAGTATTTATATGGTCAGTAGAATCTCCCAATGTTGTATGAAAAAGAACATAATGAAAATTCATAATCTCAAGCCATAGTATGACCCACAACCAAAAGTAATTTAATGAGCAGGCCATATGTACTTAAAAGCAAATCCAATCTACAGGAGAAGCCCTGGTCTATAATAAAGGGTAGGGAGAGGGTAAATGATTTACTTCATTTTACAAGAGGATTTACCCTAGGACTCCTATAGCAAGTTCCTGCAGGCTTTAAATATAATTTGTTACACAAAAATAATATTGACATTCAAGTTGGACAAACCCACACAGTGACCTTGGCAAATAGGAAGAATGCCTCAGTGCATTAATCATCTTTCAACTTTAATTCGACGCAGTGTGTTAATACATCTTGAGCTTCTCAGGCGTTTTTTGGTTTTGGCTTCAACAATGTGTGATTAAGGGAGAAAAGTGAGGGGAAGAATGCTAGAAGCATCAAGAGAAGCACTACTGTACCACAGGAGAAAATCACAGAGAGCTGGAGTCTCTGCAAATATGCTCACAGCTATTTATTCTGTACAAAATCTTCCTTTTAAAAAAATCTAATCACTTTCTACTCAACTCTTATCTAAAGTGGATGTGAACTAGAAAACACAAATGTACATGAACACAATCTCACCCACATACTGCTATTTTTAAAAACTATTTATATTGAAGTATAATTTACATACCATAAAATTCACCTGATTTAAGTGCACAAATCCATGATTTTTAGTAGATTTATTGCGTTTTACAACCACCATCATAACCTAGTTTTTGAACATTCTCATCACCCCAGTTAGATTCCTTGGGCCCATTTAGTTAATAGCTATTCCTGGGCCGGGCACGGTGGCTCACACCTGTAATCCCAGCACTTTGGGAGGCTGAGGTGGGTGGATCACGAGGTCAGGAGATCGAGAGCATCCTGGCTAACACAGTGAAACCCTGTCTCTACTAAAAATACAAAAAATTAGCTGGGCGTGGTGGCGGGCGCCTGTAGTCGCAGCTACTTGGGAGGCTGAGGCAGGAGAATGGCATGAACCTGTGAGGCAGAGCTTGCAGTGAGCCAAGAATGTGCCACTGCACTCCAGCCTGGGCAACAAAGCAAGATTCCGTCTCAAAAAAAAAAAAAATAGTTTTTCCTACTTCCAGCCCCAGGCAATCGCTGGTGTTCTGTCTCCATGAATTTGCATTTTCTATACATTTCATATCAATTAAATCATACAATGTGTGGCCTTTTGTGTTTGGTTTCTTTGTCTTAGCACAGTGTTTTTAAAAACCATCCATGTTGTAGTATGTATCAGTGCTTCATTCCTTTTTATGGCTGAATAATATTCCATTGTATACCACATTTTGTTTATCCATTCACCAGTTATGAACATTTTGGTTGTTTCCACTATTTGGTGCAGGACAAGTTCTCATATGGCCTTGGTGACCCAGTTTTTCCCCTTTTCTTACTTGTAGTTATCAGAATAACTGTAGAATGTGCTGGAAATGCAACCACCCTGAGATATGGAGAAACTGGTCAGAACAGCCTGGGTTCTGTTCCCATTTCTCCTAGAACAGGATGTTCTGCAATGTTTTAGCTCAGTGAGACCAGTTTCATCTGGGTATAAAACCACAGGTAGAGCATGCTCACAGGGTCCCTCAGCTATGATGTGATGTGGGGCATGCACATATGAGACTCTTGGGCAACTTTCCTGAGCCGTGGAGGATCAGTTCACCAAGGCTTCTATTGTCCCTTGCTACCTATCTGTGCATAATAAACTTGCTTTGCTTAACTTGTTGTATAAGTGTGCTGTCTCACCAGATTCATGCAAGTGGTGTGCAGTATTGGTGAGGTGTTTAGAGTCCTCCCCTGGGATTGATACCTATGTGCAGTGAACCTGCTCTGCATTTGTCTTCTATAAATGATGTCACTATGAACATTTACCTGCAAGTCTTTACGTGGAAACATGTTTTCATTTTCCTTGCACATCTTTACTTTTTATGATTCTATCTGCATATGGTATCCTATTCTTTGAGGTGGAAATCTTTCCAAAGTAGGCTGTCCACAATCTTTGGGAATCCAGCTCAATGTCCAGCAGCAGCAGAGTGGGCCTTGGTCCCTCCCATGGTCTCTCTCTAGCCTGTGTCACCACATAACATCCTCAGAGCTTTTATTACAGGTAGTAGAGTGAGGCCCTATTCCCTAGGAGCACAGATGTAGAACCAAAGCAGAAAAAGGAACCACATCTTCCCTCCTGTATGCCTGCATTTCAGCTTGCAGAGATGTTCTTTCAGGTCACCTTTGTGGAGAGGGGATATTCTAGATCCCTATATTAGCCTGTTATGGCCATTACAGCATACATCCAGAACAACTTTCCTGTTCCCAAGGTAGGACGAAATAGTAGTGAAGGATGCATATACCACCTTGAGAAAACAATAAAAGATACCCTATTATGGTAACTTTTGGTGGTTTCATTACAAAAAAAAATTCTTCTTTATACCTTTTTGTGTTTCTCTAAGTTCTGGACCATGGAAACACATATTACTTTGGTATCTTTTAAAAAAATCCTTTTGTAGTGAAAGTCTTTCATTAACCTGTAACTATAACTCATTTTTCCTAACTTCTTGTATACTATTTTATTTCACAAATAATTATTCACTTCCATCATCATTTTTAAATTAACACATGCCATAGCAAGTATTCTTGCATACCCTCTGTTTCTCTCTCTTTTATTCTCTTTACTTACATTGAATATGAGGTGTGATCTATATCATGAGAGAAAGAACTTTGAGCCGGGCACAGTGGCTCATGCCTGTAATCCCAGTGCTTTGGGTGGCCAAGGCAGGTGGATCACCTGAGGTCAGGAGTTCAAGACCAGCCTGGCCAACCTGGTGAAACCACGTCTCTACTAAAAATACAAAAATTAGCTGGGTGTGGTGGCACGTGCCTGTAATCCCAGCTACTCGGGAGGCTGAGGCAGGAGAATCTCTTGAACACAGGAGGTGGAGGTTTCAGTGAGCTGAGATCGCGCCATTGCACTCCAGCCTGGGTGACAGAGTGACAGTCTGTCTCAAAAAAAGAAAAGAAAAGAAAAAAAAAAAAGAACTTTGAATTTAGAGTCATAGACCCTGGTTTTGAATTCTGGCTCCACTACTTAAAAGCTGTATGACTGTGAGCAAGCCTCTTAGCCTATGTCAGACTCAGCTTCCTTATCATAAAAGACAGATGTGGGCTGGGCGTGGTGGCTCACGCCTGTAATCTCAGCACTTTGGGAGGCCGAGGCGGGCAGATCACGAGGTCAGGAGTTCGAGACCAGCCCAGCCAACATAGTGAAACCCCGTCTCTACTAAAAATACAAAAATTAGCTGAGTGTGGTGGCATGCACCTATAGTCCCAGCTACTCAGGAGGCTGAGGTGGAAGAATCGCTTGAACCCAGGAGGCAGAGGTTGCAGTGAGCTGAAGGTTGCAGTGAGCTGAGACCACGCCATTGCACTCCAGCCTGGATGACAGAGTGAGACTCCGTCTCAAAAAAAAAAAATAAAAATAAATAAAAAATAAATAAAAAGACAGATGCTTCATGGAGATTTCTATGAGGATCAAGTGTGGCACTACAAAGGAAAGCTCTTTGTAAATCATTAATGATTATCGAGTGTTTGATCAAATTCACTGTAGACTAACCGACCCATTGCATTAAACAGAACATTCTGAGTCACTATGTGCACATCCCAACTGGGTGATAACAGTATCCTGTTTCCTTTTTCCATCTCTAACTCCATCAGTGCAGCACAGGAATTCACCTGTAAGACAAATCAAGACAAATGGGCCTTTTACCTCTCAGTTTCCTTGATCGATTCCTCAGTGGTCTCCTTGTATTCTGGAAAAGTGTCATTCAAATCCATGCAAACTTTGCCCACAAATGCCCGCTGTCCAAATTTATCTGTAAAGTATACACAAAAAGAATATGAAGGCATGTTTGTTTCTGAAACAGTACTTTTTCTTTTTCTTTTTTTTTTTTTTTTTGAGACGGAGTCCCGCTGTTTAGCCCAGGCCAGATTGCAGTGGCGCAATCTCGGCTCACTGCAAGCTCCGCCTCCCAGGTTCATGCCATTCTCCTGCCTCAGCCTCCCGAGTAGCTGGGACTACAGGCGCCCGCCACCGCGCCCGGCTAATTTTTTGTATTTTTAGTAGAGACGGGGTTTCACCGTGTTAGCCAAGATGGTCTCGATCTCCTGACCTTGTGATCCGCCCGCCTCGGCCTCCCAAAGTGCTGGGATTACAGGCGTGAGCCACCGCGCCCGGCCAAAACAGTACTTTTTCTAAGCTTTCAACAGTAATTTTTAAATTAAAATCATATATGGAAAACATAAATGAAAATGTAAAAGATCATCCACCATCACACCACTTAAGAACAAGAACCACCACAAATTCCCTACTATATTCAGTAAACAGTAAAAGTTTTTCTATTCATCACTTTAACCCACTACCTCCCCCATCCCCATTCTCAGGCTGTCAGGTGGGTTTTTTGGTTTTTTTGTTTGTTTGTTTGTTTTGTTTTTGAGACGGAGTCTCACTCTGTCACCAGCCTGGAGTGCAGTGGCGTGATCTGGGCTCACTGCAACCTCCAACTCCCTGGTTCAAGTGATTCTCCTGCTTCAGCCTCCTGAGTAGCTTGGATTACAGGCACGCACCACTGTGCCCAGCTAATTTTTGTATTTTTAGTAGAGACAGTGTTTCACCATGTTGGCCAGGATGGTTCGATCTCCTGACCTTGTGATCTGCCTGCCTGGGCCTCCCAAAGTGCTGGGATTGCAGGCGTGAGCCACTGTGCTTGGCTGGGTGTTTTTAAGTTATTATTCAGTTTTTCCCTTTGCTTATCCAGTGTGTCTATATTTTCATTAAATATGTAACTATCTTTGCTCTCATTTTATCACATGGTAAAGGAGCAAACAGTCTCAGGTCCTAAAGAAAGACTCTCTTAGTCATTGGCATACCTACACTCAGCTTCTTCTACCCCAACTTACAATCTCCCTCCTGTCTCCTACTCTACCACCATCCCTTGGATCTCTCTCTCTCCCTCTCTCTATCATGGTCCTCTTCTAGACAAAACACAGAATGGCTGAGGGATAAGAACATGAGCACTGGAATTGGAAAGATTTGGACTGATTCCTTATTCCTCTGATTACTCCAGGTGGTGGATATTATTTGGTTAAGGTCTAAACCTATATATGTACAGTGTTCTCTGCTATGTGTAGGGTTGTGAGGAATACATGCAATAATATATATAAGGTGTCAGGCATGTGGTTATCTAGGCAACATACTGCTACTATTCTTTTTTTTTTTTAAGGTGGCGTCTCACTCTGTCGCCCAGGCTGGAGTGCAGTGGCACAATCTCAGCTCACTGAAAGCTCTGCCTCCTGGGTTCACGTCATTCTCCTGCCTCAGCCTCCTGAGTAGCTGGGACTACAGGCGCCCACCACTACGCTTGGTTAATTTTTTGTATTTTTAGTAGAGACAGGGTTTCACCATGTTAGCCAGGATGGTCTCAATCTCCCGACCTCATGATCCGCCCGCCTCGGCCTCCGAAAGTGCCAGGATTACAGGCATTAACCACCGCGCCTGGCCATACTATTCTTAACTGAAACAATGCCAATATTATCTGTGAGGAATTTTACGCAGTCTTACTAGCAGCTCTCAGCACTAGAACCTAGTCCTCATCAAAGGTGCTGGAAGAATTCTATTTCAGCAAGAAAGCTGAGGCTATATGGGACAATGGTAATTGTTTTTACAGTGTCTCCATCTCTGTCATAAGAGATTTTTAAAAACCTTTCTGCCTCTCTCCTTCCCCTGTAATTCATTTAGATAACTGGCCATTAGATTAATCTTCCTTAAAATACCACTTTCATCACATCACTCACACCTGGACTCAGAACCTTTTTTGAGTCTTTGGTGCATATTTGAGCTCTTCTACAATGTGAACCCTCCCATCTGCCTACCCTCTTCTCCCACTGCCCCCAGGCGATGAATCCACTCCTCTAGTTAAACTACTGTGGTCCCTGCATCCACTATTGACACTCCTGTTCCCATACCTGTGTCCTTCCCCTATCTAGAAGACAGTTTGTCCTCTCCTCATCTTGTCTTTACTTCAAAGCCCAGTTTAAAGGACCCTTTCATAAAGCCTTCCCAGATGTCGTAGTTCTGGGTTCTCTTTGCCTTCTCTGAAGACTGTAGTATCTATTTTCAGAGTCACCCATTAGGTCAGGTCTTTTGCATAAGCAAACAGTGGCATCAGTGTATCAGCCAACAGTATTTACTGAGCACCTGCTATGTGCCAGGTACTGTGCTGGGTACAAGTTTTGGAATCATCAACCCGAATCCAGAATCAGCTCTTCTTACTAGCTGTGCAACCCTGGGCATGTTACTTATCCTCTCTGAGCGTCAGTCTAACCATCTGTAACATGAGGACATCAGTAACCACTTCAGAAGGCTGTTTGCTGCTGAACTAATTCTTCCAGAGTGCTTTGCACAATGCTAGACGTCTAGTAACAGCACCATAGTTGTTACTAAGGTTAGTGATCAATGGTGTAGGTATTCTGTCTGGCTTCTCAAGGGCAGAGACTATTTTTTATCTCATTGCGTTTCCAGCATCTAGCACAGTGCCCTGACTCTAGCCAATAGCCACCATGTATCTGCTGATATAAGAAACTATTACCACAACTAGAATTAGTAAAGTTTCCCTAAAAAGCCCTAAATTAATACACAAAATTCAGACTCATATATATCATTCTGTAACCAAAAATTGTAAGTAAATAATCAGAGTACTTAGAAAATAGAAAACACTCTATGATACAGTTTTCTATTTTCTAAGTACTTTAGAAAATTTCCTAAGGGCCACAGTGACATATAGACACGTAATTACTTGCAAAAAATGTAATGCTCATGTTCTAGCAATTAAAAGGCAGGTCTGCCCAAAAGTACATATAAGTTGTTTGCCACGATGGTCTGGCTGTCTTTGCTTGAGGTGCCCATAAATCATGCTTCATTTGCTCACCTGTAATGTCGGCAAGGAGCAGAGATGAGTCAGTGTGAATTGTTGCAAAGTAACAAGCTGTGGTTGTTCCATTCTTTAGTGTTCTCCTCTAAAAATAAATCACAAAAACCGCGAATCACGTGTGCTCAGAAAAGTCACATGGTACATCCAGAGGAAAACAGAATTTTAGTTTTTAATTTTAAAATGTTTTTATTTAAAGGTATGCCATCTTGATGTAGAGTACAGTTAGGTAAATGGCAAAAGGTATTTATATTCCAAAAGTTAGCTGGAGGAGAAGCTGATACTTCTGATTTTTTCTCGATTCACACAGTTCTGTGCTTCAGAATTCATTAAAATGTGATACTAATGAATTCCTTCTTTCTTAGGATTGTTTAAGGATATCCAAATTTTATTGCATCTGGGAGTACATAAATAAGTTTTTCTTCTACTACAGAATAAAAATATTCAGCCAGACTTTAGCTCAACCTGGAAGGTTAATCACATATATCTATCTCCTTTCCTTCGCAAACTACAACAAACATGACAGTAAAGGAGTACAAACGTTATTAACCCACAAGAAGAACATGAGAGGAGAGACATGAGCAGAGAAAACATTTCAATATCTTCTTGGAAGACAAAAAACATGGACGAGAACCTGGAAGCAACTTGGAAAGAAGGAGAGAAGTGTGTGGGTTTTAGCAGGGGACTGGCTGGAAGTCTATGCAGGTATGATTAAACCCTGGCAGGAACCTTGTTGAAATCAGCCAACCACCCTTAACTTCTTCCTTATAAGAGAGATTTACTCTTTATAGAACCTGGATAGTATTTAGAGGGTACAAGCTCCAAAAGAGAAGGTAAAGCAGAGGTTTAAGTGAAAATCTGGCTGACCTCAAGGGCACTCAGTCATTTTCCCCAGAATACCACGTGTACTACTCCCACAACTCCTGGCAGGGGACTAAACGATTATTTTCTAGAGAAAATGAATGGCTCTAAAAGAAAGATGTCTTCACAGTGACGTTTGGGACCCAAATTCACTGCCTTCACTACTCATCCTATAATGAAGTTACCATCAACAAGTGATACCTCCACCCAGAAATTCCAGTCAGCACCTTATAGCATCACAGTATGAATGTATGTCCAGGGTTTGATAGGCATTGGAGGGAATCTATTATCAAAAAGATAAGGAGGGGGAGAAAGAATCTGGAAAAAATCTTAGAGGAAACATAATCTATAAGGTCAGAAAAAAGCTCAGTTAAAAAAAACAACTATGACTCACATCCTCAAAGAAATAAAACACACTATTGCACCCACAAAACAAGAACAGAATGCTATGAAAATCAGAATGCAGGAGCTCTCCAAAAGTAAAAATATTATAAATGAAATGTGGAAGCCAGTAGGAGGGTTGTAGGATAAATTACAAGAGAATTGCTCAGGAAAAGGAAAAGATGAAAATCAAAGGTGAGAACATAAGAAAATTAGGCTCAATCTAGGCAATCCAACATTTAGAATAAGAAATCTAAATTTTTTTAAATAAATGGAAGGGACAAAAATATGAAAAATAATATTCATCTCCAAAATTAAAATCCTCATAGAATTGTCAGCACAGGGAATAAAAAGAGAACCCAAAGTAAGGCATATAATTGTGAGATATTAAGTTCGTAAGTACAGAAAAGATGCTAAAAACTCCAGGAAAAAAAAAAAAACTGGTCACAGATAAATGACAGGACTCACAACGACATTGGATTTCTCACTAACAATGCTGGAAGCAGAACAATGCCTTCAAATTCAACTCATATATATCATTCTGTAACCAAAAATCCTAAGTAAATAATTAAAGTACTTAGAAAATAGAAAACGCTCTATTATATAGGTTTCTATTTTCTAAGTACTTTAGAAAATTTTCTAAGGGCCACAGTGATACACAGACAATTAAGTACTTGCAAAAAATGCAATGCTCATGTTCTAGCAATTAAAAAGGAGGTCTTCCCACAAGTACATATAAGTTGTTTGTCACAACAGGAGTTATTTTTAACATATAATTTTATACCTTGGTAAATTATCAATCAAGTGTGAAGGTAGCATAGAAATATGATTAAGTACCGAAGGACTTGAAAATTTTACTCTCCATGAACTCTTTCTTAGGAAGCTTTTAGAAACTGTCTTTTAGTAAAACACAAGAGTAATCCAAAGTAATTCCTGGATCCAGGGAGTGGGCATTAAACGCAGGAAAGAGGCAAAGAGAATGCCAAGATTACAGTAGTGCTACAGAGAATGCTGACCAGAAACAAGAGAATGGGAGGAGGTGAGAAGATCTTCAAGAAAGAAAATGGAACGGATATTGCCTGACCTGTCTGAGCACTTGGAAAAAGGACTAGTGGATTGAATACTTTGGGGCATATCTTTAGCAGAAGCTTTTAAATGCAGAGGAAAACCCTCCAGACAGTGGCTCTTGCTTACGTTTTGCCTGTTATTAGCTACGTGACCTTGAGAAGGTTGCTTACATTCCATGTTTCCTCCTTTGTGAAAAAACAGGGTTTTCTTGACTAGTACAGACATCAGAAGCTCAAGTGTCTGCAGGATTGAAATAGTTTGGAGTTAGGATAATAGAAATGAACATGCCGTACCTTAGACAGTAGCCTCTAATTAGATCCAGTGTGTTCCATTTTTTGTTGTTGTTGTTATTTTGGGTTTTGTTTTTTGAGACAGGGTCTTGCTCTGGAGTGCAGAGGTGCCATCACACATCACAGCTCACTGTAACCTTGAATTCTAGGGATCAAGAGAGCCTTCCACCTCAGCCTCCCAAGTAGCAGGGACTACAGATGCATGCCACCATGCCTAGCTATTTTTTTTTTAAGACAAGCCCTTGCTATGTTGCCCAGGCTGGTCTTGAACTCATGGCCCCAAGTGATCCTCTTGCCCTCAGACTCCCAAAGTTGTTGGGATTATAGGCATGAGCCACCACACCTGGCCCAGTCAATTGTTTCAAAAAAGCAAATGAGAACTCAGTAATATTGGTTAGCCCCAAAAGTCAAAAGAATTTGGAAACCTGTCAATTTTTCCAAATATTAAGATAATTTTCATGTAAAACAAAAAGATCTGGCCACCAGCAGAGGATGTTTAGAACCTGTCAATTACAGACAAGGATGAGCTCTCCATCACAAATCCAGGTGGAAAGCCAATACCATGACAAAGGTATCAAATTTAATCTCCAGCAACTAGAAAAGTGTATGGGTTCTAGGATGTGCTCAGTAAATATTTACTGAATGAACACCTGAGGAAGCAGAATTACTAAAACAACAAGAGACATAAAATGAATGAAAAATAGCATCCTTTGATGAATAGGACAGGATGTCATATCTTGAAAGAGGAACAGGTTATTATAAATAGTAAGAGTGAGTTAATGATTTACAAAACTGGCCCATACCATTTCCTAAGAATGTAGTGTGAAAGAAAAGTTTAGAGACATGAAAACAGAACAGAAGTTTCAATATTTTTCTAATAGTAATTATCAAAAGGAAGAATAGATTGAAGAGAGGAATATACTCAGAAAGAGAGAGAAAGAGAAAGAGAAATAACAGAATTCCTAGAAACAGAAGGAAGACAGAAGTTCTCTTATTGAAAGAACTATGTATTAAAGAGAATGAATTGAAGAATTAAACTGAGAATGAATTGGGATGATCAACAATTACAATTTCAGAATATCAGGAATGAAGAAAAAAATCTCAAAGGCCAGAAAATTAACTAGAAAGAAATGAGAATCACATTGATGTCAGCACATTGGATGCTGATAGATAAATAATTTCAAATAGAATTCTCTCTACAGCTAAGGCATTGTTCAAGAGTCAAAAAAAAAAAGTAAAGCCATTTTTGATAATTCTAGGTTTTAGAATGTTTATCACTCACCTGATTGGAAAGAATTGTCAGAGGATATATTCCAACAAAAATGAATGAAGACAGGGATCCAAGTAGCAAAATAAAAAGCAAAGCTCATTGTTAAATTATAATTATAATAATTATTATTATTGAGATGGAGTCTCACTCTGTCACCCAGACTAGAGTGCAATGGTGCACCTTGGCTCACTGCAACCTCCACCTCCTGGGTTCAAGAGATTCTCCCACCTCAGCCTCCTGAGTAGCTGGGATTACAGGCACCCGCCACCATGCCTGGCTAATTTTTGTATTTTTAGTAGAGGCGGGGTCTCACCATGTTGGCCAGGCTGGTCTTGAACTCCTGACCTCAGGTGATCCGTCCGCCTAGGCCTCTCAAAGTGCTGGGATTACAGGCATGAGCCACCGTGCCCGGCCCTCATTGTTAAATTAAGTGCAGATGTTAAAATAAAAAACTGGAATTAAATTGAGATAATTTTTTTAAATTAAACTTAAAAGTTAAATATTATCTTAAATATAGTATACACGGCAAAAAAAAATGGAACTAAAATCTCAGATGATATAACATAGGACGTAGCAAAAAAGGTAGGGATGAAGAAGGGAACAGAATGAAAATGTTCTTGTCTTACCATATGGGAGAATATGCAGCAAAAGAATAGAAGTGTTCAAGACTTTTAACAACTTCATCTCATAGAGATAGAAAAAAATGTCAAATCAACAGAGAAAATGCAGTCTTCTTTTAAAAAATCGCAGAATAATCATAAAAATTAACCTTTTATTAGGTCATAAATCTCAGCTATCCCCAAGAAAAATGACACATTACATTTACTAACCAAACTAAAATAAAACTCAAAATTAAAACGGATATGTAATCTAAATTTTTCTAAATTTTCAAAATTTTAAGCACCTTTCTACAATCTTGACTTAAAGATGAAATTGAAACGGAAAGCTGGGGTTATTTAGAAGCACTACACAAACACTGATAGTAAGCCCCTTCCTCAGTGTCAGGCCCAAACCAGGAGGTACAGGGCTTATATGGGAGAAGATTTTAGTGAATGAGAAATTGAAACTTCAAATTGGACTGTGTTAAAGCAAGCTAAATTTGGCCTGAGCATGCTTCTCAACTTTGAGTTTATAAGGAACTGCAACCTAACTTAGTTTATCAACTCACTGAAAGCCTGATTAGTAATATGCTTTTGTAACAAATAGCTGAGTCTCAGCCAATCACAGCAGCTGAGCTCTAGCCAGTCACAGGTGCCAAGTGATTAGAACAAGTTTGAATAAGGCAAACCCAGAGCTGTAACAATCAAGCTGTTGCTATACCTCACTTCCATTTTCTGTCTTAAATGCTGCCTGCCCACCTTGCTGGGCAGAGTCCTCTGAACCTTTCCTGGTTCTGAGAGCTGCCTGATTCTGGAATCGTTCTTTGCTCAATTTACTCTGTTAAATTTAATTTGTGTGAAGTTTTTCTTTCCACAACTAGAATGAACTGAAAACACTAGAAAGTTCAGGAAGTGCCCTAATTACAGTAAAGGGACAGGACAGGGAGACCCCTGAGAAAGGGAAGAAGGAAGGGAGGAAGGAAACCCAAAGCTACTACTGTTTATTCCCACTGAGCTCATCCCACTGAGTAGGCTACGTGGCTAGTTAACACATCTCCACACCCTTAAACAGATGTCAGCCATACCCTCAGTGCCTCCAACTTAAAAGTTTGTGGGCCCACACTCATTCATTATCAGACACATAAGAAAGAACATAGGATATGTGCTCCGCAATTTTTTTTTTTTTTTTTTTTTTGAGACAGAGTCTCACTCTGTCACCCAGGCTAGAGTGTAGTGGCCTGATCTTGGCTCACTACAACCTCCTCCTCCGGGTTCAGGCGATTCTCATGCCTCAGCCTCCTGAGTAGCTGAGATTACAGGCACATGCCACCACACCCAGCTAATTTTTGTATTTTTAGTAGAGACAGGGTTTTGCCATGTTGGCCAGGCTGGTCTCAAACTCCTGACTTCAGGTGATCCACCCACCTTGGTCTCCCAAAGTGCTAGGATTACAGGCCTGACATCAAATACTTAAACCACCATCACACTCGGCCTGACATCAAATACTTAAACAAATCTCTGATGTCAGAAATAATTTATATGGAGTACTGCCTGAAAAATATATAGTCTTTGATACTCTACCTCTCTAAACATAAAAGAATGATCTATCTGGACTTCTTGATAGTATAGAATCTTTACAATATATATTTTGGCAGCATAGTGTCTATCCACACTAAGGAATATTGAGATTAATTTTCTTAAGTTTCAGTATGAAGCATAGATATGCTTTACCTTAACAAATGTGTTTTTTAATCATAAAAGCAGTGTAAATTTCAGAACTGATTTCCCTCTTTGGGTCAGGTTCTAGAAATCTAAAGCCAAATTCATGACAAACTAACAAATGCATGGACCCCCACAGTAGACATTGTTTTCTTGGTTTTATTTTACTTTTCCTTCCCCCTTTTTTTTCTTTGCCTTGATATCATGACTCATTTTCTTTTGTTGTATACTACGCAATTTTCAGCTATCTCACATCTTTTTTAGAACAATGTGAGGCATAAATAAATTTTGAGAATAAAGATTTGGTGTGGTTAACACCATTCATTAACACAATGCACCAGCTACTTTATACATAGCTTTAGTCCTTCTCAGCTTTTCTAGTGTCATGTGGTGCATGCTAAATATGTAAGATCCACAATTGCACTGAATTTATAATTACGTGAGGCAAGTGTATAAATGTTAGCACTTGCTCGGCCGGGCGCGGTGGCTCATGCCTGTAATCCTGACACTTTGGGAGGCCGAGGTGGGTGGATCATGAGGTCAGGAGTTCAAGACCAGCCTGAGCAATATGGTGAAACCCCGTCTCTACTAAAAATAGAAAAATTAGCTGGGTGTGGTGGCAGGTGCCTGTAATCTCAGCTACTTGGGAGGCTGAGGCAGGAGAATCACTTGAATCTGGGCAGCAGAGGTTGCAGTGAGCCGAGATCATGCCACTGCACTCCAGCTTGGGTGACAAAGTGAGACTCTGTCTCCAAAAAAAAGAAGAAAAAAAAAAAGCACTTGCTTTTACTCTCTAAGACTGGAATGATGCAAGACCAAAAAAACTGGCAAGATGGTTAGGTCAGTTGATGTGGAAGGCTTATAATACTGCCACCACCACATGTAGTGAACACCTTAGGAGGAATCAATGGGTCCCACAAAAATCCATGAGTGTTCAGACCAAGTGCGCTGAACACCAGGACATAATGATCAGACAAGGCAGCATTTGCGCTTTAGCTCCTTTACTGCAGAAACTGTTTCTAATTCCTGAGTAGATTCTGGTTCTGGGCACAGGATTGGAGTAAGAAAGGAACTGATTTTCCTGAAAGAGGAGAAGGAAGGACACTTTCAGAGCCTTCAACATATGGCTGGTACACACTACTGCCACTGTTCAATGACTGTACTAGCCCCAGAGTTCCCTCTAGTGGTGTCAGTGCTCAAGTCACATTACCACGTGCCATGCAATATGGGACCATCCTATTTTCCTTCCTTGCAAAGCTCCCAGAATAACATGATATTCCTTCTAACAGTAATTTAAATATTTAATTTTAAATTTCCTTGGGCATTTTTAAAGCAAACAAATAGAGCTCCCACCATGTGCTAGGCACTATTCTAAGAACTTCACAAATATTAACTTGCTTAATTATCATGAGAATCCTGTGAAATAGGTACTATCATGATCTCTATTTTTTACAGATGGGAAAAGTGAGTCACATAACTTTGCAAAGGTCACATAATGAATCCATATGGTCCTCAGAACAGCATTATGGATTAGCAGGAGTAGGGAAATACACATATTCATTAAACCCAGATTTGGTAAAGTAAAACACAGAAAGTAAAAGAGTAACGTAAACCCACCAGATTGGGGTTTTGGAAACTTGGATTCAAATTCTCTCTTTGCCACTGACTAGCTGTGTAGGTGAGGTGGTCACAAACTCACTGGACTGTGAAAAAGAAACTTAAAAATTCTCTATGGCCCATCTTAGGCTTAACTGCTTATGCTTTATAATTTAAATCTGTCCTAGGAAACTGATATTTCTATAGATGACCAAACAGAATACCACACTCACACACAAGATACTTACGACAACTCTGGTATATACTTCTTCTGCAAAGTCGATGTTCTGGAATCTGTGTTCTGCAGGAAATGTGTACTTGGTCAGCCACTCCAAGAGTGGCAGGTCTATGCTACTTCCAGCAAAGGAATACTGAGAGGCATGGATGTGTGTATCAACCAGCCCAGGCATGAAGAACTCACTGGAAATTAAGATGAGAATAAAAGTATTTAATAATATCTTCAGTCATTTCCCATATTTTTAAATCACATTTTTTCCCAAGCATGATTTCACTGTTCACCCACACAGGTTTATAGGTAATGCAATCAGACAACTGTAAATTCTCCAATTATTTAGAGGTCAGGACATAAAAATGAAGCTCTGCTAGGAGAGATATAGCTTCTAGGTTGGAATGGCTGGTCGGGGTTAACCAGTGATGACGAAGGGAGGGAAAAACACAGCATTGAGCAGAAGCAAAGCAGTGGTGGCACAAGAAAGGACGGGAACTCTGATTTAATCCCATGACTTTGTTCTCACAACTGATAGTTGTAGGTCAGAGATCAAGAATGGAAGAGGAGGCCTTTAAAACTTCTAGAGCCGTGCTGAGCAATGTGCACACCAGTCACTAAGGGCAACTAAAGGTGAGAAACAGACTGGCTGCAATTTTAGACTCAGCAGTCATCTTGATCTTGTCTGACTACAAGAAACCTAGTCTTTTCCCACGTGTTACAGAAACTGAGTTCTGAAATAGAAGCAGCAAGAGCAAGCTGGTTAGGGACAGGCGATCTCAGGAGATGGACCACAAACGGGCAGTGGTGTAAGTAGTGAAGCGAAGAGGGAGTTACATATGATGCTGTGACAACCATGCTCAGGATGCTTGTGATCACTAATGCTACCACCATGATCCACCAATTAATATTCATATTTCTATTAATTCTTATAATTAGAAAGTCCTGGAAAGTGTTCAGAGGCACTACCCACAGAATTGAGGCAGTATGGTGCTAACAGACACTTCATGCTTTTCTAAAGAGCTAATGCAGTTCACCACAGTCACTATTAAGTATCCAACCTCATCCAAACAGATATTTGCCAAAAGATGGGACCCTCTACTGCCACCATTATCCTAGGTAAGTATTCAATCACATAAGCAACTTGAACTTGAAACCTAACATTACAAATAATTCCTCATGCTATCAAATCAAATGTATACATACCACCTAACTGTAAGCCAAATAAAGCCATGAGTAACTCTAAATGCTTTATTTTAAAACAAGAGCAAGGAATGGCAGACTCAGTGGTCATCTTGATCTTGTCTGACTACAAGAAAGCCTCTACATCGCATGGAAAAGACTAGCTTTTTTGTAGTCAGTTATTATAATAATGATGGTGACAGCAGCTAATGTTTCCTGAATATGTACATTCACTAGGCACTGGCACAGCGTTCTACATACATCATCTCATCTGTGGGCAGCAGTTGAGTTAAAGTGTATACATTCTGGTTTTGGCCTGCTAAGATCTGAAATCAGGTTTGACCATAAATCAGCAGTTAGATATTTGACATATTAAAAAAAAAAAAAAATTCTGTGTGACTCAGTTTCCCCTTATGTAAAATGGAGATAGTAGTAGCATCATAGGGCTGTCATGAGGATGTATTTAGTGTGTGTAAGAACAATGCCTAGATAATGGAAAGCATCAATAAATGTTATGGATGATGATGATGATGATGTAATGTTCACAAGAAACTTAGTAAGTATGAGAGTACTGTTACCCTCCTTTACATAAGGGTAAGCTAAAGCTCAGGGAATTTATGTAGCTTGAAAAAAAGTAACTGTTAACTAGTCAGCTTTGGCGCTGAGATTCAAACCCAGGCAGTTTGTCTGTAGGTTCAGTACTCTCGGTCACTACGTTCCACGTGATGGAATTGTTAATTCACTGACTATGGAAATAAAGAACTGTGACAAATTTTTAAGGACGTCAAGAAGGCAGCATTAAGTGGGCCTATAATGTGGGAAGCACTCTGAAAGGGAGGGTGGAATATGGATTTCTCTCAGGTATCAGTCACTGATCTCTCTACAATGTCAGTCCTTTGGGTCTTTGCTTTCTCTCCCGTCATAAAACGGAATAGCAGTGTAACTTCCTCATGCAGTTAAATTGTTTAACCAAATAATATTTCCCAATGTCTACTATATTTAGGAAACCGCCAAGCCCTGTGGAGAGTCCAGAGAAAAATAAGGCATATTGTCGTCAAAGACTTTATAATCTAGTTGAGGAGGTTACGGGTGAATGAGGGAGACAGAGAGGAGGAGGAAGAAAAATGAGGAGAAAGAAAAAGGAGAGGAGGAGAAGAGGAAAAGGACGAGAAAGGAGGAGGAGAAGGAGAAAAAGAGGAGGAGGAGGAAGAGGAGGAGGGAAGAAGAAGAGCAAGAAAAGGAAGAAGAAGGAGAAGGGAGAAGAGGCAGAAGAAAAGAAGGAGAGGAGGCTGGGCACGGTGGCTCACGCCTGTAATCCCAGCACTTTGGGAGGCCAAGGCGGGCAGATCACGAGGTCAGGAGATCGAGACCATCCTGGCTAACACGGTGAAACCCCATCTCTACTAAAAATACAAAAATTAGCCAGGCGTGGTGGCAGGCGCCTGTAGTCCCAGCTACTCGGGCGGCTGAGGCAGGAGAATGGCGTGAACACGGGAGGCGGAGCTTGAGGTGAGCAGAGATCATGCCACTGCACTCCAGCCTGGGTGACAGAGCGAGACTCCATCTCAAAAAAAAAAAAAAAAAAAAAGAAAGGATTCAGATTTGAGGGTCTTATATAGGTAACTCTAGAAGTTGGCGATGCCAGAGTTCTCTGTGGAAGGAAGAACAAACCAACATCTTAAGCAGCACCTTCGACTTCAGGAGTAAGACTGAGAAAGAAAAGATCAGGATCAATCTTGGCAGAGTTATTGTCAGGAGGGTAGAGGGAACCCAGGACAGAGAGGTGTCAGGGACAGTAAAGAAGAGACATTCAAGAAGGAGCAGGGCAGTGACTAGTGCCAAAAACTGCAAGGGTCAAAAATGCATGGCCTCAGGAATAATCCTAAGACCCCCAATTTTGGAAAGATTTAGCTCTTCCTTTAAAAAGTAGTCACTGAGTCTCTAGAATGTTTTTGTTACTGCACTAAGTGCTAAAAAGAGAGTGTTTGAGAAAGTCCTGTGCAGATGGAGAGCGCCCTTTTAAAATATTTGGTAGTGAAAGTTAGGATGAAGAAGAGTTCAAGTCACTTTATGTTTTTCATGTAGGAGAAATGAGCATGTTCATTGTAGCTGAGATGAGAGAGTGAAAGATGATTCAGAGTACAAAGTCTTCAGAGGCAACAGAAGCGCAAGGATTTATTGCATCTGAAGTGTGATTTTTTTACCCAGAAAAGTTACAATCCTTTTAAGGAAATAGTAAGCATCGTGAAATGATTATTAATAAAAAGATTCCCAGAATCAAGGTTACAGTCCAGGATTAATTACAGATAATATTGGTACACACAGAAGCATGGAATGTGAGAGTGCACATGAGATTAGAGGTCAGTGAGCCCACCTGCTCATTTTATAGAGAGAACAAAAGGAAGGTCTGGGATTGCAAGTTTATTTTTGACTTGCAATTTGTTGGTGGCTCAGCTAGGATTCAAACTCGGTTCTCCACTCACAACATCACTTATGGCTAAATTGTAGCTACTACAAGCCCAGCTGCAGGCAAAGCAGAGAAGAGATCTGAAGGCAGCAGCAGAAGGTAAAAAAGCTCTCCTTTCTCCCTTCTTTTCAGCTTTCCTCTTCTCACTTTACTTAATCAGCATCATAATTTCCTCAGAGAATCTCAACTTCCCCCAGGTATTCCAAATCTGCAGTGTTGGCCAAGCTGTATCATAACCTGAGCAAAAAAAATTTTATATATATATATATCCCCCTATATATGCTTATCAGAACATCCACCTATCTTTTCACCAAATGGAACACATTAATAAAGTTTTATAATCAGAAAACAATACAGGTATATATCAATACATGTGTGTATTACCCAAACCATCATCACCATCATCAGCCTGCCCTACCAGTAATGCAATGGCATCATGGGCCTGAGAATCCATGTTATTTGAAAGTGACTGTTCCATTGCACAAAAAAAATGCATGGCTGTAAAACAAACAACATCTTGTCTTTATTTAAAATGTTGGTATTTTGTTCATCATGAGTTTTTGCATTAATTTTTTTTTTTTTTTTGAGATGGAGTCTCACTCAGGCTGTAGTGCAGTGGTGCGATCTCGGCTCACTGCAACCTCTGCCTCCCAGGTTCAAGCCATTCTCCTGCATCAGCCTCCCGAGTAGCTGGGACTACAGGGGCCCACCACCATGCCCGGCTAATGTTTTGTATTTTTAGTAGAGATGGGGTTTCACCGTGTTAGCCAGGACAGTCTCGATCTCCTGACCTCGTGATGCGCCTGCCTCGGCCTCCCAAAGTGCTGGGATTACAGGTGTGAGCCACCGCACCCGGCCCACACCTGGCTAATTTTTGTATTTTTAGTAGAGACAGGTTTCACCATGTTGGCCAGGCTGGTCTTGAACTCCTGACCTCAAGTGATCCGCCTGCCTCGGCCTCCCAAAGTGCTGGGATTACAGGGTGAGCCACCGCGCCCAGCCATGCATTACTTTTTATATTTTAAAATATTGTCTTAAAAGTATTTATCTTGATTACTGAGTTTTTGCCCCTCCCCCGCTGCTTTTAAATTTTGTGCCTGAGGTGAATGCCTCACTCCCCTCACCCTAATCCTGGCCCTGCAAACCTGTCCAGGGTCCATGGCCACCATCTGATTCACTCCTACCACAGCACTGCCCATGGTACTCCAGTTGTGATTTCCCTTTTCTAAAAATCCAGACAGTACTGAGATAGACCTGTAGATACACTGTGTATTGGGCCAAGTCTATTAAAAACTGTCTGAGACATCCCTTTATGGTATTTTAATCATGACTTAAATTCAACCGCACATAACTTGTGTGCTTGATATAAGAATCTCTGCATTTTAAATATAATCTTTCTTCAAAGACTTCAGTCTTCTACTAAAATTTAAATTATTTCTTACCTTACTACTTCCTTGTGTGCAGTACTTACATACGACCCCCAGAATCTGCATTTCTGATGGATTTAATTTCAAAAGCAACCTCATAAAGAGGAAGAAAAGGAAGTGAAGACCCACAGTTATGTTTACCCTCCTCTCCATCCTCCAACCGTTTCCACCATTCTCTCATCCCATCTCAGCCTCTACTTCAACTGCTTCCAAGCCTTCTTCTAATCCTGCATCACAAAGACACGCAAGCAGGAGACTATAAATGTCAGTTGCTCCTCATCATAGATTCTTACATGAAAATCTAGCAAGAGGAAGTAGATGGTAACAGCAGAAGCTACTATATTCATTTCCATGCCCAGCGCCCACACACTTCCAAGCCCATAGAGAGGCAGCAGGGAGAGGGAAGGAGGCAAGGGATGTGAGTAAAACTGCAGGTGGAGTGAAACATTATAAATAGTCACTCTGTCTCTCTGGACTATGACCAGGGATGAGCTTCATAGTCTAGATGACCTCAAAGAGGGAAAGTGGCTTGCTTGACTTTTAACATCTGCAAAGCTACAGTACAGTCTGTGGATTCAAACCAGGTATTTTCATTCCTAGTTCAATGTTCCTCTATTACGTGAAACAGTGTTTCTCTATATTACGTGAAAGTCAATTCCCAAGTTATCAAAGTGTTTTCAGAATATAAATGGTACCAATTTTATTGGCCTTGGAACTTACTTGGCCTGAAACAAGATAAAATATTTTAGCTTTAAAAAAGTCTTCCCATTCATGTCCTTTGCAGGGACATAGATGATGCCAGAAGCCATGACTTTCAGCAAACTAACACAGGAACAGAAAACCAAACACCGCATGTTCTCATTCGTAAGTGGGAGTTGAACAATAATAACAAATGGACACAGGGAAGGGAACATCACACACCGGGGTCTGTTGGGGGGTGGGGGGCAAGGGGAGGGAGAGCATTAGGACAAATATCTAATGCATGTGGGGCTTAAAACCTAGATGACGGGTTGATAGGTGCAGCAAACCACCATGGCACATGTATACCTGTGTAACAAACCTGCACGTTCTGCACATGTATCCCAGAACTTAAAGTAAAATAAACAAAAAATAAAATAAAAATTATAATCAAAAAAAGTTTTCCCATTTCCATAAAGCATATCAACCAGGCTATGAGGAAACTGAGCTTTTTTTTTTTTTTTTTAACAGAGTCTTGCTCTTTCACCCAGGCTAGAGTGAAGTGGCATGATCTTGGCTCACTGCAACCTCTGCCCCCCGGGCTTCAAGAGATTCTCCTGCCTCAGCCACCCAGGTAGCTGGGATTACAGGCATCATATGCGCCACCATGCCAGGCTAATTTTTGTATTTTTAGTAGAGACGGGGTTTCACCACGTTGGCCAGGCTGGTCTTGAACTCCTGATCTCAGGTGATCCACCCGCCTCGGCCTCCCAAAGTGCTAGGATTACAGGTATGAGACACCATGCCTGGCTGGCCCAATCATTTCTTTAAGAACTGTATAACATATATTAAATATATATTATATATGAAATATAACGAATATTAAAAACCACTAAAAGTAGATGAAATATAATATCACAGCTCAAGTGTGCTTCTGAACTTCCCCAACCAATTGATTCTCAAATTTTCTTTCCTCCCTACTTCTTAATAGTTAACCTCTATCATACCCCTCCCCACCTTGTTTCCTTCCTTATAGAAGCTATCACAATCTACTATGGTCATGCGCAGGTATCTGTTTGCTTGTTTACTGTCTTTGTCCTCCATGGACTGTAAACCCTGTGAGGACAAGGACTTTGAAGATCTTTTTCACCTCCAGACCCTCCAGTACTGCACATAGCATGCTCAACAAATATATGCTAAAGAAATTGATGAATGATGGCAGCCTCTAGCTCTCTAAGTTTCCATCCTTCAGCTTCCTGTATACCTTCTCCTTCCCATCTCCTCCCTTAACAAATAATTAATACAAAATAATTATTGTTAAATTAATATTATTTTTTAAAGTCTCTCTGTCTCTCAAGGCAGGTTTTCTATAATTTAAGCTTATTAGTGGCACCCAGTAAAAGGGAAGAAGTAACAACTTACTGGTGGCTCAGTTCTCTTATTTCACACGGCTTGAAGCACCATTCTTTGGCCAGTTTTTCCTGTTGAGATGCTTCTTCTAAAAACACTATCTTTAAAAGAAAGAAAGAAAAGAAAAGAAACACATATTAGTGAGTCACAGTCATTTGTTTTTTATTAAATATGTAAATATTCTTAAAAGAGACTATAGCTGAGTTAAAAGGTATTTGATACCAAATGGAATTGAGTTTAGAGGCAAAAAAAAAAAAAAAAAAGACAGGTGTTTGCTTTTGGTCATCCAAAGACAAGCTGTGTGTGATTCCTCCTTTTCTGCCATAATATCAATCTGAGACTTCAAAAATTCTCAATTGAAGATACAAGGTATTAAAAATGGCTAATTGGAGAGGCGGAGCAAGATGGCAGAATAGAAGGCTTCACCAATCACCCCCTGCAAGGACACCAATTTGACAACTATATTAAAAAGCACCTTCATAAGAACTACAAATCAGGTGAGCAGTCATGGTACTTGGTTTTAACTTTATCTTGCTGAAAGAGGCACTGAAGAGATACAAAAACCAGTCTTGAATTGCATATGCTACCCCTTCCCTACCCCCCAGGGCGTGGTGATGTGGTGTGGAGAGCATTTCTGGGCACTGGTGGAAGGAGAGCATAGCAATTATGAGCCACCGAACTCAGTGCTGTTCTGTTATAGCAGAAAGAAAACTGGACCAAACTTAGCTGATGTCTGCCCACAGAGGGAACATTCAAACCAGCCTTGGCCAGAGGGGAATTGCTGATCCCAGCAGTTGGGACTTGAGTTTCCACAAGCCTAGCCACAGACTACAGTGGGCTAAAGTGCCCAGAGGCCCTAATAAACTTAAAAGCCAGTCTAGGTCCCAAGGACTACAACTTTTGTGTGAGTCCTAGTGCTGAACTGGGCCCAGAGACAATAGACTGGGCCGGGAAGGGGGGGAACACAACCTCCTGAGACACAAATTGGGGTGGCTGCAGGAGTGCTGGCATCACCCCTCCCCTAACTCCAGGCCACACAGCTCATGGCTCCAAAAGAGACTCCTTCCTTCCACTCGAGGAGAGGAGAGGGAAGGGTGGGGAGGACTTTTTCTTGCATCTTGGATACCGGGTCAGCCACAGCAGGATAGGGCACCTGTCAGGGGTGTGAGACTGTCTTTCCAGGCCCTAGCTCCTTGACAGCATTTCTAGACATATTTTGGGCCAAAAGGGAACCTGATGCCTTGAAGGAAAAGACTCAGTCCTGGTAGGATTCGTCACCTGCTAACTGAAGAGCCCTTGGGCCCTGAATAACCAGCAGCAATACCAGGTACTATGTTGAGGGCCTTGGGTGAAACTCAGCACATTCACCCAAGCTGTGGTGGCTATGGGGCAAGACTCCTTCTGCTTGAGGAAAGCAGAGGGTAAACGGTACTTTGTCTTACACTTTAGGTACCAGTTCGGCCACAGAAGAATAAAACATCAAGCAGGCTCCTGGAGTCCCCAGTTCCAGAACTTGGCTCTTACACAGCATTTATGGATCTGCCCTGGGCCAAAGGGAAGCCCACTGCTCTGAAGAGTTTATCCCAGGCCAGGCAGAATTCACAAGTTGACTAAGAATCCTTGGGCTTTAAGGGAACATAGGCAGTAGTCTGGCAGGACTTCCAGGGGACCTGTGGTGGCAGTGGACACAAGGTAAGGCTCCTCCACCTTCAAAAAGGGGAAGGAAGAGTGGGAAGGACTGTATCTTGTGGTTTGAGTTCAGCCCAGCCACAGTACAATAGAACACCAGGTGGCTTTCTAAGTCTTTCGACTCTAATCGCTAGCTCCCTGACGGCACCTCTAGAACTGCCAGGGAACTGCGGTGACTTACTATCCTGAAGGGAAGGATACAAGCCTGGCTGGCTTCACCACCTGCTGATTGTAGAGCCCCAGGGCCTTGAGTGAACATAGACAGTAGCCAGGGAGTGATTACAGAAAGCTGTGGACAACACCCAGTGCTGTGCTGGCTTCAAGTCTGACCCAGCACAGTCATAGTGATTGTGGCCATAAGGGTGATTGTGGCCACAAGGGTGCTTGTGTCACTCTACCCCGAGCTTCAGGTGGTTAAGAACAGAGAGAGAGACTGTTTGGGAGATAGTAAGGGAAGAGAACAAGAGTCTTTTTGCCTGGTAAACCAGAGAATTCTTCCAGATCTTGTTCAGGACCATCAAGGCACTACCTTTACGAGTCTGCAAGAACCACACTATTACTGGGCTTGGGGTGCCCCCTAAAGCAGATATAGCTTAGATCACAACACCAAAGTCCTTTCAAATACCTGGAAAGCCTTCCCAAGAAAGACAGGTACAAACAAGCCCAGATAGTGACAAGTATAATAAATACCTAACTCTTCAATGCCCAGGCACAAACATCTACAAGTATCAAGACATTCCAGGAAAAAAAAAATGACCTAACCAAATGAACTAAATAAAGTACCAGGGATTAATCCAGGAGAGAGAAAGATATGTAATCTTTCAGAAAGAGACTTTAAAATACTTGTTTTGAGGAAACTCAAAGAAACTCAAGATAACACAGAGAAATAATTCAGAATTCTATCAGACAAATTTAACAGAGATTGAAATAATTAAAAAGAATCAAGGAAAAATCCTGAAGCTGAAAAATACAATTGGCATAATGAAGAATGCATCAGACTGTTGTTTGTTGTTGTTGTTGTTGTTGTTGTTTTGAGAAGGAGTCTCACTCTGTCACCAGGCTACAGTGCAGTGGCACCATCTCGGCTCACTGCAACCTCCACCTCGTGGGTTCAAGTGATTCCTGTGCCTCAGCCTCCTGAGTAGCTGAGATAACAAGCCTGCACCACCACACCCAGCTAATTTTTGTATTTTTAGTAGAGACGGGGTTTCACAATGTTGGCCAGGATGGTCTCGATCTCCTGACCTAGTGATCTGCCTGCCTTGGCTTCCCAAAGTGCTGGGATTACAGGTGTGAGGCAATGTGCCCGGCCCAGAGTGTTTTAATAGTAGAATTGATCAAGCAGAAGAAAAAATTTGTGAGCTTGAAAATAGGCTATTTGAGGCCAGGCACAGTGGCTCATGCCTGTAATCCCAGCACTTTGGGAGGCCGAGGCAGGTGAATCACGAGGTCAGGAGTTCAAGACCAGCCTGGCCAACTTGGTGAAAACCCGTCTCTACTAAAACTACAAAAATTAGCTGGGCGTGGTGGTGGGCACCTGTAATCCCAGCTACTCAGGAGGCTGAGCAGAGAGTTGTTTGAACCCGGGAGGCAGAAGTTGCAGTGAGCCGAGATCGCGACACTGCACTCCAGCCTGGGCAACAGAGTGAGACTCGTTCTCAAAAAAAAAAAAAAAAAAAAAAAAAAAAGGCTATTTGAAAATACACAGTCAGAGGAGACAAAAATAAAAAGAATAAAAAACAATGAAGCAAGCCTATAGGATCTAAAAACCCACAAATTCAATAACTCATAGATTTGCTTCTAAAGAGGAGGTAGGAAAAGAGATAGGGATGGAAAGTTTATTCAAAGGGATAATAAAGAACATTCCAAACCTAGAGAAAGATACCAATATCCAAGTACAAGAAGGTAACAGAATACCAAGCACACTTAATCGAAAGAAGAGTACCTCAAGGCATTTAGTAATCAAACTCTCAAAGATCAAGGATAAAGAAAGAATCCTAAAAGCAGCAAGAGGAAAGAAACATGGCTAGGCATGGTGGCTCATGCCTGTCATCCCAGCACTTTGGGAGGCCGAGGTGGGTGGATCACCTGAGGTTAGGAGTTCAAGGCCAGCCTGGTCAACATGGTGAAACCCCATCTCTACTAAAAAATACAAAAAATCAGCTGGGTGTGGTGGTGGACACCTGTAATCCCAGCTATCTGGGAGGCTGAGGCAAAAGAATCACTTGAACCCAGGAGGTGGAGGTTGCAGTGAGCCGAGATTGCGCCATTGCACTCCAGCCTGGGCAACAAAAGCGAAAAGAATCAAGCTACTCCAGAGGCTGAGGCAGGAGAATGGCGTGAACCCGGGAGGCGGAGCTTGCAGTGAGCCAAGATAGCACCACTGCAGTCTGGCCTGGGCAAAAGAGCAAGACTCCGTCTCAAAAAAAAAAAAAAAAGAGCCTTCCCTTTACTTTCTCCCTGTACTTTTGCCCAGTCCACCAGCCATCTTCTTCCTCCATTTTCCTTGTCGAGGTTAGATTTCACTATCTATTATTTCATATTTCCATTGTCTTTTACTTAACATACAGCTGGTAAAAATAACTGAGTCCCACTTTCCCTTTTTCTGGGCTGCACCTGAGTAGCCATGCAGTACTGGAACAAGGCACGCAGCACAGTAGATGGAATAGCCATAGTCACCAAGCTCAAATGTGCCCCTACCAAGGCTTCTGCCTGGCACCCTACGATATTTCTCTAGCATTGTGGTCTTTAACTGTCAATAAAATGATAGAAGTCCTCATTGCTTATCAATTGACAGATCATTAAAGATATTTTTGATTGATTAATATGTAAATTTATCACATAACAAGTTCAAAGAATTGAATGATATTGCTACAATGAAACTTTTTCCATTCGCATCTACTCGATTTATGTTAAAATTATTCCTAAAACTCACATCTATAAAAATGGAAAATAAGAAAAAATTGATGCTGCCCCTTATTTTATTCTACCAACAACTAACAATCATTCATAGATATATTATCAAACTGGATGAAAAAAACTTTTTACACTTAACAAATTACTTTCAAAACGTGTAATACAATTTTTTTTTTTAATTTTCTTATATTCCCGGGCCACTGTAAATGCTTAAATCTATGTACAGATATTTTACTACAATGGTTGATCAACAGAAGGCTTTCAAGTATAAAAATATATTGCATTAGTAAAAAGTCTGTGAGGGAAGTAGAATAGAATTAGTAATTCAAGAAGAAAAGGGGATTACAGTTGCCCCTTGAATAATGCAGGGGTTAGGAGCACCGTAGTCTAAAATGAGCGATAACTTTTGACTTCCCAGAAACTTAACTACTAATAGCCTACTGTTGGCCAAAGACTTACCAATAACATAATCGACATAATCAACATAAAGTTAACTAACACATATTTTCTATATTATATGTATTATATACTGTATTCTTCACTAAAGTAAGCTAGAGAAAAGAAAACATGGCGGGGTGAAGTGGCTCATGCCTGTAATCCCAGCACTTTGGGAGGCCAAGGCGAGCAGATTGCTTGAGGTCAGGAATTCGAGACCAGCCTGGCCAACATGGTGAAACCCCATCTCTACTAAAAATACAAAAATTAGCCAGGCGTGGTGGCAGGTGCCTGTAGTCCCAGCTACTTGGGAGGCTGAGGCAGGAGAATTGCTTGACCTGGGAGGCGGAGGTTGCAGTGAGCCAAGATCATGCCACTGCACTCCAGCCTGCACAACACAGCAGAGACTTTGTCTCAAACAAAACAAAAACAAACAAACAAAAAAACAAGAAAAGGAAAGAAAACATTAACAACCTACTCTCACAATAACTAACCCACTCCCTTCATAATGGCATTAATCCACTGATTAGAGCTTCATCCCTATGACCCAGTCACTTTTTAAAGGCCCTACCTCTTAATACTGTTACAATGGCAATTAAATATTAACATGAGTTTCAGAGAAAACAAACATTCAAACCATAGCATTCTGCCCTGGTCCTACAAAACTCATGTCCTTTTCAAGTACAAAACATATTCATTTCTTTTTTTTGTTTTGTTTTCAGATGGGGTCTTACTCTGTCACCCAGGCTGGAGTGCAGTGGGCATGATTTTGGCTCAGTGCAACTTCCACCTCCCAGGCTCAAATGATCCTCCCATCTAAGTCTCCAGAGTAGCTGGGACCACAGGTATGTGCCACCACGCCTGGCTAACTTTTGTATTTTTGGTAGAGAAGGGGTTTCACCACGTTGCCCAGGCTGGTATCGAACTCCTGAGCTCAACTGATCTTCCTGCCTTGGCTTCCCAAAGTGCTAGAATTACAGGCATGAGCCACTGTATTTGGCCTAAAATAGATTCATCTCATTCCAGTAGTCCCAAAAGTCTTAAGTGGTTGTTCCAGCATCAATTCAAAAGTCCAGAGTCTCAGGTCAGGCGTGGTGGCTTACGCCTGTAATCCCAGCACTTTGGGAGGCTGAGGTGGGAGGATCAATTGCGCCCAGGAGTTTGAGACCAGTAGCATAGCAAGACCCCATCTCTACTAAAAAAATCAAAAAAATTAGCCAGGTATGGGGATGCATGCCTGTAACCCCAGCTATTCAGGAGGCTAAGGTGGGAGGATCACTTAAGCCTGGGAGGTCAAGGCTGCAGTAAGCTGTCATCACACCACTGTAGTTCCAGCCTGTGTGACAAAGTGAAACCCTGTCTCCAAAAAAAAAAAAAAAAAAAAAAAAAAAAAAGTCTAGAGTCTCCTCTGTATCAGATGTGGGTGAGACACCAGACAGGATTCATCCATAGGCATATTCCTACAGCTGTGAGCCTGTGAAATCAAATAAGTTATCTACTTCCAGAATACAATGGTGGGGCAAGCATAGGATTGACAGTCCTGGACCAAAAGGGAAAAATAGGCAAAAAGAGAAGAGTAACAGACTCCAATTAAGTCCAAAACCCAATGGGAAAAAACACTTTAAGCCCTCAATTTAGAGAATAATCTTTGACTCCATTTTCTGCATCCTGGGCACACAGGTCTTCGGCAGCCCCACTCCTATGGCTTTCCTAGACCCAGCCCATGCTTCATAGGTTGGAGTCTCCTGCCTGCTGCTCTCCCAGGCTGAGGTTGCATGCTAGTAGCTCCACGATCCTGGAGTCTCAGTGCCAGTCCTGCTCCCAGGGCTCCACTAGGCATTACCCCAGTGAGGACTCTCTGTGGCAGCTCTGGCACTAACCCCAACCCCACATTTTTGTGCAGTATTGCCATAGTTGGGGCTCTCTGCAGTGGCTCTGCTTCTGTGACAAGTCTCTGCCTGGGGCTCCAGGCTATTTGCAACATACTTTGAAATCTAGGTGGATGAAGCCATGCCCCCATAGATCTTGCATTCTGCATGCCTGCAAACTTAACACCACATGGATGCAACCAAGATTTGCCACTTGCATCTTCTGAAGTTGTGGCCTGAGCCACACATGGACCTGCTTGAGCCATGGTGGGAGCAGTGAAAGAGCTCTCTGCTGGAATGCAGGAAGCAGAGATGTGAGGTCGGTCTGGGCAGGGAGCCTGTGTAGGTTGCTCCTAGCCCAACCCCTCAAACTATTCTGCCCTCTTAGAACTCTGGGCCTGTGATGAGCAGGGCAGCCTCAAAGATCTCTGAAATGCTTTCAGGGTCTATCTCCCATTGTATTGATGGTGGCTCTCTTCTGTCTGTGTTAATCTCGTCAGTAAATGGTCTCTTGGTTCCACACTAGAATGCTTTTTTGTTGTTTACATGGCCAGGCTGCAAATTTTCCAAATCTTTTCACATAGCTTCCTTTTTCATTATAAATTCCATCTTTAAATCATTCCTTTCCTCTAGCATCTTACTATAAGCGGTTAAAAGTAACCATGCATCAGCCTGAATGCTTTGCTGCTTAAATATGTCTTCAGCTAGATATCCTATTTCATCACTTTTAAATTCCACCTTTCACAAAGCCCTCAGTTATAGACACATTTCAGCCAAGTTCTTTGCTACTTTATAACAAGGATGGCCTTTGCCCCAGTTTCCAATACCTTGTTTCTCAGTTCCATCTGAGATCTCATCAGAACAGCCTTTACTGTCCATATTTCTATCAACATTCTGGTCATGACCACTTAGGTAATCTTTAAGAAGTTCAAAACTTTCCCCAGTCTTCTCTTCTTCTGAGCCTTCACCAGAATCACTTTCAATGCTCCATTTACAGCAATCTAGGCTTTTTCTAGCCTGCTTCTCCAAATTCTTCCAGCCTTTACTCATTGCCCAGTTCCAAAGCCACTTGCATATTTTCAGGTATCTATTATTCCAACAACCCTGGTGTTGGTACCAATTTTCTGTCTTAGTACATTTTCTCCTGCTACAACAGAATACCACAGATTGGTAATGTATAAAGAGCAAAATGGGTTTGGCTCACCGTTTTGGAGGCTAGGAATTCCAAGAGCATGGCACCAGCATCTAGCCAGAGTCATCATACAGCAGAAAGGTGGAAGGGCAGGCAAGAGCATGTGAAAGAGGGAAGCACTCGAGGCCAGAGTCATTTTATAACAACTCACTGTCAAGATAACCACTACTATGGTAACAAGATTAATCCATTTATGAGAGCTCTGTCCTCACGGCCTAATCACTTCTGAAAGGCCCCACCTCTTAATAGTATTACAATGGCAATTGAGTTTCAACATGAGTTTCTGAGAGGACAAACATTCAAACCATAGCAGGTGTCTAAATAATGACAGTGCTTATCTCTTTAGGAAAGAAGTTGAGAGTGACTCCACTTTCATCTTTACTCCTTTTTAGATACAAAGTTGTTAATAATAAATGTCTTATTCTAGCCAATGTACTAAAAATATGCATTAAGTGTATATGAAAATGCAAAGTATGAAAAATAGGAATATATATGCATAGTCTCTACTCATAGAGCTTAAGGTTTAGGAGTTAAGACAGGCAGAGGTAGAAAATGAATTAGACATGAGAAGGGAGGATGAGGAAGTGCAATGGCCCTGTGGGTTCCAATGGAGAGATAATAAGTGTGATCAGCGAAGATTTCAAAGAAAAGGCAGAACTTGGACAGTGGTTGGTAGGACTTGGTACTTGGTAAGTATCCAGGGTTGTGGGAAAAGGGATGGAAGGGGTAACAACAGGAGCAGCAAAGAGGCAAAAAGCTACAAGATGTGAAATAGACAGGAGTATTCTGTAAATAACACGGAAGTGTTGGGTTGGGGAAAACCTTAATTCACAAATCAAGTATTTAATAGATTTTTGTCTTGCTTTTGTTCATGTTTTCACTCAGAAAGTACTTCCTGAGTGCTTCCTGTATGCTCAGGATTATTCCAGAGACTGGGAACAATAAATTGATGAAGATATACTTCATAGTGAGGGTTATGGTGAAAATAAAGAGAGGTAAATAGACTAAAATGTGGAGTGTGATGGTTTCTCTGAAGAATGAGGTTTAAGCAGAGACTTGCATAAAAGGAGAGAGTGAACCACTTAGACATTTGGGGAAGAGCATTCCAGGCAGAGGGAATATCTAGCAAGGACCCCAAAATGGGAGTGTGCTTGGCAGGTTCTGAAACACCAGAGAGGCTAGTGGGGATACAGTACAAGGACTACAAGAAAGACTGATAGAAGATCAGATCAGAGGTAGCCAGGGATCAGCCCTGAGATTTATTTTCAGGTAATCTCTAAAAAAAATTTGGAAAGCAAATGTGGCAAAATTACAAAGTATGATTGATGCTTTCTTCATGGGGCTACTGCTTTTTCATCCCAAGGTTTCCTGGATTTATGCAGGAAACCCGTTCACTCATTCACCATCTAGTGGGTACCCACCATGGCCAATTGGTCTTCCCCTTCACAGGCCACACTCTAGGTGGGCTGTTAAGCATATACACAAGTCATTAAAAACCAAGTTTCACAAATAATAAAGTCATGGTCCCAGCTGGCAGGTATCTTCTCAACTGGCCCCTTGTTTTCCAGATGAAATTGATTCCCTTCTGCTAAGCAAACAACTCCAAGTGCTTTCTTACTTGAAACTGGGACTATTTAGGATGAGCAATAATGAGAATGTCGGGAATACTAAAGCCAAAAGCAGATGAGTAATGGCTGTCAGCTAATGAAAAAAACTGCTGCAAGATACAGGCTTCAAACACCAGATGGCAAATTTGGGCAAGAGGCTTGTTGCTATGGAACAAAGTAAACTGCTCTTTGAGCCACTGTGAAATAGCTCAGCCATCCAACAAAATAAAAGAACATATTTCAATCTATTATACAAAATCCACTCTTACGTCACTGTGAGGGGAAATAAAACCAGATAAAAATATGAGGTCTCAAAATTTCTTGAAGTTTTTGAACAGAGACAAAAATTGCCGTATTAGCTCAGTTCATGTCAAACAGATTAATGGAAAAGAGAGATGAAGTGAGATTGCCTTAAAATAAAAACCAAAGTGGGGGAAAAAACCCCGTCGGACTAGTACAATGGGGCGAATAATGTTACAAAGGCATCAAAGAATAGCATGAGGCATGAGGGACTTAGATCTTCAGATCCAATATTCTCATTTCAGAAAGAAACAGGCCAGGTTATTTTAAATGCCTAAGGTGCAGGGGAAGCCATATCTCCTAAACTAGACATGTCTTCCGAGATTCTTCCAAAACTTTATGATTGCTTCTGTAATAGTATAAACCAAGGATCAGCACAGTTTCCCTAAAGGGTGAGACAGTAAATATTTTAGGCTTTGCGGGCCATATTGTGTCTATTGAACTACTTAAATCTGTCGCTGAATTGCAAAATCAACCATAGACAATATAGTAGCAAATGGCTATGGCTATATTCCAATATAAGTTTATTTACAGGAACTGAAACTTGCATTTTATGTAATTTTCATTTGTTATAAAATCTTCTTCTTCTTCCTCTTCTTCTTCACTTTTTTTCAATCATTTTAAAACCATACTTAGCTCACAGGCCATATAACTCAGTCAGGGAGCTGGATTTGGCCTGTGGCCTATAGTTGCCAAGCTCTGATATGAACTCCTAAAAAGATGCATGTAAATTAAAATTATATAACTTGAAAACCATCCCAGTGGCTTTCACTAGCATTTCTCTGAAACTTTATATTTATTTATGATTAGCTTCCAAATGGAAATAACATTTAACATTTTTCTTTAACGTCAGGGACTGATCAAATGCCCTTGGTATTTGATCAGAGTACAGACTCTGGTGGCTTACAAGTATCATTCTGTAGTAGAAAACAAACACTCCTTGATAGATGAAGGATGTACCTTTAGGAAGCAACCAAGATGTCCTTCAGTAGAAGAATGGATAAATAAACTGCGGTACATCCAGAAAACGGAATATTATTCAGTAATAAAAATAAATGAGCTATTAAGCCACGAAAATACATAGAGAATCTTACATGCATATTACTAAGTGAAAGACACAAATCTGAAAGAGCTTCATATTATATGATCCCAACTATATGACATTCTGGAAAAGGCAAACTATGGAGACAATAAAAAATCAGTAGTTGTCAAGGGTTGGAGGGGGAAGGATGAATAGGCAGAGCAGAAGAATTTTAGGACAGTGAAAACACTCTCTATGATACTATAATGGTCAATACATCATTATACAAGTGTCCAAAACCACATAATGTACAAATCCAAGAGTGAGCCCTAGTATAAACTGTGGACTTTGGTTGATAATGATGTGACAATGTAGGTTTATCAGTTGTTGCAAATGTAGCATTCTGGTGGGGGATATTGATAATGAGGGGGCTGTGCATGTGTCCCGGCAGGGGATACATGGGAAAGCTCTGAACCTTTCTCTCAACTTTGCTGTGAACCTAAAACTTCTCTAAAAATTAAATTTTTAAAAGATAAGTGCAAAGATTCAAGATTTGTAATAGTAATTTAATGTAATGCTTATGTTGCAAAGTGGTATAAGGTATAGACAGTCAAATCTGAATAAAGAAAATAATACTCATGGAAGGAAAAACGGTAACTTTAATAACTCTTCTGATCTCTGTAGAAGACACCACTAATAAATCATTGGTATTTAACACATTTTTATTAGAAATATAAAGCAACATATTCTAAAATGATGGGATGTCTGATAATAATAAAGAGATTAAAATATATTTCCTATGTGCCAAACACCATCCTACATACTTTACATGTGTTAACTTGTTTAAACCTCACAAGAACCCTATGAGGCACTATTACTAGCCCCATTTTGCAGAGGATAAAATTGAGGCACAGAGATGTTAAGTACCTTGCCCAAAATTACGCATCTGGCAGGTAATAAATCCTGAATTTGAACCCCAGTTGCCTACAGGCTAACGGCCATTAGACACTACGTTATGTATTTTTTCATGTAATATTTTAAAAACCAAACAGCCTTTTCCTTTTCTTTTTTTCTTTATAAACTATTTCTTTGTGCCTTTCCTTTCCTTTTCCTTCCATTCATATAGCCCCAGCAGGTGGGCCTGGTGGATCCAGGAATGCAGAGGTAGTTGGGGCTAAGGGAGCAGTCAAGGCTGAGAATGCTAATAGGGTCAGGGGAACTGGGGTTGGAGAAGTGCAGTGTCAAGGAGGCAGGTGGAATGGGCAAGGCTGTAGCCGAGGAGACAGTCCCCAGGGTCAGGAGATTGATTACATATAGGAGTAATATATATTTACATATATTTACATACATACATATACATTACATGCACACACATACTAGCTTTATCTGCTGAGAGGCCTAGAGACAATGAAACCCAGATGCAATCAGCACCCCTAGTTCTCAGATCTTGGTTTCTAAATACCATTCTCCACAAAACAGAACCAAGTGACTCCAGGGCTCATTCCAGGGCTCTGGTAAGGAAAATACAAGATGAATCTAGAACATAATTTTGTGCCAAAAGTAAGGAAGTGCTAGAATATAGTCAGAAAGTAGTCAAAAGGACAAAGAAGCCACTCTAAACAAACTCCCACTAGGTAAATCTGGGCCAATTTGAGCATCAAAATAAATAAAAATACTAACAAATTAAAATCCAAAGAATAATATGGGAATCCATGAGTCCACAATGATAAGTAAATGAATGAGTACATGAGTGAGAATGGAGAGTTCTTTCTTCCAGTGGAATACCAACTAATATATGTGGAAGAAATTACACAATTAGAAAATGAGCATTTGGCATCCATCATCATAAAAAAATGATTCATGCAAAAATCATCAATGAACACTAAAACTAGTGGGTGAAAATTTGTTGAGAAACAGGATATTTATATAATTATCAAAGTATCTCCCCACAAAGTTTATTTTACAAAGAGAAGTGCAGAAAGCTGGCCCACACCACCTCAGCCGAGTGACCAAAGTTAACATCACCAATAACGGGACAATTCCACATCCTGTGCCTCCTGATATGATGTACTGAGAGCACAGCATCATTTCTCCGATGTCCCTGCCAAAAATGCACGACCTGAATCTAATCATGAGGAAACATCAGACAAACCCAAATTAAGGGACAGTTTGAAAAAAGGAGAAACTCTTCTATATTCTTGAAAATTATCCAGAGCATGAAAGACAAAGAAACACTAAAGACCCATTACAGATGAAAGGCAACTAAAGGAATGTGATACATAAATGGAGCCTGTGGTTCTGGAGTGGATTCTGAATAAGAGGAGGGGAAATAGCCACCAAGGGCATTATTGGGCCAGTGGGCAAAGTTTGAATGGGTCTACAGATCATGTGGTAGAATTATACCTATGTTAATTTCCTGACCCAGATAATAATTCATGATTATGTAAGGCAGTGTCCTTATTTTTTAGGGAAAAAAAATAAAGTATTTAGACTCCAACAGCATGTCTATAACTTACTCTCAGTCCAGAAAAATGTGTGTGTGTGCGTGCATGTGTGTGTCTACCTATATATGTAGAGAGAGTAGAGAATAATGAAGCAAATTTTGTAAAATATTAGCACTGAGAATCCGGGTGAAGTCTATAGCAGCATTATTTTGTATATTCTTGTAACTTTTTGAATCATTTTTTAATGAATTAAAAATAAAAAATTTTAACTGAAAAACTAAACAGTATATTATTTGGAAACGCAAATATAAAAAGTGAAAGTATAGGCTGGGTGCAGTGGCTTACACCTGTAATCCCACACTTTGGGAGGCTGAAATGTGAGGATTGCTTGAGCCCGGGAGTTCAAGGTTGCAGTGAGCTACCATCACGCCACTGTGCTCCATCCCAGGTGACAGAGCAAGACTCTGACTAAAAGAAAAAAAAGAAAGTGAAAAAAGATAGTGAGGCCAGGCGCGGTGGCTCACGCCTGTAATCCCAGCACTTTGGGAGGCCAAGGCGGGTGGATCACCTGAGGTCAGAAGTTCAAGACAAGCCTGGCCAAGATGGTGAAACCCCGTCTCTACTAAAAATACAAAACTTAGCTGGGCATGGTGGCGGGCGCTTGTAATCCCAGTTACTCCGGAGGCTGAGGCAGAGAATTGCTTGAACCCAGGAGGTGGAGGTTTCAGTGAGCCAAGATCGCGCCACTGCACTCCAGCCTAAGCAACAAGTGACACACACAAAAAAAATTGTGAAAGTATAAGTAAAAGTAAGGACATGATAAGCATAAAATTTAGTATAATGGTGATAAGGGAAGGGAACGGATATTGAGAACACATAGAGCTTCAAAGATAACCACAGTTCATCACATCCTTATTCATTACACCTTACATAGACATTAGAACTGTACTTTCTTTACCCAATGAGTTAATTAAAAAGAAGAATCACTTCAAAAAAATAAGTAAAATGCACAAAGATCACCAGAAAAATGTATGAGTGAAACCAAATTTTCTACTCACAATAAATGCTATTTTTAAAAAATCAAAATCTATTTCATGTGAAATGCACACATTGGTAATCTGTGGAACACCCAAAGTGACCAAAAGGAAAAAACCACAGAAGAAGCGAAGGCAATGAGGAAACACAATAATACAGATCTCACATTTGTAGCACCTCAACACCAGCAATCTAAAACAAGGTCATAATCAGTCCCGTGTTTTG
The DNA here is from genome assembly GCF_000001405.40 of Homo sapiens. Taxonomy (NCBI): domain Eukaryota; kingdom Metazoa; phylum Chordata; class Mammalia; order Primates; family Hominidae; genus Homo; species Homo sapiens. The sequence continues at coordinate 72,180,868 of NC_000009.12, read as the reverse complement.
ATAAGTAGTCGGTAATATGCTAAACAACCCTTGAATATACTTGAAAACTTGTGAATCACTTTGGGATGCAAATTGTTACTGCCTAATTTATTTTTTTTTCCTAAATTCAGAATCCTCTGATGCTTAACCAACTTGTGGAAGAAGGAAACTGCTTAGATGTGTGTAAAATTAACACCAAGCTCGGAGTGAAATTCACCATAAATCTCAGCTCTAAAGTTAAATGACACATTTGAATCCTGAAATCATCAAACAAGCAAATAATTTCAGCAGCTGCCTCACAAAAGACATCTTCAGAGACTACATTCAGCAAGTAGACAACTAAGAATTAATTTAGGAAAAGCACTCACTCTCTCTCTCTTTTGAAAAACTGAAAGGCAGTATCAATTGACCATAAAGTTGATCTCAATAGACTGTATCAGATACACAGACATTGATTTAAAAATGCAGGCACACACAAAAGTACTCCCTACACAAGCCTATTCCTTTGGGCCTTTGTTATTTTTATTTTTTTTGAGAGGGACTCTTGCTCTGTTGCCCAGGCTGGAGTGCAGTGGCGTAGTCTTGTCTCACTGCAACCTCTGCCTCCCGGGTTCAAGCGATTCTCTTGCCTCAGCCTCCTCAGTGGCTGGGATTACAGGCACCCACCACCATGCCTGGAAAATTTTTGTATTTTTAGTAGAGATGGGGTTTCACCATGTTGACCAGGCTGGTCTCAAACTCCTGACCTCATGATCCGCTCCTCTTGGCCTCCCAAAGTGCTGGGATTACAGGTGTGAGCCACCGCGCCCGGATGGCCATTTTTAAAAAAACTTGAAATCTGCCTTGAAGACCTGGTATGAGTTGAACCTCCCCTCCCACCCCAATTTAATATGTTACAGTCCTAACCCCCCCCGCCAGTAATTCAGAATGTGACCTTATTTAGAGATAACATCTTTACAGAGGTAATCAAGTTAAAATGAAATCATTAGGATAGGCCCTAATTCAGTATGACTGGTGTCCTTTTGGACACAGGAACACATATAGAAAGAAAATGAGTTGAAGAGACATAGAGGGAAGACAACCATCTATGAGCAAAGAAGACAGGCCTGGAACAGATCCTTCTCTCAAAGTCCTCAGAAGAAACCAACTCTGCTGATTCCTTGATCTTGGACTTCAAAATTCTAAGACAATAAATTACTGTTGTTTAAGCCTCCCTGTTTGTGGTACTTCATTACAGCAGCCCTGGGAAACCAGCACAGACCCTATAGGAGGAGGGTCATAAGACTGATCTGTCCTAATAAATCGACAGGAAAACACTGCAGAAACTCCCTTTTTCTTGCCTGTAGTCACTTCATCTGAGATAGTTTGAAATGGTCAAACACACTGGATTTACTGAAGGATCAAGATTCTGCTATTTACTAGCTCTGTGAACAAGAGCCAATCCCTTAACCTCTCTGATTTACCATTTTTGAAAATAAAGTAATGATATCTGCCATATCTCCCTTCAACTCTATATAGACAAAATATTTTAAAATAGAGATATGCCAAACACTCCAGTGAACTGTAAAAGTTCTCTGTAAACATAAGGTATTACCCATAGTGTTAATTTTTGGTAGGGTAACCAGAGTGGCATTTCAGGACACCACTACTGATACAATATGCTTTGATTTCAGAAAGGCATCTGATGGCACCAGACAGATAACTTTGTTGGACAAGCTCGAAAACGTCAGGCTGGATGACAGCAGAGTTGGAGAAATTCATAGCTGCTATATATTCCTACTTAAAAGGTTGATTAATAGGATGAGGGAAGTATGGCTGGAGAGCTCTTAGAGAACTCTGGAAACATATCATTGAGCTCGGCCCCAGCCATGTTCTTGCTAATGGCTTACTGTGAAAAGGATAACAATTTGGAGAAGACAGTTTGTTTACTAGATAGCACAATCCAGCTTTAAAAAGGCAGAGACCCCATATATATGTACAAATATTATGTATCAGAAAATTTTTAAAATGTCAAAAATACAGCCACAAGCTAAATGGAATGTATGTAAAATCCTACACTTACATTTTACACAATTCAAATGCATAGGTAAAGACATATGAGACTTGATTACAGCGAGGACCAGGAGCTTAAAATAAGCAGCACAGAACAGTCGCCCATAAAAATCGATTCCAGGCTGGGTACGGTGGCTCACGCCTGTAATCCCAGCACTTTGGGAGGCCAAGGCGGGCAGAACACCTGAGGTCAGGAGTTCGAGACCAGCCTGACCAACATGGTGAAACCCTGCCTCTACTAAAAATACAAAAATTAGCTAGGCGTGGTGATACATGCCTGTAATCCCAGCTACTCGGGAGGCTAGGGCAGGAGAATTGCTTGAACCCGGGAGGTGGAGGTTGCAGTGAGCCGAGATTGCACCATTGCACTCCAGCCTGGGCAACAAGAGTGAAACTCCATCTCAAAAAAAAAAAAAAAAAAAAATATCGATTCCAACTCCAGACCAATTCGTAAGCCTACAGGCAGACTTTGCTTTGCATGAATCTGATGTACATAAATTTCCAATACCATGATTTAGTTAAATAATACCAGTCCCCTAACAACATGGTTCAAATATCAATTACCATGGTATATTAACTGTGAGTAATTGAATAAAGTGCAAACTTAGTTTCTAGTTCTGTAGTCCACAAATCATTACATACATAACAGACGTGCATCATGATCAGTAACCAACCACACTCCTTATTCCAAAGTATGTGTGGCTAGTCACTGTGCATCTATTATTCAGGTCACACATTGACATCAAAGCATGTAGCTGTGTTGCTTCCTTGCTTCCCAGCAGTAAACCCATGTGGCATTTTATAAGAATGGATAATGAAGAGAGTGAATTGGTCAAGAAACATGAAAGTACAGCAAAGAAGTGAAAAGTGACAACAGAGTAGCGAGGTGGGAATCGGACCTAAATGTAATTATACAGCTAACCATAGCAATGTGGTCACTGCCACTGTCAGAGACTCTAAAGTCTACAGCCAGAGGAACTTAGCAAAGATGAACTTGTCAACATAAATGTGGATAGTGATTAAAGGTATCTCCAAGGAAATGATACCAGCAAAAACAACTTCACATTAAAGGAACTCTCAGAGATGTTTTATAATACTGAAAGCTCAAAGGATATAATGTTGAAAGCTGATACAAATTTTAAAAGCAGGATGACAATTTGCCGAAGCAAAAATACTCACTCTGTATTATTAGTTATACAAGAAGAAGGAGTTGGCAAGCACTGTTCAATCTACTATTGATGTTTTTGTTTTTTTTTCTTTTGCAAAAGTATTTTAATCCTCTGTATTTTAAATTCTCTATATCTTTAATGTAATATGTAATATTTTAATTACAGAATACTAATGAATACTAAATGAACACTAGTTTTACTAATTTTTGCATTTAAATTTGAAATAAAATTTTTAATTTTAACAAGTTTTAAAGTTTTAAAAACAGATGTTTTGTCCAGGCACGGTGGCTCACGCCTGTAATCCCAGCACTTTGGGAGGCCGAGGCGGGTGGATCACAAGGTCAGGAGTTTGAGACCAGTCTGGCCAACATAGTGAAACCCCATCTCTACTAAAAATACAAAAAGTTAGCCATGCGGTGGTATGTGCCTGTAATCCCAGCTACTTGGGAGGCTGAGGCAGAAGAATGAAGTGAACCCGGGAGGTGGAGGTTGCAGTGAGCAACAATCGTGCCACTGCACTCCAGCCCAGGCAACAGTGCAAGACTCCATCTCAAAAAAAAAAAAAAAAAAAAAAAAGCAGTTTATAAAGGTCTCAGAATGATCATCATTTTTCCCACTAGGATCACTTTGCATTATTTCAGGTTTCACAGTCATTTTTCAGTCCTCCACTATTACGCAAAGTGAGGAAACCCTTGCTGTGTCCCTTTATACTTAGCGCGGGCTACAGAATTAGTAGTGTGTTTTCAGTTCTGGAAGGATAAACTGAATCAGAATGTTTTCACAAGGAGGTGACCAGAATGTGGAAGAAGCCTGGAATTAAAACACGAGAGGAAGCTCTGAATGGAACAGACAAAATTTCATCTGGAGAAGAGAAAAGTTAAGATTACCACAGTTGCAAATATTGGAAAAGCCATCATGTAAAAGTGCCATTCTAGAGTAGCAGAACTAGCTTTAATAATGGAATATCCACAATAGAGCTTTCAATTTCATGAACAGAAAAAGCTTCTAACAATTAACACTGGATATAAGTGGAATTCACTGACTCACAGTGTAGTGAACTCCTCGTAGTTGGAAGTGGCAAGCAGAGGGCTGAATGACCATCTGTCAGGGATGCTGTACCCGAAATTAATTCCTACACAGGGTGAGAGGGGAGGCCCTATCCACAGCTCAGATTTCAAACACCCATGTGGTGTTCTAAAATACGCCCACAAAATCTTCGACACTCTTCCCTTCAGAAGGTGGAGCCGAGTTCCCTCCTTCACCCTTGAGGTGGGCCAAACATAGTGACTTGCTTGGAATGAAGCATTCACCACACCGTGTGACTTTTAAGACTCGCTCATAAAAAGGATGGCTTCCATCTGGCCCTCTCACTGTTAGGTTGTCTAGGGGGAGCTTTCTAGTCATAGGGTAAGAACACTCAAGTAGCTCTGAGAGAAGCTCTTGTGGCAAGAAACCAAGGATTCCTGCCAACAGCTAACACTAGCTTGCAGTCATGTGAATGACCTTTAACCTCAGAAGTGGATCCTACAACCTCAGTCAAGCTTTCCAATGACTGAAGAACTCACTGACATCTTGCCTGGGACCTCTTACCTCCTGAGCTCAAGCCACTCAGCTAAACTGCTCACAGATTCCTGGATGCACAGAAACTGTGAGGACAATACATTTTTATTGTTGTTTCAAGCCCCTAAGTTTTGGGGTAATTTGTTATACAGCAATAGCTAACAAATACACTCCCTTTTGCCTTGAACACTGAGGTTACATTGCAGTCTTAAGAAGCCTTCTCACACAGCTTTTTGGTTATTTGTTTTTTGTCTTGCCGGTTTCCTTATAGCAGACTCAAACCACAATTTCCAAAAACTAGTTCCTATTATTGAAGGATAAATGATTATCCAAAGGTATTCTGTTGTAAAAGTAGAAAGTGGGGAAGGACTCTAAAATTAATTCTTCCCACTCTGACTGATTTTCACCCCACATTCAAATCTACAACAAAAGATTAATGCAGTCTCACAAGTAGAATTTAAAATTCTCCTTAGCACCATAGAAGTCCTTCAAAAGGTTCATCTTTCAATTGCCAAAAGTCAGTGACACAAGGGCTGGACTTAAAGGCCCAGCCCAGACATCTTCTATGAACTCTGGATCCAAATATTTGAAAATTTCCTTCACATCTCATTTGTGTTTCTCAAAGTCAACAGGTCCAAAACAGAGTCCATGATCTTATTCCTGAACATGTTCTCTTTCCTGGGTTCCGTTCCAGAGAATGAGACCACATCAATTCAGGGCACAATCCAGAAACCTCTGACACATCTCTGTCGTACCCCCTGAATAGAACCTCAATGGGGCTGGGTGTGGTGGTTCACCCCTGTGATCCCAGCACTTTGGAAGGCTGATGCAGGAAGATCGCTTGAGCTCAGGAGTTCAAGGCTGCAGTGAGCTATGATCATACCACTGCACTCCAGCCTGGGTGACAGAGTGAGACCCTATCTCAGAAAAATGAAACAAAACAAAAACTCAATGGCAATGGTTTCCCATTGCATTTAGGATAAAGAAAATGGTTTATAATATGTCCTATAGGGTCCTGGGTGATTTGGCACCTACCTGCCTCCCCAGCCTAATCCCACTGCAGCCATCCTATACCTTGCTCCTCCCTCTGCCTTTGCTCTCTCGGCTCCACCTGGTCCCATTTCAGACCCCCTAAGCACTCTGCTCCTTGCCTCCATACGGCCTTGACACATGATCTTCCCTCTGGATGGAACACTTTTCCTTTCTTCCTGTCCAATTAATGCCAAGGTATATTTCCAACTTCAGTTTAGCTGTCCCTTCCTTAGGAAGCTTTTCCAATTCCCCATCCCCACTCTGTCTCTGTCTCTCTGTCTCTGTCTGTCTGTCTGTCTCTCTCTCTCTCTCTCTATATATATATATATATAACCTCAACAGTTCCCAATATATAACCTCAACAGTTCCCAACAGACCCGGCCTACCATCAAGCTGTGTACCTCCTCAACACATCATTCATGAAGCAGTTTTGCTTCTCTCTGTGCTTCTTTCTACCCTGGTCCCACTCCCAATTAACGATCCTCATAGCACCAGGCACTTCTCTTTTATCAAAATATGACAGTGGTTCCATACACAAAATCCAGAACCAAGCTACCTGGCTTAAATCCTTTCCAGCTGTGTGAATTTGAATCACTTAAACTTTCTGCACCTGTTATCTCATCCATAAAGTAGGAAGTAGCAGTTATGAACAAGCTGTGAAGATTACAAGAGACAGTATATGTAAAATTCTTAGGATGATGCTAGATGGATGGCAGGCATTACATAAGTCTGAGCTGCTGTTTTATTGTAGTTGCAATTTCACATTTCTTCATAATTATTATTTTATTCATATCTGTCTTTCCTATTAGACAGCAAAATCCCCAAGGGTGGACATGCCTACTTTTACCCACTATCATACTCTCAGTGCCTGGCACAGTCTTAACACATGAGAAATCCTAATGAGCACCTGCTGAATAAATAAATGAAGTTGATATAGGTCTTGAACTCCAGAGAACCTTGAAGTGTCATGCTAAGGAGTTCAGAATTTATTCTCTAGAAGTTTTTAAACAAGGGTCACATAGAACAATTAATGGAACAATGGTTGTAAGGTAAGTTGGGAGGAGAGCTTAGAGACAGGGAGAACCCTTAGCTGACCATTTGAATGTTTATCTGAATAAGGGCATCAACCAGTGTAGAGAGGAGCAGAGAGAGAGAAGAAAAAGAAATACCCCATGGGTGGTATTTTGAGGAAGAACCCACACAACTTGCTAGTACACCAGGTCTGGAGGAAACTGTTGAGGATACACACACACACACTCACAGAATGAGAAAATGAGGACAAAAGAACAGAACTATAAAAGTCAGGGATCTGTGAATGTTACCTTATATGGCAAAAGAGACTTTGCAGACATAGCTAAATTATGGATCTGGCTATGGGAAGATTATCTCAGATTAGCAGGGTGGACCCTAAATACAATCACAAGTGTCCTTAGAAGGGGAAGTCAGGGCTAGGCTTGGTGGCTCACGTCTGTAATCCTAGCACTTTGGGAGGCTGAGGCGGTTGGATCACTTGAGGTCAGGAGTTTGAGACCAGCCTAGCCAACATGGTGAAATCCTGCCCCTCCGAAAAATATAAAAATTAGCCGGGCGTGGTGGCACACGCCTGTATTCCCAGCTACTCAGGAGGCTGAAGCTGGAGAATCACTTGAACCCAGGAGGCAGAGGCTGCAGTGAGCTGAGATCGCACCATTGCACCCCAGGCTGGGCAACAGCGAGACTCCATCTAAAAAAAAAAAAAAAAGAAGGGGAAGTCAGAGCAGTATTTCACCAGAAGAAGGCAATGTGATCACTTACGCAAGATGCTGCATTCATGGCTTTGGAGATGGAGGGAAGTTCCTGGAACTCAGCATAAAAGGAATGTGGCTCTAGAAACTGGAAAAGCAAAGGAGAATCTAGAGATTCCCCTCTAGAGCTTCCAGGAGACTGTAGCCCTGTTGACACCTTGATTTTGGACCAGTGAAACAGATTTCAAATTTCTGATTTCTAGAAATGTGAGAGAATCTGCGTGTGTTGCTTAAGCCACCAAGTTTGTAATAATTTGTTATGGCAGCCATAGGAAAGTACAAACACTTAACTCACTGTGTTATAATTTGCAGTTAGGGTATTTGTCTCCCCACTAAAGTACAACCTTCTCAAAAGACAGTTATGTTCTTGTATCTTGGTATTTCCAGCACCAAACAGAATGCTAGACATATAAAGGCACTCAAATAAATGTTTACAGGAGGGTTGGAAGGAAGGAAGAAATTAGAAAAAGAAGAAAAGAGAAGAGGGAGTTTCAAAATAGAGTAATTGGTTAACAAAAGCCTATCCTTAAACATATGAAACTAACAAATATAGATGCAGAGAAGATGGGCAAGGTTGAGTTTTGTGTTCTCCATCTCATTCCCCAGGAAGCAGCAATCCTAAAACACACTTGCACAGGCCACATCCAGGTATGGTGTAGGGGTTAGAGAGGAGGTCCTAGCGCAAACCCTAAACCCCAGCCTTTACTCTAACTCTTGTCCTAATCCACTACAGAGGAGTTAAAGATGTCAACCCCTAGTCAGCTCCCTGTGAAAAGCCAAAGTGTGCAGGCCCAAGAACCACGAAGACCTAGGTTTGAATCCTAGCTCTGCTTCTTACTATCTGCAAATTCTTGGGCAAGTTACTTAACTTTTGTAATACTCAATTTCTCACTTACAAAGTAAAACTAATAATTCCTCAGAAGAACAAATGAGATAATGAATGAAAAGTAACAAGCATAGAGTAAGTATTCAAGAAATGTTACTTTTTGTTATTTCTATTTTTCTAGCAAAATCAGACACATAATGTATAATAAATATGATATACTATTATATATATATATATATTAGATTGTATGTTTTGTACACAACCCCTAGAAAAATACGTAAGAAACTGGTAATAATTGCCTCCTGGGAGGGGCAATGGCATGTCTAGGGCACAGGAACAGAAAAGGACTTACTATTCACTATATAGCCTTTTGTACACTTTGAATTTCCTATCATGTGCATAAATTTTTTAGGTGTTTCTTACAATCCCAGCTCTATTTGCCGTGTAACATTATCAACTCATGTAGCATGTATCAGCTGTGTAACATTGGCAACCTGTTACTTAATCGCATTGCACCTCAATTTCTTCACCTGTGAAATGAGAATAAAAAATGTTACTTTTCCTCATGAAGTTGTTGTGAGTGTTAAATGAGCTAACACAAGTAAAATGCTCAAAAGAATGCTTGGCACAGGGTAAGCATTCAATAACATCAGCAATTTCACTTTTAGAAATATGGTGGGCAAGATACCCTGAGGGGCCTTTAAGTTATAAAATAACATTATAATGTACAAGACCTTTTAGGTAGCACTTTGCAGGACCTAAGGGAGAATATGAAGGTTAAAGGGGAAAAAAGAGGAAGAAAAAAAGAGATTCTAAGCTGAAATGGGAGCCGTGAACAATAAACCCACACAAAATGCATGGTGGCCCCAATGGTCACTATCTCTGAACAGGAAAAAAAAAATGTTTTCTGGAGGATCACATCTTTAATTTCAGCCTCCAAATTTTCCCAGGTTAAGATTAACCAAAATTGAACCCATAAAAAATAGGTCACCAAAATCAAAAGGAACAAACCATCCCAGGTAAAGGCTAGCAGAAGCTACAAAGTCCAGATTTAGAATCTCAAGGAGTCTAGATGATCTGATACGAAGTATACACAAATATACATGGTATGCTTAAAGAAATAAAGAATGGAATCATAAAATGGAATAAGCAACAAGAGACAATCAAAAATGATCAGGCAAATTTGAAAAAGAACTAAGTGGAACTTAAGGAATTAAAATTATAGTTGTTGCTATAGCAAGGTCAACAGATGGAATATACAATAGATTTGACAAGATTAACAGATGGAATATACAATAGCCGGAGAAAGTATATATGAACTATAAGAGAGCTGAAAAAAATGACCCAGAGCACGGTGGATGGTGGCTCACGCCTGTAATCCCAGCACTTTGGGAGGCTGAAGCGGGAGGACTGCCAGAGCTCAGGTGTTTGAGACCAGCCTGGGCAATGTGGCAAAACCCAGTCACTAAAAAATATACAAAAATTAGCTAGGCATGGTGGTGCACGCCTGTAGTCCCAGGTACTTGGGAGGCTGAGGTGGGAGGATCACTTGTGCCCCAGGGGATTGAGGCTGCAGTGAACTATGATCGCGCCACTGCACTACAGCCAAGGTGACAGAGCGAGGGCCTATCTCAACAACAACAACAATAATAGTAATTCATTGGCCTCACTGGATCTCATGGGTAGAGAGAAAAGGCGCCTTCATCTTTGTGGCCCCTATCACCTATCATGGGCCGGTACACAGCAAGCACTCCTTAAAAGTTTGCTAACTTGTAGCTCTTGCTGATTTGCTCATGGGAAAACAAAAGAAGAGCTCTAAAATGCAAAGGTTATCAGGAGACATATATTTGAAATGGCTGGTAAGGAAATAGTAAGCCTCCCCATATCCATTTTACGAATGAGGGAGACAGGCCCACTGACAAAGGATACTGACTAGCCCATGATCACACAACTCTCTGAGTGATAGAATCCCTTTTATATAGCTCAGCGATCCCGGCTTGTGCCCAAATATATTTTTCACATTATTTAACTTGTAAAATCCACAAAAATCTAGTTATGTGCTAAGAAAGATCTATACTGGTATGAAGACAGCTATGAGCTTTATTTTTCTCTTTGTCTATATATACATTCACTGCTTCTTGCTGTATCTTTTATATAGAACTGGGAGAGCCATTTTTGCCAAGCAGGATTCTATCTTTAAAAGTAATATGCACAAGTGCCCCAGAAGCTACCGCACTTGGTTCATTCCAAGAGCTCAGGAATAATTATGTGTTTTCATAAGCACAGCATTCATTAATCAAATCTGCGGGTCTAATTCAACTTTACTGTTGTATTTTTACGGCAACCAGAAAATGATCTTCTTTGTCATATCCCGTAATATTAAAGGGGAAAAATCTTTATGCCCCATTGTGTTTGTTTAATTTACAAGTTGTCTCTCTTCATTGCATTTGGTCACTGGGACACAGATGTATGGAATAGAGAGAACACCTCCTCCTGGACGCTTAGATACAGAGGACCATTATCTGTCCTCAGAGCTGAAGGATGCATTTAATTTCATTTTTTGTCTGTCATATATGGTGCAATTGAAAACTTCTTTGCTTCAGTTTTCCTTCTGACACATTAATTACAAAACCATTCCCAGTTCCCCTGGAAAACCAAATGTTTTATAATTTCTAATTCTAGTGTGAGCTCATTAGCTTGTTTGTTATCAGATTGACTGCATATAGGAAGTTGGATGATAACAGAAACGCAAAATGTTGGTCCAGTTTGTTTCTGCCCAACAGAACTTCCAAGACTTTGTGCCTGCAATTTGAGAGAGCAATTTGAGAGTCGCACCAGGATATTTAGTCCACAGTTTGATTTACAAAGCCTACTTACAAAATTTATACGAACCTGCAAAGAAATTAGAGTGGACATGGAGAAAGCATGCATTCAGAGTAGCCACATTAAGTTAGATCATGGCTCTATTTCCAAAAGAATAGATTTAAAAAATAAAATCCAAGTCCAGTAAGAAATATTTTGTGTGACTTGACACTCCTCCCTCCTTGTTTATCTATGTCCTCTTCACAGTGGCTCAGAAATAGACTTGGCATTAGGTTTCACATGATCAGCACATTGTGAGCTTTATTTACTTAATTCAACAAGCCTAACTCCTGAAACTAACAAAAGAAACTCAGAACAAGCCCACCTACTTGCCTTGCAAATTCCTCTCCTGTATAAAGATGCTAGCCATTCATCAATTACTAGTCAGCTTTCCCCCACTTCCCAAAACCAATATCTATTTCACCTGCTTCTAAAGCCCTGACATGAAACAATGTAATAGTGTCAATGAAAACTGCTTAAGAATTAGCAATTTGGCAGTCTTGGAAGGGTTTAGAAAGTTTGCTAACAAATTACCAGAATCCCTTAGGAGTTTGCCGTGGCAAGACAAAAAGCCAAAAGCAAAAACAAACAACAAGCTTGTAACAGAGGCTGGTGACTATATCTTGAGGCTTTCATGTCTTCCCACATATCTGAATAGCAGTATAGCATTTAATTTATTCCATATGAGAGCTGTTAAATGTAAAGTCAGACCATGTGGATTATAAATCATAACTCTACCAGTAACCAGCTATGTGACCTTCAACAAGGCACTCAAACTGTTGGTGACACAGTTTCCTCATCTGAAAAATAGAGATAAAGAATAGTTAATTTATAGGGTTGTTGCAATGATTAAATGAGTTAATATATGTAAAAGATTTAGAGCAGTGCCTGGCACATAGTAAGTGCTATACATTCTTCATTTGTTTGTTTGAAGACAGGGTATCAGCACTTTGGGAGGCCAAGGTGGGCAGATCACTTAAAGCCAGGAGACTGAGACCAGCCTGGCCAACATGGCAAAACCAACTCTACTAAAAATACAAAAATTAGCTGGGCATGGTGGTGCATGCCTGTAATCCCAGCTACTTGGGTGGTTGAGACACAAGAATCATTTGAACCTGGAAGGAAGAGGTTGCAGTGAGCTGAGATCGTATCACTGCACTCCAGCCTCAGCAAGAGAGCGAGACTCTATCTCAAAAAAAAAAAAAAAAAAAAAAGACAAAGTCTCAGTGTGTTGCCCAGTTTGGAGTGCAGTGGTGCAATCACAATTCACTGCAGCTTCCTGGGCTCAAGCTGTACTCTACCTAAGCCTCCTGCGTAGCTGGGACCACAGGCACGCACCACTATGCCCAGCTCGTGTTTTTTTGTTTGTTTTGTACAGAGGGATCTCCCTGTGTTGCCCAGGCTGGTCTCAAACTCCTGGGCTCAAGTGATCCTCCTGCTTTGGCCTCCCAATCTGCTGGGATTACAGACACAAGCTACCTCACCCTGCCCAATCTTTTCCTTTTATTAGAAATAATCATTTCCTTATTTAGCCATTCCTCAAATATATGCTGAGCACATTCTATCTCCCAGGTGATGTACCCCAGCACTAGGGAATGATGTGAGTAAGACCTAATCCCTGCTCTCAGGGAGCTTATAGCCTATGGCAGCAGCAACACTAGTAAAAATTTACTACTTTGATAGGTGCACATCTTCCTTTGGTCAGCAATTTTCTCAAAACCACTGTAACATTTTACTAAAATGCTAAGCTTTGATTGTTTTTCAACTACTTCTTGAGAGTTTCTGCATGTATGATAAGGGCAAGACATTACACTGAGGTATTGATGCTGATGAGCAGCAAGGCTCACTGGCTGGTGAAGGGATACTGATTAGCACACCAATGTGCTGCTCTTGAACACACACCTCCACAAAATTACAAATTATCTTCCAGGTTCATTTGTGAAAGTTAGACCTGTACATTCTGAGGGCCTGTGAGAGGCTGTATGCCAATCACACATTGCAGGCAGAGGCTGGGCGCAGAAAAACCAGTGGTGGACAGAAAGTTGCTTAAGCTATGCTTCTTAGACCACTTTTTGCCATGTTCAGAAATGCAGCATTTCAACTGATAACAATTCAAGGAATCCTTTATTTCTTAAATGTATGCTCATCAAACTGCTAAGGGTTCAGGTAAATATATAAGAAGTTGTTACCGAAACACCACTGAGACAACGATTATTGGCAAGGAAGAAGGCTTTAATCAGGTGCTGCAGCTAAGGAGATGGGAGATCAGTCTCAAATCTATCTCCCTGATGGACTAAAATGAGGGGTTTATATAGCAGGGAAGAAAGGTATGAGAAAACAGGAACTCCAGAGGGGTTAAGGAAGCAATCATGATGAATGAGAGGCCTGGCATTTCATTGTCTGGATGCAATATCTGGTTAGTTTCAGTTCTTTGATACTTTTGAGAGGCCTGGGGGTCATTTCCTAAACAAGGAACTCAAATAAAACAAATGTAAGTTTCAGGCTTTAAGACCAAAAGCGTCAATTTCTATGTTTATCCAAAAACAAACAAACAAACAGAACAACAACAACAACAAAAACCTGTCTATGGAACTATTGGGTCAGTTTCAAAATCATCTTTGCCTGTCAAGAATTTAGTTTCTGGTAGAGAAAATAAAATTTACTGCCTATGAAAAATCGAGAACAATGCACAATGATATGTTTCTAAGCACCAAATTGGCATTATGGACTGATCTATGAAAACTCTGAGAAAAAGGAAATTGGTGAGGACAGAATAACCAAGGTGTTTCTAGAGGAAATGATGAGTATGGTAAATATAGGCGAGAAAAGAGAGTAAGGGCATTAAGAGTGTGAACAAAAAGGTGGAGAAGTCAAAAGACATGAACAAATATAAATTGATACATAAGTTTATATTGGCACAATTACATTTTTAAGTTTCTTTACTTATAAATAATATATTACATATTTATAGGGTACATGTGATATTTGTTACATGCATAGAATATGTAATGATCAAGTCAGGGTATTTGATCCCTCATCTTGAGTATTTATTATTTCTATGTGTTGGGAACATTTCAAGTTCTGTCTTCTAGCTACTTTGAAATGTAGAATACGTTGTTGATAACTTCTATCTAGCTGCCCTTCTACCCACTGACTAACCTCTCTTCATTCCCCCACCCCCACCCCACCCACACATCCTTCCCAGTCTCTGGTATCTATCATTCTGCTTTCTATCTCCATAAGATCAACTTTTTCAACTCCTGCATATGAGTGAGGACACTGGCGTAACTGTTAAATCATTTCCTTTCCAAATCTTGTTCCCTTATTGTCTTCTCACTTTCTCTATCTGCTCAATGATTTGGCACTTTTGAAACATCCAATCCTGTCTAGATCACAGGGATAGTTTTCCTTCTAATTGCAACTGAAATAAATCTAGCATAAATCTTATTTTTCTCATTCCCACTTGATTGTCAGGACAGTGAAAAACAAATGATTATACAAGCCTCCATTCATACATACAAAGGTTGTATGTGAGTCACCTATGTGTTGTTTTTCTCAACTAGATTAAATCTTCATTGTACAGTCATTCACCCAGAAGGGAAGAACAGAAGGAGGGGTAAGATTTTCTCTCTTCCCTTGGGGAAGGGGGAAATCTTAAAATGCTTAACTAGGAACAAGCCGCATTTTTTGTTGTTTTTTTTTTTTTTGAGACAGAGTCTTGCTCTGTCACCCAGGCTGGAGTGCAATGGCATGATCTCAGCTCACTGCAACCTCCACCTCCCGGATTCGAGCAGTTCTCCCCCCTCAGCCTCCCAAGTAGCTGGGATTACAGGCACCTGCCATCATGCCCGGCTAATTTTTGTATTTTTAGTAGAGACGGGGTTTCACCATGTTGGCCAGGCTGGTCTTGAACTCCTGATCTCCGATGATCCGCCCACCTCGGCCTCCCACAGTGCTGGGATTACAGGCATCAGACACCATGCCCAACCCAAATTGCATTTTAAATTTTATTTTTATTTTCTTTTTAGCCATTCCCTACACATACCTCACATACCAACCGCATTTTTAAACAGAGAAAACATCTGCTTCTATCGTCTTACCTGGTTTTGTTTGTTTTCATTTCAAACAACCTCACATTTATAGGAAAATAATGCCTTACTTGCTTGACGTTAATAAAATGAAGTGTTTCACTGCTGGTATCCTGTACTTCCAAACAAAAATACTGACTACCTACCAAGATTTCCAGTGACGCTGAAATGCTAGATTATATTTCTGAAATAAAATAGTAAAATGATTATTAAGAAGGCTGCAACTAACTCTAAGCTCTGACACATATATTTGCCAATGCTTTGGCATCCTTTGAAATTAAATATTTGTAAATGGGCAACAGCAGCATGCTTTCTTAACTTTTGAAACGTCCTTGGAAAGAAGTTATTCACCATACAATACAGGAAGGCTGGGAAAAATCATACAAATACAGGAATATGAGCACAAGTGAATTGTGATTCAGTAGATTGAATGTGCACTTAAGTCACCTGAAATTTAAAGATTCACAGAAACCTAAGCAAAGTATTTGAAGACCAGAGGACAGCCAGAGCATTTTTTTTTTTTTTTTGAGATGGAGTCTTGCTCTGTAGCCCAGGCTGGAGTGCAGTGGCTGGATCTTGGCTCACTGCAAGCTCCGCCTCCCGGTTTCACGCCATTCTCCTGCCTCAGCCTCCAAAGTAGCTGGGACTACAGGCGCCCGCCACCACGCCCAGCTAATTTTTTTTTTTTTGTATTTTTAGTAGAGACAGGGTTTCACCATGTTAGCCAGGATGGTCTCGATCTCCTGACCTCATGATCTGCCTGACTCAGCCTCCCAAAGTGCTGGGATTACAGGCGTGAGCCACTGTGCCCGGCCCAGCCAGAGCATTTTTTCCTCAGAATGCTACAAATGCAAATGTTTGTATAAAAGTCCTCTGATAACTTAAGCAGTGGGAATAACAGGTATGTAACTTATTTACATTTTATTGCTGTTGGAAGCAATTATTTTTCTCATATGATAAAACACTACACATTTTTTTAATCTCAAAAGAGTTGTCTGTGATTACTGTCTGCATGTCCTTATCTTCCAATCATTCCAAAACCTAACCCAAGCTGATTGCCACCCTCTCCCTGTGCTGAAATAAGCTTCCTAGGGTCAACAGTTGCCTGAGGTTTCTAAATCCACTGGACATTTTTCCAGTGTTGTTCTTATGTCTCAGTAACATGACACCTGCACTGCTCCCTCCATCTTGAAGTATCCCCATCTCTTGCCTTCTATGACAATACCCTCCCGTTGTCTTCCTCTGATATTTGGATTGTCCTCATCCTACTCATTCTCTTTAACTCTAAACTCAACAAGAGGAATTAGTCTAGTTCCTGTTGTCTTCTCAACCTTTACTCTACATTTTATATCGCCCGTTCAGATATCTCCTCTGAGCTCCAGACCAGCAAGTCAACATCTGCTTCAAATCTCCATGTAGATGTCACAAAAGCATCTCAACTCAGCATGACCAAAGCAGACCTCTGGATCCACCCTCCCTGGCTGGACCTCTTCTTCTCTTCCCTATGTGAAAGTTAATCAACAAATGTGTCATTCTTGTCATACCCAACTAAAACAGAGAGGTCAGGAGTAAAAGCACTCAGGGAACAAAACATTGCTCCAAGAACGTAATTCTATGCAAGCCTGGCTGCTGAAACTGCCTCCTGCACCTGAAACTGCCTCCTGCACCTGAAACAGTTTTATCTAACAGCTGCTGAAACAATCTCCTGTGACTTTAAGAATAGTTGGCCGGGCATGGTGGCTCACGCCTGTAATCCCAGCACTTTGGGAGGCCCACACAGGTGGATCACAAGGTCAGGAGATGGAGACCATCCTGGCTAATACGGTGAAACCCCATCTCTACCAAAAATACAAAAAATTAGCCAGGCATGGTGGCGGGCACCTGTAGTCCCAGCTACTGGGGAGGCTGAGGCAGGAGAATGGCGTGAACCCGGGAGGTGGAGCTTGCAGTGAGCCGAGATCGTGCCACTGCACTCCAGCCTGAGCAACAGAGCAAGACTCAGTCCAAAAAAAAAAAAAAGAATAATTTTACCTGTTACTGTCACTTACCAATCAAAACTTGCCAGCTCCCTCAAACCTTACTAATGCCAATGAACTTTCTCAAAGAGCAATATGTAACATTTCTCTTTTTTATAAAACTTCTTTCTCTTTGTTCATGGGACATACTGAAGGCCAGTCGGTCTGTGTGCATGCCCCCCAAATTGCAATTTTTCTTCCCAAATAAAATGTTTTCATTTCAGAGATTTGTCTCTATGTTTTATTTGACTTCAAAAACTCAGTGACAGCCACCATATCCATCCAGTTGTACAAGCCTAAAACCCAGGAAAGCTCTTCCCTTTCCTCTGTACCCATTTTTGTCATCAAATCCCATTGATTTACCTCCTTCTCATCTCACAGAGCTCCCTGTTTCTCTCCATGTCTATCACCATCTACCTGTCTCTTTTGTGGTCCACTGCAGTCATTTTCTAACTCATCTCTTCCAGCAAGTCTTGCTCTGCTCCATTCTGCTCCTTACTCTGAAATTATTTTTAATATATTCTTTAGAAGTAAATCTGACCTATGTCAGGGCGCATTGGCTCACGCCTGTAATCCCAGCACTTTGGGAGGCCGAGGCGGGCGGATCACGAGGTCAGGAGATCGAGACCATCCTGGCTAGCACGGTGAAACCCTGTCTCTACTAAAAATACAAAAAATTAGCTGGTTGTGGTGGCGGGCGCCTGTAGTCCCAGCTACTGGGGAGGCTGAGGCAGGAGAATGGCGTGAACCCGGGAGGCGGAGCTTGCAGTAAGCCGAGACCACGCCACCGCACTCCAGCCTGGGCAACAGAGCAAGATTCTGTCTCAAAAAAAAAAAAAAATTGTAAATCTGACCTATCTTCCTCTGACACCCTTCGTAGGCTTTCCATGGCTCTTGGGCTAACGGGAATGACTATGTTTCTCTCTGCCCTCATCTAGTTCCACCACCTCCTCCTCCTCCATTCTTTGCCACCTGGTTCCTGGTTCCTCCTCCCCTCTGGGTCTTTGCATAGGCCTTTCCCCTCCCTCTCTCTGCCTAGTTAATTCCCATTTAACCTTCAGACTCAGCTCCAACATGACTTCTTTGGGGTTACATTCTTGAAGCATCTCCTCAAAATAAGCCAAGTCCTCTGATTTGCATCTCCAGAGCACTCTGCATTTTTTCCTTTTAGAAACTGTATACTGATCCATACTAATTTGATTATTGACTCCGAGTGCAAATAAGGCAGGAACCGCATCTCTTTTGCTTACCATTTTATCCCTAAGACCTTGAGATCCTTGCTCTCCATCAGCTATTGTCAGCTCTCATGAGCTCCAAGCATAGTAGCACCACAGACCATTGAGTCCACGCTCTGCAGGAAGGTGAGGAGGCACAAGTGTCCCCACTCATCTAGGAACCAGGAATGGCTTCTGTGTTTTGCATTTCCAAAAAGGGTTAAAGGGTACCTGAGACCACTCTACACAGGCTGAAAGGAAACAATTTATAGGTTAAATAGCTCAGGAGAAAAACTCTGCATCAGTGTGTGGAAGTCACCAACGATGTTACTTCTTGTGTTGCATCTTCAAGCACATTGGCTACAACCATCTGAGAATGTTGATTAACTATTTCTTGTCTACTCTGTGAAGAGCATATACCCATTCTATTCATTCTTTCATTTAAAAGCATGCATTGAATGCTAATTTTGTGCAAAAGCTCTGTGTAAAGTACTATGATGGATAGGCGATGGATAACAAGAGCTATTGCTTATGGAGGGTCTACCATGTTCCAGGACTGTAAATTGTAAGTGGCATTTACAAGCAACATTTCAAGTAAATTACCATCTTATGAAAAAGCAAACACTTAATAAACCATAATACAAAACCAAAAGAAGCAAGCAGGCCTTTATAATCTACATTATTGCAAGTCCTTAACATAGTCAGAGTTAAAGGCCTTTGAGAACTTCATGAGGTCTCAGAATTCTAATTAAAATGTACTCTTCTAGGGTTCTTAATTACTCACCAGGACATAAAACTAATTACAGCTCCCAGTAACCACATACATTGGCATCTAGATTAGAAAAAACCAGAGTTCTTATTCAAACAACTGGTTATTTGGAAGATAACCTGGTTATCCTGTGGTGAAAAAAATCCAAGCACCAGTTATTGAAGAAATATTCATCAGAGTGCCCACCATGTGTTAAGTGCTGTCAACACAAAGGTGATAAAGTTGTGAACCTGCCTTCAAGCTCAGGTTTTGGGGAGACTCATGAGATCAAGTAAGAGTTGTAAGGAGGCACTGAGTAGAAAGTAGGACACAGGCCGGGGCGGTGGCTCACGCCTATAATCCCAGCACTTTGGGAGGCCGAGGTGGGCAGATCACCTGAGGTCAGGAGTTTGAGACTGGCCTGGCCAACATGGTGAAATCCTGTCTCTACTAAAAATACAAAAAAAAAAAAAAAATTAGTGGCAAACACCTGTAGTCCCAGCTACTTGAGAGGTGGCGGGTGGAGAATTGCTTGAACTTGGGAAGCGGAGATTGCAGTGAGCCAAGATTGTACCACTGCACTCTGCCTGTGGAAGGAAGGCAGGAAGCTATGTCAGCAATGACCTCATTGAGGAGGTAACACCTAAATTTAGTCTTGAAATGTGTATCCATCCAGCGAATGGAAGGTGAAAAAGGAGCATGGACAAAGACACAAAGGAATTTAACAACGTGGAAGGTTGGGCAAACAGTCAGCAAGGCCAGGCCTGGGTTTATCACACGGTTAGGCAATGGGAAACCATACAAAGATTTTTTTTAACCAGCTGCTTTTTTAAACATGTGCATGAAATATTTATAGCAGCACTGCTGACAAATAGCCAAAGGGCAGAAACAACTCAAATGTCCATCAACTGATGAAAGGATAAACAAAATGTGGTATATCTACACAATGGACTATTATTCAGCCATAAAAAGGAATGAATTGTGACACATGCCACAACATGGATGAGCTTTAAAAACATTATGCTAAGTCTA
Source organism: Homo sapiens (assembly GCF_000001405.40). Taxonomy (NCBI): domain Eukaryota; kingdom Metazoa; phylum Chordata; class Mammalia; order Primates; family Hominidae; genus Homo; species Homo sapiens. The sequence goes on along the minus strand of NC_000009.12, from coordinate 72,160,507 downwards.
AAAAGCCAGACACAAAAGGTTATGTATTATATGTGTCCATCTATCCGAAATATCCAGAATAGGCAAGTGGATAGAGAAAGCAGATTAGTGATTGTTGCAGAGGTGAAGAGAGGAAATAAGGAGTGACTGCTTAATGGGCAATGAGTTTCCCTTTGGGGTGATGAATATATATATATATTTGTTTTGTTTTATTTTGTTTGAGACAGAGTCTCGTTCTGTTGCCCAGGCTGGAGTGCAGTAGCGCTATCTCGGCTCACTGCAAGCTCCGCCTCCCGGGTTTCGGCCATTCTCCTGCCTCAGCTTCCGAGTAGCTAGGACTACAGGCGCCCGCCACCATGCCCAGCTAATTTTTTTTCATATTTTCTTGTTTTTAGTAGAGACGGGGTTTTACCGTGTTGGCCAGGATGGTCTCGATCTCCTGACCTCATGATCCGCCCGCCTCGGCCTCCGAAAGTGCTGGGATTATAGGCATGAGCCACCGCGCCCGGCTGATGAATATATTCTTGAACTAGATCATGGTCAGTGTGGTGGTAGTTGTACAATATTCTGAATACAATAAATGCCACTGAATCATATACTTTAAAATGGTGAATTTTAAGTTATGCATTTTTTACTGCAATTAAGAAAAAGAATACAAATTTTAAAATAAAATAAATTGGTTTTAAATTATAAAAGCAAGACAAAAATTTTAAAAACTAGCAATACAAAAATAAAAATTATCCTCCATAGCTCCAAATCTCCATTCCCAATCTACAAAAGTAATTATTTAAGTTTTTATTTTAATATCTTCTTCCAGAACTGTGTTTTGTTGATGAGTGTATAAGGGTGTGCATGTGTGAGGGTGGGGAATGTATGATTATGATGCACTTTATTTTTCCATTTAAGCTTCTGGAGAATCTTGGAATTTTAAAATTCTTATATCATTATATGTAAGTTTAGAATAACTCACTTTAAATTATAATTACCTTGTGATTGCTTTGGCCTTCAATTTTTTTTTAATTCATGAATCAATGGGCTGTAAATAAACTCATATTGACACAGTTGGGTTTTAAGGTGGGGTTTGCTGAGAAAGGTTTGTTCTATCACTCATTTTTTTTTCTCTTTTTCTTTTTTTGAGACGGAGTCTCACTCTGTCACCCAGGCTGGAGTGCAGTGGCACAATTTCGGCTCACTGCAACCTCCACCTCCTGGTTTCAAGCAGTTCTTCCCCCTCAGCCTCCTGAGTAGCTGGGATTACAGGCACCTGCCATCATGCCTGGCTAATTTTTGTATTTTTAGTAGAGACGGGGTTTCACCATGTTGGCCAGGCTGGTCTTGAACTCCTGAGCTTGTGATCTGCCTGCCTCGTTTTTGTATTACACATCACATTCAACACACTTTACTGACCACCTACTTTGTGCTAAAACAACATGAAATGTTGAAGGGGCCTTAGGACAATAGAGTTTTGGCCCTCTCCATGACAGAAGACAGCAGAGACTCCTGGAGAGCACGGACCTTGGACATCAGACAGGCATGGCTCTGAGTCTTGCCTTTGCCACTTATTTGCTGTGACTGCAGCCAAGTAACTCTCCGAGCCTCCGTTTCCTCATTTGTAAAGTAGAGATGATGATGATGATGATGATGATGATGATGATGGTGTCCTTACCTTGTCTCAAGGTTGTTGATTTGTAAGGGATTTGGCAGACTGTCTGAAATACAGTATGACTTAGTAAGTGTTACCTTTTCTCCAGTTCATCTCTCTTTTTCCAAAAACTTTAAATCATTTCAGTGAGTGAGAACATTCTATAAAGCTAAGTATAATCAAAGGCAAATTGGAATAACTACTTCAGAGAAAGAAAAATAATAACAACACACTATCTCACTTGCCTCACAACTCTATCAAGGTGCTATTAATCCACATTTTTTTTTTTTTTGGAGACGGAGTTTCGCTCTTGTTGCCCAGGCTGGAGTGCAGTGGCATGATCTCAGCTCACTGCAAGCTCTGCCTCCCGGGTTCAAGGGATTCTCCTGCCTCAGCCTCCCGAGTAGCTGGGACTATAGGCGCCTGCCACCACACCCAGCTAATTTTTTGTATTTTTAGTAGAGATGGAGTTTCACCATGTTAGCCAGGATGGTCTCGATCTCCTGACCTCGTGATGAGCCCACCTCGGCCTCCCAAAGTGCTAGGATTACAGGTGCGGGCCACTGTACCCAGCCTTAATCCACATTTTTAAATGAGGATGCTGAGGTTCAGCTATGTCAGAAAATTTGTCCTAGTAAGTAGCAGAGTTTTGATTTGAATTCACATAATCTGACTCTAGAAACCATGTTCTTAACTACCTGTAAAATACTGATTTGAAATATATGAAAAATTTTATGGAAGAACAGAGGAAGGGGCAATTTATTTCAACTTGGGAATAAAGCCTTTGTGAAAGCCTTTGTGAAAAAGAGAAGATCAGAGCTGGGCCTTAAAGGAAGAGCAAGATTTCATTTTGATAGAAGTAAAATGGAAATGGGGATATAAAAAGGAGGACTATTCCAGGCAAAGAAATTGGTGCCAACAATGTGGAGGCATAAAAGGACATGATGTGCTGGAAAACAGGGAGAAATTTGCATGGATAGACATCCCTTGGCTCATGGATACAATATGGTGTAAATCAGTCATGGTAATCCTATTCCCACTTGCCAGACAGATAAATGAAGCAACAGAAAGAATTAGAGAACAGGTTGGGGCCAAATAATGTCATGCCTAGAACATCTTCCAGGACATTTGAAACTTAGAGGCAATAGTGAGCCATAGATGGTTATAGAAGAGTAGATACATGATACTACCCATGGTCCAAGAAAAGAGTTTTCAGTAATGTGGGGGAAATACTAGAATGAGAGAAAACAGTTAAGGGTCTCCTGTTATATTTTAGCTCAGAGACACTAAAGGGTAGATGGGGGCAATGGAAGTGAATATGCACACAGAAATCCCAGAGGAAAATTGGCTGGGCTTGACTATTGATATGGGTGCCTGGAAAGGCCAGTAAGGAGAAGAAGGAGAAGGTAGTTATTCTTGTAAAGTGTAAAATATTGTTCATTGAAAAGCAGTGTAGTAATGAGGGTGCATTGGGCTGCAATGAACAGTACCCAACTAACAGAGATTTAGACAATAAAGACATTTCATATCTCACAAAAGAAGTCTGGGCTGGCTACCGTGGCTCACGCCTGTAATCCCAACACTTTGGGAGGCCAAGGTGGGTGGATCACCTGAGGTCAGGAGTTCAAGACCAGCCTGCCCAACATGGCGAAACCCCATCTCTACTAAAAATACAAAAAATTAGCTGGCCATGGTGGTGAGTGCCCGTAATCCCACCTCCTCGGGAGGCTGAGGCAGGAGAATCGCTTGAACCCAGGAGGCGGATGTTGCAGTGAGCTAAGATCGCGCCACTGCACCCCAGCCTAGGCAACAAGAGTGAAACTCCATCTCAAAAAAAAAAAAAAAAAAAAAAAAAAGGAAGTCTAGAAGTCTGATAGTAGACAGTTCCAGGTAGGGGTAGTTCAACTGCTCAGTGATGTTAGAAAATGGGATGGTGTCTCTGAAATCCCCTTAACCTTTTCCTCACAGTCTCACATGGTGGCAGCAGCAGTTCCAAGTATCTTTTCTTCATATGAGAGTATCCAAAAAAGGCAGGGCTTCTCTTCCCACATCCTAGAAGCTTCTGAGCAAACTTCCTGTATGTCAGAATATTATCACTAGTCACCCTCAGCTACCAGGAAGCTGGAAGAATAAGTATCTGATAAATGGAGATAGGATTACCATGACTGGCTTACACCATGATGTATCCACAGGCTGAGTCTACCATGGACTGATCAAATTCAGGTGTTAATAAGGAAAAAGAGGTCATGACTGCTGAGTGGGTAACCAACAGTGTTTGCCATGAGCATTCTGAACAAGCAATCAGCCTTCTAGAAAATGGGAATTTGCAAGATGATCTTGTAATAATTGGGAGTGAAAGCATCTTTCTGATGAAAGCCAAGCTCCTATTCAGCAGCCTCAGAAGGAAGGGATTAGCCCAGTTTCCTTTCTCAGGACCAACAGCATATTTTGAGTTGCTGAGCTTGGCAGGAAGTGGAGGAAAGGATGATACACAATCACTAGGATTTGTGATTTAGACTGAGAGAACTTCTGGTAAAGTAGCCTCAGGTGAGAAAGAACTCTTCCTCCTCCCAGCAGTCTTCAGAACTGAAGAACATTGGGTCACTCTTTTCACCAGGGCTATATAATCCTCTTTTGCATGTTCCAGTCCTAAAAGGTCCAATTCAGCTACTACTTCCTTCAAGAAGCTTTTCCTATCACTGGTCAACTTGTGCCCCACTGTACTATTTACACACATTTACATACATTTTGCGATCACTCTTGATGCACTTACCTTCCAACCTTACATATGTAAGCTATCATCAAATCCAGTCAACTTGATCTAAATAGCTACTGATTCTATCCACCTCTCCATCTGCATTACTGACAATAACCGCTGAAGTCTAATGGACATGTACTACATGCCAGGCATTATTCTATATATTTTACACTTACTAATCCATTTTATCCTTTCAACAACCCTATTAGGTAGACCATAGTAATTATTTTATGCATAAAGAAATTTGGAGATACAAATGGTAAGGAACTTGATCAAATTCACATAGGTAATAAGTGATAGAGGTACTCTTAGGAGTTCATATCTCAGTTGATAACTACACTGCCTCTCTCATCTAAACCACATTCCATTTTACCTAAATACTGCAACAGGCTCCTATCTGACCTCCTTGCCTGCACTCAACTTCTCTTCAATGCATTTATCCTGAAGTTAGACCTTTATAACCACAAAATATAATCATGACACAATCCCACCATCCCCGATGCCCTCCATAACATAGCCCTGCCTACCTGTCCTGCCTTATCCTGTGTTAGCCTTCTCCTCAACCTTTGGACTCTGACTACCTTGACTGTTTCATTCCTTCCTACCCCAGGACCTTTGCACAGGCAGTCACAGGCAGTTCTCTCAACCTAGAAGGCTCTTCTTTACTTCCAATGCTGTCCACCTTACCTATTGGTATGGTTTGGATGTGCCTCCATCCAAATCTCATCTTGAATTGTACTCCCCTAATTCCCACATGTTGTGGGAGGAACCCAGTGGGCGATAACTTGAATCATGGGGGCAGTTTCCCCCATACTGTTCTCATGGTAGTGAATAAGTCTCACGAGATCTGATGGGTTTATCAGGAGTTTCCGCTTTTTCATCTTCCTCATTCTCTCTTGCTGCCGCCATGTAAGAAGTGTCTTTCACCTCCTGCCATGATTCTGAGGCTCCCCAGTCATGTGGAACTGTAAGTCCAATTAAACCTCTTTTTCTTCCCAGTCTCAGGTTGTTTTTGTCACCAATGTGAAAATTGACTAATATACCTACTTAACTTCTCATTGTTCACATCGCAAGTTTGATGTCACTTCACGCTAGGGAAAGCCTTCCCCTAACTAGTTCAAGTTCTGATAGGTCATGGCAGATTCTGTTAATTTATTACTAGATCATCAGTTTCAAGAGGGCAGGGCAGTATTTGCATACTTTGTTCATCAATTTATCTCCGGTGAAAACCCCAGTGTTTGGCTCAGGAATGAGTCACTTTTATTACAGCTACAAGTCTTAGCTCCCGTGCCAAAGTGCAGATTCTTTGAGGTCCAGGACTGTGCCCTAGAGAAGCAGTCAGCGACAGTAAAGAGAACATGGCCTTTGCCCCATACTAATTCAAAATCCAGCTACACCACCACCGTATCTGAATGCATGACTTCTCAAGTCTCAACTTCCTCATCTGTTAGTGGAAATAATGACATTGTCAAGTCTAAAAGAGATACTAAAGATAGCTTGCTAGTGAATCTAGCACCAAATGCTTCTTGATCTTTCTTCCAGGGTGCATCTTTGGGTCCCAGGGGATCAATGACATAAGCAGTGAGAATAAAAAGCTAAGGTTCTGTGACCACCCCATACAGTTCATCACAGGCCGTGGCTTCCTTCTCTACCACTTGGCATGTCACCATGTGAAAACATGCAAAATATCACAGTGAGCAAGAGGTTAAGGATTTGCTAGGAGGCAAAGGGAATAGAATGAACATGGTACATGTTAAGTATCCACTAAGTGCCAGGCATTTTCATACATTATCTCATTTAATAAATAGCAAAAGGAAATCTGACTCTACAAATGAGGAAACGGAGGCTCAGGCAGGTTAGGTCTCACCTGTGGTCTCAGCACAGGTAAGTGGTAGAGACTCTGACCTGAACCCAAGTCTCTATTCCTCCATTGGACTTGCTCCTGCCACCCCAGGACACAACCTCAAAATGAATCTCTTCCTCACTCTTGTTTCTGGGTAAGTGTGCATTAAAAGGCCCAAGGCATGTTTATGCATCTTTACTGTCAACCTGACCCTGATGTATGTGGGAAGAATCAGGCAACTTAGTAATATTTGAGCATGCATTACCTCAAGATTAAATATTTGCAAATGAATTAAACATGTTAGAGTCTATATTTTTTTTTTATTATACTTTAAGTTTTAGGGTACATGTGCACAATGTGCAGGTTAGTTACATATGTATACATGTGCCATGCTGGTGTGCTGCACCCATTAACTCGTCATTTAGCATTAGGTATATCTCCTAATGCTATCCCTCCCCCCTCCCCCCACCCCACAACAGTCCCCAGAGTATGATGTTCCCCTTCCTGTGTCCATGTGTTCTCATTGTTCAATTTCCATCTATGAGTGAGAACATGCAGTGTTTGGTTTTTTGTCCTTGCGACAGTTTCCAATTTCATCCATGTCCCTACAAAGGACATGAACTCATCATTTTTTATGGCTGCATAGTATTCCATGGTGTATATGTGCCACATTTTCTTAATCCAGTCTATCATTGATGGACATTTGGGTTGGTTCCAAGTCTTTGCTATTGTGAATAGTGCCACAATAAACATACGTGTGCATGTGTCTTTATAGCAGCATGATTTATAGTCCTTTGGGTATATACCCAGTAATGGGATGGCTGGGTCAAATGGTATTTCTAGTTCTAGATCCCTGAGGAATCGCCACACTGACTTCCACAATGGTTGAACTAGTTTACAGTCCCACCAACAGTGTAAAAGTATTCCTATTTCTCCCCATCAAGCTACCAATGACTTTCTTCACAGAATTGGAAAAAACTACTTTAAAGTTCATATGGAACCAAAAAAGAGCCCGCATCACCAAGTCAATCCTAAGCCAAAAGAACAAAGCTGGAGGCATCACGCTACCTGACTTCAAACTATACTACAAGGCTACAGTAACCAAAACAGCATGGTACTGGTACCAAAACAGAGATATACATCAATGGAACAGAACAGAGCCCTCAGAAATAATGCCGCCTATCTACAACTATCTGATCTTTGACAAACCTGAGAAAAACAAGCAATGGGGAAAGGATTCCCTATTTAATAAATGGTGCTAGGAAAACTGGCTAGCCATATGTAGAAAGCTGAAACTGGATCCCTTCCTTACACCTTATGCAAAAATTAATTCAAGATGGATTAAAGACTTAAACGTTAGACCTAAAACCATAAAAACCCTAGAAGAAAACCTAGGCATTACCATTCAGGACATAGGCATGGGCAAGGACTTCATGTCTAAAACACCAAAAGCCATGGCAACAAAAGCCAAAATTGACAAATGGGATCTAATTAAACTAAAGAGCTTCTGCACAGCAAAAGAAACTACCATCAGAGTGAACAGGCAACCTACAAAATGGGAGAAAATTTTCACAACCTACTCATCTGACAAAGGGCTAATATCAAGAATCCACAATGAACTCAAACAAATTTACAAGAAAAAAACAAACAACCCCATCAAAAAGTGGGCAAAGGATATGAACAGACACTTCTCAAAAGAAGACATTTATGTAGCCAAAAGACACATGAAAAAATGCTCATCATCACTGGCCATCAGAGAAATGCAAATCAAAACCACAATGAGATATCAGCTCACACCAGTTAGAATGGCAATCATTAGAGTCTATATTCTTAAAAGCTACATGCTACTTGAGCAGAAAGTATAACTCTGTATTTTGCTTTATACCAAAAAGTTGGCTAGATAATTTCTTTTAATTAACCTGCTTTTGAATGAGCTTTAATTTAATGTATTAAGAGCAGTTAGTCATTGGCATTCTCTGGGCCTAAACGAAGTTATACAAAATAAGGAATAAAGTTTAAAAGCGAGACCAGAAGGACAGAGTAAGCTTTGTGCCCTCTCGCTGAGATTCTACCCCAGATCTAAACTTGCAATGGAGAAATAAGCTCCTGATACTTCACACAGCTTGTCCCATCACAGAAACTATGTGTTACAGTTATTCAAAATGTAATCCACCCGCTGCTATAATCCACCCGCTACCTGCGTCTGAATCTCCTGGGATGCTTGTTGGAATGCCACTTTCTGGGGCCTACCCCAGGTCTATAGATTCAGAGTCTCTGAGGATGATGCCCAGAAATCAGCATATTATCAAGCACCCCTAGATATTTCTGATTCATTGCAAGGTTTGAGCTCCTAAAAATTTAGGAGTAAAAATTTACAGATCATTGGCCGGCGCGGTGGCTCACGCCTGTAATCCCAGCACTTTGGGAGGCCGAGGCAGGGGGATCACGAGGTCAGGAGATCAAGACCATCCTGTTAACACATTGAAACCCCAACTCTACTTAAAATACAAAAAAATCAGTGGGGCGTGGTGGCGCCTGTAGTCCCAGCTACTCGGGAGGCTGAGGCAGGAGAATGGCATGAACCCGGGAGGCAGAGCTTGCAGTGAGCCAAGATCAAGCCACTACACTCCAGCCTGGGTGACAGAGCGAGACTCCATCTCAAAAAAAAACAAACAAAAAAAAACCAAAAAAAAAATTACAGATCATAATAATTCAACATATTTCTGTATTCCAAAGGCGTATTATTTTCTTTTTTGAACCTTGAAATGTTTAAATAAATAATATATTTATCCCAGCAACTCTAAAAGTAAGATACTCTCCATTTTGAAATGGGGGATGTCAAGTTTTGAAATATGTATGGCATGCTCTCTCTTTAAACACAGCCAGGTATCAACTGCCTTGCACCTAGGAGGAGAGGAGAGCAACAGTTAGCAATCCACTGGTTCAGGAGCTCTGTACCATACATTCCAGCCACTGACTAACTCACCTTTGTATTCAATTCCTAAGTCATTTTGTCTTGTGGGGGAAGGGCATGTTTTCTAAATTTATAACTTCAGTATGATTTTTAGTGAGGAATAGACTCCCTGACTCAACTACTAATTGTGTGTTTGGGAAACTCTTTTATTCTTCTTCTGTACAAGCACCAGAAAAGGTATTTTTATTACTTCCTTTTCTTATTCCTCTCCACTGGTAAAACCAGTTGCCTGTTACCCTACCAATTACAATTCTGGATATGGGAAATTAATTTTTAAAAAAGAAACCCAAGAGTTGAACAGCTTCTTGTGATTAAAATAACACCTCTAATCTTACACCAGTTTAGCAATCTCCGTTCCTTTGCTTCCTGGGACTTGCCCCAAACCTGAGTTCCCTGAAACTTGAGGACCAAGTCCCCAAGCATGGGTTCATCAGTCTCAGGGTTTACCGGAATCTCCCTGGGAGAGCTCTGAGAGTTTTATCACCTTGGAAACACAACAGCAGGCTCCCTGAACGTGCATAGAAAGAGTATTTTTTAAAGCACCATGAGAAAACAGTGTTTAGTTACCCCCAAATGTAAGAGTCACGATTCAAAACTGTCACCGACTCGGTAGCATCTTAGTCAAGAATAGTATCTTCAACTTGACAAATCACAAGTATGTGTACTTTTGCTAACCAAACCAGTAGTTGGAAAACAGCTCAAAAAATCCCATCTCCATATTTATTTTATCATTTTTTTGTTCTAAAAAATGGAATGGCTTCACTTATCAAACTTGCCAGGCCATGGCTGATATAGTCACTATATGTGTGTATGGAACAGTAAATAGTAGACATCAAGTTACCTGTGTCATTTGTAGAAATCCTGATTTTGGAAAAGGAAGTGTAAAAGATACATTCAAAGAAGACATTTTGAACCTTAAAATGGAACTGCTTGCTTTGATGCAAATGGCTATGGTGTGTGTGTGTGTGTGCGTGCGTGTGTGTGTGTGTGTGTACGCGTGTGTGTATAAGAGAGAGAGAGGAAGGAAAAGAGATGGATGAATTATTTCTTTCGGACCATCCCTTCTAGTATTACAAGTTGTGGAACCTTCATCGTTAGTATATTATCTCTGTTGAATGATAGGGTGAATGTAATCAGTTCTATTTATTCTATGTTCTGGACACGCTAAACAACATCAATCAAATGACCCCCTCCTCTTATTTCTTTCACAATAAATTCAACCACATTTATGGAGAGCCTCCTGTGCCAGGCACAGTGCTAGGTGTTGGAAACAAAGATGATTTAAGCAAGATTGAAGATTATTGCCGGTATCTTAGGATTGGAACGGGGGGCGGGGGAGCGGGGGGTGACATCCTTGCTCCCGGCTCTACCGCAGCCCGGACTGCTGTCGAGCCAGTTGTGGCGTTAGCACGCCACTGCTCCCGACTTCTGGGAACTCCCCAGCCAGCCCACGAACCTAGCGCCAGGGTTCTCTCTGCGTTGCCCAAGAGCCAAAGACTCAAGTTCAACTCCGGAGCCGCGGCGCTCACTGCGCACCGAGCGAACCCCGGGCTACGCGAAGCACCGCGCCAGGTTCCTTGCACCTATCCTCCCGCCCGTCGGAGTGCGCTCGACCCCGCGCCTGCTTACTTTGCCGCTGTCGCTCACGCCGAGGAGGTGATCCCGCAGCACCTCCATGGGGCAGGTCCAGGTGGAGTGGACGAACGTCCCTCGGAAGATGTGCGCCAGGGGCGGCATCTGAGCGGCACACATGTCAGCGGCGGAGCGCAGCGCGGGTCTGCTGGTCGAGGAGGGCGCACGCGGCGGAGACGCAGCGGGACTCTCTGCAGCTGCGGGCGGCTGCCGGGCGGACACAGGCTCCGGCCTTGTCCTGCCCCCGCTTACCCGGGCGGTTGCCGGTACCCTGCAGGCCGCGCCCAGGGGCTGGCTCCCTACCTCCTCAATGCCAATAGGATTTTTCTCCCGCGAGTTGGCTCCGCGCTCCCGTGGGGTGTGGTCTTTCTCTCCACCCTTGCGTTAGTTTTGGTTGTGTTAACTCTTTGAGTTATCAAGATCAACCACAGCTGAGGCTCAGAAGATCAGCTTCCTCCACCTTCTATGAGTTGTGTCAGCCTGGCTCCTCTGACCCTTCAACTCCTAGGATCACTTACTTCTTCAACCTGTAGCACTCAGGTCCTGTACTTGCATTAGTTCAGGCACAGGTGAAAGGTCAGCTGGGGCTGCCTACCTTATGACCAGTTTCATTTTTAGTTTATGTAGACTGCAGAATTAGTATTGGTCCTCACCTGGAAGGTTCTGGAAGCATGTCTTACCGAACATCTCTGGGGACCCCTAAACTGGGTGTCATTGTGGACGCCAAGGTTCCTCTCTTCACCTTGAGGCTAATGTTTTTGGTTCTTGTGTTTGTCCGCAAACAATTCCAATACCAATTTTTCTCGTGTAAAATGAATGAATCTCTTTTATTTACTTCCAGTTGTACAAAGGGAGAAAATTAAGTTCTCAAGTCAAATAGGCAGCAATGGTACCATGGGTGCTGAATTGGGAATCAAGAGACTGTGGACAAGACACGTGGGCCTCAGTGTGCTTATCATCCCCACTTATGAAAATGGAGCTTGGACTGGGTCATAACTAGGGTCAGCGTTCCCACCCTACACAATGACCACAGGGTCCTTCACTAAGTTCCTCCATGAAACCCAGCTGGCTTCCATTCAGGGCCCTCTAACGTGCTGTTCCTTCTGCCCCTAATCCCTCTTGTGGCGCTTTACTTGGCAGCTCTTCTCACCACTGATTTGTCTCAAATGTCAGGCTCTTCGGAGTCACCTTTCCTGACCACCAAGTGGCACCGGACTCCCAGCAGTTTCTACTCCACTAATCCATCTTGTTTCTGCCATTGCATTTATTGTGTCCATTCTTCTTTATTTTGTGTTTTTTAGTTTACTCCTGTTTCCCTCTCACCAATACACACACACACACACACACACACACACACACACACACACACATACACACACCAATAACAGAAGCACCACAGGAGCAGGGAATGTGTCTTATGCCTAGAACAATGCCGGTGTTCCATACATGTTTATTGAATAAATGAATGGATGGTTTTTCTGTGAGCAGAGCCATAACCTGAGACAAATAACTATTTTGACAACTACATAAAGGGTGAGGGTTTCATTGCAGTGTGTGAGCAGTTTTTCTCTGAATTGCTGCTTTTAAGACACAGGGCTGGCTTATAGAAATGATTCGTTCCCTTCTCAGTTCCTTCAGCTCCCCCATAACCAATGTCTAAGGTGACCAACAAATCCTGGTTTACCAGGCACTTTCCTGGTTTTAGCACTGAAAGGCCGTTCAGGAAAACCGTCAGAACCATGCACACAGATGGTTGATCACCCTACCAGGGATCCAGAATTAGGAATCTCTGCAGCTGAGGTCATTACACTTGTCCCTGCTCCTTGTCACTTTCTCCTGATTCTGCCAACTGCACTCCCTCCTGGCAGTACCGACAGCCAGCACACTGAAAACATTCCCTTGTATACACAAAAACCTCAGACAGAAAGGTGAAGAAAATGGCTTTTGAGATAGGATTCAATCAGATGTTTCCAACAGATGTATTACTTTCCTAAAACAGATACGGTTAATAATTTTTTTGATGATTAGGTTTTAATGAAAACCTAAATGTCAAAAAAAAAAAATAGAGACTAGTTTTATGAACTAGAATATATCTACTTGATAGAACATTATACAGTTATTAAAAACAACAGGAGAAATATATAGCCACAATGTTAAGCTTTCAAAAATGGCTTCTGGCTGGGCACGATGGCTCACGCCTGTAATCCCAACACTTTGGGAGGCCGAGGCGGGTGGATCACGAGGTCGAGATTGAGACTATCCTGGCCAACATGGTGAAACCCCATCTCTACTAAAAATACAAAAATTAGCTGGGTGTGGTGATGCGTGCCTGTAGTCCCAGCTACTCAGGAGGGTGAGGCAGGAAAATTGCTTGAACCCCGGAGGCGGAGGTTGCAGTGAGCTGAGATCACGCCACTGCATTCCAGCCTGGTGACAGACCAAGACTCGGTCTCAAAAAAACAAAACAAAACAAACAAACAAAAAACAGCTTCTATGCTACGATGAAAACCATGAAAAGCTATAAGCATATTTGCTGGAATTGAAAAGGTACATCAAACAATGTGTGTTGTTCTGTTGAGATAATGGAATTGCTAGGTAGAGAATTTTGTTTTGATTTTTTTAATGTTGTTACTATGTGGTTTATAGGATGAATAATCATTATGATGCTTTTAAAGAAATTAATCGTCTTAAGCAGAAGGATTGGCCATGAACCTCCAGGTGACATGGCATTAGTGCTCCTCAGGTAAATTTTAGCTCTTTTGAGCAATGCATAGTTCCACTTCCATTCCCAGTCAAGTTGTAGGTACCTGGGCCCAGGATCCAGAAGCCCTGGGTGCTATACTGCCAGGCAGCATGGCTCAGCCACATGCCAGAAGTCTTGGCTTCCCAGCCAGGCATGGTGGCTCATGACTGTAATCCCAGCACTTTGGGAGGCTGAGGAGGGCGGATCACTTGAGGTGAGGAGTTCGAGACCAGCCTAGTCAACATGGTGAAACCCCGTCTCTACCAAAAATATAAAAAATTATCCAAGTGTGGTGGCGCACACCTGTAGTCCCAGCTACTAGGGAGGCTGAAGCAGGAGAATCGCTTGAACCCGGGAGGCAGAGATTGCAGTGAGCCAGGATTGAACCACTGCACTCCAGCGTGGGCAACAGGGTGAGACTCCACTCTCGGAGGTGGCAACTCCTTTAAATTGCTGGTCCTCCTGCAATTTTGACTCCCATTCTGGTATCCCCAGGGAAATATTCTCCTGGCTACAGAGGTTTGGAGGAAAGAGGGAGTACAGAGCTTTCATATTCACCCTCAAAATACAGCCCAAGCATCATTAGTGCTCCACCCCCACATATCACTTCCTTCAGAAAAAAAGAGCCCCGCCTTGGCATGGAATATTCCCTGGCTGCTTCTTCAGGCTTGGCTACCTCCACTCTCCCATATGCTATGAATCCGCTTTGCTCACACTCTTCTCTCTGCCTGTGGTGCCCTTTTACCACCTTACACCATGTCTGCCTCATTGTCCCACCCACTCCCCCAACCCCCAACCCCCCCTCACCTTTATCCAGGATATCTTTACATTTCTGCTCTAGAGTGTTAAGTGTTCCTCCCCTGAGTTTGTGGGTGTGCTGTAATTGTTCCATTACTCATCTATACCCCAAAGAAGATGTGTTTTTCTGAAGGACCATGTCCTCTTTCTTTCTGTGTATCCATCCCCTTAACACAGTCCCTGGTCACTAGGAGGTGCTCAATAGATTTATATGAATATTGAATTGCAGGAGATGGCTCTAGTGCCTATATTTTAGTCATAAAAATTAAGAGGCTATAGTGGGTGTCTGCTAATGGTGAACAATTCATTGGGACTAGAACTTAAGGATGAGTTTTATTTCATTTATTTAGTTTTCCAACATTTTATGAGAATGTTCAGACATAGAGAAAAATTTTAAAGCTTCATTTCTTACAATCTCAATTTTCTCTATTTCAGATGGAGCCAAGTAGCCCCCAAATTCCCCAACTACTGGGGTGGGATCATCGTGTTCTAAACCTCCAATTGCCTGAGGCCAAAACCTAGACCATAGCATGATTAGCTTTGACATTTTGCTCATCTCATGAATGTAATTATACCTGTAGCTTAGTCAGTCAGTCCTTTTTGCTAGATAGAACCTGACTGTTTGAAAAGGCTTTCTCCTCTATTATCTAATTTTGAGCCTCTCAACAACCCTATAAAATAGGAAGAGGATGTATTTTAAACATTCCACAGATGGGGAAACTGGGGTTCAGGGAGGTTGGCTTGCCTGTGCAGTTAATATAGGATGGACTTGGATCTTGAGTCCAGTTGTTCTCATACATTGTCTCATCACAGTAAACTCCCAGGAATTGTTCATTCAGTTTTGCCATGACTCACTTGGCCACTGCACTGTGGGCTGTCATCTACAACTTTCACATTGTACATGGTTTTCCAACAGTTGCTGGTGACACTCAGATCTAGCCTGCAGTAAAACTAAAGGGAATAATGGGCCTTGAGAAAAACAGGAATCCAATCAGCGTAGGTCAGTAGAATGGGCTATCGAAAATAACTCAGGTTTTCATGAGGTACAGAGAGTGCAGGGAAGCAGTTTAAATGAGAGGCCACTTTTCCTCTCTTATCTAGGAGAGAAGTTGTCATTGTACAGTGAAATAAATGCCTGCCTATTTTATTTATTCTTTTCATGTAGCTAAATCTATCAGTTTCCATGGTGCCCTGTGCTCACCATGGAAACTCTGACAAGCTTGTTATGCTTTAGAGAAAAAAAAAAAAAAGATACACCAAAAATTTGAGATGGGATAAATGCGTTCCTTTTAAAACTGTGTGTTCTTCTGAGTGGGAGGCCTTAATGGATAGCAAATCATAATGATCTCCATTTTCCAGTTCTTAGGTGAGAACCCAGGTTTGCCTATCCATAGAGGCAGCACCCTCGGCCCCCCAAAACTACTTTATCTGTATAGTGTAGTTATGCCAGTGAGTATCCCACCTCTGTATTTACTGACAATAGAGAGATGGCTCAATTCATATTTTGTCCATTTTTATGAGAATATAGTGCTAGTCCCTATAAATATTCTTTAACAGTTTGTTCACTTAACAAATATTTATTGGACATCTATATTATGATAGGCACCATGCTAAGCACTGTGGGTATGACTGTATGAAACAGATATTGTCTTACCTATATGGAACTAATATATTTTCTCTCTGCCACCTCTAGGAGTAGAAATTAATAGCTTTCATAGTATTACTGTAACATTTCCCTAGCATAATTAGTGAATGTCGTATTATTATATATACTACATGTCAAATCTTAAGTGATACGAATATAATACAAGGCACTTAACAATTGATGCTGAAGTGACACATTGATAACAATGCTCTAGTATGCTATTTGATATTACTTGTTTTAAAGAAGTCTATTGTTAATATTATTAGTATTTTGAGGTAGAGTCTCACTCTGTTGCCCAGGCTGGAGTGCATTGACACCATCTCAGCACACTGCAACCTCTGCCTCCCAGGCTCAAGGGATTCTTCTGCCTCAGCCTTCCCAGTAGCTGAGACTGCAGGCACCTGCTACCATACCCGGGTAATGTTTGTGTTTTTAGTAGAGATGGGGTTTCACCATGGTAACCAGGCTGGTCTCGAACTTCTGGCCTCAAGTGATCCATTCTCCTCAGCCTCCCAAAGTGCTGGGATTACAGACATGAGCCACTGCGTCTGGCCAGAAGTCTATTATTTTTAAATAGCTCCTATATTACTCTTGAAAAATCGGCATATGTTTATTTTATAAGATTTGAACATTTAAAAATACCGTATCTCACTATCCAGATATATTATCACCATTAGCACCCTTGTGGTTTGTTTAGAAAAGTTCAAATATAGAAAAGACAAAAGATAGTAGCCTAGAAGTTTGTAGATGAGAAAAGTAGGGAAGAGGAAAGCTACCTCTTCTTTTTAGAATAGCAATTAAGTTTGGAGAAATGCATACATTTTACCTGAATTTTATAGAAAAAGGGAAAACAGAACGAGAGGAATGAGTTGCAACTTGACTTAGGTTTTATGCCAGACAGGTGCAGGGAGATATTTTTCTGGCTGGAAGGTTTTAAGTAGTATGTAGGCAGCTGTTTCCATCACCTACTCATACTGCTGATCCCTCAAATCAGGTAGCACGTTAGTAAAATTTAGCTGATGCCGGCTTCCTACCATGACAGCAAGCTCAAAGCAAATATTCTTGGGCCGGGTGTGGTGGCTCATGCCTGTAATCACAGCACTTTGGGAGGCCTAGGCAGGTGTATCACCTGAGGTCAGGAGTTCGAGACCAGGCTGGCCAACATGGAGAAACCCTGTCTCTACTAAAAATACAAAATTAGCCGGGCATGGTGGTGCATGCCTGTAATCCCAGCTACTCGGGAGGCTGAGGCAGGAGAATCGCTTGAACCTGGGAGGCGGAGGTTGCAGTGAGCCGAGATCGCGCCATTGCACTCCAGCCTGGGCAACAAGAGGGAAAATCCACCTCAAAAAAAAAAAAAAAAAATTCTTGACCTGTGTTATTTTGTGTACATTTATGCTCCAACATGGATTATAAAGGTATTCTAGCCAGGTACAGTGGCTCATGCCTGTAATTCCAGCACTTTGGGAGGCCGAGGCAGGTGGATCATCTGAGGTCGGGAGTTCGAGACCAGCCTGACCAACATGGAGAAACCCTGTCTCTACTAAACATACAAAATTATGCAGGAGTGGTGGCACATGCCTGTAATCCCAGCTACTCAGGAAGGCTGAGGCAGGAGAATCGCTTGAACCCAGGAGGCAGAGGTTGCAGTGAGCCAAGATCGCGCCATTGCACTCCAGCCTGGGCAACAAGAGCAAAACTCCGTCTCAATAAATAAATAAATAAATAAAATAAAAGGTATTCCACTTTTACTATCAAGGGATAAGCAATACATACAATCAATATCTATAGGTTCCTATTCCAGCTCAGTCACAAGCCAATGATATCTTGGCAAAGTCATTCTACTTTGGGCCTTGGTTTCTTCATCTGCAAGATGAAAGGTCACCTGCTATCACTGGTTCCGTACTTCTTTTTTTTTTTTGAGATGGAGTCTTGCTCTGTTGCCCAGGCTGGAGTTCAGTGGCACGATCTCGGCTCACTGCAAGCTCTGCCTCCCGAGTTCACACCATTCTCCTGCCTCAGCCTCCCGAGTAGCTGGGACTACAGGTTCCCACCACCACACCTGGCTAACAGGATGGTCTCGATCTCCTGACCTCATGATCCGCCCACCTCAGCCTCCCAAAGTGCTAGGATTACAGGTATGAGCTACCGCACCCGGCCAGTTTCCATACTTCTTTATTCCCAAGGATTCATTTCCTTATTCCTGCTACTTACATACCTTAAGTTTTACATTGTATCAAGAAAACTAGTACAAGACAGAAACTCAATAAAAGCTGTTAAATGAAAGATTTCCCCACTTCTCATTCATCAAAGACCAAAATAACTACCAATCAGAACTTCTGATGAACATGAACTATCTAGCATGTCGAGTTCACATAATTCAAATCAAATGCAGGTCTAACATTTTACTTAGCCCATGCAACCTATCTCAAGTTGGACAAATTCTGTTAAACCTTTGTGAAAAGTTAGAGACTCAAGAAACAGCTTGAATTTGTTGAACAATCCTCCTAAGCATCCTGGGACTCCAAGTTGATCAATATTGAAGTAGAGTCGGGAAGCCACTGAAATGATTTCACACATTTTTGGGAGCTACTTTGCCACTTTTCTGCTTTGAGATAGAAGAATCTATACATCTCTAATGTGCCACATTGATAACTGAGACCTAGGGCATGAAATGAATCCTATTAGGCTCTCATTCTGGGGATCTCAGAGAAGGATTGGTTTTTCCCAAGGTTATTAATGTGCAGCTTAACTGGTTTGAGCTGACCGTGGATCTAAAGTGAAAAGACGCTTACCTCAGCTAACAATGCATGCTAGCCGAGGTGCTGAGAGTCATTGCATGCATGTTCCTAGACTCCATGTTCCTGGAAACCATAATGAGATTGGACTCCACTCTAGCAGAAAGCCAAACATTATCATCCCTACAGATGCTACACAATTAGTGCCTCTTTAGATAGGTGTAAATTTCATACAGAAAGTAAAAACCAACTGAAGCTCAAGTTAAATTGTCATAACAATGATTTTAAGGAAAAAAAAATTCTAAGGAATTCTCACAATATTATTTAAATAGGTAAAATTAAACTTATTTGAAAAACTATAAATGAGTGTCAAAACTTCCTTCCTTTGTGTATATTTCTAAAGGGATGATTTTTAATATTATATATAAATGAAATTTACCATTTATGTAACACTCTTCCATATAAAATGCAAAACCCACTAACTATAGTTGTGAGAAGAATCCAGCCCTAATAAGAAGGAAGAAACCATCTCTGAGAAGCAATTTTTGTTATTGCTTTTAGAAGTGTGGTTTGTGTTTTTGGAATTCTTTGTGGAATGGCATATAATAGGGAATCAGTAAATATTAATATTAGACAAATTAATGCTAAGTTATATATAATAAAACTCCAGTTCAGAATCACTCATTCTCCCCCATGGAGCATTAAAATTGCCATAGTGTCCATATTACCAAAATATGCTATGAAATGAAAAACATGTGATTGGGATTTGGAGCATGTGTAAGTTCAGACAAGGCTGAAAGTGACAGAAAACCTCAAGCGATCCTCCTGCCTCGACTTCCCAAAGCCCTGGGATTACAGGTGTAAGCTACTGTTTGGCCTGGAATGACTCTTCTCACTTTTATTTACAGACTTTGCTTCCCTTAGATCTCAGACTACAGACTACATGGATTCAGGTCAGAGGTGTGGTCACCATGACTTAGAAGAATGGCATTTAACATTTTGGTGCCGTGAGGTATGTACTTCCTTTTAGTTAATTACAGTCATTTCCAGATATGGGACATTTTGCTATACTTATTTCAATGGAGAAATATTTTAATGGCCCGGAACACATAATATGACAACATCAATTTTATCATTAATATGTATAATTTTTACCCATTCCTCATGTCATCCTAAGATTGATTACAAAATCAATCAAAAACCAGCTAAAACTCTGCAGTCTAAATGGGAATGGGAATATATTGTTTTGCATAACAACAACAACAATGAAAAATCTATGGTCACACTCTTTCTGGCAGCGCAGCTTTGTTGTAGGTTCAATCACTGTCTACAGCACCCAACTTCTCTCTCTGCCCTCTTTCCTCCTCTTTTCCCGCTCTTCCCTTCTCCTTCTCTCTTCCACACAGACTCCATTCTCTGACGTCTCCCTCCTCATGATCACAAGGTGATGACAACAGCTCTAGACTTTATACTCTCAAATTCAGGTGAAGAAAAAGCGAAGCGACCTTTCCCAAAAGTTTCAGAAAAATACAAAAACCAAACTCATCATCTTATTTGCCACAATAGGCTGATATGCCCAGCCCTAACAACAATAACAAAAGCATTATAGCCGGGGCAAGGTGACATGTGACACTCTGATCTGGGTCTCATGCCCCATCTGTTAGTTAAGGAGCAGGTAGGTGAGGAAGTACAGGCACTCAGGGTAGGGAACGCGGGGTTCCCTAGAGAACTTGGAATATAGTGTCCAGAAGAAGGTGAATGGGTGCTGGGCAGCAAAAACAGCAGGTTTTTATTAGGGTGTGGTAGGTACAGGCTTTTGATTAAAAGTTACCTACAACTAACTGATAGGCACAGATATAATTAGAAATATAACCCGCATAAATATTGATAAAATATAGTAGAATACATGATGTAAGTTAAATAGTTATTGCAAGATGCTTTCATTTTCCTCTCAAAACAAAACCTTATTTTGTGCCTCTTATGAGTAAGATGCTATGCATTGTGTAGGATATAAAACTGAGATTCCCTGCCCTCACACTAAGAATCACAGGAGGAAGGGTAAAAAGATGAAATGAATAATGGAGCATTTTTTTTTATTAGAGGCGAGGGTCTCCCTATACTGCATGCAATCTGGTCCCGAACTCTTGTCCTCAAGTGATCCTCCTGCCTCAACTTCCCAAAGCCCTGGGATTACAGGTGTAAGCTACTGCACTTGGCCTGGAATGACTCTTCCCATTTTTATTTAGAGACTTCTCTTCCCTTAGATCTCAGACTACAGACTACATGGATTCAGGTTAGAGGTGTGGTCACCATGACTTAGAAGAAAGGCATTTAACATTTTGGTGCCATAAGGAATGTACTTCCTTTTAGCTAATTACGGTCATTTCCCAGTATGGGACATTTTGATATATGTATTTCAATGGAGAAATATTTTAATGGCCCAGAACATATAATATAACAATGTCAATTTTATCATTAATGTGTATAATTTTTACCCATTCCTCATGTCATCCTAAAATTGATTACAAAATCCAGTAAAGCTGCATTTGACCAACTACACCAAAATGCTTGGTTCGAACAAGTCATATAAAAAAAGCCCTACTTTGATCATTTCTGTTCATCAAATTTTTACTTGCTAACCTTAAGGTAAAGTGCTTGAAAGAGGAATAGCAGCCCATGCCTTGTCCATATTTTTAGATATTCTTAGATGTGTTAGGATGATGGACTATGACCATAAAAACAATATAACACGAAATGCATGGAAAGATACAACGATACAGATGTTTCATAAATGCAATAAAAACTTAATTACATAAATTATTCTCTTTCCCTAGTCAATTAAATATGATTGATGTTGCTGTTGTCACTGTTGTTTAATGTGCTGTTACCAGTTCTCGCCTTTCCCCAATCTCTTACTTTCTCATTCATTTAGTCTATGAACATTTGTTGAGCGCCTTGTATATGCCAGGTATTCTGTTAAGCCCTAGAAATTGAAAGATTTTAAAAAGTCATGACTCTTATCCTTAAGAAGCTTATAAGATAATGGCAGAAACCGACAGGCACACATGTGGCTGTGATAAACTGTCTGCAGGTGTCTCTTCCCCCTTCAACTCCTGCATACTCCATCGACCCATCATGGGGCTCTGTGAGGAGCAGATCTGTCTCCTTTACTGCTATGGAAACAGCGTTTAATGCAGTACCTGGCATGCTGTAGACACTCAATAGATGATTGTTAGATGTGTTAAGTGCAACAGTAGAAGTATGCAAGAAATATTGATTCCTGCCTCATAAGAAGAGTAGATGCATACAGAGAAGTTGGTCTGGGGCAGTGATTTTCAACTAAGAGCGGTTCTGCTCCCTGAGAGAGCAGGAGCACCATCATCTTGGACAAACACCACCACTTTAAGTTCCAGCTCCCTTTCTAGCCTCATGCGTTTCAAGGCAATCACTTCTCTTCTAACTACAAGCCGCCAGAAAGAGCAGACAGTAAAACACAGATAAAACAGCTTGGGCACAGAGGGAGGTGGTGGGAAGTCTCTTGGGTAACTGCCAAACTTCACCCTCATACAATGGGCCCCAGTAAAACAGTGGTCCTTAATAAGCACATTCCTTCTCCTTCAGGTGCACTAAGATAGGGAAGCCAAAAGCAGACTCGGGGGTATGCCTGCAGCTGCAGACAGATGTATGGGAACAGATACACAACTCTCCCTCCCATATAAGCACAACAAAGAGACACAGAAGCAGTCTCAGCCTCTGATAAACTCTCCCACCCTGAATCCTTAAAAACTCAGTCTGTAAGAGAGTGTGGCGTTGACCTAACTCGGCCAGAAGCCTTTCTCAGGCTTGTTTAAAATAAACCTGTCTCTGTTGACTGTAGAGCCACCCTTCGTGTTTCTCTCCTCTTTATTTAATTCTTACACTCCCCAGGGAGCACTTGGCAATGTCTGAAAATAATTTTGGTTGTAACAGTTGAAGGTGGGGGGGTGGGTTATGACTGGCATCTAATAAGAAAAAAACAGGGATCTAAGATGTTTAGCAGCACAGCCTCCCACCACAAAGTTATTCAGTCCAAAATGTCAATAGTGCTGAGATTGAAAACCTTAGTGTGGGGTAAGATCCTCAGTTATAGGATCTTAAATGTTCAGTGATCTTTGAGCTTCTAGAAGCACCACAGAGTCTTAGAAAATTGTAGAGTTAAAAAGGATCTTAGGGCCAGGCACGGTGGCTCACGCTTGTAATCCCAGCACTTTGGAAGGCTGAGGCGGGCACATCACAAGGTCAGGAGATCGAGACCATCCTGGCTAACACAGTGAAACCCATCTCTACTAAAAATACAAAAAAATTAGCCGGGCGTGGTGGCAGGAGACTGTAGTCCCAGCTACTCGGGAGGCTGAGGCAGGAGAATGGTGTGAACCCGGGAGGTGGAGCTTGCAGTGAGCTGAGATGGCACCACTGCACTCCAGCCTGGGCAGACAGAGTGAGACTCCGTCTCAAAAAAAAAAAAAAAAAAAAAGAAAAAAAGAAAAGGATCCTAATTTTTTTTTTTTTTAATTTATTTATTTATTTTTTAATTTTTAAGGATCCTAAATTTTAAAGGATCTTAAATTTCACTCCAATTCCCCAATGAAATCATTTGTATTATTCTTGGAAGATGGTCTGCTATTAATTTTCAGAGGCAGAAAGTTTAGTTCTTTGAGTGATGATCATTTCCTTTGTTAGTTTTAATATTCATATGTATGTTTTTGTTGTTGTTGTTGTTGTTGTTTTCTTTTTGAGACGGAGTCTCACCCTGTCTGCCAAGGACCAAGGCTGGAGTGCAATGGCGCAATCTCCACTCACTGCAAGTTCCGCCTCCTGGGTTCACGCCATTCTCCTGCCTCAGCCTCCCGGGTAGCTGGGACTACAGGCACCTGCCACCATGCCCGGCTAATTTTTTGTATTTTTACTAGAGATGGGGTTTCACTGTGTTAGCCAGGATGGTGTCAATCTCCTGACCTCGTGATCCGCCCACCTCGGCCTACCAAAGTCCTGGGATTACAGGCATAAGCCACCGTGCCCAGCCTCATATGTATATTTTAATGAGCCAAAAGTTGCATTTGAAAATGTCACTGTTTGTGCTAGGTAGCACTTTCTGGGGCAAACAAGAATAAACCAGTATTCTCTCACATGTCAATCTTCCAGGATTTGAAAATGGTGGTGATTGCCCTAAGACTCTTTTTCCCCATCAGATTCATCATTCTACTATTTTTTAAGGCAATTTAGAAGAATAGTACAGTGTATACTAGAAAATATTCTATATGAACAACTGATAAAGTGTGAGATGACAGGTACTTCAGGACTGATCTCCCAGGCACTGCATTAAGCAATATTGAATTTCACATAATCACATAATGAGAACATTGTTTGCATTTGAATTTTTAATCCTTCTTAAATCTAGGACACAGGCTCAGTTTGGTATAAAAAATATTTAACATTTCTGTAGCCTTGTTAATTTATCTTTTTAAAAGAGACAAGAGACCTCAGAGTTAGAACTTTCTATAGGCCACAGTATCTAGCTAGAATTCAATAACATTATTTTGTTCATAATACATTTATGTTCATGGTTTTCTTCTATTTATAGTAAGAGTTGCTGGCCTTTTATAGATTTGGTATAGCTAGTTTCTTATTTATGGCTTTATGTAAAGTTTTCTACTTAAATAATTGAGTTTAAGTCTGAAAAATGGGATTTAAAGAAAAAAGTTAATTGCAATACAGATTTACAGATAGAACTAAATCAATGTAGGTGCCATTTGTAATACCCGAAGTTAGAGAAATAAATGTCAAACTATGGTCATAGAATCAAGCAGGCCCCGCGTGGTGGCTCATGCCTGTAATCCCAGCACTTTGGGAGGCCAAGGAGGGTCAATCACCTGACGTCAGGAGTTCAAGAGCAGCCCGGCCAACATGGTAAAACCCCGTCTCCACTGAAGACACGAAAATTAGCTAGGCATAGTGGGGGGTGCCTATAATCCCAGCTACCCAGGATGATCTTGATCTCCTGACCTCCTGATCTGCCCACCTCGGCCTCCCAAAGTGCTGGATTACAGGCGTGAGTCACCGCGCCAGGCCAACTATTCTTAAAGTCACAAGAGCTTGATCGAGGACAGAAATACTACTTTGTTCATACTTCTATCTCCAGTAAGCAGCACACCTTCCTCGTAATAGATGCCGTTAGGTGAAGATAGGAGAGGAAAGCGAATAAGAGCCTGGGATTTGGAATCAGACAAAGCTGAATTTGGGTCCTGGATCTGCTACTTATGACTATGTGATCTTGTCATGTGGCATCATCTTAAATCCCACTTTCTCAGCATGAGAATACAAATGGCTACTTTATTTCACTGTTAGAATTAAGTAAAATAGTACACATATAATTCTTGGCATAGTAGCTAGAATATAAAATGTGCTCAAAATATTATTGCTATTTTTTATTATTTGATCATGTGATTACTTTCGTTGACTGAAATTGAAAACGCACACACACACACACACACACACGTACGTAGGCCATGATGTTCAGAATCATACTTTAATTCATCTTTGGTTAAAAAAAAAAGTACTTATTTGTAAGAATGTAAAAATGAATTGATCTCGCCAATAAATAGCTAACTGTGGATATTGATGTAGAGAAAAAAATGAGTGGAGTAGGCTATATTTGGCTAACATTGTCTTCCCTGATCTATAGAACCTTGTGGTTCCACAGGAATATTGCACAACAGGGAAGTAACCAAGAAGAAACTGAAGAGTTAATTGCATATCATTGACCAATATGTCCAACCACTTCTTTTCCCAGTACCATGATTTGCCCAAAGGAGCTTGGTTGACTGGAGTCAGCTCTGTACTAACAGTTCCAGGACTGCCACCAGGCAAAATTGTCAAGTGGAAGCTCTTCTACTTCTTCATATGGCTCACAAGTATTAATTCAATTCTATGTACTCTTTTTTACCCAACTTCTTTCCCAATAAATTTTGAGGCAGAATCTGTGCAGGCTTACAACACCATAAAAAACAAGTGCCGGCCAGGTGCAGTGGCTCACGCCTGTAATCCCAGCACTTTGGGAGGCTGAGGCAGGTGGATCACCTGAGGTCAGGAGTTCCAGGCCAGCCTGACCAACATGGTGAAACCCCAATCTCTACTAAAAATAAAAAAAAATAGCTGGGCATGGTGGTGGGCGCCTGTAATCCCAGCTACTCATGTGGCTGGGGCAGGAGAATCTCTTGAACCCAGGAGGCAGAGGTTGCAGTGAGCCGAGATCACACCACTGCACTCCAGCCTGGGTGACAAGTGCAAAACTCTGTCTAAGAAAAAAAAAAAAAGTTGGCGGGGGAGGCCTTCCTGGAGCACAGTAGGTTTTATGGAGAGTTTTCAGAAATACAAATTTAGGTTTCACCCTCAGTCAGGGAGCTAGTTAGAGCAGGCATAGTACCTTGCATTTTACAGATGAAGGAATTGTGATAAACATTAAATGTCATGTTTAAGATGACACTAGCTCTCTAAGGTTCTTGGGCCTTTGACAAGTAGTTCAAGGCCCATTTCATGGCACTATTTGGTCTTTTATTTGATGAAACTACTTCAGCCCAAAACTGGCGTTCATCCCTATTTGCCAAGCCCCTTCCCTTTCCCTACTCCCTCCACTAATTCACTTATTCATGATCCTCCCGATGTTTGTCCCACCAATGATTTTCACTCTTTACACAAGAAGTAGAGAATCTGATAGGTTCTTACACACTACATGAGAAACACAGGGAGAGTTCAATGTGTAACCCAGATGATCAGATTGCTAAACCTTGGAACCTGATGATAGCACACTCCTGTGATAGCTCAAATTCCAATATAATAGGACTGGGGATAGGTTTCAGTCCGCACAGTGGGTTCTCCCAGCTCACATCTTGAACCTTGCACTAAAGCAGCACTGCATCATACAGAGGACCCCATTCATAGGGTCACAGCAGTATTCTATGACAGTGGAATTTCTAGCATTGTTTGGGAGAATATTTCTAAGAAGCCAGTTTATGTGAGAAGAAATAAGAGGGCTTTCCCAATTCTCCTTACATTGTAACCAGAGTGAACATCTACTCTGCCCAGGAGAAATCAGAATGATGGAAGGCTGTGGCATTTTGCAACAAATGATCAGGGAATAATTGCTATGTGGGCTAAGGTCACTCTGCTGATCTAAAATCGAGCCTTGCCAGCTCGACATTCCCAAAGAACAAAGTTCACATAGATCAAGGAAGTCCAAGTAGTGTCAAAACCATTCACATTGCTGATTTTTAAAATGGAAAAGAATTCATGTAATAAAATAGCTGACCTGCTAGAACCTGCAAATCAATAGATAATATAGATTAAGTACTGAAAAATAAAGCTCAGAGACTGCTTCCTAAGCTAAAATTATTATTATTATTATTATTATTTTTTTTTTTTTTTTTTTTTTTAGACAGAGTCTTGCTTTGTCACCTGGCTGGAGTGCAGTGGCGCTATCTCGGTTCACTACAACCTCCGCCTCCTGGATTCAAGCGATTCCCCTGCCTCAGCCTCCCAAGTAGCTGGGACTACAGGCATGCACTACCATGGCTGGCTAATTTTTTTGTATTTTAGTAGAGACAGAGTTTCACGATGTTGGCCGGGATGGTCTTGATCTCCTGACCTCGTGATCCACCCACCTCGGCCTCCCAAAGTGCTGGAATTATAGGTGTGAGCCACTGCACCTGGCCAACTAAAATTATTTCTTGTTACCAGAGAAGAATAATAGTTCACCTGAAATTGATTATTACACAGGGGATACCCAACTGCCTCTTTTTCTTCCCTGGTTTCACTTTGTCCTTGGCGGTAATGGAACCCATCTCATAGTCAAGTGCAAATATCCAAACTGCCCAGCATAAGGGGGTCTCATAAGCCAGAGTCACAAATCTTACAACTTAGTCGGGTACAGGGATATTGTTCTGATTAGTGTTGGAGTAGTGGGAGGTGAGGGAACTCCAGAAACTATAACTACTTAGGGTCCAGTAAAACCTCAATAGTCTGGGAGTCTCTCAGTGTTTCTGGACAACCATAGCAGTGCTTTATGGGGCATTTTTGGGGGTACAGGTCTTGACACCAACAGCATCCTCTTGACTGATTTGGAAATCTTCAGAGTGATGACATGATTTAAAAAATAGGCTAAGATATCTGCACTTGTCATTTACCATCAAATTGGGCAGGACAGAAGACATGCCAAACAAGTCTTCCCTCTCTTCACTGTGTACTACTGTCTGTCACAGCAATTTTGTCACTGGTATGAGGCATTGTTTTTTCCATGGTCCTAGGAGCCATCCTACAGTGTGCACTCACCCTCCCTCAGGTCCCTGCCAGGGTATTATTATATCCTGTGACATGGGAGAGTGTTCTCATATTGGTAAATTCTTTTGTATTCAAACTTTCTTGTACTCACCATGGTTGGGCACCCCACCGTGGTTGGGCACCCTCAGAATCCACTCTCAGGCATATTCTCCCAGTTAGTTAATCCTGAAATTGGACCTAGAAGGGTGAGACATGGTTTGGCTTTGTTCCCACCCAAATCTCATTTTGAATTGTAACTTGCACAATTCCCATGTGTCACAGGAGGAACCCAGTGGGAGGTGATTAAATTATAGGGGCAGGTATTTCCTGCACTGTTCTCATGATAGTGAATGAGTCTCATAAGATCTGATGGTTTTAAAAGGAGCAGTTCCCGTGCAGAAACTCTGTCTCTTTGCCTGCCACCATCCATGTAAGATATGACTTGCTCCTTCTTGCCTTCCGTCATGATTGTGAAGCCTTCTCAGCCATGTGGAAACGTAATTCCATTAAACATCTTTTTCTTTCCAGGCTTGGGTATGTCTTTATCAGCAGCATGAAAACAGACTAATATAAAGGGGTATAGTTCTTTTCCTCCCATAGCAGTCGAGCATTTTCTTGACACAGTTACTTTATGACTTAACCCTAGTTATTGACCTAGCAGTGAGGAGGGAAGATGGGTGACACCCTGAAGAGAGTACATGATGTCTTGTAGAGAGGCCTTGGAATTGATGTGTGTGTGTTTGTGTGTGTGTGTGTCTGTGCACGTGGTGTGTTTCTAGCCCTCCATAAAGAGAAGTGGGCCATTTGTGCAGGCTCAGAGGGTTCAGGGCTGATATAATTTGGGTAATTGTCCCTTCCAAATCTCATGTTGAAATGTAATTCCCAGTGTTGGAGATGGGGCCTGGTGGGAGGTGACTGGATCGTGGGGGTGGATGCTCATAAATGGCTCAGCACCATTCCCTTGGTGATAAGTTCTTGCTCATTCAGTTCGCTGCCTTTGGTATTTCTCTATAGCTACAAAAGAATGGTCTAATGCAAGGGCAATCTGGAGACTCAAGATTCTTGGCAGGGAGGGGCGTCAACACAGATGTGCCCTTCCCTGTGTCCGTGCCCATTTTTCCCAATGCTTTTGGCATAGCAGACCTACTTCAGCTACTCTTACAATTAAATTCTGGCCTGGATCTTCCTATTTGAACCCCTTTCCCCTTCCAAATTAAGAGATGAGAGTCTCTTGGTGTGTTTCCAGGGAGGCCCTCTGGCCTTCCCACTTAGAATTTATTTAATGGCTGATTAATCAATCTCAGCTCTTTGCTACCTTTTCCTAGGGCATCAGTGGAACTTAACCACAGCCAACCAATTGCACTGTCCTTGTGATGACTATTGCTCCCTTATTTCTCAAATGCCTGACACATGGCAGCTGCTAGTGCATCCTCTTCCATGGGTATACATCCCAGGGTGTACATCCAATGGAAGGAGGTTATGGGTTAAGGCAAAATTGTGAATAAGGATAGGAGGTGAAGATAGCAGATGAAAAAATTGGAAACCCCTGAGTGTTTGTCCAGGGACTCTTATCTGCCTGGATTATTTTCCCCATATCCTTTACCTAATTAAACTCTAAACTTACCCTTCACAACTCAGCTCACACAAGAATCAATTTCACTCTAAAGTCTTCATGGACCCTTTCCAAGCCTTAGACTGGATTGGTTGCCTGCCTTGTTATTCCTGTAACTCTTTAGCCACCTCAATCATATAACAACACACTAAGCATCTGCTCACATATGTCTATTTCAATACACCAGTGGTTTTCAACCTCAGACATACATGTGGAAGTGGAGTTTGGCCACTAATACATTATAAAAGTGTTAAGGAGAACAAGAATAGACTTTGCCTCTTCCACTAACCAGTGGTGTGGACTTCAGCAAGATGTTGAGACTCAGTAGGACTCAGCTGCTTCTTATGTAATGTTCTTAATGGTCACTTTTTTGTAAGCCAAGCATTAGATCTCACCAAAAACTTCTTCATTTACATGCACTAAGTTATGAGTATTAGGTGGGCTTACACCTCCTGGTAGTATCTGTTTTGTAAAACAGCTCTTAACTACATAAATAAGCCACTAAATGATATTGAAAGATATTTGGAACAGAGGCCCACTTTTTAGTTTTTATTTTTGGCTTACTTTCACCTGTATTCCTTCATGATGAATAAAGGAAAACCACATGGCATCTTATTTCAGAAAGGTGATGACCTCCTAATGTGAATGCAGGGTTAGAATAAGGGATTCTGTGTCTCCAGGCTATGAGTGTTTATTGTCTAACTTTCTCTCAGTGACTGCTCAGTGCATTGTGCTGGGGGCAGGTGACAGAGGCCAGGGGAAATATTTCCAATGCCCATCCAACAACGTCTGGCAAGCACAAGTCATCTCCAGGATGGGAAACTTCCAGGGGATGAAATTCTCTGGCTCAAAGGTTGGTCTTATCTCATCTTGTTGGCAAGATTGAGTGTCCTGGCCCGGGTCTGACCTAACCTGGGACTTTAAATACACAACTCATTCTGTTAACTCCCCTGCCCTTCCTTCATGCTTACCAAGCAACCCTCTGGTTAATGTTTAGCTTCTCATATAGATGGCACTAATAGAGAGTCATTGGGGCAGTTACATTTCTCGTGGTCAGCTAAATACCCTAGCAGTTTGGGCTTTCCATGGAATCTGTTGTGAGCAAAGTGAACATCATCGGTCTCCCTTTACCTGGGAAATCCTGGGACCCTGGCAATACTGCATCTGTGGAACTATAAGATTGAAGGCCAGAATATGGGATGTGAAAGTACTCTGCAATAGATACTATGAACCCTGTGTGGGTCCCAACAAGTAATTTTTCTTGAATGACTCCCCAGCCTTATCCTATGTGTGATTCAACACCCATTGAGTCCTAACTTGGACTGTAGAAACAGTTGGAGGATGTCCACGGGTCTGGAGGTGGAGTGAGGCGAGCAAACTCAGGATGCCATGGCCAACATGCCAAGAGGAGTGAAGCACAGCCCGTGGAGAACGCAGCCGTGCCTGGCTCATTCTCTGGTTTACTCATGGAGAGAGGCTGCTGGTCTATTCTGTTGAAAGTTTGAATATTTTTTTTAATCAAAAGAAAGAGACTGGGCACAGTGGCTCACGCCTGTAATCCTAGCACTTTGGGAGGCCAAGGCAGGTGGATAACCTGAGGTCAGGATTTCAAGACCAGCCTAGTCAACATGGCAAAACCCCATCTGTACTAAAAATACAAAAATTAGCGGGATGTGGTGGCGCATGCCTGTAATCTCAGCTATTCAGGAGGCTGAGGCAGGAGAATCACTTGAACCCAGGGGGCAGAGGTTGCAGTGAGCCCAGATCAGGCCACTTCACTTCAGCCTGGGCAAAACAGCGAAACTCTGTCAAAAAAAAAAAGAAAAGAAAGAAAAAATTGGAGTAATTTTATTCCATCTCTCATTGCCAGGCAAGGACATAACTTCAGACACCCTAAAAAAAAAACTCCAGTGAGACTCCACCCAATCTGAGAAGTGTATTTGTATATTTTTGATTGTATTGCTATTCACTATTTTATTTTTATTACCACGTATTGCATTCTAAAAATAAGCTAGGTGCTAGTCAGAAAAGTGAATCAGGCTCAAGCCCTGCTTATATAAAGATGCTGGCTGCCAGCCTGTCTCACAGGACTACTGTGATGGTTTCGTGCTGGCTTGAAGACTGGCAAAGAACTCCCTGAAGGAGCTGTCAAAATCTTAATACAAATAATTCACTCTAGTTACACAGACATTATATGTTTATTACATGATATTATATATATGTTACATATATATATCAACATTGGGAAGTGAATAATAGTATCTATCTTCCATTATTATTGCAAAGGTAATGGCTATAAAATGCCTAGCATGTGGCAAGTGCTCAAAAATGATAGTAGTTATTTTAAAATCATTATCATTATTACTATTATAACTAGCAAAGATATTGCCAATGTAAAGAAAATTTTTCAGAAGAATGATAAGAAAGCTGCCCAACACACTCCCACCCCACCACACTCTATCACTCCATTATTTGAATCACTTACTTGAAATATGAGGTGAGTATAGAAGAGAACACAGAATAACGAATAAACACACTTGCCACTTTCACTAAGATATGGAGGTAGCTTTATAAATATGATAGTAATAGGTCTGGAAGCAGCAACACAACCCTAATTTAATGTTTACTTTTTTGCCACTTGTATTAATCTCATCCTGATATGAAATAATTTGCCATTTATCATAAGCCCTTTCTCTGTGAGGACGTGGATAACTAACAACAAAATCCAGTAAACAGGAAAACCTGGAAGTCTGGTTCAAATGAAACCACTAAGCAAAATAGGTGATTAAGGTAGACTTCAAAGTCCTCTCTAATAAATGGTTTACAGCCTCCAACAGATAAGAAAAAGAACAAACTGGCCAAAAGTAAAAGATAAACAGATACATAAAAACTGAATGTGGAAAACAATCTAATCTCTTTTGGAGGAAACAACTTCCTAGGTCATCAGTTCATAGTGACAACACCTTATTTTTGCATAGAAGAGTAGAGCCAGTGCCCAGTCTCATGCATTATTTCATTTGATCCTCACGACAAGACAGATAACATCAGAGAATATCCAAGAACTAGCTTGAAAGGAAAGACCAACTAAACCCACAGACATACTGTTGATTCTCCCAGAAAAGATTTTCTGATTTTCTTTCTTTTTTTTTTTTTTTTGAGACAGAGTCTCTCTCTGTCGCCCAGGCTGGAGTGCAGTGGAGTGATCTTGGCTCACTGCAACCTCCACCTCCTGGGTTCAAGCGATTCTCCTGCCTCAGCCTCCTGAGTAGCTGGGACTACAGACGCACACCACCACACCTAACTAATTTTTGTCTTTTTAGTAGAGACAGGGTTTCACCATGTTGGCCAGGATTGTCTCAATCGCTTGACCTCATGATCCGCCCACCTCCGCCTTCCAAAGTGCTGGGATTACAGGTGTGAGCCA
The DNA here is from genome assembly GCF_000001405.40 of Homo sapiens. Lineage (NCBI taxonomy): Eukaryota > Metazoa > Chordata > Mammalia > Primates > Hominidae > Homo > Homo sapiens. Next base: position 72,127,368 of record NC_000009.12, on the reverse strand, counting down.
CCGCGCCCAGCCCAGGAAGGATTTTCTTTCAGATCCTTTTGGTTCTGTTTTGGTTTGTTTATTTGTTTCTTCATGTCAGAAGAGATCTATTTTCCCATCAACCCATTTAATTTTTTTAAAACTGGTTTTGATTCAACCTAGTTCAAATACTTATTTTTAAAAACAGAATATAATTTCTACTCTACTCCGTTTAGTAGTCCATTACATATAGCAAGTGTCATGCTGTGTGAACAAGATCATGCCAACTCTGACATAAGTAATTACAAATCTAGGATGCAACAGGCTTCCCAATAATTTTGAGCCAGATAGATGGTAAGTTTGGAGCAAGAGGGTCATGGAGAATATTTTAATCTGGGAAGTAACCTAGGAATGGCTGTGTCTTCTCTCTCTGAGCTGATCTATCGCGGCTAGTAATTTGCTCAAGGATGGCACCAGATACTCTCAGAAAAGGTCAGGCAGTCAAAGGACAAATCTGAATAGGGAGAAAAAACTAACCAGGTTCTGCCGGGTGTGGTGGCTCACGCATGTAATCCCAACACTTTCGGAGACTGAGTCAGGTGGATCACCTGAGGTCAGGCGCTCAAGACCAGCCTGGCCAACATGATGAAACCCCGTCTCTACTAAAATTACAAAAATTAGCTGGGCCTGGTGGCAGGTGCCTGTAGTCCCAGCTACTTGGGAGGCTGAGGTAGGAGAATCACTTGACCCCGGGAGGCAGAGGTTGCAGTGAGCCGAGATCGCGCCGCTGCACTCCAGCCTAGGTGACAGAATGAGACCCTGTCTCAAAAAAAAAAAAAAAAAAGACTAACCAGGTTCTCAGTCTCCCTTTACAGTTCTTGTTGTCATCCTAGTTCCTATAATTCCTATCTTGTTCCAGTTGGCAAGCACATGTGAATCAGATTTAAAGCTGAGATGCCACGTGTCTATCACTACAGTTCATGGCTGCTACTCAACATCTGGCAAGTCTGTGAGTTGTTAACCTTTATTAGCTAAACCGGCACAGTCTCTGGTGTATAGCAGATGCTCAAAAAATGTCTGTTGGATGGGTGGATGAATACATGGACAGATAAACGAACAAACTAAGTACTTGGAACTATAATAAAGAAAATATCGTGTTTAGCCAGATCAGAATACTCCAAGGGGTCTGCCTTTATTTAAAAACATTCCTGGCCAGGTGCAGTGGCTCACGTCCGTAATCCCATCACTTTGGATTGCCTGAGGTCAGGAGTTCGAGACCAGCCTGGCCAACATGGTGAAACCCCGTCTGTACTAAAAATACAAAAAATTAGCCGGGTGTAGTGGCACATGCCTCTAGTCCTAGCTACTCAGGAGGCCGAGGCAGGAGAATCACTTGAACCCAGGAGGCAGAGGTTGCAGTGAGCCGAGATCATGGCACTGCACTCCAGCCTGGGCAACAGAGCGAGACTCTGTCTCAAACAAACAAACAAACAAACAAATTTCCTGAACCTGTCGTTTACCTTCCAAAATCATAGAAAAGCCATATCTACTATGTAATATTATATAATATATTTTCCTTATAAATAACTGGGAGGATCAGGACATTGGGGTGGATGGGGACAAAGTTAGAACTTTCCAGGGTCTAGAAAACATGGGGAAAAGACTCATTCAATTTTAGAAGCTAGAGAAACCAAAGTGCCCCACAATTCTGCCATTGACCTGCTGCTAAATCTTGTTGTTGAATGGGCTGGTAAATATTGATACCACTATATCATTAATTTATTGTTTTAATATTTTGATAACAATATATCATATAGTTGGCGTCATTTTTAATTCTAAGTACATGATTTTATTTTATGCCTATAAAATGTTATTTTTAAGAAAGAATCAGCCAAGCACAGTGGCTCATGCCTGTAATCCCAGCACTTTGGGAGTCTGAGGCGGGAGGATCACTTGAGCCTGGGGAGGTCAAGGTTGCAGTGTGTCGTGATCGTGCCACTGCACTCCAACCTGAGTGACAGAGCGAGATCCTGTCAAAGAAAAAGAAAGAGAGAGAGAGAGAGGAAGGAAGGGAGGGAGGGAGGGAGGGAGTAAAGGAAGGAAGGAAGGAAGAAAGGAAGGAATGAAGGAAGGAAGGATCCTTCTCTGGCCTCTCCAGGCTGCCAAAGAAGCCCACGGAACAGAAGCCACCAGAAACCAGTGCTTCAAAGGCAAGACTGCAGTTTGCACACTTCATTTCCACTCTCATCCATTTGGTCAGAACTTAGGCACATGGCCACACCTCACTGCAAAGGAGACTGGTAAATGTAGTCTTTATCTAGATCAATGCCATTAATAAAGAATCCTTTGAGTCCTCTCTCCCAAATCATCCAGGATTCAAACATAAAATATCGGCAGCCCTAAAAATAGTATTCATTTGTTTTAAAGAAGGTAATCACTGTTTTATGATTTTGGAGGTTAAAACCCTGCTCACCAGTGGTTTCCAAATAAGACTGATCACCAGGGCCAGGCGCGATGGCTCAAGCCTGTAATCTCAGCACTTTGGGAGGCCGAGGCGGGTGGATCACAAGGTCAGGAGTTCGAGACCAGCCTGACCACCATGGTGAAACCCCATCTCTACTAAAAATACAAAAATTAGCCAGGCTGATTATTCCCATAACCCATTAGCCACCTCCATCATATAACAACATACTAAGCAACACTGTCTTCATTTTAGAAATTAAAAAAAAAGAAAACTCCTTCAAGGAGCTTATTTAGTGGATGTCATACACCTTGTAACTAATGTAACTAGGAAGGCAGCCTGTTTGACAGGTGCCAACATCTAGGTGCTTTCCACCAAGACTTCTCAACACTCTTTTAAAAATTAAAGCCCTTTTTTCTACATATTATTGGTGATTTCTCCACAATCAAGACAAACAGAGCAGATACTAAATTCCACTGGTTCTCATTGGTTCTAAAGACATATGTCTCACATTTTAACATCACTGAAATCTGAGTGTAAATTATGATCAATGGCATATTATAGTTTGAGTAGCAGCATTTTTTGCTTTCTTGGTGACACATAAAATACTGAGGCGTTTGCAATTTATAAAGTGTCTTCTATGTTATAAAATGTGGTGCAACAGAAACTTCTCTGATATTTAACACTTTGCTTTCTTTGATACTGCTGTTAATAGCTCTTGTAGCTACAAGGAAGGTGCCATGGCTGATACAAATAAAGAGGTAAAGGGCATAGGTGGTTTCCACTATATAGCCTGGAAAAGTTCTTTTCTTTTCCATGTTTTCTCTTCTTTTTTCCTGTTGCTAGAGGTTGGCCTTTTTGGTATGTCCTAGTAGATCTTGGTCCTTGTTTTCCTCTCTGCAAAACTATGGTACAATACTCTCAAGTGTTCCACTCACCTAATGGCAGCACAGCCTTCAATTTTTAAATGTATCCTCACTGGCTTCTCACTGTCTTTGGACCTCTTCTACTTAATCAGAGTTTTTCACGCAAAACAATTGCTTGATGCAATTTTAACTAAATTAAATTTAATTAAATGAATTCTTTGTTTCATTATATTTATTTAGAAACTGCACAAGTTCTATTTCACAACAGCACAGGGAAAAGCAAGTAAAACAGCTCTGGGTTGGGTGCAGTGGCTCACACCTATAATCCCAGCACTTTGGAAAGCCAAGGCAGGTGGATCACTTGAGGTCGAGAGTTCGAGACCAGCCTGACCAACATGGAGAAATCCTGTCTCTACTAAAAATACAAAATTAGCTGGGCGTGGTGGTGCATGCCTGTATTCCCAACTACTCGGGAGGCTGAGGCAGGAGAATCGCTTGAACCCGGGAGATGGAGGCTGCAGTGAGCTGAGATCACGCCATTGCACTCCAGCCTGGGCAACAAGAGCGAAATTCTGTCTCAAAAAAAAAAAAAAAAAAAAAAGGCCGGGCATGGTGGCTTACGCCTGTCATCCCAGCACTTTGAGAGGCCAAGGCAGGCGGATCACAAGGTCAGGAGATCAAGACCCTCCTGGCTAACACGGTGAAACCATGTCTCTACTAAAAATACAAAAAATTAGCCAGGTGTGGTGGCGGGTGCCTGTAGTCCCAGCTATTTGGGAGGCTGAGGCAGGAGAATGGCGTGAACCTGGGAGGCGGAGCTTGCAGTGAGCCGAGATCGCGCCACTGCACTCCAGCCTGGGCAACAGAGCAAGACTCGGTCTCAAAAAAAAAAAAAAAAGGGAAGAAAAAAGAAAACAAACAGCTCTGAGAGTGGGAAGTATTCTCGATCATGGGGAGATAAGCAAGAAGAATAACTGCCTTGAAGAAAGATAAGTAATTAGGGAACAAAAGAGAACTTCTAAAAAATTTATAAATACTGCTTTGGTGAGATCGAGAAGGTGCCTTCTTAAAATATGAATACACAGTCAAAGAAAATAATGATTAGAAAACATAAATTCTAGAATTTAAAAGCTTTTCAAGAAGAGTTCTGAAAGGTCATGGACATCTCCCAAAATGTCAAAGTGGATTCTTCTCCCCACTCCCACCTGCTGGGCAGAGCTTATCCTTGGAGCAGGACAGTAAAGGTTCTGGAAGGTGGCCACTACAAAAAAGGGAAATGATAGAAAGGCTGGATAATCTTGAAGACATGGGGGAGGCACCTGATTCCATTGTCATCAGTGAAAAAGAAAGACTGTAAAGTTGGATGGAAAGGATTACTCTTGATCCCATTATAAACTCTTTTGTTTCTCTCAGGTGTCTGTGTGTGTGTGTGTGTGTGTGTGTGTGTGTAAATGTATACATTTTTTCCAAAAGCAATGAAAATAAGAGATAAAGAAGTGCAAGAGGAAGACAAAGAGTAATCTTGTGTACATAGTGTGTTCCATTACATACGTTAACTCTCCGTTCCATAAAGTTGCAGAGTTACAATATTAATAATAGGCTGCATTTAACAGAGAACTTTCTATGTGCAAGACATTCTGCCAAGTACTTTCCAAGTATTCTTTCATTTAATGCTTAGAATGCCCCTATCAAATAATAATGATTATTTTCCCCATCTTACAGTTGAGGAAAGGAAGGTTCAAAGAGATGAATGCCCAGAGCCCAGAGATGCATAGTTCTAGCTGCTCATGCCAAGAATTGAGCCCAGCAATCTGAGTCTAAATAAGATGCTCTCAACATTTCACTGCTCTGCCCCCATGCCTGTGAGAAACGTAAAATCAGATGTCAATTAGGCAGAAGATTCTCATGTCTGAAAGTCAGGATAGAGACCTGGGCTCCAGGTAGAATTGTGGGCTTGATCAGCAAATGGAAGTAAAGTTGTATGAGTGGATGAAATCCCAGGACAGTACTTGTAATCAGAAGAGGAGATCTAAGGCAGGTCTGATCTATCTCAACACATAAGGGGTAGACAGTGAAAAAGAAGCAAACTTCAACCCCAGAGATTTATAAAATAGGAGAAAAACTAGCAAAGTGGTATTTCATGAAAGTCCATGGAAGTCAATGTTTCAAGGAGAGGGCTGTCAACAGAGTCAGTGGCTGCTCTAAGTCAAGTTATTAAAGGGACTCAGATTCTTTGACGTTAGAAACAAGAAGGTAATTGGTGATGTTGCCAAGAGCAGTTTCAGTGATGTCACTGGGTGTATGCCAAGCTTCCATGCGTTGAGATGTGCAAAGTACAGTGGAGATAGCAAGTGTATACAAGTCTTTCAGGAAGTTTGTCTATGATGAGGCAGAGAGATAATGATTGGGTTAAAGAGGGAGCTTTTTGGAGACAAACAAGGGCAGAATAACACAATGATTAAGACAGAATCTTTTTTTCTTGTTTTGAGGCTGACTTTCGCTCTTGTCACCCAGGCTGGAGTGCAATGGCGCGATCTCAGCTCACTGCAACCTCCGCCTCCTGGGTTCAAGTGATTCTCCTGCCTCAGCCTCCCGAGTAGCTGGGATTACAGGCGCCTGCCACCACGCCCAGCTAATTTTTGTATTTTTAGTAGAGACGGGATTCACCATGTTGGCCAGGCTGGTCTTGAACTCCTGACCTCAGGTGATCCACCCGCTTTGGCTTCCCAAAGTGCTGGGACTACAGGTGTGAGCCACTGCGCCCAGCCAAGATAGAATCTTATGCTCAGACAGAGTTTGGTTTGAATCCCTGCTTTGCCACACGCATGTTGCATAATCTTGGTTGGTGCTTATCCTTTTGGAGTTTCATTTCCCTCATGTGCATAATGTAGAAAACAACATCAACCGTAAAAAGAGGTTGAGAAAAATAATATATTTAAGAGGCTTCAGTACCTACCATGTTTGGTACGAACTAAATGCTTAGTGAATGGGAGTTGCCATTTTATTAATGCTATTTATATGCTTCTCGAGAGGGTATTGAAACGCCTGTGGTTGAAGTAAGAACCTGAAGATAAAGGAGAGGGGACTCATTAATGGAGTAAAGTCCCCAAGAAGGCAGGGGAAGATGAGATCCAGAGCACAAGTAGAGAAATTAACCCTAGAAAGAAGAGTGGATTGGTGAGTGCTGAGGTTGGTAAGTTTGCAGGGTCGGTGGTGCAAAGTAGAGTCATTTTCTGCCTGCTGCCTTCTGTTTCCCGAATGATGCTGAAGTGTTGAAGTCATGTGTTAAAGGGTAGGTGGTGGAAGCATAGGCTTGATATGAGTAGAAAAATTTAAATATCTACCACGGAGAGCACATGGCCTTATAAAACATGTTAGAGAAGTTGGATCATGTGCATCAAATGTTAACATAGTAAGCATGTTAACAATGTCACATTTTATGCTTACTAAATCACTTGATTTATTTCTTACCTGCAGTGATATGGATTGACCAAAGAAAACAAGAAAAGACCCCACTGCTTCTAAACGACTCCTGATTTCATTGTCACATGACAAATGCCATTTTTCTTAGAGTTTTAAAAGAATGCTGTGGACAGGTGCAGTGGCTCATGCCTGTAATCCCAGCACTTTGGGAGGCTGAGGCGGGCGGATCAACTGAGGTCAAGAGTTTGAGAACAGCCTGGCCAACATGGTGAAAGCTTGTCTCTGCTAAAAATATTTTTTAAAAATTAGCTGGGCGTGGTAGTGCAAGCCTGTAGTCCCAGCTACTTGGGGAGGCCAAGGCAGGAGAATCGCTTGAACCCAGGAGGCAGAGGTTGCAGTGAGCCGAGATCGTGCCACCACACTCTAGCCTAGGTGACAGAGGGAGACTCTATCTCAAAAAAAAAAAAAAGAATGCTGCATCTCTTTGGGAAAATTATTGCTGTAGTTTGTAATTATTGATATGACTCATAAATCCTATTGATAAGTGCACTTACACTGATCTTTAAATAGCACTGGCAAGGAGAGAGAAGCAGGCAAGCAGCTTTGAAACACATTAAGTTCCTCTTCTTGCTTATGGGCTATACAAGGTTAAAGATTAACTTTAGATACAATAGATTATATTTTGAAGGTCAGCTCTAAGAGATGTGGTTCCACAATTTACACAGAAATGTGACTCTTTTTAATAATCTTTAAAATATTATTTCAAAACGTATATCTTTTCTGCAGAAGTCACAGAGGAAAAACATCCCATGGTCTCTCATAAAAAATATGACTAATTGGTTCTCTGTGCTTACTTTGTTTGATAAAGTGTATATCTTGCTCAAGCCATCATTATTTACCAAAATAAATAATGACATTTGATTAGGAGTAATCAAATGAAAAGAATTTTTTTCCAAATCACTCACTTAAAAGAAAATTTATTCTCTTTCTTATCCCCAAAACAACACGTTAAGAATAGAAAAACATCTTAAAAATCAGCTACCTTCTCATTATAGTGAAATAATGATTGTTCATATTTTGTTATATATTCTTTCAGCATTTTTTCCAAACATTTACACATATCCATGTATTTAGCAAAAGGGATAATTTTGAAATTTTTTTTGAGACAGGGTCTCACTCTGTCATCCAGGCTTAAGAGCAGTGGCCCGATCACAGCTCACTGTAGCCTCGACCTCCCTAAGTGATCCTCCCACTCAGACTCCTGACTAGCTAGGACTACAGGCGTGAGCCACCACATCCAGCTAATTTTTGTATTTTTAGTAGAGATGTGGTTTTGCCATGTTGGCCAGGCTGGTCTCAAACTCCTGAGCTCATGGAATCTGCCCCCCTCGGCCTCCTGAAGTGCTGGGATTGCAGGTGTGAGCCGCTGCGCCTGGCCCAAATATGCTAACATTTAGAAAGCTAATCCTTTATTCCTAAACATTATTTCCTCCACTGACATTTTTTTTCCTAGTTGATATTACAACTTACCATAGGATAACATCTTTATAGATAATTTTTGGCATATAACTCATATTTTTTATTTATATTCCTAGAAACCTTAATGCTGGGTTAAAGACTATGTTTTCTTTTTTAATCATTTGCTTATCAATTTCATTAATATTTAGTGACCATTCAATAAATATGTAAAACTTAATTATACATTTATTGAATTATCAGTGGTCTTGGCACTAGGAATACTCAAGTGGGACAAATACAGTCCCTGTACTAAATGATCCTGAGGCGTAGGAAAGCAGACAGAAAGTAAGCAATCCTTTGTCATGCAATGTTAAAATGAAAACCAGAAAGACCACAGGAAGTGCATTCTCACCATCAGTATATGAGCGTGCCTATTTCTTTACATGCTCATCAACTTTAATACTAAACATAAGAAAAAAAATTGCCAGTTTGATGGATGAAAATGTTTCTCAGGGTAATTTGCATTTCTGTGATTACTGATGAAACTGAACATTTTTTTCATGTATTTATACTGCTCTCACATATTTTGGGGAAAAATGCTGGTTAAAAATCTGTGCAATTGTTTGGCTTTTCTATGCATCTCCTAGAGCTTTATTTTTCTTTTCTATTAAATTTCCACAACTCTTTAGAGATAGAGTTGAAATAATCAATATCGTGATAAAAACATATTTATAGTGTGACTTTAGAGTTCGCTTGCCTTTATAGCACTGTAAGTATGAATGAGGAAGAAATTTTTATACAGTACATTTGAGTGGACATTACCATAAATTATCAAGGTATTTAGTGGTTCTAAAGAAAGACGTAAGGAATTAATTTTCTTTCTTTGAATGCCTGAATTTACATTCTTTTTTTTTTTTTTTTTTTTTTTTGAGGTGGAGTCTCTTGCTCTGTCGCCCAGGCTGGAGTGCAGTGGTGCGATCTCAGCTCACTGCAAGCTCCGCCTCCCGGGTTCACGCCATTCTCCTGCCTCAGCCTCCCGAGTAGCTGGGACTACAGGCGCCTGCCACCATGCCCGCCTAATTTTTTGTATTTTTAGTGGAGACGGGGTTTCACCATGTTAGCCAGGATGGTCTTGATCTCCTGACCTCATGATCCGCCCGCCTCAGCCTCCCAAAGTGCTGGGATTACAGGCGTGAGCCACCGCGCCTGGCCTGAATTTATATTCTTAATATCTTTCGCCTACATATATACTTCTATTTATTCATTCAACCAATATTTTGTCCAGTACAAAGACCCCTAGAATTATCCCGGAGTAGCTGACCTCAGTGACTGTTTATTGACAACCAAATCCTCCATTCTTTTGTGCTTGCAGAACCCACTTTTGTTCCATTAGCTATCCCTCAAAGAAAGTAACTATCACCCAACTCAGTGGTACCTCCTCGCCAATTGGGAGGTGGATGCCCCATTCATTTTGCCACAGTGATTGGGCTGGTTCTCAACATGTGACACATTTTAACCAGTGAGATGAGGGAGAAGTCCACTGGATGTCCTCTGGGAAAGATTTCCTCACTTTTACAAAAGGTGAACACAGAAAGAGAGCATCTCTTCTTATGTTGTTAAACACTGGCATGTCTCCTTGTGATATCTAGAACCATGACTACCACCTTGAAATCAAAGCCACCCTATTGCATATGGCTGACTGATGCACTTGAGTTTGAGCTTACCCTTGGCAACATTACTTCACCTCTCTGAATTCAGTCTCTTCATTGGGAGATGGGGAGAAAGAGAGAGATTGTTCTGTATTTCTCAAATTATCATTTTATAAAGGTCATTTTAACATTAAAAAAAGACATACACTCAGGAAAAAAATCAAAGGTTGAATTAATTAAACCTTTTTTAAAACCTTAATATTCTGTCTTATTTTCTTTATTTCTTTGTGAAGTGAAAAATTCCTACAGACTCTGGATAGAGTCCAGAGTCCATTTAATTAAACAAGTCATATACTCATAAAACAAATAATGATGTGAATGATAGACTAGATTAAGAAAATGTGGCACATATACACAATGGAATACTATGCAGCCATAAAAATGATGAGTTCATGTCCTTTGTAGGGACAAGGATGAAGCTGGAAACCATCATTCTGAGCAAACTATCTCAAGGACAGAAAACCAAACACTGCATGTTCTCACTCATAGGTGGGAAATTGAACAATGAGAACACTTGGACACAGGATGGGGAACATCACACACTGGGGCCTGTCGTGGGGTGGTGGGAGGGGGGAGGGATAGCATTAGGAGATATACCTAATGTAAATGATGAGTTAATGGGTGCAGCACACCAACATGGCACATGTATACATATGTAACAAACCTGCACGTTGTGCACATGTACCCTAGAACTTAAAGTATAATAAAAATAAATAAATAAATAAATAACGATATGAATATATTTTTAGTTCTATATAAGATAAGGGTTCTGAAAAATCAGAGATCATTGAGGATAGAAAACCTGGGGAGGCCGGGCGCGGTGGCTCACGCCTGTAATCCCAGCACTTTGGGAGGCCGAGGCAGGTGGATCACGAGGTCAAGAGATGGAGACCATCCTGGCCAACCAACGTAGTGAAACTCCGTCTCTACTAAAAATACAAAAATTAGCTGGGCATGGTGGCGCACACCTGTAGTCCTACCTACTCGGAAGGCTGAGGCAGGAGAATTGCTTGAACCCAGGAGGCGGAGGTTGCAGTGAGCCGAGATTGTGCCACTGCACTCCAGTGGGTAACAGAGCAAGACTCCATCTCAAAAAAAAAAAAAAAAGGCTGGGGAAACTTCATAGAGGTGTAGAGTCATTTAGCCATGTGGCATGTGGTCAGTAGGCATTGTAAGGTGCTTTGTAATCTACTTTGACTTGATGCTTATATAGGAAACACAGAACAAAATAAGGAACATATTTCATAAATTTTTTTTTTTTGAGACAGTTTCATTCTTGTTGCCCAGGCTGGAGTGCAATGGCATGATCTCGGCTCACCGCAACCTCCCCCTCCCAGGTTCAAGTGATTCTCCTGCCTCAGCCTCCCGAGTAGCTGGGATTACAGGCATGCACCATCACAGCCAGCTAATTTTTTGTACTTTTAGTAGAGACGGGTTTCTCCATGTTGGTCAGGCTGGTCTCGAACTCCCAACCTCAGGTGATCAGCTCACCTCGGCCTCCCAAAGTGCTGGGATTACAGGCGTGAGCCACCACACCCAGCCCAATAGTTATTGTCTCTTACTATTATGTTGTAGGTAAAACCTTGGCATATGAAAATAGTAACTATTGCTCTCATCTGTGGAAGATCTGCTCATTTGCATCTCCCCCTTTTTCAGCAGCTCAACCTTGTTGAGTTATGATTTACATTTGTACAAGTTTCTCATTTTGTTAAATTAATATTCAAGATCAGCAGTTTACTTAGGATCAATTTACTTAGGATAATTGTCTGTATTTTACGTTTTTGTGGTATTACTTTTTAAGTATAAGTTAGGGATCTTAACCAATAAGGCGTAGTTTCTACAAATAAAGCAGACTTAGATGAATCTTGACTTGGAAATACTTTAGACCAAATGAATTATGTTTCTTTGATGCAAATTTTAAATAACAAATATTCTATCTTGTACATCACAATACAATTCAGATTTTTTCTTAATTATAGCTGATCTCCTTCACACCTAGCCCAAGTTTTTAAGACATGTGGATTGAGAAGTCTACGTTCAAAAAGTTCTTTTCTTCCAGGAGGATGTCTGAGTAAGTGCCACAGAATTAACATTCTGTTAATACTCTATAATGGGTCAACTCATTCCCTTTTAGTCCAGGTTCATAATGTAACCTGTGCACCACAGAAAAGAAATCCGTATATCATTGGATTGAAACTAGTCAGAAACTTTTAGACACACCTGGTGATTTTAACTGGGTCAAGCAACACTGGACAATGGTTTTTTGAGAATGGCTTGAGCTGTTCCATAACCCTTGAGTGCACAAGAACAAACTTCTTAATTTTTCTAAATCAAATTAATTATGGCTTGTTTTTTCCACAGCCTGCCCCAACCAGCACTGGGAGGTCATAAAATGCCACTTAATTTTCTGGGCCTTTATCCCCTGCTCCTCCCGGTAGATCATACACAAACTCCTACTTGCTCAATCCACAGGGTGGGTTAAGGCCATAGTGGCAGTTCCTGTGATATACCAGGTCCATCAAAAATAAACTTACCTCTGTACCAGGCACACACTCTCTCTCTGTCCCATTAAGCCCCTGGGACAGGGCTGTGGTACTCAGTATGGATTCTCTAGGCATCCCTCTTTGGGGTGCTGTAGAGAGCAGAAAGCAAGTCCTCACCTCTGGTGGAACCACCACCCTCTCTCCTTATAGTGCTGGGGAGTCCAGTTCTTCTGAGTTGGGCTGCTGCCCTCTTCTTCAAACTTCGGAGTGCTTCCTGTCTCAGACAATATAGGTTTTTGTACCCCTAAGCCTGGATTTTGAAAGCAAAGAAGGAAGGGGAAATACAAAAAAAATTAGCCGGGCGTTGTAGCGGGTGCCTGTAGTCCCGGCTACTCAGGAGACTGAGGCGGGAGAATGGCGTGAACCCGGGAGGCGGAGCTTGCAGTCAGACTGAGGCGGGAGAATGGCGTGAACCCGGGAGGCGGAGCTTGCAGTCAGCCGAGATCGCGCCACTGCACTCCAGCCTGGGCGACAGAGCGAGACTCCGTCTCAAAAAAAAAAAAAAAAAAAAAAAAAGGAAGGGGAAGTTTAGCCCTGTAAGCTCAGGTCTGACTTTTTGAGCATTTTGTGACAAAAACATTACACAATTTAAATTTGCCTGTTAAGTTATAGCACAGCACTAGAATATCAATAAATCCTTATTCTACATTTGTTTACACAAAAGCCCCCCTGCCAAGACCTTACCTTTTTCACTGTGTAGCTCACATATTTAGAAGGGTATCTGGTGCTTAGTAGGTACCCAAAAATTGATCAATGAATTGGGCCTACATATAGTAGGTTTATTGGCCTACATATGCTAGCTCTCTGAAAAAGAAAGCTAATTGGCCTAAGTATGTTAGCTTTCTCAGAAAGAAGGAGTTGCGGGAATGCAAGGAAGAGAGGAAGAGTGGAGTAGAGGTTGGAGGAAAGGAAAGGGCAGGAGATAAAGAAATAAATAATTATTGAGTACCTACCGTGTTTTGGCTCCTTCTTGTTACTGCATTTAATCCCCAGAAAATAACCACATAAACATTCTCATCCACATTTCATGGGGGAGGAAAGAGTGATTCAATGATTTATTAAATAATTTATCCAAGGCTGGGCGCAGTGGCTCACACCTGTAATCCCAGCACTTTGGGAGGCCGAGGAGGGTGGATCACCTGAGGTTGGGAGTTCAAGACCAGCCTGACCAACATGGAGAAACCCCGTCTCTACTAAAAATACAAAATTAGCTGGGCATGGTGGCACATGCCTGTAATCCCAGCTACTTGGGACGCTGAGGCAGGAGAATTGCTTGAACCCAGTAGGCAGAAGTTGTGGTGAGCCAAGATCGTGCCATTGCACTTCAGCCTGGGCAACAAGAGTGAAACTCTGTCTCAAATAATAATAATAATAATAATTTATCCAAGATGACTGAGAGCTAAGATGTAAAAGGATATACCTCTGAATTCAATATCCTACTAATTTCTACAACTTTACCACTTCCTGACTGTCCAAATATTTCCAATTAATCTGGTGATAACTTGAGACTCTGTCTGAAGCTGCCTGCATTTGAAGATTTAAAATAACATAAAAATGCTCCTGTGTTTGTCCTGAGGTCACCAAGATGTGAAATGTAAGCAGCTGGAAGCCAGTTCTGAGAGATGGTTTCCATGGTGGCCAACAGTGATTGGAGCCCAGCATGACTGCCATTTTGTCTCTTCAGTGACAGTTAAAATGCCCTCAGTTAACTAGTTCTGGGCATTCTAATGGCTCTGAACACACTCTTCTAAAGGAAAGTGCTCCCCGGTTACTCTCTAATAACCTTTTACTGACAGGAGGCCTTTTATTAATACCAGTGATTTTTCAACCGCTGGTTCAGGGTTTCTGAACCCCTAAGAGGACTAGGCATCTGGATGTTCATGCTGTCTGGGGGAAATTATACATGACTATTCCTTAAGTTGAGAAAGAGTACTTTGTGTCCCTAGAATGTAAAGCTGCATGTTCTAGATGGACAAGAGCTCTTAGGGTACAGTTTATTTCTTCATTTTGCACCTGCTTTTTTTTTAATGCCTCCTTGATGTCTCTGTGTCTATGTCTACAGAAGCCCCTTCTTCGAAACATTGCATGACACAGCTAAAATCACCCACTGTGTCTAAAAGTCTAATTCATTTCAATTTAATGATGCAAGGATTTCTTTTCTAGGTACACAGGTTGCTTCATGAAGTTGGATTAAAGAAGGAATGAGCTGGCCCATTACTAGAGTACTAATAGAATGTCAGTTCAATGTTATCTATTCAAGCATCACACAGGGGGGAAAAAAAGAACTTTTGAATACAAACTTCTCAATCCATATGTCTTAAAAACTTGGGCTAGGTATGAGGGAGGTCAGCCAGAATTAACAAAAAATTTGAATTGTAGTGTAATGTTCAAGAAAGAACACTAGCAACTTGGAGGCTCTCAATATACTTTCTTTCTTTATTTATCTATTTATTTAGAGACAGGGTCTTGCTCCATCCCCCAGGCTGGAGTGCAATGGCATGATCTCCGCTCACTGCAACCTCTCGCCTCCCAGGTTCAAGAGATTCTCATGCCTCAGCCTCCCGAGTAGCTGGGAGTACAGGCGCTCGCCACCATACTGGCTAATTTTTGTAATTTTAGTAGACACAGGGTTTCACCATGTCGGCCAGGCTGGTCTCGAACTCCTGACCTCAGGTGATCCACCTGCCTGAGCCTCCCAAAGTACTGGGATTACAGGTGTGATCCACCACGCCCAGCCTAAATATACTTTAGTTTCAGAGATGATGATGTTCAGAACTGCTAAGCTTTCCCTTCATTTAAATAATATGCAGACCAGATATTCTGCTAACTTTTCTATGAAAGACTCTTTAAAAATGAGGACATGGCCAATTATTTTGTTCCAATGACCAAAGTGTGCTGCATGGGAGGACATGCAACAAATATGAAAACTGGGGCTGGGAATGTTGGAAAGGGTGTAGCAGGCACCTGTTGGTCCCCACCATTCTCTTCTTTCTTGCTAGCAGGGACCTGATTTGGTTTGGGCTGCAGAATAGTACCCAATCTCCTCAAATGAATCAAGACCAACTGAAGTCAATTGTGACAATCTCATATTCTTCATATGTTGAGTGGTCTAAGGGTGAGCTGATGTTCCATTTCTGGCCAATGAAAAGGAGAAGTCTGCTGATGTCTTCCCAGAAAAATTTTTGTCCCTGCTAACAAAGATATGTGTGGATAGAGTATTTTATCTTGAGCACCCTTTATTCTTGCTCTGGTCATTGCCTTATGATAACATAATAGAGCAGCTGCAGCCATGTCATGCTTGTGAGTGAAAAGTCAGGAGAGTGGAAAAGACATTCATTTGTCCATTCAGCAAGTATTTACTGGGCACTTACTATTGCCAGGTCTTCTAGACTTTGGGGGATACACTAATAAATAAAACAGACAAAGTCTTACATTGGGCATTTATCCAGAGCCCTAATATTTTGGAGCAGAAGGGACATTAATGCCTTTATTGCTTAAGACACTATAAATTAAATATTTTATTACTTTCAGCCCAAAGAATTCCAATTGACATAAAACATTTATTATTACTATTATTAAAAGTTTAATGAAGTGCCTAAGCTAAGCATAGGCACTTCATTAACCTTTTGGTAACTTCCCCAGATTTCCAACCTCAAAGATTTATCTGCATTCATTACTCTACATGCAGAATTTACCTACCCCTCCCCTGCAGAAAAGAAAGCAAGGTGGCCGGGCACGGTGGCTCATGCCTGTAATCCCAGCACTTTGGGAGGCCGAGGCAGGGGGATCACCTGAGGTCAGGAGTTCGAGACCAGCCTGGCCAACATGGGGAAACTCCGTCTCTACTAAAAGTACACACATTAACCGGGTGTAGTGGCAGGTGCCTGTAGTGCCAGCTACTAGGGAGGCTGAGGCAGGAGAATAGCTTGAACCATGAAGGTGGAGGTTACAGTGTGCCGAGATCGTGCCACTGCACTCCAACCTGGGTGAGAGAGCAAGACTCAGTCTCAAAAAAAAACAAAAAAACAAAAAAAAAAAAAAGGAAGGCAAGGTGGTTTTGCATAGTAATCTGAAACAGAGAAAAGAAAGATGTGGAAAAGAAGGATAGAAAAGTGTCCATTATCCAACCCTCAGGGACACCGTGTAGAGAAGCAGGGGTTATAAATAAAAGCAAAAGCATTATGACAAGAGGCTTACAAGACAAACTGCATAGGCCAGGCATGGTGGCTCACGCCTATATTCCCAGCACTTTGGGAGGCCGAGGCGGGTGGATCACGAGGTCAGGAGTTTGAGACCAGCCTGACCAACATGGTGAAACCCCATCTCTACTAAAAATACAAAACTTTGCTGGGTGTGGTGGCGCATACCTGTAATCCCAGCTACTCAGGAGGCTGAGGCAGGAGAATCGCTTGAACCCCGGAGATGGAGGTTGCAGTGAGCCGAGATCGCACCACTGCACTCCAGCCTGGGCAACAGAGTGAGATTCCGTCCCAAAAAACAAAAAATTAGCCAGGCATGGTGGCGGGTGCCTGTAATCCCAGCTACTCGGGAGGCTGAGGCAGGAGAATTGCTTGAACCCAGGAGATGGAGGTTGCAGTGAGCCGAGATCACACCATTGTACTTCAGCCTGGGTGACAGAATGAGACTCTGTCTCAAAAAAAAAAAAAAAAAAAAAAAGACAAACTGCATACACAATAGCACTATGGAGCTTAGGTGCCAAATTGCTGCTTAGAGAAGAGATGAGCATGTCCTCAATCTGCACAGCACAGGATGGCATCTGGCAGGAATCTCAGCACAGCAGTGGAGCAGAAATGCCAGGAAGTAGCATTCCCACTGGAGATCCTGGCCACAGTGGCTATATTGAAGAACCACAATACAATGGTTCCTAGTAACGGACTTCAGTAATGATACAAAATTAGAGCATGTATGGACTTGTTCCTGAGCACAAGTGAAACCTCCATGAAATTAGAGATGAGCTGGGGTCCTGAAATATGTCAGGAAGGGATAATAAGGATGCTAAATTCAGGTCTTACTAATGTTCCTGTGGCCTTGTTTACACCCACTGGCTGTGAAGGCCAAGGATATTTAGGTTACACTGCAGTATTAAAATTATGGAAAATGACTGCAACTTCTCTATCTTTCATGATTTTCTACTTTACAGATAGCTCTTCTCTGTTTCTTAATTAACAATCCCTCCAAAAAAAGTACATATATTCATTTGTTCAATTTTAGATTGTGAGTATCCCAACCAAATTTAATCTTTTCCTAGAGAAAAGAAATAAAAATTTTAACTAGAAAGCACAGGTCAAAAGATATTTAGATGAGGAGGATGCTATGGAAAATACTAGAAATTTCTTTATGGTTAGACGCTCGTAATGTCTGTTGGGTCACAGACCCCCTTTGAGACTCTGAGGACACTCTAAGCTTCTCTACAGGAAAAGCTCATTTGCAAGAGTATATCGGAAGCCCATTCACTACGCTCTATCTTGGAAGCAGAGGGACCCTAGGCTTAAAGCTCTTACATCAGTCTCTGGACTCTAGTATCCTTGGGAGGTAAGAATGTGATAAAAATGAAACAAAGTCCATGACTTTGACCTACCTCCTGGTCAGTTAGCATTGTGTGAATCCCTGACTACATCCCTAATCCTTATCAGAATCTAGCAAGTGTAGATGGATTCAGTGCTGAAAAATCACCTTTCCAATTAGGGTGCCTTGCTGACACAATTAATAGTTTCATGCTCCATTGAGTCCTACTGAAAGTATGCCCTTCCAACCCATCTGACCACCATGATATTGAAGAACCGTAAAGAGTGACTAACATTTTATACTCAGAGAAGTATCCTAATAATAGCTGTCTACACAAAAGGCATCATCAAACACTTTAGTAATGTTATCCCATTTTGGCTGGGTGTGGTGGCTCACGACTGTAATCCCAACACTTTGGGAGGCCAAGGAGGGCGGATCACTTGAGGTCAGGAATTGGAGACTAGCCTGGCCAACGTAGTGAAACTCCATCTCTACTAAAACAATACAAAAATTAGATAGGGGTGGTGGCACGCCCCTGTAATCCCAGCTACTTGGGAGGCTGAGGCAGGACAATTGCTTGTACCTCGGAGGTGGAGGTTGCAGTGAGCAAAGATCGTGCCACTGCACTCCAGCCTGGGCAACAAGAGCGAAACTCCGTCTCAAAAAAAAAAAAAAAAAAAAAAGGAAGAAAAGAAATGTTATCCCATTTCATCTTCACATGAGCTGTACGAGATTATAAAATATGACTCATTTTGGAGATGAGAAAACTAAGGTTAAGTGATACAACCATGGTCACACACATAATAAGCGGCAAAACACATATCCCTGTCTTATGGACTGGATGCTCATGTGCCCCCATCACTCATATGTTGAAGCCCTAAACCCATAGCATGTAGCATGATGGTACTAGAGAGTGAGCCTTTGGGAGGTCATTCTATTTAGATGAGGTCACGGATGTAGAGCCCCCATGACGGGATTAATGCCTTTTTAAGAAGAGGAAGGGCTGCCATTTTGCGTTCTAGCATGTGTGTGCTTCATCTCAGCTGGTCCACCGGAGACCCCCTGAGGACCAATCCTAGTCCCCCGCGCGACCCCTTATCTGCTCGGACAAGATGAAAGAAACGATCATGAACCAGGAAAAACTCGCCAAACTGCAGGCACGAATGCGCATTGGTGGGAAAGGAACTGCTCACAGAAAGAAGGTGGTGGTTCATAGAACAGCCACAGCAGATGTTCAAAAACTTCAGTTCTCCTTAAAGAAGTGAGGGGTAAACAATATCTCTGGTATTGAAGAGGTGACTATGTTTACAAACCAAGGAACAGTGATCCACTTTAACCACCCTAAGGTTCAGGCATCTCTGGCAGCGAACACTTCACCATTACAGGCCATGCTGGGACAAAGCAGCTGACAGAAATGCTAGCCAGCGTCTTAAACCAGCTTGGTGCAGACAGTCCGTCTAGTTTAAGGAGACTGGCTGAAGCTCTGCCCAAACAATCTGTGGATGGAAAAGCACCACTTGCTACTGGAGAGGATGATGGTGATGATGATGAAGTTCCAGAGCTTGTGGAGAATTTTGATGAGGCTTCCAAGAATGAGGCAAACTGAACTGAGTCAACTTCTGAAGATAAAACATGAAGAAGTTACTGGGAGCTGCCATTTTATATTATGACTGCTTTTTAAGAAATATTTGTTTATGGATCTGATAAAATCTAGATCTCTAATATCTTTAAGCCCAAGCCTCTTTGACACTGCAGCTCTTTTCAGTTTTTGCTTATACACAGTTCATTCTTTGCAGCTAATTAAACCGAAGAAGCCTGGGAATAAAGTTTGAAACAAAGGTTAATAAAGTTCTTTGCCTAGTTAAAAAAAAAAAAAAAAGAAAAGAAAGAAAAAAGAAAGAAAAAGAAGAAGAGGAAGAGATACAAAAGCTTCCTTTCTCTGCCATGTGAATATGTAATGAGAAGGCAGCTGTCAACAAGCAGGGCCAGGGTCCTCACCAGATGCTGAATCTGCTGGCATCTTGATGTTTGTTTGTTTGTTTGTTTGTTTATTTATTGAGACGGAGTTTCGCTCTGTAGCCAGGCTGGAGTGCAGTGCAACCTCACTGCAACCTCGGCCTCCCTCCACCTCCTGGGTTCTCCTGCCTCAGCCTCCCAAGTAGCTGGGACTGCAGGCATGTGCCACCATGCCCAGCTAATTTTTGTATTTTTAGTACAGACAGAGTTTCACCATGTTGGCCAAGATGATCTCGATCTCTTGACCTCGTGATCCGCCCACCTTGGCCTCCCAAAGTGCTGGGATTACAGGCGTGAGCCACCGTGCCTGGCCTGGCACCTTGATCATAATCCGCCTCCAGTACTGTGAGAAATAGATGTCTGTTGTTAAGCCACCCAGTCTACGGTATTTTGTTACGGCAGCCTAAACAGACTGAGGTGCCCAGGATGGACAAACTTGTGCTTTTTGCATGCCAACTAATACAAATGTTATACTTTGTAATCTAAGTCTCAAGTGTCAACCCTAAATTTGAAAGGTTAATAGAAGCTCAACATAAATACTCCTAAATCTCCTGAAATGATTTCAATTAAATAAAACTGGATTTTGAGGGACATTAAAATATATTGACATTGAATGAAAAAAATGTGTCTTTTCACTTAATTGTTAAAATCACCCCATCTATATCCTGCCCACATAATTCTCAACTAATAATAGCCTATTTCACTCAGCATCAGCAAAGAATACAGAATGCTGTAATCCACATGTATGTTATTTTGTTGCACATGCCTGCAAACTATAATTAGCAGATATTTTCTTCAAACATCAAGTCAAACATTTTTGAGAGTTTTTTCTTGCTTACAGAAAATTCAGGAGCAAACAGCTTGGAAAAATGCTTTTTATAAAAAGACAAGGAAAACAATCCCTGTTCTATCTTATATGATGATTTGACTTTGAATCTGTCACCATATTTACTAATTCTTTTAAAATTACATCTGAAAATGTGTGACTTGAAGCAAAGAATATACCATCACAATGCAAATGTCAAAGCAAACACATCAAAGAAGATGAAAGCAAGTGAAGGCCATAGAAGTCCCTAAAAATGACTGATTGGGTTTAAAGATATGAAAGTCACTCGTGACCTTAGCAAAACGCATTTGTTATTGATGAATGCGAAGGTACAATTGCAGCGGGTTAAAAAAAATTAGGGTACCTCCATATACAATGGATTACTCTGCAGTGGCTAAACAGATTGAGGTGCATCTAGAAGTGCAAAGCTAGAAATATATCTATGAGGAAAGCAAGTTTGCCAAACAACATGAATAGCATGATTTGCAAAAGTAAAATTATCAGTATATAAAAATATGTGTAGATATAGATAGAGCCTTATTTGTATATTTGTAAATGCATGAGAGAATTATCTAAAAGAATACATATTTGTACCAGAGGCCTTTTGAGGCCTCAGATTGCATACCCTCAGTCCATCTCTGATTTCAGCCACAGCTGTGTAGGTGGTTCCACACATGCTCTGAGTGTAGTGGTGATGTCCCACCAAAAGAGCATGCCTGTGGTCTTTTCATACTCTGCCTTGGGGGCTTCTCAAGGAAGCCCACTTAGCCTTGCAAACAAGAGCCACCTAGGAAAAGTGCGTGAGCAACACTCTACCAATGTAGAATGAGAGCTAATGCATAAATTCCCCAGCCCCACCACAACCCACAGCCTTCAAGTGGACAAGTGTGGGAGTCATCCTGTATACTTTTTTAAATTGCAGTAAAATATACACAATATAAATTTACCATTGTAATCTTTTTTTTTTTTTGAGATGGAGTCTTGCTCTGTCGCCCAGGCTGGAGTACAGTGGCACCATCTCAGCTTACTGTAGCCTCAGCCTCCCAGGTTCAAGCAATTCTCCTGCCTCAGCCTCCCCAGTAGCTGGGACTATAGGCATGCGCCAGCATGCCTGGCTAATTTTTGTATTTTTAGTAGTGACGGTGTTTCACCATGTTGGCCAGGATGGTCTTGATCTCCTGACTTCATGATCTGCCCACTTTGGCCTCCCAAAGTGCTGGGATTACAGGTGTGAGCCACCGTGCCCAGCCATTCCTTTTAAAGGCTGAATAATATTCCATTGTATGTATATATCAACTTTTGTTGATACATTCATCTGCTGAGGGGGCATTTGGTTGTTCCACATTTTGAATATTGTGAATAACGCCACTATGAACATTAGTGTACAAGTATCTGTTTGAGTCCCAACTTTAAATTTTTGGGGTATATACTAGGGAGTGAAAATGCTGGGTCATATGCTAATTCTAAGTTTATTGTGTTTGCTTGTATTTAACATGCTCCACGGAAAAACTATTTTATTTATTTTTTTGTTTTATTTATTTATTTATTTATTTTTATTTTTTTTGAGACGAAGTCTCGCTCTATCACCCAGGCTGGAGTACGGTGGTGGGATCTCCACTCACTGCAAGCTCCGCCTCCCAGGTTCATGCCATTCTCCTGCCTCAGCCTCCCGCATAGCTGGGACTGCAGTTGCCCGCCACCATGCTCAGCTAAGTTTTTGTATTTTTTAGTAGAGACAGGGTTTCACCGTGTTAGCCAGGATGGTCTTGATCTCCTGACCTCATGATCCACCTGCCTCAGCCCCCCAAAGTGCTGGGATTACAGGCGTGAGCCACCATGCCCAGTCCTATTTTATTTTATTTTATTTTTAGTAAGTTTAACTTTCACAGGTCCTGGTGGAATTGAACCTCAGAATTTTGATGATATGTCCCTATGTTGCCGCCTCCTGCTTCTCTCCCTCTTTCTCTTGCTCCCTGTGACTTTCACATGGCCTAACTGCACCTAAGTCCTCAAGTTCCTGTCTCAGGCTCTACTTTTTGGGGAACCCAAGCTAGGACAACACCCACCTGTAAGGGTGATTGCCTCTCATAATTAGGATTAGAGAGAAGGAAACATTTACTCTTAAAACTTTCGTACCTGTATCACTTTGTTGTCTTTTCAAGTTTTTATGATCATAAGAAGTCAAAGTCACAGCATTATTCTCTTCTGTGAAACATACATAAGTGATTTCTCCAAAACAAACCACAGACTGATCATTCTTATGAATTTGTGCCATTACAGTAAGTCATAGAGTTTTAGAGGTTAATTTTTTAAAGGTTCTTAAATTCTTGATCCAAGATGGTGCTTGTATTAGTCTGTTCTCACGTTGCTATAAAGAGACACCTGAAACTGGGTAATTTATAAAGAAAATAAGTTTAATTGGCTCACAGGTCTGCAGGCTGTACAGGAAGAATGAAGCTGACATCCACTCACTTCTGGGGAGGCCTCAGGAAACTTTCAATCATGGTGCAAGGCAAAGAGGGAGCAAGGTGTCTCACATGATGGGAGCAGAAGCAAGAGAGAGAGAGGAGGGAGGTGTTACACACTTTTAAACAAGATCTTGCAAGAACTCGCTTTCAGGAGAACAGAACACAAGGAGATGGGGCTAAACTATTCATAAAGGATCAACCTTGATGATCCAGTCACTTCCCACCAGGCTCCACCTCCAATGCTGAGGATTACAATTGAACAGGAGATTTGGGCAGGGACACAGATCCAAACCATATCAATGCTCTTGTCCTTTAGACTAGACTAGCAGACTCTGGACTAACACAACTGGAGATTTAGGTATCGATGTTCTCCCCTCCATACTTTCACCAAGTCTGCAGTCTTTCCCCTTGTCCATCTTGACCCCTCTTTCTCTAAGCATACCATGTGCTCCTGGCTTCACATCCTTCCTCATCTAGTCTAGGCCATATGGAACTTTGTTTTGACCATTATTTTGCCAATATATTTGATTCCATTGTCTCCCTATATGACACTCATCCTCCAATTTCCAACCTGGATTAATCCAAATGTTTGCCTCTAGCATGTAGAGGGCTGCTGGAGAAAAATGACTTAATTTTCTTAATGATATAGGAAGGAGCCACTACTAATTATGGTGTCTAATCTCAACAGGTCCTTACCACTACTTAACAACGTGATACTGCATAGACCTAAGCTTATTTCTCACTCCCCCATCGCTGTCTCCAATACCCTCACTCATACTCTTGCCAGATTTCTTCAATTCCTGTTTCACAAAGAAGACCCAGATTATCAGGGGTTAAATATATTTTTTCTTATTTAAAGTCATCTGTATCTGAATGTATCTTTGAAGACCTAATATCTACAATGTGCTTTCTAGGTGTCAGGTACTTTGCTAAATAATCTTAGGAGCTAAAATTTATTGAGTTGATTGTGACTAGTTATTACAGTACCTGGAATCTACTAAGTACTTATTAAATGTTGGGTGTCTTGCCAGGCACAGTGGCTCACACCTCAGAATCAGGGAGCAAAGCAAGAAAGAGGAAGGCACAGGACCTGGGGCAGAGGCACTCAGCAGAGAAGAAAGTCTTCTCATTTCTCTCTTTCCATCCTCTTTCCCACTGCTTTAATTCAACTCTTTATTATTTTTCTTTTGAGCAATGAACTAACATTCTTACCAGTATCCCTTCTTCTAGTCTCATATCATCTCACACATTGTCAACAAAGTCCCCTTGATAGATACAAATCTGATAATTTCCATGAACAAAATTCCTTAATGCTAATGTTTCAGTTATCTATTTCCACAGTGACTTCAAACAACCATGTATTTGATCACAATTTTGCAATCTGGGCTGGGCTCAGTGAAGTGGTTCTTCTGCTGTTCCCGCCTGGGGTCACTCTTGTGGCTGCAGTCCTCCCACTGTTAAACTGGGCCTAGAAATCCAAGATGACATTACTCATAGGTCTGACATCCCCACTGAGATGGCTGAAAATGCCGGGGACTGGCTGTGCATGTCTCTTTGTTCATATGGTCTCTCCAGCATATAATTGGACCTCTTTACATAATGGATCAGGATTTTAAGAAAAAGCATTTCAGGAGGATAAGCCCTAAAGTACCTATGCAGCTTCTGTTTGCATCACATTTGCCAATGTCCAATTAGTTAAAGCAAGTTACATGGCAACATCCAGAGTCAATGTGAGAGGAGATTACCCAAGGATATGAATACTATGAGCTGTGGTTCACTGGAAGCTACCAATGTAACAGTCTGCTGCAGATGCTCATCGCTTACCAAACTTTTTTTTTTTTTTTTTTTTTTTTTTGAGACAGAGTCTTGCTTGTTGCCCAGGCTGGAGTGCGGTGGCACAATCTTGGCTCACAGCAACCTCTGCCTCCTGGGCTCAGGTGATTCTTCTGCCTCAGCCTCCTGAGCAGCTGGGATTACAGGCATGTGCCACCACGCCTAGCTAATTTTTTGTATTTTTAGTAGACACGGGGTTTTGCCATGTTGCCCAGGCTGGTCTCTAACTCCTGAGCTCACATGATCAGCTCGCCTTGGGCCTCCCAAAGTGCTAGGATTACAAGCATGAGACACTGTGGCAGGCCCCATCACTTACTGAAATACTATATACACTCACAAGCCTTTCAAGATCTAGCCCTTACCTCTCCAACCCTACCTCTCCCCACTCCACCCTCTGACCTTACTCTGTATCCATCATAACAATAACTAACTCTTACATCTCACTTAGTATGGGCCAGGCATTGTTCTAACAAGTCTTAATGACCACCACAGCAATTCCTCTTGCAGATGAATAAACTGAAGCATACTTATTAGACCCAATTGCAGTGAAGAGACTGAGGCACCAAGAGTTAAGTGACTTGCCCCAAGTCCCTCTGATAATAAATGACAAACAGACTTCAGAATTGACATTCCTCAACACTATTTTATATGGTCTCTTGGAAACAATATTCAGTTCTGTGAACATCCTGGACTATCTCTGGCCTTCCTCTGAAATTCTCATTTTCTGCTATTCTGGCAGGAAAATGCCTTCCTTTCCTTCTTCACTGACAATATGTGAGATGAAGACTTCCTGGCTCCCTCCAGGTGGATCTAGGTGCTATCTAACCTATTTCCACTGCCCACCCACAGCCATTGAAGCAATTATCATCTCATATTGCTTCTATTTATTTTCATGATTGTCTCACTTAATGGGCATAAGAAAGGAGGGGAGGAGCCTATTCAAAATAGATTCCTAGGCTAACCTCAAGGATTCTGACACTTTGAGAATCATGCCCTAGATCAGAATCGGCAAATTTTTCAGGGCCAGATAGTAAATAATTTAGGCTCTGTGGGCCACATGGTTTCTGCTACAACTACTCAACTTTGCCTTTGTAGCAAGAACTCAGTCATAACTAATACATAAATGAGTGAGCATGGTTGTGGTCCAAAAAAAAAACTCATGGATACTGAAATTTGAATTTTATATAATTTTCTTGTGTCATGAAATATCATTTTTCTTTCAAAGTTTTTTCAAGCATTTAAGACTTAAAAAAATTTTATTCTGCCCGGGCACGGTGGCTCATGCCTGTAATCCCAGCACTTTGGGAGGCCGAGGCAGGCAGATCATGAGGTCAGGAGATTGAGGACATCCTGGCTAACACAATGAAACCCCATCTCTACTAAAAAAATACAAAAAATTAGCTGGGCGTGGTGGCGGTCACCTGTAGTCCCAGCCACTCGGGAGGCTGAGGCAGGAGAATGGTGTGAACCTGGGAGGCGGAGCTTCCAGTGAGCCAAGATCGTGCCACTGCACTCCAGCCTGGGCAACATAGTGAGACTCTGTCTCAAAAAAAAAAAAAAAGTTATTATTAGTTCATGGGTTATAGATATACAGCGAGTAGGATAAATTTTGGCCTGTGGGATATAGTTTGCTGACCCCTCCCCTAGACTATTAGCCTATAGTGTTATATTCTTTTATATATATATATACTTTAAGTTCTAGGGTACATGTGAACAACATGCAGGTGTGTTACATATGCATACATGTGTCATGTTGGTGTGCTGCACCCATTAACTCATCATTTACATTAGGTATATCTCCTAATGCTATCCCTCCCCCTTCCCCCCACCCCACAACAGGCCCCGGTGCGTGATGTTCCCCACCCTGTGTCCAACTATTCTCATTGTTCAATTCCCACCTATGAGTGAGAACATGCCATGTTTGGTTTTCTGTCCTTGTGATAGTTTGCTCAGAATGATGGTTTCCAGCTTCATCCATGTCCCTACAAAGGACATGAACTCATCATTTTTTATGGTTGCATAGTATTCCTTGGTGTATATGTGCCACATTTTCTTAATCCAGTCTATCATTGATGGACATTTTGGTTGGTTCCAAGTCTTTGCTATTGTGAATAGTGCCACAATAAACATACGTGTGCATGTGTCTTTATAGCAGCATGATTTATAATCCTTTGGGTACATACCCAGTAATGGGATGGCTGGGTCAAATGGTATTTCTAGTTCTAGGTCCTTGAGGAATTGCCACATTGTCTTCCACAATGGTCAAACTAGTTTACAGTCCCACCAACAGTGTAAAAGTGTTCCTATTTCTCCACATCCTCTCCAGCACCTGTTGTTTCCTGACTTTCTAATGATCGCCATTCTAACTGGTGTGAGATGGTATCTCTTTGTGGTTTTGATCTGCATTTCTCTGATGGCCAGTGACGATGAGCATTTTTTTCATGTGTCTGTTGGCTGCATAAATGTCTTCTTTTGAGAAGTGTCTGTTCATATCCTTTGCCCACTTTTTGATGGGGTTCTTTGATTTTTTCTTGTAAATTTGCTTAAGTTCTTTGCAGATTCTGGATATTAGCCCTTTGTCAGATGGGTAGATTGTAAAAATTTTCTCCCATTCTGTAGGTTGCCTGTTCATTCTGATGGTAGTTTCTTTTGCTGTGCAGAAGCTCTTTAGTTTAATTAGATCCCATTTGTCAATTTTGGCTTTTGTTGCCATTGCTTTTGGTATTTTAGCTATGAAGTCCTTGCCCATGCCTATGTCCTGAATGTTATTGCCTAGGTTTTCTTCTAGCGTTTTTATGGTTTTAGGTCTAATATTTAAGTCTTTAATCCACCTTGAATTAATTTTTGTATAAGGTGTAAGGAAGGGATCCAGTGTTTTCCCAGCACCATTTATTAAATAGGGAATCCTTTCCCCATTTCTTGTTTTTGTCAGCTTTGTCAAAGATCAGACGGTTGTAGATGTGTGGTATTATTAGTTAGGGCTCTGTTCTGTTCCATTGGTCCATATCTCTGTTTTGGTACCAGTACCATGCTGTTTTGGTTACTGTAGTCTTGTAGTATAGTTTGAAGTCAGGTAGTGTGATGCCTCCAGCTTTGTTCTTTTGGCTTAGGATTGTCTTGGCAATGCAGGCTCTTTTTTGGTTCCATATGAACTTTAAAGTAATTTTTTCCAATTCTGTGAAGAAAGTCATTGGTCATTGGTAGCTTGATGGGGATGGCATTGAATCTATAAATTACCTTGGGCAGTATGGCCATTTTCACGATATTGATTCTTCCTATCCATGGGCATGGAATGTTCTTCCATTTGTTTGTGTCCTCTTTTATTTCGTGGAGCAGTGGTTTGTAGTTCTCCTTGAAGAAGTCCTTCTCATCCCTTGTAAGTTGGATACCTAGGTATTTTATTCTCTTTGAAGCAATTGTGAATGGGGGTTCACTCATGATTTGGCTCTCTGTTTGTCTGTTATTGGTGTATAGGAACGCTTGTGGTTTTTGCACATTGGTTTTGTATTCTGAGACTTTGCTGAAGTTGCTTATCAGCTCAAGGAGTTTTTGGGCTGAGACGATTGGGTTTTCTAAATATACAATCATCATGTCATCTGCAGACAGGGACAATTTGACTTCCTCTTTTCCTAATTTAATACCCTTTATTTCTTTCTCTCGCCTGATTGCCCTGGCCAGAACTTCCAATACTACATTGAATAGGAGTGGTGAGAGAGGGCATCTCTGTCTTGTGCCAGTTTTCAAAGGGAATGCTTCCAGTTTTTGCCCAATCAGTATATTGGATGTGGGTTTTTCATAAATAGGTCTTATTATTTTGAGATATGTCCCATCAATACCTAGTTTGTTGAGAGTTTTTAGCAAGAAGGGCTGTTGAATTTTGTTGAAGGCCTTTTCTGCATCTATTGAGATAATCATGTGGTTTTTGTCTTTGATTCTGTTTATATGATGGATTATGTTTATTGATTTGCATATGTTGAACCAGCCTTGCATCCCAGGGATGAAGCCAACTTGATCATGATGGATAAGCTTTTTGATGTGCTGCTGGATTTGGTTTGCCAGTATTTTATTGAGGATTTTTGCATTGATGTTCATCAGGGATATTGATCTAAAATTCTCTTTTTTTGTTGTGTCTCTGCCAGGCTTTGATGTCAGGATGATACTGGCCTCATAAAATGAGTTAGGGAGGATTGCCTCTTTTTCTATTGATTGGAATAGTTTCAGAAGGAATGGTACCAGCTCCTCTTTGTAACTCTGGTAGATTTTGGCTGTGAATCCGTCTGGTCCTGGACTTCTTTTGGTTGGTAGGCTATTAATTATTGCCTCAATTTCAGAGCCTGTTATTGGTCTATGCAGGGATTCAACCTCTTCCTGTTTTAGTCTTGGGAGGGTGTATGTGTCCAAGAATTTATCCATTTCTTCATGATTTTCTAGTTTCTTTGCGTAGAGGTGTTTATAGTATTCCCTGATGGTAGTTTGTATTTCTGTGGGATCGGTGGTGATATCCCCTTTATCATTTTTATTGCATCTATTTAATTCTTCTCTCTTTTCTTCTTTATTAGTCTTGCTAGTGGTCTATCAATTTTGTTGATCTTTTCAAAAACCAGCTTCTGGATTCGTTGATTTTTTGAAGGGTTTTTTGTGTCTCTATCTCCTTCAGTTCTGCTCTGATCTTAGTTATTTCTTGTCTTCTGCTATCTTTTGAATGTGCTTGCTCTTGCTTCTCTAGTTCTTTTAATTGTGATGTTAGGGTGTCAATTTTAGATCTTTCCTGCTTTCTCTTATGGGCATTTAGTACTATAAATTTCCCTCTACACACTGCTTTAAATGTGTCCCAGAGATTCTGGTATGTTGTGTCTTTGTTCTCATTGGTTTCAAAGAACATCTTTATTTATGCCTTAATTTTATTATGTACCCAGTAGTCATTCAGGAGCAGGTTGTTCAGTTTCCATGTAGTTGAGCAG
This sequence comes from Homo sapiens, assembly GCF_000001405.40. NCBI lineage: Eukaryota > Metazoa > Chordata > Mammalia > Primates > Hominidae > Homo > Homo sapiens. The sequence goes on along the minus strand of NC_000009.12, from coordinate 72,097,320 downwards.
TTTTGAGTGAGTTTCTTAATCCTGAGTTCTAGTTTGATTGCGCTGTGGTCTGAGAGACAGTTTGTTATAATTTCTGTTCTTTTACATTTGCTGAGGAGTGCTTTGCTTCCAACTATGTCATCAATTTTGGAATAAGTGTGTGTGATGTGGTGCTGAGAAGAATATATATTCTGTTGATTTGGGGTGGAGAGTTCTGTAGATGTCTGTTAGGTCCGCTTGGTGCAGAGCTGAGTTCAATTCCTGAATATCCTTGTTAACTTTCTGTCTTGTTGATCTGTCTAATGTTGACAGTGGGGTGTTAAAGTCTCCCATTATTATTGTGTGGGAGTCTAAGTCTCTTCGCAGGTCTCTAAGGACTTGCTTTATGAATCTGGGTGCTCCTGTGTTGGGTGCATATATATTTAGGTTAGCTCTTCTTGTTGAATTGATCCCTTTACCATTATGTAATGGCCTTCTTTGTCTCTTTTGATCTTTGTTGGTTTAAAGTCTGTTTTATCAGAGACTAGGATTGCAATCCCTGCTTTTTTTTGTTTTCCATTTGCTTGATAGATCTTCCTCCATCCCTTTATTTTGAGCCTATGTGTGTCTCTGCACATGAGATGGGTCTCCTGAATACAGCACACTGGTGGGTCTGGACTCTTTATCCAATTTGCCAGTCTGTGTCTTTTAATTGGAGCATTTAGCCCATTTACATTTAAGGTTAATATTATTATGTGTGAATTTGATCCTGTCATTATGAGGTTAGCTGGTTATTTTGCTCGTTAGTTGATGCAGTTTCTTCATAGCATCGATGGTCTTTACAATTTGACATGTTTTTGCAGTGGCTGGTGCCAGTTGTTCCTTTCCATGTGTAGTGCTTCCTTCAGGAGCTCTTGTAAGGCAGACCTGGTAGTGACAAAATCTCTCAGCATTTACTTGTCTGTAAAGGATTTTATTTCTCCTTCACTTATGAAGTTTAGTTTGGCTGGATATGAAATTCTGGGTTGAAAATTCTTTTCTTTAAGAATGTTGAATGTTGGCCCCCACTCCCTTCTGGCTTGTAGAGTTTCTGCTCAGAGATCCGCTGTTAGTCTGATGGGCTTCCCTTTGTGGATAACCCAACCTTTCTCTCTGGCTGCCCTTAACATTTTATCCATAAATGTCAAAAGGACTTTTTTTCACAGTAAACAAGTAGATCCTAAATTTTACTGGAAAGATAAGCAAGCCAGAATAGCTAGAAAAATTCTGAAAGATTTTAAATAAGTAACTCTGATAAATTAAATGGAAATTTGGTGAATATTAAAGATAAACGACCCTGGCTGGGCACGGTGGCTCACGCCTGTAAACCCAGCACTTTGGAAGGCCAAGGCAGGCAGATCACCTGAGGTTAGGAGTTTGAGACCGGCCTGGCCAACATGGTGAATCCCTGTCTCTACTATAAGTACAAAAATTAGCCAGGCGTGGTGGCGGGCACCTGTAATCCCAGCTACTCAGGAGGCTGAGGCAGGAGAATAGCTTGAACCCAGGAGGCGGAGGTTGCAGTGAGCCAAGATCACACCACTGCACTCCAGCCTGGGTGACAAGAGTGACACTCTGTCTCAAAATAAATAAATAAATAAATAAATAAATAAATAAATATGAATGACTCATATATTGTCTATGAAAATACATTATAAATCTATAACTAATTAAAATATTTGGTAATGATGCCTGAATAGACAAATCAGTGGAACAGAATGAAGAGTCCAGAAATAGACTGAGAAATATGTAAGAATTTAGAATATGATAAAGACAGCATTTTAATTCAGGGTAGAAAAGATGGGTTGTTTAATAAATAATAATGGTACAACTGGTTAACCATCCAGTAGAAAGTAAAATTGTATCTGTTTCTCATTTTTTATAAGAAAATAAATTTCAGACAAATAAAAGAACTAAACCAAAAAAAGAAAACTATAAATGTACTAGAAGAAAATGTGGGAGAATGCTTTTATAACAGTGGAGTAGGGCAAGATCTTTCTAAGCAAGAAACAAAAGAATAAAATGAAAAAACCTAGGAGAGATTAAGCATATTTACAACATACAAATTATAATGAACATATTGAAAACACACAAATTATACATTTCAGCATGAAAAAAATTCCATAAATTAAAATTCAAGGGACTTGTTTTTTATTTTAAGGAATAGAATTTTTAAAAATAAAAATAAAGTTCAAGGGACAAACCAGGGGAAAACATTTGCAGTACATACGACAGAAGAGAATATCTTTTTTTTAATAATAGAGACATCAAATCAATAAAAGAAAAATCTACATTCCAATAAAAAAGATTAAATAACATAAACAGAGTTCATAAAACAAAAGATACAAACAGCTTTTAAAACAAATGAGATGATAATTACATGTAAGGTGAAATAAAGATACCATCTTTCAGTCAGGCGTGGTGGCTCACACCTGTAATCCCAGCACTTTGGGAGGCTGAGACAGGTGGATCACAAGGTCAAAAGATCGAGACCATTCTGGCTAACCTGGCGAAACCCCAGCTCTACTAAAAAGTACAAAAAAAATTAGCCAGGCATGGTGGTGGGTGCCTGTAGTCCCAGCTACTCAGGAGGCTGAGGCAGGGGAATGGCGTGAACCTAGGAGGCAGAGCTTGCAGTGAACTGAGATCACACCACTGCACTCCAGCCTGGGCAACAAAGCGAGACTCCACCTCAAAAAAAAAAAAAAAAAAAAAGATAGCATCTTTCACCTACTAGAGAAATAAAAAAATAAAATATTTATAGCACACTCTAAGTCTAGAATGTTAAAAAAATAGGTATCTATCACACTTTTTTGGAGGAAGTATAATATGGAACACACACTTTGGAGGCAATGTGATAATAGCTATCAAAATTTAGACCCAGCAATCCCTTCTAGGAATATACATATTCTACAGATTTGTTTACACATGTGAACAAACTTAGAATGATAGCCATGATAGCATATTTATAAGACCAAAAAGACAGTTAAATGCCATTAATAGGACTTTATAGTGTATCACTATAATGAGAAACCCTGCAGCCATTCAAAATGAATAAATCTATATTAGCGTTATGGAGTAGTATACTAAATATATTCTACGCAAGAAAAAAAACAATAAACAGTGAAGTGTAATTTATAGGCTTCTACTTATTTTTTTAAAAAAGAACCAGGGGTGTGTATATGCACGCATAGATGCAGTACAGGCTGAGCTTTCCTTAGCCAAAATGCTGGGGACCAGAAGTGTTTGAATTTTGTGTTTTTTCAGATTTTAAAATATTTGCATGTACATAATGAGATATTTTGGGGATGAAATCCAATTCTAAATATGAAATTCATTTGTTTCATATAAACCTTATGCACATAGCCTGAAGGTAATTTTATGCAATATTTTTAATAATTTTGTGCATGAAACAAAGTTTGTGTATACTGAATCATCAGAAAGCAAAGTTGTCACATGTAGAATTTTCCACCTGTGGTATCATGTTGGTGCTCAAGTTTTGGAGCATTTCAGATTTTGGATTTTTAGATTAGGGAAGTTCAATCTGTTCTTGTATAATTATATAGAATATCTCCTTTTATTTATTTATTTATTTTTGAGACAGAGTTCCACTCTTGTTGCCCAGTCTGGAGTGCAATGGCACGATCTCCACTCACCGCAACCTCCACCTCCCAGGTTCAAGCCATTCTCCTGCCTCAGCCTCCTGAATAGCTGGGATTACAGGTGCCCGCCACCACCGCCAGCTAATTTTTTGTATTTTTAGTAGAGAAGGGGTTTCACCATGTTGGTCAGGCTGGTCTGGAACTCCTGACCTCAGGTGACCCACCCACCTCGGCCTCCCAAAGTACTGGGATTACAGGTGCGAGCCACTGCCCATGGCCTATTATTATTATTATTATTATTATTTTGTGGGTTTTTTTTTTTTGAGATGAAGTTTTGCTCTTATTGCCCAGACTGGAGTGCAATGGTACAATCTCGGCTCACTGCAACCTCTGCCTCCTGGGTTCAAGTGATTCTCTTGCCTCAGCCTCCTGAGTAGCTGGGATTACAGGCACCTGCCACCACACCCAGCTAATTTTTGTATTTTTAGTAGAGACGGGGTTTTACCACGTCAGCCAGGCTGGTCTCAAACTCCTGACCTCAGGTGATCCGCCTGCCCCGGCCTCCCTAATTACAGGCATGAGCCCCCATGCCTGGCCCTGTCCTCTATTATCTAGTCACAAGTTATTTCTTAGCAATGGAACCCGGAATGCAAGCTAACCCCATGACCACCTGGAATAAACATTCCATTTCCCAGCTTTCTTGGCAATCAAGTGTGGCTCAGTTCCAGCTGATGATATGTCCTTAAAAGGGGAGTTGTGCTCTTTTCTCCTCGTTCTTCCTGCTGGCGAGATTGTGGACCTGATTCCTGAACTCAAGCAATCTATTTGGAGCATGAGAGAAAAACCACATTTTGACAATGGCAAAGAAACAGGATAGAAAGAGTTAGAGTCCCTAACAATGATGGGTGGCCTCATCATGCCAGCTTTGGACTACTTGCCTCTGGAATTTGTTTTTGTGGGAAAGAAATAAATGTCTATGTTGTTTAAATCATTAGTATGAGAGAGTTTATGTCATTCATAGCCAAAGCTAACCCAAACTGATTCAAGAGGGGAGCTAGGTGACTTTGTTTGGGTTAGACTCTTATTAATGAGTCCATTATATAGTTCAGAAACATGGCTGAGTATGAACAGTACCAAGAATCTCTATATAAAGGACTCCGTCTTCTTTTTTCTTGAGTTTCTCTTACCTTGCAAGGACTGTTGAGACATCTCCATCCTTGGAGATTATCACAGTTTCAGGATATTTTATTCATTCAAAAACTCTAAAAGCTCACATGATAGACCAGGTGATTTCTTTCTTTTTTTTTTTTTTTTCTTTCTTTTTTGAGACGGAGTCTCCCTCTGTTGCCCAGGCTGGAGTGCAGTGGCGCGATCTCAGCTCACTGCAAGCTCCGCCTCCCTGGTTCACGTCATTCTCCTGCCTCAGCCTCCCGAGTAGCTGGGTCTACAGGTGCTCGCAACCATGCCCAGCTAATTTTTTGTGTATTTAGTAGAGACGGGATTTCACCGTGTTAGCCAGGATGGTCTCCATCTCGTGACCTCGTGATCTGCCCGCCTCGGCCTCCCGAAGTGCTGGAATTACAGGCTTGAGCCACCGCGCCCGGCCTTTTTGTACTTTTAGTAGAGACGGGGTTTCACCGTGTTAGCCAGGATGGTCTCCATCTCGTGACCTGTCCGCCTCGGCCTCCCGAAGTGCTGGGATTACAGGCGTGAGCCACTGCACCCAACCAATAGACCAGGTGATTTCTTATTGAGCATTCTAGCTGTGAGAATCTATGAAAATAAGAGGTAGATATGTGTGTGATGGGCAAAGAAAGGAGAGGAGAATATTCATCTTACTACACCTCAATCTCTGTTGGATTCTTCCTAATTATAGATATTCTGTGGCTGAGGTTTTTTATACCATCGTAAATTAAGTTGTTTGTAGCTGGACCAGTTCTTAGCTGGAGTCATTCCAATGTCCTGCTAGGAGAAACCGCTATTCTATTTAATTTAGGATGTGCTGGCAAGACTGCCAAACATCAACGAGAACCTGGAAACATTCTTAAACAGAAGGCATGATACACAGCTACCATGTCAATAATCTCTTGGCTTTCCATTTTGATTTGTGGATATTATATAAAGAGGGTCAAAGGGAAGAAAGTGAATTTGGAAACACTAACCAGGTTGGTAGGGAATAGGATCCCTTCCACTTTCCCAGTAGTTCAGAATAAGTTTTTTTTATATTTTCAGTATGTGCTACTGTTCCCCATCATAGGTAGGTGAGCATTAGAATCAACCTGAGAGACGTTTTTTTCTTTTCTTTTTTTGATACAGGGTCTCACTCTGTCACCCAGGCTGGAGTGCAGTAGTGCAAGCACAGATCACTGCAGCCTCAACCTCCTGGGCTCAATCAGTCCTCCTGCTTCAATTGATCCTCCCATCTTAGCCTCCTGAGTAACTGGGACTACAGGCACGTGCCACCACACTTAGCTAAGTTTTGTATTTATTTTAGAGATGGGGGGTCTCACTATGTTGCCCAGGCTGGCCTTGAACTCCTGGGCTCAAGCCATCCTCTTGCCTCATCCTCCTAAAGTGCTGCAATTACAGGCATAAGCCATTGTGCCTGTCAGAGGCTTTTATTTAATATAGATTCTCAGACTCCATATCCCCAAATTTCTGATTCAGTAGATCTGTTTAAGCCTATACCTTTATGTTTTTAGAAAGTTGCTTTGGTGATTCTGATAGCTGAACCCTTGTTCTTCATTTTGGAAAACCTGGCATAGATCAATGCAATATTTTTAAATGTCCTATATGTACTAAATACTTAGTCAGGCATGAGGAGGTATGCAATTTGGTCTCTTGGTTATGGAACATTATACTCTAGATATCACGAGTATTGCCTTTTCTACAAACTCAGGAAAGTTGTGCTCACATCACTTTCTTATTATATTTCTTTCTTTTCTTTCTTTCTTTCTTTTCTTTCTTTTTTTTTTTTCTTGTCCATTGCCAGGCTGCAGTGCGGTGGCATGATCTCAGCTCACTGCAACCTCTGCCTCCCAGGTTCAAGGGATTCTCCTGCCTCAACCTCCCGAGTAGCTGGGACTACAGGTGTACGCCACCACGCCTGGCTAATTGTTGTATTTTTAGTAGAGACGGGGTTTCACCATATTGGCCAGGCTGGTCTCAAACTCCTGACCTCGTGATCCGCCCGCCTCGGCCTCCCAAAGTTCTGGGATTACAGGCGTGAGCCACTGTGCCCAGCTATTTCTTTGTTTTTCAATAATCACTCCATTGGTGTCAGTTCAGTATTCTTCTTGGGGACTTCCTCTACCTGTGTATTAGTAATACTTTTCTAGAGAGACAGAACCAACAGAATGCAAATATAGATACGTGGACAGATGAGAGGAGATTTATTAGGGGAATTGGCACACATGATTATGGAGGCTGAGAAGTCCCACAGCAGGCCTGGCAAGCTGGAGAAGCTGGCATGCTGGCAGTGTGGCTCAGTTCAAGTACAGAGGCCTGAGAACCCAGAGGGGCGCTGGTATAAGTCCTGGAGTCCAAAGGCCAGAGAGCCTGATGTCCAAGGGCAGAAGAAGAGTGTACTCCAGTTCCTGGAGACAGAGCAACCAATTCAACTTTCCTCTGCTTTTGTTCTATCACAGCCCCAGCCTATTAAATGATGTTCATCCACACTGAGGGTGGATCTTCCCCCACTTAGTCCACTCAGACTCACACACAAATCTCCTCTGGAAACACTCACACAGACACACCCAAAACAATGCTTTATCAGTTCTCTAGGTATTCCTTAATCCAGTCAAGCTGACGCCCAAAATTAATCATCACAACCTGTATTGTCTAAGAAGACTTACTCAAACTAAAGAAAGGTGGCATAATGCAAACAAATTTAAAAGGAGGAAGCCTCATCAATTCAATAGTGTCATGGTTTCTTGCTGCTGCATGGGGTTGTTGTAGTATATCAGTCCTATAAAGTTCAACAGAGAACACCTGTCCACTGCAGCTGGGATACTTTTGCTGTCCTGCTAACCTAAATACATGGTAAAGCTGCCACAGATGTCCCCTCCTGAAGTCTAAAGTTACAACTCATTTTATTCCACATCAAAGGCATTCCAGGGTGGAGCTTCAAGCAGTCCATCTGGGACAGCCAGTAAGGGGGTATAGCCTGTAAATAATCTAAAACAATAATACAAGTGATTAGAAAATAGTCTGCCTTTTATTATCACTATGAGATGGTGGCTGTAAATAATGTCGGTGATAAAATACTCCTCCCTAAAAACTCCTTTGTTGGTTTAAGTGCTAATAAATTTCTGTTTTTGTAAGCCACCCAATTTATGGTAGTTATGGCAGACCTAGGAAATTAATACATATGCTAAATAAGAATTTTCAAAAGCCAGCAATAAATACTATGTACTAAATAAATGGTAAGAACACTAACATGTCATGGCAACTTGGAGGAAGTCTAATCTTCTTCTGGAGGCCATATATAGAAATTCAATTCTAAACCAGACTATAGTATCATCTCCACTAGACTATCAAACAAATCCAGTAAATGGTATCTTTTCATGCCGCTTATTCCATAGAGACTAGCTTTGGGATCACATTTGCTTGCAAGGCAAACCAATCTGATAAATCAGCCTAAAGATGATATCGATGATTCTTCAGGCTGTCACTCTCAAAGAAAAAAAAAAAGACTGATATCATCTGACACACATTTTGAAAGTAAATATCAACAATGCCAAAGGCATGATCCATGAAAGAAAGAATTGATAAATTAGACTTTACTAAAATTAAAAATTTCTGCCCTGCAAAAGACACAGTCAAGAGAATGAAAAGACAAGCCACATGTTTGGGGAGAGCATAATTGTAAAAGACATATTTAATAAAGTACTGTTATCCAAAATATACAAATAACTCTTAAGATTCAACAATAAGAAAACAATCCAACTAAAAAGTAGACCAAAGACCTTAATAGCCCCTCATTAAAAAGACATATACAGATGACAAATAAGCATATGAAGAGATGCTACACATCATATATCATCAAGAAAATGCAAATTTTTTTTTTTTTTTTTGAGATGGAGTCTCGCTCTGTCACCCAGGCTGGAGTGCAGTGGCGCGATCTCGGCTCACTGCAAGCTCTGCCTCCTGGGTTCATGCCATTCTCCTGCCTCAGCCTCTCGAGTAGCTGGGACTACAGGCACCTGCTACCATGCCTGGCTAATTTTTTATATTTTTAGTAAAGACGGGGTTTCACCATGCTAGCCAGGATGGTCTAGATCTCCTGACCTCACGATCCGCCCGCCTCGGCCTCCCAAAGTGCTGGGACTACAGGCGTGAGCCACTGCACCCGGCCAAGAAAATGCAAATTAAAAGAACAATGGGATACCACTACACATATATTAGAATGGCCCAAATCCAGAACACTGACACCACCAAATGCTGGTGAGAATGTGAAGCAACAGGAACTCTCATTCATTGCTAGTTGGAATGCAAAATGGTATGGCTACTTTGGAAGATGGTGGTTTCTTAGAAAACTAAATGTACTCTTAGCATATAATCCAGTGATCATACTCTTTGATATTTGCTAAAGGAGTTGAAAACTTATGTCCACACAAAAACCTGCACACAACATTTAAGCAGCTCTATTCATAATTGCCAAAACTTGGATGCAATCAATTCACCTTTAGTAGGTGAATGGATGATAAATAAACTGTAGTACATCTAAGCAATGGAATATTATTCAGTGCTAAAAAAGAAATGAGGTATCAAGCCATGGAAAGACATGGAGGAGCCTGAAATTCATGTTACCAAAGCTAATCTGAAAACACTGTGTGATGTCAACTAATAATATTCTGCAAAAGGAAAAACTGTGGAGACAATAAAAATATCAATGGTTGCCAGGAATTAAGGGGAGTGTGGGTTGAAGAGATAGAGCACAAAAAATATTAAGGGCAGTGAAACTATTCTGTATGATACTATAATGGAGGATACATGTCATTATACATTTGTGCAAACCCAAAGGACAATATCAAGAGTGAACCCTAATATAAACTATGGACTTTGGGTGATTATGATGTGTCAGTGTAGGTTCATCAATTGTAACAAATGTACTATTCTGTACATCTGACACATTGAAAATGGGGGAGGCTATTCCTGTGGAAGGGCAGGAAGTATCTGGAATACCTTCCTCTCAATTTTGCCATGAATCTAAAACCTCTTTTAAAATTTTAAGTCTTTAAAATAAATAAATACCACTATCTCTATACTGTTACCACATGAACGCCAGGATATATTGTTGTATCAGTTATCTGTTACTACATAACAAATTACTCCAAAACATAATTACTTAAAACAATAATTTATTGGTTCTCATGATTGTGTAAGACAGGGATTTGGGTAGGGGTTAGCTGGGTAGTTTTCTCCATGTGGGTCTTTGACTCAATTGTATCTATCTGGAGCTGGGTTGGGCTCAAAGGTCCAAATAAATATATATTGATGGGTCGGGCATGGTGGCTCATGCTTGTAATCCTAGCTTTTTGGGAGGCTGAGTGAGGAGGATTGCTTGAAACTAGGAGTTTGAGACCAGCCTGGGCCACATAGCAAGGCCCCGTCTCTACAAAAAAATTAAAAAAAGAAATTAACCAGGCAAGTGGTGACAGTGTCTGTAGTTCAAGCTACTCTTAGGTCCGAGGCAGGAGGATTCTTGAGCCCAAGAGGTAGAGGCTGCAGCGAACTGTGATCATGCCACTGCACTCTAGCCTGGGCGACAGAACAAGACCCTGTCTCAAAATATAGATAGATAGATAGATAGATAATAATAATAATTATTATTATTATAAATATTGATATATTAAAAAGTTTTATATATTCATATGTATTTTTATATTGCTAATATCTTAAAAACAATGAAAAGATAAACAATTATTTAAATGGTTACTTATAGGAAGAGAGAGGGAACACAGTAGATGGGCAGAAATAGAATAAGTCTTCTCTAAATACACCTTGTTTTGTAGACTTAGCTTTAGAAATATCTAAATATTTTACATAAAAATAAAAACAAAATTAAATAATAAAAGCAACCTCTGAATTTGAAGTAATAGGAAACAAATTAACCTACCTATATATCTAGTTGGTAGACTAATCAGAGAAAGAGAAATTATAACAAAGAACTTTAAAACACAGTAACTATATATCTCTAGGGATGTACATTAGAGATATTTCCTAAAGACAAAAAGAGGTACAAAAATTTTTTTCAGACATTTTCAACCAAATCATGTTGGTGGCAGTAGCATTCGTATTGTTTTCTGAGATGGCTATGTGCAATTTGTGGGAAAAACCAAATATCTGATTAGGCTGGTCTCGTAGAGAACTGAGGGTTTTTTTGTGATTGCTAGGAAATACAGGTGTATAATTGATGAAGTTAAATAAAAGCCAAGTCATACCTTGAAACCTGAAGTATAATTATACATTCATGAGGTTAATATTATATTAAATATATATTTAATATGTTGTTATACTGTATACAATATATTAAATATTAATATTTTAATAACAACATAAAACAAATATATTCCCTAACCACTGAAAAGGCAAAGAACCAATGACCAACCCAGTAGGAATGAGCACCCCAGTGTCCAGATTATGATCTTAAATGTTATTTCCCTGTTAAAGCAACCAAGGTGCTTTGAAAAAAATGATTAATTCTGGATCTAGGGCAAGGAATGTAAAAAAGATATGCTGGAACACCTTGTAACTCAAAAAAATCAAGAAAGCTATTGAAGGCCACCAGGGTGGTGTCAAAAGTACTCAATAGACAACCTAAATAACCTCTGCTGGGTTAAAAGAGGAAATCTGAGCACCAAAGAGCATAATAACCTTAATGGATTGAAGTGCTTCAAGTATGTTTAAAACCATGAATTTATAACTGTACTAAAACTAAACTAATAGGTCACCTTTGAAAGATGTCAAGGGAGCATCTCATTATTTTGAAATATGATAAAGGGAAAGAATTGTACCTTTTCTGCCTTTTACAGTCTGTATTTCAGAATTGCCAAATAATTTATGAGGGGAAGGTTTTTTTGTATAGAAGTATTCTAATACCAAATGAAAAGGAATTATAAAATTAGAGTATTACAATTTTTGTTTGGTTTATTTGTTTGTTTGAGACAGTCTCACTCGGTTACCCAGGCTGGAATGCAGTGGCACAATCATGACTCACTGTAGCCTCAACCTCCCGGGCTCAGGTGATCCTCCTGTCTCAGCCTCCCAGGAAGCTGGGACTACAGGTGCACACCATCACACCTGACTAATTGTTTTGTATTTTTTGTAGACATAGGGTTTCACCATGTTGCCCAGGCTGGTCTCAAACTCCTGGGCTCAAGCAATCCACCTGCCACTGCCTCCCAAAATGCTGAGATTATAGTTGTGAACCACCGCACCCACTTGAGTATTACCATTTTGTAACCTCTAATGATGTCACAAAAAAGAGAGACACTAAGACAACATTTTCTTTATGATGGAAAAACCACCTATGAAGTAGTGTTGAAAAAAAAAATCTGACTTGAAGCAGATCAAACCTCTAAATCTAGCTGCCAATCTATAGAAAATATGGCAAATAAAGGAATATGTTCAACTATACCATCGGGGATGCAATCAGCAAAACCCAGACTATGGGAAAGTATAAAATAAGCAACAAAAAAATCAAGAAAAAGAGATGGAGTAGGATATTACAGATTAAAAGAGACTGCACGTGCTTATCAACCAGTGGCACACTATGGACCTTATTTAAATTATAATTTTAAAAAAACTATAAAAATTGCTTAAATAGAACAATCAGTTCAACATGAATATTTATGTGATGATACTCATGATTTATTGTAGATTTGTCTACATGTGGTAACAATAGTATTGCGGGTGTGTTTAAAAAACAGAGTCCTTATTTCCTACAGATATACACTGAAGTATTCACAGAGGATATGATATGATACTCAGGATTTACTTCAAAATAATCTCAAAGATGGGGGAGTTAAGAGCATGTAGATAAAAAAGAGCTCGACAATGTATTAATGATTTTTGAAGATGAGTAATGAATACACTAGTTTCATTACACTATTTTCTCTACTTTTATATATGTTTGTAATTTCCTAAAATAAATATTTTAAAATACCAATATTTATTAAGGAGCTAGATAAAACACCATTGGTAGAATGACAGAATTCTATAAGCTTTTTTTTTTTTTTTTTTTGAGATAAAGTCTCACTCTGTGGCCCAGGCTGGAGTGCAGTGGCATGATCTCGGCTCACTGCAACCTCCATCTCCCAGGTTCAAGTGATTCTTGTGCCTCAGCCTCCTGAGTAGCTAGGATTACAGGTGCATGCCACCACGCCCAGCTAATTTTTGTACTTTTTTAGTAGAGACCGGGTTTCACCATGTAGGCCAGGCTGGTCTCAAACTCATGATCTCAGGTGATCCACCTACCTCGGCCTCCCAAAGTGCTGGGATTACAGGTGTGAGCCACCACGCCTGGCCTAAGCTCCTCCTTTTACTATAATCTTTTCCCTAAATTATTCCCTATTTGGTGAGGAGGTCTTATGCATCTTGGTATACTTTAATCTTAGCACAGTGACTGCCATATAGTAGTCACTCAATAAGTGTTTATTAAATGATAACCACTCTTTTTTTGATATAAGATCTCACTCTGTCGCCCAGGCTAGAGTGCAGTGGCACCGTCATAGCTCTCTGCTGCCTTGACTTCTCGGACTCAAACCATCCTCCCACCTCAGATTCCCAACTAGTTGGGACTACAGGTGCATGCTACCACACCTGGCTACTTTTTTATTTGTTTTTTTTTTTTGGTATTTTTTGTAGAAATGGGGTTTCACCATGTTACCCAGGCTGGTCTAGAACTCCTGGACTCAAGCAATCTGCTTGCCTCAACCTCCCAAAGTGCTAGGATTACAGGTGTAAGCCATGGCACCCAGCTGATAACCACTTTTAACGTCAGTATAAAACACTATTTTTGTGATCAAATTTATTCAATCACCTATGAAATTAAAATGTTTCTGATTTTGTTCAGAGGTGTTGGCAATACAATGGCCTTCACCTGTAAGACAGTCTTCACCTGTAAGACTGTGTACTCCACATTCAGAGTCATGCCATGTAGGTATTCCTGCACTAAGTTCTCCTAGCAGTACTGTATCAAATCTCAGTCATCAACAGGCTTTTCTGATCAAGTGCCCTTTCTCCCATGTGCTTCTCAGAAATAACTGAAATCTTTGCATACTTTCTCCTCTTGCTGCAGTTCAGAGGCTTTGGCCAAATGCTAAGCTTCTGAAATTTCTGCTCCGAATTTACTGAATTTGAGCACTAGGTGGTTAGTGGGAGGTAAGAGGAAATCCAGCCAGAACCCAAAGAAGAAATTATCTGGGAAATAAAACCTAAATATAAAATGATAGGCTATTTATGTGTTTGTAGAATTTTAAAAGAAAACTTTGATATAACTTTTACAACCTAGGAATGTTTGTCAAAATTCCTTAGTCTAGTTTGATGGGCATGTGCAATGAGATGTTGACCATATAAACTTAGAAGAAGAAACTCACATATGGGAGGAATTATGTGAATTTCCTTCCACCTGAAGGTAAATCTTATTAATGTGAGACAGTTTACAGTGGGATAACAGAGGTTTCATAAAGGTATCTGCCTGTGTTCCTGAAGGGCCCTGACAAATGGCACTGCACAATGGAAGAAGCAGCAGAACATGATTGAGTATTTAATTGATCTGGTGACTTCTAGATGTCAAAAATATTGGAAAGCCACACATTAGAAAAATATCTTGGCTTCCTCTTTCCAAGATACTCTTGGCCACTAAATTGATGTTCTTGTAGGAGACATCTGCTTGTAGGTGATGACTGAGAAATGGATTAAGAACACAGCATAGATTTTCTGCCCCCGATTCTCTACTCTGCCAGCCATTACTAGTACATGTGGGTGTTAATTTGGTAGCTGTCCCAGATTTCATAAAAGCAGAGATGGCTTTCAGTTAAAAATGGCAACTTGAGGATGCATTTAACTACCTTTTATTCCGTCCAAGTTTTCCATCAAAATAATCTGCAGATGTCATAAATAGGGAACATCTTATAGCAATGCTGATCATTAAGAATTGAAGGAATTTTTGCTAAAGATCATACAGCTAAAAGCATGAAGAAAGACCTATCACCCCAGGTTTCTATGTAGTCTGGAAATTTAATGAAAAGAGACATCATCAAAATCTGACTCTAACCTTCAGTGCAGTAGTAAGAGTTGGAGGTGCTGATAGGTTATTGGTAGCCTTGTAAGGGGTCCCTCTAGGGAGTGCATTGCATGCCAGAGCCATAAGGAGCAGGGATCTTGTGGTCTTTCCATGCTGGGAATAAGCAAAGGGGCTGCCACAGCTCTCCCGCAAAGAAGTCAGTTCTGCCAGAAAAAGAATGGAGCTTCTTCCCCAGCTGACATCAGGCTGCCACCACGAACTTTGAAAAGAAACTCTTTGGCCGAAGGGACAGACTCCTGTTATCTTTCTTCTACCCTTAAGCTGCTGGATTTCTGAACCAAATAAGTAAAAGTACAATAAGTTGAAATATTTCCCCCTTCCCCTTATCTTGAGTGGTCTGGAACTTCAAACTCACACAATTTCTAAAAGAACTTAAACCAATACTGGACAAACTCTAATCTCAATCTTTAATTCGGTATACGACTGAAAATAAGAAAAGACAGTGCAAGTCAAAAAAGATGCCAGTCTGAGTGATGATTTGAGTAATGACAAAAAATATTCCTTTATGAAATTTTAGAAACTTTCTGATTAGTTGAACAGGATTTTACATGTTGGACGACAGAGTAGGTAGTCATTAAAAAGAAGGAAACCTGAGATGAGAAAATACTGAGGAAATAGGAAACTTTATTGTCAAGTTTCAAACAAATCAATGAATTAGAACCCAAGCTCCAAGCAATCCTCCTAGAATTTAGGGGAAGAAAACAAAGAAAGAAAAAAGACAAAGGAAAAGAGCTGTGGAGAATAAATCCAGGCAATCCAATATGAGTATAATAGTACTGTCAGAGTCAGTTTAAAATAAATAAATATATAATATTAATATATTGGAGAACCTGAAAATATTAGATAAATTAACCTAAATGCTAGATTGTAGAAAGACCAGTCATACAAACTACTAGAAAGCCTAAACAAGAAAATATTTTTAAAAAGCAAAATATGCAAAATTATGAATCTATAACCATAGATTTGACAGATATTATAATTTATTTTAAAATCTTTTATATGCACCTGGTTATATATTTAAAATTCTTAAAGGAAAACATAAGTTATAAATATACATGTAAAATTCATTAATATAAAATGTTTAAATGTACCTCAAAAGTGGGAAAAGCTCAAGTATTTAATTTTGACAAAAGAAATTTAACAACAAAGCAACTTTCACAAAGTCATACCTTTTATAAGAAGTGGAGCATGAATTTGAAATTTTACAGCATCTAAAAAAAAATAGACAGCTGTCCAACTTATTTTATAACCTTCCATAGTGCTAATAGCAAACCTGACCAAAATAGCAAATACACACACACACACATGCACACATGCACATGCACACACATATACCCCATGTAGACTAATTTTACTTTATATAGACGGAAATGACAAAAATAAAACACCAGAAAAATCAAATGCATACTGTAATAAAATGATAATACACTATGACAATACTTATTTCAGTAATGCAAGGATCATTCAATCTTAGAAGATCTGCAGCATTGTATCAATATATCAAAAGAGGAGAAAAATGCATTATAATTTCTATAGGTTTGATATATCTATGAAAAAGCTTTTATATAAATCAACATCATTTTCTGATGAAATCTCTGAACTAAGACTAAGACATTTTCTTAATATGATGAAAACATTTTTTCTTTCTTTCTTTTTCAAAAAAGCCATCAGGACCATAGTTAAGTGAAACCTACGTATATTTCCATTGAAGTTTGGAATATTGAAGTGTTCTCGATATTCTCAATATTCTTACTAAAGGAATAAGACAAAAAAAAAGAATGAGTACAAATGGAATTACATTAATGCAACTATTAAACGGACACATTTTAATTCTACCCTCTCCCACCATAAATCATGTTTCTTTATAGCCTCTTACTCTTGGTAGACTTATAAATTCAGGGCAGAAAACTAATATGCTTTGCTAAATTATTGTGGTTGCCATGTGATATATTAAGAATTAATTTATTGGCTGGGCACAGTGGCTCACACCTGTAATCCCAGCACTTTGGGAGGCCAAGGTGGGTGGATCACCTGAGGTTAGGAGTTCAAGACCAGCCTGGCCAACATGGTGAAACCCTATCTCTACTAAAAATAGAAAAAATTAGCTGGGCATGGTGGCACATGCCTGTAATCCCAGCTACTTGGGAGGCTGAGGCAGGAGAATCGCTTGAACCCTGGAGGTGGATTGCAGTGAGCCGAGACTACACCACTGCACTCCAGCCTGGGTGACAGGGAGACCCTGTCTCAAAAAAAAAAAAAAAAAAAAAAAACAAAAAGCAAACAAACGAAAAAAGAATTAAAAGAATTAATTTCCTCTCCTATGTAGGAACCAAGGCTGGGGTTAGAGTAAGACAATTAAGTCAAGGGTGTAAAACTACAGAGTCAGATTCTGTCTTTATTTAAAATTGTCACATTTTGTTCATCACAGATTTTTTCATATTAATTTTGATTTTTAAAATATTGTATTAACCTGTGCTTTATCTTGATTATGAGTTTTTTGGTGGCCTGTTACATTCTGCCCCCAAGACAAGCACCTGACTTGCCTCACCCTTGTCCTGGCCCTGAATGGGCTGGTTTTTCAATTATGCTTCGTAACTTGCAAAATTCTTATAAGTATTCTTTTGAATGTACCCAATATTACAAATTTTCAAAATTAAATTTAAAAAATAAAGAAGAAAAGAAGGCTAAGAAAAGAATTCTGGAGGGGCTCCAAATTTTAGTAATCCAGAAGAGGAGATGTTGCAAGCAAAGGAGGCTGAGCAGGAGAGGCCAGTAAGGGAGGAGGAAAAACAGACCGTGGCATTTTCCAAGAATGGTAATATTCTTTTGGGTCAAGGCAGCTGCTGCTGTAAATAGCTAGACAATTCCCTGCTAAGTGTACTTCTTTTCAGTCACCTAGACCGTGCCTTCAGAAATCTCACCTAATAATAGCCTAGCTGTAAGAAGAAAACACATTGTGCATTCATGCATATGAAACATAAATTACAATGCAAAATTATGAAAAGCTATATTTTTGAGCAATCAACGGTTTGGGTTTTGTTTTTAGCATTTTGGGTTGTCAACATGGCATGCTGAATTCATTTGAGCAATTGCTCTGTCTTGACTTGTCTTACTTTACTGTTATATTCTTTTTGTGTTTCAAACCTCGGATCAAGTACAGTCTATGGTTAGATGTCTTCCTTGTAATCAGTTCTTTTTTTTTAATTTAATTTCAATAGTTTTTGAGGAACAGGTGGTTTTTGGTTACATGGATAAGTTTTTTAGTGGTGATTTCTGAGATGTTGATCCACCCGTCACCTGAGCAGGGTACACTGTACACAATGTGCAGTCTTTTATGCCTCACCTCCCTCCCACCCTTCCCACTGAGTCCCCAAAGTCTTTTTTTTTAACTATTTAAAATTATTTAAATTTAAATTTTAAATTATTTTAAATTAAATAATTTTTTTTAAATTATACTTTAAGTTCTGTGATACATGTGCAGAATGTGCAGGTTTGTTACATAGATATATATGTGCCATGGTGGTTTGCTGCACCCATCAACCCGTCATCCACATTAGGTATTTCTCCTAATGCTATCCCTCCCCTTGTCCCCCACCCCTTGACAGGCCCTGGTGTGTGTTTTTCCCCTCCCTGTGTCCATATGTTTTCATTGTTCAATTCCCACTTATGAGTGAGAACATGTGGTGTTTGGTTTTCTGTTCCTGTGTTAGTTTGCTGAGAATGATGGCTTCCAGCTTCATCCATGTCCCTGCAAAGGACATGAACTCATCCTTTTTTATGGCTGCATAGTATTCCATGGTGTATATGTGCCACATTTTCTTTATCCAGTCTATCATTGATGGGCATTTGGGTTGGTTCCAAGTCTTTGCTATTGTGAATAGTGCTGCAATAAACATAAGTGTGCATGTGTCTTTATAACAGAATGATTTATAATCCTTTGGTTATATAACCAGTAATGGGATTGCTGGGTCAAATGGTATTTCTGGTTCTAGATCCTTGAGGAATCACCACACTGTCTTCCACAATGATTGAACTAATTTATACTCCCACCAACAATGTAAAAGCATTCCTATTTCTCCACATCCTCTCCAGCCTCTGTTGTTTCCTGACTTTTTAATGATCACCATTCTAACTGGTGTGAGATGGTATCTCATTGTGGTTTTGATTTGCATTTCTCTGATGACCAGTGAAGATGAGCTTTTTTTCATGTTTGTTGGCTGCATAAATATCTTCTTTTGAGAAGTGTCTGTTCATATCCTTCGTCCACTCTTTGATGGAGCTGTTTGTTTTTTCCTTGTAAATTTGTTTAAGTTCCTTGTAGATTCTGGATATTAGCCTTTTTCCAGATGGATAGATTGCAAACATTTTCTCCCGTTCTGTAGCTTGCCTATTCACTCTGATGACAGTTTCTTTTGCTGTGCAGAAGCTCTTTAGTTTAACTAGATCCCATTTGTCAATTTTGGCTTTTGTTGCCATTGCTTTTGGTGTTTTAGTCAGGAAGTCCTTGCCCATGCCTGTGTCCTGAATGGTATTGCCTAGATTTTCTTCTAGGGTTTTTATGGTTTTAGGTCTTACATTTAAGTCTTTAATCCATCTTGAGTTAATATTTGTATAAGGTGTAAGGAAGGGGTCCAGTTTTAGTTTTCTGCATATGGCTAGCCAGTTTTCCCAACACCATTTATTAAATAGGGAATCTTTTCCCCATTGCTTGTTTTTGTCAGGTTTGTCAAAGATCAGATGGTTGTAGATGTTTGGTGTTATTTCTGAGGCCTCTGTTCTGTTCCATTTGTCAATATATCTGTTTTGGTAGCAGTACCATGCTGTTTTGTTTACTGTAGCCTGGTAGTGTAGTTTGAAGTCACGTATTGTGATGCCTCTAGCTTTGTTCTTTTGCTTAGGATTGTCTTGTCTATATGGGCTCTTTTTTGGTTCCATATGAAATTTAAAGTAGTTTTTTCTAATTCTGTGAAGAAAGTCAATGGTAGTTTGATGGGAATAGCATGAAATCTATAAATTAATTTGGGTAGTATGGCCACTTTCAAGATATTGATTCTTCCTATCCATGAGCATGGAATGTTTTTCATTCATTTGTGTCCTCTCTTATTTCCTTGAGCAGTGGTTTGCAGTTCCCCTTGAAGCAGTCCTTCACATCCCTTGTAAGTTGTATTCATAGGTATTTTATTCTCTTTGTAGTAATTGTGATTGGGAGTTCACTCATGATTTGGCTCTCTGTGTGTCTGCTATTGATGTATAGGATGCTTGTGATTATTGCACAGTGATTTTGTATCCTGACACTTTGCTGAAGTTGCTTATCAGCTTAAGGAGTTTTGGAGCTGAGTCAATGATTTTTTTTGTTTGTTTGTTTGTTTGTTTTGTGATTGAGTCTCACTTTGTTGCCCAGGCTGGAGTGCAGTGGTGTGATCTCTGCTCACTGCAGCCGCCGCATCCCGGGTTCAAGCAATTCTTCTGCCTCAGCCTCCTGAGTAGCTGGGACTACAGGCACACATCACCACACCTGGCTAATTTTTGTATTTTTAGTAGAGACAGGGTTTCACCATATTGGCCAGGCTAGTCTTGATCTCCTGACCTCGTGATCTGCCTGCCTCAGCCTCCCAAAGTGCTGGGATTACAGGTATGAGCCCCCATGCCTGGCTGATGATGGAGTTTTCTAAATATACAATAATGTTGTCTGCAGAGACAATTTGACTTCCTCTCTTCCTATTTGAATACCATTTATTTCTTTCTGTTGCCTGATTGCCCATAGAACTTGTTGAATAGGAATGGTGAGAGAGGGCATACTTGTCTTGTGCCAGTTTTCAAAGAGAATGCTTCCAGCTTTTGCCCATTCAGTATGATATTGGCTGTGGGTTTGTCATAAATAGGTCTTATTATTTTGAGATATGTTTAATCAATACTTAGTTTATTGAGTGTTTTTAGCATAAAGGGGTATTGAATTTTATCAAAGGCCTTTTCTGCATCTATTGAGACAATCATGTGGTTTTTGTCATTGGTTCTGTTTATGTGATGGATTATGTTTATTGATTTACATATGTTGAACCAGCCTTGCATCCCAGAGATGAAGCTGACTTGATCATGGTGGATAAAATTTTTGATGTGCTGCTGGATTCGGTTTGCCAGTATTTTATTGAGGATTTTCGCATCGATGTTCATCAGGGATATTGGTCTGAAATTTTCTTTTTATGTTGTTTCTCTGCCAGGTTTTGGTATCCGGATGCTGCTGGCCTCATAAAATGAGTTATGGAGGAGTCCCTCTTTTTCTATTGTTTGGAATAGTTTCAGAAGGAATGGTACCAGCTCTTCTTTGTACCTGTGGTAGAATTTAGCTGTGAATCCATCTGGTCCTGGACTTTTTTTGGTTGGTAGGCTACTAATTACTGCCTCAATTTCAGAACATGTTATTGGTCTATTCAGGGATTTGACTTCTTCCTGGTATAGTCTTGGGAGGGTGTATGTGTCCAGGAATTTATCCACTTCGTCTAGATTTTCTAGTTTGTTTGCGTAGAGATGTTTATAGTATTCTCTGATGGTAGTTTGTATTTCTGTGGGATCAGTGGTGATATCCCCTTTATCATTTTTTATTGTCTCTATTTGATTCTTCTCTCCTTACTTCTTTATTAGTCTGGCTAGTGGTCTATCTATTTTGTTAACCTTTTCAAAAAACAGCTCCTGGATTCATTGATTTTTTAAAGGGTTTTTTGTGTCTCTATCTCCTTCAGTTCTGCTCTGATCTTAGTTATTTCTTGTCTTCTGCTAGCTTTTGAATTTGTTTGCTTTTGCTTCTCTAGTTCTTTTCATTGTGATGTTAGGGTGTTGACTTTAGATCTTTCCACTTTCTCCTGTGGGCATTTAGTGCTAACAATTTCCCTCTAAACACTGCTTAATGGTGTCCCAGAGAATCTGGCATGTTGTGTCTTTGTTCTCATCGGTTTCAAAGAACTTACTTATTTCTGCCTTAATTTCATTATTTTCCCAGTAGTCATTCAGGAGCAGGTTGTTCAGTTTCCACGTAGTTGTGCAGTTTTGAGTGAGTTTCTTAATCCTGAGTTCTAATTTGATTGTACTGTGGTCTGAGAGACTGTTTGTTATGACTTCTGTTCTTTTGCATTTGCTGAGGAGTGTTTTACTTCCAATTATGTGGTCAATTTTAGAATAAGTGCTATGTGGTGCTGAGAAGAATGTACATTCTGTTAATTTGGGATGGAGAGTTCTGTATATGTCTAGTAGGTTCACTTGGTCCAGAGCTGAGTTCAATCCCTGAATATCCTTGTTAATTTTCTGTCTCATTGCTCTGTCTAATATTGACAGTGGGGTGTTAAAGTCTCCCATTGTTATTGTGTGGGAGTCTAAGTCTCTTTTTAGGAGTCTAAGAACTTGTGTTATGAATCTGGGTGCTCCTGTATTGGGTGGATATGTATTTAGGATAGTTAGCTCTTTTTGTTGCATTGATCCCTTTACCATTATGTAATGTCCTTCTTTGTCTTTTTTTATCTTTGTTGGTTTAAAGTCTGTTTTATCAGAGACTAGGATTGCAACCCCTGCCTTTGTTTGCTTTCCAATTGCTTGGTAAATATTCCTCCATCCCTTTATTTTGAGCCTATGTGTGTCTTTGCACATGAGATGGTCTCCTGAATACAGCACACCGATGGGTCTTGACTGTTTATACAATTTGCAGTCTGTGTCTTTTAGTTGGCGCATTTAGCTCATTTACATTTAAGGTCAATATGGTTATGTGTGAATTTGATCCTGTCATATGATGCTAGCTGAGTATTTTGCCCATTAATTGATGCAATTTCTTCATAGTGTCAATGATCTTTACATTTTGGTATGTTTTTGCAGTGGCTGGTACTGGTTTTTCCTTTCCATATTTAGTGCTTCCTTCAGGAGCTCTTGTAAGGCAGGTCTGGTGGTGACAAAATCCCTCAGCATTTGCTTGTCTGTAAAGGATTTTATTTCTCCTTTGCTTATGAAGCTTAGTTTGGCTGGATATGAAATGCTGGGTTGAACATTATTTTCTTTAAGAATGTTGAATATTGGCCCCCACTCTCTTCTGGCTTGTAGGGTTTCTGCAGAGAGATCCACTGTTAGCCTGATGGGCTTCCCTTTGTGGGTAACCTGACCTTTCTCTCTGGCTGCCCTTAACATTTTTTCCATCATTTCAACCTTGGTGAATCTGACAATTATGTCTCTTGGGGCTGCTCTTTTCGAGGAGTATCTTTGTGGTATTCTCTGTATTTCCAGAATTTGAATGTTGGCCTGTCTTGCTAGGTTGGGGAAGTTCTCCTGGATGATATCCTGAAGAGTGTTTTCCAACTTAGTTCCATTCTCCCCATCACTTTCAGGTACACCAATCAAACATAGATTTGGTCTTTTCACATAGTCTCATATTTCTTGGAGTCTCTGTTCTTTCCTTTTCATTCTTTTTTCTCTAATCTTGTCTTCATGTTTTATATCATTAAGTTGATCTTCAATCTCTGTTATCCTTTCTTCCACTTTTGATTCTTCCACGATTGATTTGGCTATTGATACTGGTGTATGCTTTATAAAGTTCTCGTGCTCTGTTTTTCTGCTCCATCAGGTCATTTATGTTTTTCTCTAAACTGGCTATTCTAGTTAGCAGTTCCTGTAACCTTTTATCAAGCTCGTTAACTTCCTTGCATTGGGTGAGAACATGCTCCTTTAGCTCTGAGGAGTTTGTTATTACCCACCTTCTGAGGCCTACTTCTGTCAATTTCTCAAATTCATTTTCTGTCCAGTTTTGTTCCCTTGCTGGCGAGGAGTTGTGATCCTTTGGAGGAGAAGAGGCATTCTGGTTTTGGGAATTTTCAGCCATTTTGTGCTGGTTTTTCTTCATCTTCATGGATTTATCTACCTTTGGTCTTTGATGTTGGTAACTTTCCAATGGGGTTTTTGCGTGGGAGTCCTTTTTGTTGATGTTGATGCTATTGCTTTCTGTTTGATAGTTTTCCTTCTAACAGTCAGGCCCCTCTTCTGCAGGTCTGCTGGAGTTTGCTGGAGGTTCACTCCAGAACCTATTTGTCTGGGTATCACCAGTGGAGGCTGCAGAACAGCAAAGATTGCTCTGCCTGCTCCTTCCTTCGGAGGCTTCATCCCAGAGAGGCACCTGCCAGATGCCAGCTGGAGCTCTCCTGTAAGTGTCTGTTGACCCCTGCTGGGAGGTATCTCCCTGTCAAAAGGCACTGGGGTCGGGGACCCACTAGAGGAGGCAGTCTGTCCCTTAGCAGAGCTCAAGCGCTGTGCTGGGAGATCCACTGCTCTCTTCAGAGCTGGTAGGCAGGAACATTTAAGTCTGCTGAAGCTGTGCCCACAGCCGCCCCTTTCCCCAGGTGCTCTGTCCCAAGGAGATGGGGGTTTTATCTATAAGCCCCTGACTGGGGCTGCTGCCTTTCTTTCAGAGATGCCCTGCCCAGAGAGGAAGAATCTAGAGAGTCAGTCTGGCTATAGCCACTTGGCTGTGCTGCAGTGGGTTCCTCACCCAGTTCGAACTTCCTGGCAGCTTTGTTTACACTGTGAGGGAAAAACTGCCTACTCAAGCCTCAGTAATGGTGGATGTCCCTCCCCACACTAAGCTCGAGTGTCCCAGGTCGACTTCAGACTGCTGTGCTGGCAGCAAGAATTTCAACCCAGTGGATCTTAACCTGTTGGGCTCCATGGGGGTGGGATTCACTGAGCTAGAATACTTGGCTCCCTGGCTTCGGCCCCCCTTTTCAGGTAAGTGAATGGTTCTGTCTCACTGGTGTTCTGGATGCCACTGGGGTAGGAGAAACAACTCCTGCAGCTAGCTCAGTGTCTGTCCAAACAGCCGTCCACTTTTGTGCTTGAAACTCAGCGCCCTGGGTGTGTAGGCACCCGAGGGAATCTCCTGGTCTATGGGTTGTGAAGACCACGGGAAAAGCATAGCATCTGGGCTGGAGTGCACCATTCCTCATGGCACAGTCCCTCACGGCTTCCCTTGGCTAGGGGAGAGAGTTCCCTGACCCCTTGCACTTCCCGGGTGAGGCAATGCCCCACCCTGCTTCTGCTCGCCCTCCATGGGCTGCATTTACTGTGTAACCAGTCCCAGTGAGATGAACCAAGTACCTCAGTTGGAAATGCACAAATCACCTGCCTTCTGCATTGGTCTTGCTGGGAGCTGCAGACCAGAGTTGTTCCTATTCAGCCATCTAGCCAGCCCCCCTCCTATTATGTAATTTTTATGCCTTTTCATCCTCATAGCTTAGTTCTTACTTATAAGTGAAAGCATACAATATTTGGTTTTCCATTCCTGAGCTAACTTCACTTAGAATAATGGCCTCCAACTCCATCCAAGCTACTGCAAAGATCATTATTTTGTTTCATTTTATGGCTGAGTAGTATTCTACGGTGTATATATAACACATTTTCTTTATCAACTTGTTGGTTGATGGGCATTTAGGCTGGTTTCATATTTTTGCAATTGTGAATCGTTCAGCTATAAACATGTATGTGCAAGTGTCTTTTTCATATAATGACTTCTTTTCCTTTGGGTAGATACCCAGTTGTGGGATTGCTGGATCAAATGGTAGTTCTACTTTTAGTTCTTTAGGAATCTCCACACTGTTTTCCATAGTGGTTGTACGAGTTTACATTCCCACCAGCAGTGTAAAAGTGTTCCCTTTTCACCACATTCATGCCAATATTTATTATTTTTTGATTTTTTAATTATGGCCATTCTTGCAGGAGTGAGGTGGTATCTCACTGTGGTTTTAATTTGCATTTCTCTGATAATTAGTGATGTTGAGGGTTTTTTCACATGTGTTGGCTGTTTTTAATCTTCTGAGATATTGTCTATTCATGTCCTTTGCCCTCTTTTTGATGGGATTGCTCTTTTCTTGCTGACTTGTTTCAGTTTCTTATAGATTCTGGATATTAGTCCTTTGGCAGATGCATAACTTGCAAAGATTTTCTCCCACTCTGTGAGTTGTCTGTTTACTCTGCTGATTATTATCATTATTATTTTGCTGAGCAGAAGCTTTTTAGTTTAATTAGGTCCCATCTATTTATCTTTGTTTTTGTTGCACTTGCTTTTGGGTTCTTGGTCATAAATTCTTTGCCTAAGCCAATGTCTAGAAGAGTTTTTCCAATGTTATCTTCTAGAATGTTTATGGTTTCAGGTCTTAGATTTAAGTCTCAGATCATTTTGAGTTGTTTTTTTTGAGACAGAGTCTCGCTCTGTCACCCAGGCTGGAGTGCGGTGGTGTGATCTCGGCTCACTGAAAGCTCCGCCTCCTGGGTTCACGCCATTCTCCTGCCTCAGCCTCCTGAGTAGCTGGGACTACAAGCGCCCGCCACCACGTCCAGCTAATTTTTTGTATTTTTAGTAAAGACGGGGTTTCACCGTGTTAGCCAGGATGGTCTCAATCTCCTGACCTTCTGATCCACCCGCCTTGGCCTCCCAAAGTGCTGAGATTACAGGCATGAGCCACCATGCCCAGCCTTGAGTTGATTTTTGTATAAGGTGAGAGACGAGGGTCCCCTTTCATTCTTCTACATTTGGCTTGCCAATTATCCCAGCACCATTTATTGAATAGGGTGTCCTTTCCCCATTTTATGTTTTAGTGTGTTTTGTTGAAGACCAGTTGGCTGTAAGTATTTGACTTTATTTCTGGGTTCTCTATTCTGTTCCATTGGTCTACCTGCCCATTTGTATACCAGTACCATACTGTTTTGATAACTATAGGCTTGTAGTATAATTTGAAGTTGGGTAATGTGCTGCCTCCAGATTTGTTCTTTTATGTTAGTGTTGCTTTGGCTATGTGAGCACTTTTTTGGTTCCATGTGAATTTTAGGATTTTTTTTTTACTTCCATGAAGAATGATGATGGTACTTTGATAGAAATTGCATTGAATCTCTAGATTGCTTTTGGCAGTATGTTCATTTTTACAATATTGATTCTAACCATATATGAGCATGGGATGTGTTTCCATTTGTTTGTGTCATCTACGATTTCTTTCAGCAGTGTTTTGCAGTTTTCTTTGCAGAAATCTCTCACCTCCTTGGTTAGGTCTATTCCTAACTTTTTTTTTTTTTTTTTTTTTTGCAGCTGTTGTAAAGGGGATTGAGTTCTTGATTTGATTCTCAGCTTGGTCATTCTTGGTGTATAGCAGTGCTACTGATTTGTGTACATTGATTTTGTATCCTGAAACTTAATTCATTTATTAGATCTAGGAGCTTTTTGGATGAGTCTTTAGGGTTTTCTTTTTTCTTTCTTTCTTTTTTTTTTTTTTGAGACAGTCTCACTCTGTCATCAGGCTGGAGTGCAGTGCCATGATCTCGGCTCACTGCAACCTCCGCCTCCTGGGTTCAAGCAATTCTCTTGCCTTAGCCTCCCGAGTAGCTGGGAATACAGGCACGTGCCACCATGCCCAGCTAATTTTTGTATTTTTCGTAGAGACAGGGTTTCACCATGTTGGCCAGGATGGTCTCGATCTCTTGACCTCATGATCCGCCCACCTTGGCCTCCCAAAGTGCTGGGATTACAGGCGTGAGCCACCATGCCCAGCCATGCTGTCTTTTCATAGTCAATCCTTCCTCTCACCCTTAACCCCTGTCAACCACTCTCCAGGAAAAAGTTTTTGCCTTTTCAAGAGTGTCAGGTAAATGGTATCCAAGAATATGTAGCCTTTTTGGTATGGCTTCTGTCATTCAGTATAATGAAATTGAGATCCATTTATGTTGTTTGTGCATCAGTAGTTCATTACTTTTCATTGTTGAGTAGTATTCTATTGTATGGACAAAGCACAATTTGTTTATCCATTCATCAATTGAAGGGCATCTGGACTATTTCCAGTGTGAGGCAATTATGAATAAAGTTGCTGTAAACATTCACATACAGGTTTTTGAGTGAATGTACACTTTCATTTCTCCAGAGTAGATACATAGGCATGAGATTCCTAAGTTACATGGTAAGTATATGTCTATCTTTATTGGGTATCTCCCAAATTCTTTTCCAAAGAGGCTGTGCCATGTTGCATTCTCACCAGCAATAAATGAGATTTCCAAGTGTTTTGCATCCTCACCATTACCTGGTATTGTCAAGTTTCTTTTTAAGTTATTTAAGCCGTTCAATATAGGTATATATTGGTATCTAATTATAATTTCAATTTGCATTTTGCTAATGACTAATGATATTGAGCATTTTGTTATATGCTTATCTGACATCCATGTATCCTCTTTGGGGAAATGTCTGTTTAGACCCTTTGCTTATTTTTCTTTAATTGAGTTGTTTTCATATTATTGGAATTTTTTTATGTTTTCTGAATATAAGGCCTTTATCAGACACATGATTTACAAATACTTTTTTTCTTTTCTTTTAGGCGGTGTCTCGCTTTGTCTCCCAAGCTGGAGTGCAGTGGCGTGATCTCAGCTCACTGCAAGCTCCACTTCCCGGGTTCACGCCATTCTCCTGCCTCAGCCTCCCAAGTAGCTGGGACTACAGGTGCCCACCACCACGCCCAGCTAATTTTTTGTATTTTTAGTAGAGATGGGGTTTCACTGTGTTAGCCAGGATGGTCTCGATCTCCTGACTTTGTGATCCACCCACCTCGGCCTCCCAAAGTGCTGGGATTACAGGTGTGAGCCATCACGCCCAGCCACAAATATTTTTTTCTAGTCTATAGCTTGTCCTTTCATTCATGTCTTTTGGAGAACAAATATTTTTAGTTTGGATGAAGTTCAATTTATTAGTTTGTTTTTTGTTTTTTTTTTTTTTTACTTTTATGAATCATGCTTTTGGTGTCTAAGAACTCTGCTTTCACAAAAATTCTCCTATAAGCTCATTCCTATAATCCCAGAACTTTGAGAGGCTGAGGTGGGAGGATCACTTGAGCCCAGGGGTTTGAGACCAGCCTGGGCAACATGTGAGATCTTGTCTCTATAAAAAAAAAAAAAAATTAAAAATGAGCTGGGCACAATGGTATGCACCTGTGGTCCCAGCTACTCAGGAGGCTCAGGTGGGAGGATCGCTTGAGCCGGGAGGCCAAGGCTTCAGTGAGCCGTGACTGCACCATTGCACCAGCTTGTGTGACAAAGCAAGTCTCTGTCTCAAAAAAAAATTAAATTATCCTATGTTTTATTCTGGAAAATTTATAGTTTTATGTTTTATATTTAACTCTATGATGCATTTTTAATTAATTTTTGTATAAAGTGTAAGATAAGAGTTGAGGTGTATTTTTTAGGGAAAAGGCATGAACAGGTGATTGTTTCAGCATTATTTGTTGAACACATGCCTCTTCTTGACTTTTGCCAAAAATCTGTCACCCACATGAAATAGATAGGAAAGTCTATTTGCTTTCATTATGGTCAGAGAAACTCCTTTAAATGATTTCTATTCTTTAAAAACTTTAAGGTTTGTTATATGAACCATTATATGGTCTGTCTTAGTGAATACTCCATGAACACTTAAAAGAATTCCAAGTCTTCTCTATCCTTGCCAATTTTCTGCCTACTTGTTCTACTGATTACTAAGAGGCTGTATCTCTTGGTGTTATTTTTTACGTAGCTGCTGTGGGGGTTACAATATACATACCTTTCACAGTCTACTTAGAGCTGGTATTTTGCCACCTCAAATAAAATATAAAGGCCTTTCAACCACAATGGCCCCTTTTTCCTCCCCTATGTTATAGTTGTTTATACTGCATCGAATACCCCACCAAGCAATGTTATAATTTTTGCTTTCAACTATCACATGTATTTTATATTATTTATTTATTTATTTATTTTGAGACAGAGTCTGGCTCTGTCGCCCAGGCTGGAGTGCAGTGGCGCCATCTTGGCTCACTGCAAGCTCCGCCTCCTGAGTTTCACGCCATTCTCCTCCCTCAGCCTGGCGAGTAGCTGGGACTACAGGCGCCAGCCACCATGCCCAGCTAATTTTTGTATTTTTAGTAGAGATGGGGTTTCACCGTGTTAGCCAGGATGGTCTCCATCTCCTGACCTCGTGATCCACCCACCTCGGCCTCCCAAAGTGTTGGGATTACAGGCGTGAGCCACCACGCCCAGCCTATCACATGTATTTTAAAGAACTTAAGAAAAAAGTAGTCTATTTTGTTGTTCTTCTTGAAATTCCCAGGCTCTCAGGTGTCATTTCCCTGCTGTTTGAAGAACTTAGAACTACAGCATGTTTTTTAGACTCTAAATTTAGAGTAGGTCTGATGGTGACAAACTGTTACTTTTCCTTCACCTGAGAATGCAACTATGTTGCCTGCATTTATAAAAAATCTTTTCCTTTGCTGGATGTAGAATTCGGGCTTGGCCGTTCGTTTCTCTGTGTCCTTTAATTACGTTGCTTCACTGTCTTCTTACCTTTTATGGTTTTCTGGTAAGAAATCAATAGTCGTTTGAATCGTTGTTTTGAGGTTTTTTCTTCATATGCTTTTTCTTAATAATTGTACTAAGAGTTTGTTGATTTTATTACTATTTCTAAGAACCAAATTTTGCCTTGTTGATCTATTCATTTTTTCCTCCTTTCTATACATTTTAAACTGACTAGATATTTTTTCACACTCCTCAATTTTTCCCTTGATGGTTTAGAAGAGATACACCTTATTTCTTTTTTCCTTTTTTTTCTTACTTTTTTTTTTTTTTTTTTGAGACAGAGTCTCGCTCTGTCACCCAGGCTGGAGTGCAGTGGCGCCATCTCAGCTCACTGCAAGCTCTGCCTCCCGGGTTCACGCCATTCTCCTGCTTCAGCCTCCCGAGTAGCTGGGACTACAGGCACCCGCCTCCACGCCCGGCTAATTTTTTGTATTTTTAGTAGAGACGGGGTTTCACCGTGTTAGCCAGGATGGTCTCAATCTCCTGACCTCGTGATCCGCCCGCCTCGGCCTCCCAAAGTGCTGGGATTACAGGCGTGACCACCTCGCCTGGCCGATACACCTTATTTCTAACAACATCGTGAAAAATGAGGACATTTGGTTGTTTCTTTTTCCCCAGATCTACAATTGACTCATTGTGTCATATCAAGGAAATCTTGTAATCTCTCTAAGCCTGAATTCCTCAAATGGGAATAAAAACAGTTTCTATCTCTAATATCAGAAGGCTTTGTAAAGGTAATTATGAAGCCAAACATGCTTTTAAAGTGTAAAGTGAGAGACAATTGCAAGCTATCATCATCATTATAGTGACTATAG
Source organism: Homo sapiens (assembly GCF_000001405.40). Taxonomy (NCBI): domain Eukaryota; kingdom Metazoa; phylum Chordata; class Mammalia; order Primates; family Hominidae; genus Homo; species Homo sapiens. The sequence continues at coordinate 72,066,223 of NC_000009.12, read as the reverse complement.
TTATTAGTGGGACACCATTTGGACCAGGACTTGTTTTTAAGGATATTAAAAAGCATTAAAGGAGGCTGGGTGCAGTGGCTCACACGTGTACTCCCAGCACTTTGGGAGACTGAGACGGGCGGATCACTTGAGGTCAGGAGTTCAAGAGCAGCTTGGCCAACATGGCAAAACCCTGTCTCTACTAAATATACAAAAATTAGCCGGGGGTGGTTGTGCACTCCTGTAATCCCAGCTATTCAGGAGGCTGAGGCACAAGAATCGCTTGAACGTGGGAGGCAGAGGTTGCAGTGAGCCCAGAGTGTGTCACTGCACTCCAGCCTGGGCCACAGAGCAAGACTCCATCTCAAAAAAAAAAAAAAAAAAAAGGTGGGGGGTGGGGGGTTAAAGGGAAAAAAATAGCCAGCTGGTCAAGTAAATTCAGGAAAGACCAGGTTTAAACAAAGTTTCTTTATGTCAGTAATTCTTAGGACTTTTTAATATTCCAAAGCACATTTAAGTTTTTCATTACAGAATAACATATATAGCTTGTTTCCAAACTTACCTGTCAGTGCAACATTTTTTTATTCAAAACATCTCGAAGGATTAGGAATGAGAAATGATAAATTGGGGACTTCTATCTAAGCTAGACAAATTAAAGTCATAAGACATGGTAGATTTTTACACCAAAACTTTAAAAGAAAAGAATTTGCCAGGTCTAGATGCAAGCCAGTTGCTGGCAATGTTTTCCAGCTTTAAAGCAATATAATTCATTATCAGTCAACAGAGACTAGGATGACAGTGACTCCACAGGTAAGTTGCTCCTCTTGCAATAAATATTACAGTGCTTTTGAAGTCTGCTTTGACCCTCACCAGCATAAAATTCAAATTATGTTCTTCATGTTTTTTACCATCACAGTATCTACCAGAATACAAGGGCAAGCATCCAAAATGTGACTCACTGGTGGTGTTCCGCAATGTGTGCGTCTGTGTGTCCACCGCGACAGGCATCAGTACATGTATCTGCGAATACACTTTGACTTGTGAATGAGAAATTAAAGTTCGTAGACTGAAAATGACATTTCTTGCTACGAAGGAGTTCTTATCTACACTGTGATTTTAGAATATCTCATTCTGCTCACTAAAAACTGGTGGAATAAAACAGAAAGAGCTGCCTTCTTTGTGAGTTAGTGGAACGACAGAATACTATATTCCAGTACCTTCATTATAGAAATGAGTACACTGAAGCCCAGGATGATGGAGTAAGTTAAGATCACCAGGGTTCCTTGTGTTAACACAAAGGTGACTACCCAGGAAGGCAGACAACTGGGTTCTGATTTGCCCGGAGAGACTCTCCCAAGTTGCCCCAGCCTGTCCAACTTTAAATTCGACTCTGAACTCCTTGCTGACTTGGATTCTAGGATTTCACTGGGAAGGTTACATCCCAGACACCAGCTAATTCTTTCTTCCTACCGCCAAAAGAGAAGCGTCTTAACAGGCAGCAAAACCATTCAGCAATCTTTAGAAAAAACTGATGCCAGCTCATCCCTTCAGGTCTTAAACACCACTTGGAACCAAAGCCCGCACCAGCCCAAGGGCAGTTCATCCAACCTCACATTCATCTTTGTCACCCAATGTCACTTACCCTTCTCACAGATTCTCATCTCCATATTACCCAGGAATTCCTTCACCTTGTCTTCTTTCCATCAGACATCCCATTCATTTGGAAAACATTTACCAAGCCCCTATTCTGTGCCAAGCCCCCGGTTGGAAGCTGGAGATACCAAGATAGCATCTCTTCACTCAGGGAACTAACGGTCTGGTGAGAGAGAATATAAAGAGATCATTCCTTTAAAGGGTGTTAAGTGGAGTACTAGAGGTAGAGAAGATTAAGACTAAGCTTTTCCCTCAAACACAGACCAATAGAGTTAAGATGCTGAACACTGAGCCCTCAGTATTCCTCTCACCTGTTTCCTCCTTGCCATCCCTTCATGCATCACCTACCTTTTTCCCTGCATCCTTTTTCATCTTTGCCAAACTAAAATTCACTCTTCTGGCAGAATTATTTTCTTTAAAAAAAAAATGAAATCGGCTGGGCGCGGCAGTTCATGCCTGTAATCCCAGCACTTTAGGAGGCCGAGGTGGGTAGATCACTTGAGGTCAGGAGTTCGAGATCAGCCTAGTGAAACCCTGTCTCTACTAAAAATACAAAATTAGCCAGGCATGGTAGCGCATGCCTGTAATCCCAGCTACTTGGCAGGCTGAGGCAGGAGAATCGCCTGAACCCATGAGGCAGAGGTTGCAGTGAGCTGAGATCGCGCCACTGCACTCCAGCCTGGGCAACAAGAGCGAAACTCCATCTCAAAACAAAAAAAGGAAGAAAGAAAGAAGAAAAAAAGAAAAGAAAAGAAATCAGCCTGTCTGGAACATAGCAGACAGAGAATAAATATTTTTTGAATAAATAATGTCACTCCTGTGCTTAACACCAATCAGTAAATTCCTAACTCATACAGAGGTGCTTGCAATATTTTTCCACTGATTTATCACTAATGAGGAGGGAAATGAAAACAAATATACCCCTGAAGGTATTATTCTGTAAAATGTCCAAATCTAAGATGTGCAGCTCAGTAACACTTTATATTTGCAAAAACACATGTGCTCACCTCCCCCATCAAATATAAGACATTTTCATCAGCCTAGAAGGCTTTGTTATGCCCCTTCTCATGTCAGTCCTCCTGCTCAGAGATAACCACTACTCCATCTTTAATCACTACACATAAGTGTCACCTATCTTGAACTTCATACATTCAATGGAATCATACAGTAAATACTCCTATTGACTTGAGTATTACTGTTTTGTATCCAGGTAGCTTTGCTAGAGCATCTCAGATGAAATGCCCACCTATAACTCCAAGATACCAGTGGCCACTTTCAGGGCTCCATATTCCATATTGATTTCTTTGTTTTTACCAAAACCTATTTCCTACAGGTATCAATTAGGAGGTGTCAGAAAAACAATCTTCACTGAAGGAAAGGAAAAACAGATAATATATATCATGAAAAATATCATCATTATACCTACGAATTTATATTTGTATGAACATTATGTTTGTTGATCGACTAATCAGATAATGTCACTTTCATTCAAGAAAATAAATTTTTAATAGTGGCACATTAGAGCCAAAGAAAAACTTGTAATGAAGACATTTAAACAAGAGGAAAATCTCAAGAAGGAATGGAAGCAAAAGTAGCATTAACTGAGGGGTTATTATGGTCTAGTCATGAATTTGAAGATGAACATGCCACACTGTAGCTCTAAATTGGTATTATCTTTCTAGAAAACTATTTTCCAATGTGTATCAAAAGGCTTATATAAAAGGGTTTTGTTTTGTTTTGTTTTGAGACGGAGTTTCACTCTCATTGCCCAGGCTGGAGTGCAATGGCGTGATCTTAGCTCATCGCAACCCCCACCTCCTGGGTTCAAGCAATTCTCCTGCCTCAGCTTCCTGAGTAGCTGGGATTACAGGCATGCACCACCACGCCCAGCTAATTTTTTATTTTTAGTAGAGATGGGGTTTCTCCATGTTGGTCAGGCTGGTCTTGAACTCCAACCTCAGGTGACCCGCCCGCCTCAGCCTCCCAAAGTGCTGGGATTACAGGCGTGAGCCACTGCGCCCGGCCAACTTATATAAAAGGTTTATGTTTTTGTTCTGATAATTTCGTTTCTATGAACTTACCCTAAAGAAAATTTTAAACACAAATAAAATTATAATGAAAGATCCCCAAACACGAGGGGATTATTAAATAAATTATAGTAACTCTATATGGTTGAATATTACAGGAGCTTTAAAAATGTATTCTTGGCCGGGCGCGGTGGCAGTAGAATCGCTTTAACCTGGGAGGCAGAGATTGCGGTGAGCCGAGATCGCACCATTGCACTCCAGCCTGGGCAACAAGAGCAAAACTCGTCTCAAAAAAGAAAAGAAAGAAATATTTAATGACAAAATAAGTACTCAAAATATGAAGTTAAGTTTTAAAAAGAACAGGCTACAAAGTTATAGCTATGGGGTGATACAAATTATGTATGTATGTATATTTGAGTATAGGTACTAACATATGTATTAATACACACACACACACACACACACTCATTTACATTTCCCCACCATTTGACTAAAAGTGCATACTTGAGAACACCCTTTGTCAATAATAATACATCTATTTCTTCATCTCTGCAACTTGCTAGGCAAAAGATCATGTTAATCTAGACTTTTAGCTATTAATAAATATTATTTTGCAAATCTTTGATTCAATATTAATGAGGATATGGGGGAAAGTATTCATCCTCTGTTGGTGGGTAGAAACATTTCTATTTTTTTTTTTTTTTTTTTTTTGAGACGGGGTTTCGCTCTTGTTGTCCGGGCTGGAGGGCAGTGGCGCAATCTCGGCTCACTGCAACCTCTGCCTTCCGGTTTCAAGCGATTCTCCTGCCTCAGCCTCCTGAGTAGCGGGAATTACAGGCGCCTGCCACCACGCCTGGCTAATTTTTTTGTATTTTTAGTAGAAAGGGGGTTTCACCATGCTGGCCAGGCTGGTCTCGAACTCTTGAGCTCGTGATCTGCCTGCCTCAGCCTCCCAAAGTGCTGGGATTACAGGCGTGAGCCACCGTGCCTGGCCAGTGGATGGCAAAATTTCTATAGCTACTTTCAGGGGCAATTTGATAGGCCTTGGGAAAAGCAATCCCAATTTTCGGGATCTGTCTTAGAGAAACAATTTGCATATGTGCCCAAGTCCATATACACACATTACAGCATTGTTTGTTATTTTAAAAAAAAGAAGGTATGTGCTCATCAACCAGGAAATGGATAAATATGATGTATCCATACCAGAAAATATTATATAGCAATGAAAAATAATGAAAGTTTTTTCAAACTTTCATAAGAAGACTGACATAAGAAGATTTTTAACATATTTTTGAATGAAATATAAGGGGGAAAATAATATGTAGAGTATTATATTATTTTGTAAAAGTAAAAGAGAAAGTATTATTATACACAATCCTATGTTATAAGTGTTATGATGAAAATGCACAGAAGAAAAAGTACCCTTGAATAAACTTTAGGAAATGATTAAAAAAAAAAAAGATACCCAACATATTGATAATGTGGTTACATTTGGAGGAGACACTCACTGGGTTTGATGGGAACATAGTCAAAGGGGATTTTAACATTCTTAATACTTTCATTTTTTCAAAAATAATGTATATTAATTTGGTACTATATATTAATTTGGAAATAAACTTTTTTAAAATTCAAATTGCTTTCTGAATGCACTAAGTGCTGCTTTAAAGACTATATGGAATTTTTTTAAAAATTAAGACCAAGTACTTTACATAATAAATAGATAGTATGCCCACAAGGCAATCTATTTCTGAATTACCTAATCTTTGCATAGTGAACATAGCAATCTTCAGCCAAATTTAGTTAGTTTAACTACTGACCAACTTAGCCTTATTATATTAATTTCATGAGTAAGGAAATTAAGTTCCAAACAGATCAGAGTGTTCAAGTGAAAAAATATTCACATTTACTCGGTCAGTTTTTACTGTTTAAACTGTTTGGAATCTAGTGGATCAGAGTGTCGCTTTCAGTTGTAACGGACTTCATCACATCACAAATTGTACTCGTTCTCATCCTTTTAAGAAAGTTCAGACCCAGGAAAATTTCCATAGTACCTTAATGAAAAAGATAGGTAGGTCATGAACAACTGAAATATTATACTTTACCCAATCTTACAATTTCTTCCCTTCATTTTAATAAGTATTAACTATCGTTAACTATCACATAATGCTTTTCCCTCATAAATAAGGTCTTTTGCAGTGAAAGTATTATTAATAATTCATAGGCCGGGCGTGGTGGCTCACGCCTGTAATCCCAGCACTTTGGGAGACCAAGGTGGGTGGATCATGAGGTCCAGAGATCAAGACCATCCTGGCCAACATGGTGAAACCCCGTCTTTACTAAAAATACAAAAATTAGCCGGGTGTTGCAGCATGCGCCTGTAATCCCAGCTACTCGGGAGGCTGAGGCAGGAAAATCGCTTGAACCGGGGAGGCCGAAGTTGCAGTGAGCTGAGATCACGCCATTGCACTCCAGTCTGGCAACAGAGTTAGACTCCATCTCAAAAATAATAATAATAATAATAATTCATAAAGGAGCATGAATGAATATGTGTATTTTCCTTTTGGCCAATAGTTAAAAGGATTTCTAACAGGATATTATTCTAGAAATATCATCTATTTCACTTCATAGTTCTGTATGAAACCATTATAATTCTGAGGAAAAACTGAAGAGAGAAGGTGATATTTGGTAATAAAATAACTTAAAATGTTCTGGAACTAGAAGTTTTATGGGTTTATTTATTTATTTATTTACAGTCTCGCTCTGTCCCCCAGGCTAGAGTGCAGTGGCCTGATCTCAGCTCACTGCAACCTTTGCATCCTGGGTTCAAGCGATTCTTGTGCCTCAGCCTCCCAAGTAGCTGGGATTGCAGGCACCCACAACCACACCTGGCTAATTTTTGTATTTTTAGTAGAGACGGGGTTTCACCATGTTGGGCAGTCTGGTCTTGAACTCCTGACCTCAGGCGATCTGCCCACCTTGGCCTCCCAAAGCGTTGGGAATACAGGCGTGAGCCACTGCGTCCAGCCATATGGTGACTTTTTTATAAAGACAGGTACCTTATTTTTCCTCCTTCACAAAATAAACTTATTTATATTGTCTTAATGAAATCAATAAAACTTAACCAGTCCTTTCCGTTTTTAAAATAGCTAACATAAATGTGTAACTTTATTGCTTCCCCAGAAATCAGTGGGACGTGTCTTTCCTTTCATCTCCTTTTCGGCTTGGAAATCAGAATGAGAAGGATTGTTTTTGCTGGTGTTATCTTATTCCGCCTCTTAGGTGTTATCTTATTCCGCCTCTTAGGTGTTATCTTATTCGGCCGCTTAGGTGGTAAGTCATTAGGAAAGCATAAGTTAAAAGGATAGAAAATTATTAAGAAATTGTAGGGCCGAGCGTGGCGGCTCACGCCTGTAATCCCAGCACTTTGGGAGGCTGAGGCGGGTGGATCAGGTCTGAGGTCGGGAGTTCAAGACCAGCCTGACCAACATGGAGAAACCCTGTCTCTACCAAAAACACAAAATTAGCTGGGCGTGGTGGTGCATGCCTGTAAACCTAGCTACTCGGGAGGCTGAGGCAGGAGAATTGCTTGAACCCAGGAGGCAGAGGTTGCGATGAGCCAAGATCATGCCATTGCACTCCAGCCTGGGCAACAAGAGTGAAACTCTGTTTCAAAAAAAAAAAATTGTTGATTGATCATTGATTATGAATGGAAAGTCTGTCACGCTTAGTGGCAGAACCAATGTGAAATTTCCCAAGTGTCTTTAGATGAGGTTGAGCCTGGGGAAAATCATCAACAAAGGTTAATTAGCCTCATCAGCCACACTGTTTTCTATTAAAAATGTTCTCTTCTATCTCCCAATATGGCAGAGGGAGATATAAAACACATTGCAGAAAACATCTGGTAAACCCTTCTTTGGGGCCATCAATGAATAGGAGTGACATGGCAGTGGTCATCATATAGTGGAAGATGGAAACTGTGAGCACTCAGAGAAATTCTGGCTCAGTTTCAAAAGAATCTTTTAACAATCTGAGCTGTTTTTAATGGTGATCAGTTCTCTATCACTGGCCAAAGCTCCCTGCAGAAGCTATAAGAAAGATCCCTAAGGCTGGCCGCGGTGGCTCACGCCTGTAATCCTAGCACTTTGGGAGGCTGAGGCAGGTAGATTGCCTGAGCTCAGGAGTTCAAGACCAGCCTGGGCAACACGGTGAAACCCCATCTCTACTAAAATACAAAAAATTAGCTGGGCTTGGAGGTGGGTGCCTGTAGTCCCAGCTACTCGGGAAGCTGAGGCTGGAGAATTGCTTCAACCTGAGAGGCAGAGGTTGCAGTGAGATGAGATTGCACCACTGCACTCCAACCTGGACAAAAGAGCAAGGCTCTGTCTCTAAAAAAAAAGAAAGATCCCTGAATTGGAAGCATCAACGATTCACAAACATTGGTCTAGACATTGATTGCTAAATCATATCCCCTCAGCTATTTCTGCAGATCTAAAATACAAATTCTCAAGCCCCACCTTCCATAGATTCTAACTCAGGTTTTTGGGGGCCCTGGGAATCTGTGAGTTTATTTAATCTGCTTAAAGAAATCTGATGCACAGTAGAATTTGGAAAACAATCTTCTAGATAATGTCTTCCAATCTTACCAGTATTGACCAGTTCAAGAATCTCTGGGCTATTTCTATATAAACAAAATGAATAATATTTTCAAGCCACTGAATTTGAGTATGGAAGATAACCAATATGTAAACATTAATGAAGCAATAAATATTCATGAAGAATCGACTATATATAATATGCTACCTTAGGCACTGAAATTAAGCCCTAACAGTGAATATGTGGCTGAAATTAAATTTTCTGGTAAAATAAATTTGGGGTGATTTAATTAAGCACTGAGGAACTGAATGAATTTTAACCAACTAAGTTGTTTAGACCACCTGGGCTCCTGACTGATTACCACAGTTCAAGGTGCTTCCAATTCATAAATACAGCATACGCTTCGAAATTTCCCTCATTAAACTCTCAAAATAAAAAATAATTTTAGCCTGGTGCGATGGCTCACACCTGTAATCCCAGCACTCTGGGAGGCCGAGGTGGGTAGATCACCTGAGTTAGGAGTTTGAGACCAGCCTGGCCAATATGGTGAAACCCCATCTCTACTAAAAATACAAAATATTAGCCGGGCCTGGTGGTGTGCACCTGTAATCCCAGCTACTCAGGAGGTTGAGGCAGGAGAATCGCTTGAACCCGGGAGGTGGAGGTTGCAGTGAGCCGAGATCATGCCATTGCTCTCCAGCCTGGGCAACGAGTGAAATTCCATCTCAAAAAAAAATAATAATTTACGTTAGGTTTTAGAATTTTTAAAATATTGCTTACTTCCTGGGCACAATGGCCCACACCTTTAATCCCAGCACTTTGGGAGGCCAAAGCAGAGAGACCAGCCTGGGCAACATAGCGAAACCCCATCCTCCCCACTAAACATACAAAAAGCTGGACACGGTGGGTGTGTGCCTGTAGTCCCAGCTACTTGGGAGGCCGAAGTGGGAGGATCACTCACTTGAGCCTGGGAAGCGGAGGTTGCAGTGAGCCGAGATTGTGCCACTGCACTCCAGCCTGGGTAACAGGAGTGCAACCCTGTCTCAAAAAAAAAAAAAAGTATACATATATATGTATACATTTGCAGAGCATGCAATCTTTCAATCCCCTTCCATGGATGTCTTTTAGACCTGGGAACCTGCCAGACAAAACCTGGTCAGTACTGGAAAGAAGAGGTCCACATTCAAGGTAAGTTTTGACACTTTAAAAATTTTAATTAAAATAAGCACAGGGAAAATGCTTATCACAACAAACTTTCATATGCCAGATGCTACACTAAGGGCTTTGCCAGGGCTACATTACACCAACAAAACAATGAAAAGAGCTGGATGGACCCTGTCACTATCCCCATTTTAAAGATGAGATAGCTGAGACACGAACGATTAAGTAATTTGCACAGTCACATAGCTAATGAGTCTTATAGACAAGATTCAAATGTGAGTACTTTGACTCCAGAGCACACATTCCTAATAATCTATATACTTTCTCATTCACACCACTCACGTACTCACAAAAAAGTAATACACAATTTTCAGAGCCCTTCTAAACTTGGGCCCTGTGCACCAGTTGCATGCCTGTGAAACTGGCCTTCTCCAAAACATAAAAAAAAATAAAATATATATATTTAATATATATAACATAAAATATATATATAACATAAATATATATATATAAAGTCAAAAATCACTACTTTATTTTTTTGATCTCTCTTCCTTCCTCGTTTTCTCTCTCGTATCTATCACTACTTTCTCATTTTTCTGCCCCTGTACTTGGAGATGTTGGAGGTTTGATTTGCAGAGCATGCAATCTTTCACTGCCCTTCCATGGATGTCTTTTAGACCTGGGAACCTGCCAGGCAGAACCTGGTCAGTACTGTAAAGAAGAGGTCCACATTCAAGGTAAGTTTTGACACTTTAAAAATTTTAATTAAAATAAGCACAGGGAAAATGCTTATCACAACAAACTTTCATATACCAGATGCTACACTAAGGGCTTTGCCAGGGCTACATTACACCAACAAAACAATGAAAAGAGCTGGATGGATCCTGTCACTATCCCCATTTTAAAGATGAGATAGCTGAGACACGAACGATTAAGTAATTTGCACAGTCACATAGCTAATGAGTCTTATAGACAAGATTCAAATGTGAGTACTTTGACTCCAGAGCACACATTCCTAATAATCTATATATTGTCTCATTCACACCACTCACGTACTCACAAAAAAGTAATACACAATTTTCAGAGCCCTTCTAAACTTGGGCCCTGTGCACCAGTTGCATGCCTGTGAAACTGGCCTTCTCCAAAACATAAAAATCCAAATAATGAAACATTGGAAGAAAATACTGGGAAACATTTTAAGTTTGAAAGAATGGAGGTTAGCTAGGCATGGTAGCACACACCTGTAGCAGTCCCAGCTACCGGGGAGGCCAGGTGGGAGGATCACCCGAGCCCAGGAGGTTGAGGCCACAGTGAGCTGTGATCACACCACTACACTCTAGCCTGAACAATGGAGTGAGATCATGTCTCGAAAAGGAAGGAAGGAAGGAAGGAAGGAAGGAAGGAAGGAAGGAAGGAAGGAAGGAAGGAAGGAAGGAGGGAGGGAGGGAGGGAGGGAAAGAATGAAGGAAGGAAGGAAGGAAAGAGAAAGAGAGAAAGAGGATGGAAGGAAGGAAGGCAGGAAGGCAGGAAGGAAGGCAGGAAACAATGGAGGCTCTTTTAGCATCCAAAATCCAGACCGGGCACAGTGACTCATGCCTATAATCCTAGCACTTTAGAAGGCAGAGGTGCGTGGATTGCTTGAACTCAAGAGTTCAAGACCAACCTGGGCAACATGGTGAAGCCCTGTCTCTACAAAAAAAAATATATATATATAAAAATTAGTCGCGCATGGTGGCTTGCACCACCATGTTCCCAGTTACTCAGCATGGAGGCTGAGGCAGGAAACTTGCTTGAGCCCAGGAGGCGGAGGCTGCAGGGAGCCGAGATTGAACCACTGCACTGCAGCCTCGGTGACAAGAGTAAGACATTGTCTCAAAAAAAAAAAAAAAAAAAAAATCCCAAACCCCAAAGTTGTAAAGGAAATAATGAATACATTTGAATATATGAAGAGTTTAACATTTATAAAATGTGTGATAATTCCAAAATGTAAAAGATAAGGAATTAACTGGGTGAAAATATAAGAAACATGGATAACATTAATATTTATCCAGAATAAAAAACTTCAAAAACAATTTTAAAAAGACCAACAATCAAGAGTAAATACCTTATTAAAGGAAGTAGGAAGGCAATTCCCACAAGGATCAATATAAGTAACCTACAAATATAAAAGCCTACTCAACCTTGTTAGTAAAAATCAAGGAAATGCAAATTATGAAAACAATATAATATTTTTAACCCATCAGATTGGTAAAAAACATAAAAGTTTTATTATATCAGGAGTTAGTATGGGGAAATGGGAACGCTCAGACATTTTCAATGACAGCTTAGATTGGTTCAGCATCTTTTTAGACAATTTGTGAATTTCCATTAAAATTTTAAATAAACACAGCCTTCGACAAAGCAATTCTATTTCTTGGTATCTACTGCAGAAAAATATTTATATTTAACACATGTATCAAGGTTATCATTGCAGCATTACGTTTAATAGTAAAGTAATATAAATGACCTAAATAGGCTAGGCGCGGTGGCTCACGCCTATAATCCCAGCACTTTGGGAAACCAAGGCAGGCAGATCACCTGAAGTGGGGAGTTCGAGACCAGTCTGACCAACATGGAGAACTCCCATCTCTACTAAAAATACAAAATTAGCCGGGTGTGGTGGCGCATGCCTGTAATCCCAGCTACCTGGGGAGCTGAGGCAGGAGAATCGCTTGAACCCGGGAGGTGGAGGTTGCGGTGAGCCAAGATCATGCCATTGCACTCCAGCATGGGCAACAAGAGCGAAACACCATCTCAAAAAAATACAAAAAGAAATGACCTAAACGTTCATCTATAGGGAACTATTCATTCAACTGTGTTACATGCAGGTCATGGAGTGCTATGCAACACTCAAAATGAACCAGATCCCCTTGTTAACATGGAGGAATCTCTAAACATATTGAGTGGGAAAAAATTCAGTTGCCAACAAGTACGTTCAGTATACCACTGATGAATAACAATCCACAAAACAAAACTCTAAATTTTTCTGTGGAATTGGAAGGGAAGAACAAAAATTAGAGGAGATCAAAATTAGTTTGGAGAGAGGATGAGAATCATGGGGTCACGTCGCAAGGCGTTTTGGTATTAAGAGGGTTACTTGGGTTCTGTTCAATCTTTCTAGTTTAGGTCCCCTCTCCAAGGTCAGTTCTCCCCTCTGCTAGTCACAGCCCCTTCTTTATGGAATGGGAAACATATCCAGACTCCCTGGGCCCATGAGATGTTGGCTCTTCTCTTCCTGAATGTGGCCAGAGAGTCATCTAGCCAGACGGACTCCAGAATTAGGATTAAAATACTCTATGTATAAGAAAGAGCCTGGAAGCTTATTCAACAAAATATTAACAATAGTTCTTGATGGGTCGAAGGCCTGGAATGACTACAGTGTTCGGAAGAGCAGTTTCCTAATTTGGGAAATTTGCCATTTACACTAATGCAAGACAAACAACTGATCCTCATGCTTTTGATAGTTTTATCAATAGGGTTTCTCAACTTTTGCACTATTGACATTTTGGGCAGGTGAATTCTTTGTAATGGAGGGCAGTCTTTTGTATTGTAGGATGTACAGCAGCATCATAGCTTTTACCCACTAGATGCCAAGAGCACCTCCAACCCCACCCTGCCGCCCCAACCAGTTCTGACAATAACAATGTCTCTGGGTATTACCCGATGTGCTGGGAAAGGGAGAGCAAAATCATCCCCAGCTGAAAACCCACCATTTTGTCCAAGTTTCCAGTCATCACATTTTGCTGTCTTTGGGGAATAGCTCCTTTTGTCCTCCTACCTACAACTGAAACTGGGGTGGTAGAATTACAGGATGTTACTGTCACTTATTTTGTTCTTGTGTGCATTTTTTGTGTTTTCTACAGTGATCATGCATTACTTCTTTAATCAGGGAAGGAATTAAGTGAGGTCATACATACACCTCCATTTCTGAGAGGCCCTTAACACATCTAAAGGATCCTTCTGTACATTCAGCCCTTTGAATAACTCACAACCTGGATAAAACTGGGGGATGATTATCAGGAAGCTTCAAAACAGCTTGCACTTCAGAAATTCTACATAGTCAATGGCAATTGCATGGCTTTTACAATCTGAGTTTGAAAGCTTTTTTGTTTTACAGTTTCAAATCTTGTGTATGCAATGTACCCAACTACAATAGTCTAAGTGGGAGTTCTTAAAGGTAAAATAATGAAATGAACCATTCTTAATGGTGGAAATGCTAGATTCGTACCTTGATAAAACTAAAGTTTTGCTTAGTATTCTTTTTAACCTATTAGCATCTGAGGCCACATAGGTTGTACCTCCCAAGAAATTTCCTTACCTCTTTTCTCTCCGTCAGGTGGCATTCAATGGTATTCAGTCAAAGGCTGCACAAAGAACACATCAGAGTGCTTCAAGAGTACTCTCGTCAAGAGAATTCTGCAACTGCATGAACTTGTAACTACTCACTGCTGCAATCATTCTTTGTGCAATTTCTGAGTCAGTGGCCCATATCTAAAATGCTTGGCAGATCAATCAGTCTCGAAGCCTGACCTGGCTATCACAAAATGATGGCTATTGTCAATTAGCCCACTTCAGAAACCTCAGACCCTTGTAGGTAGAAGGAATTTTGATCTGAAATTGACTTTGGTTTTCAATATTCCCAATATCTCCCCCACCACCTCCAACTCATCTGAGAAATAGCCCTTTCAACACCATTTCTCTCCTCTCCTCCTTCTGCTTAATTTACCTTCCTACCACAAGGCTACAAAGAAGGAAAAATGTTAGTGATTCTCCAAGTCAAACTAGGCATGTCACCTCTAACTACTTTCATTTCCCTCAATAATTCCATACTCCAAAATATGGTTACAAATGTTTCACAAGACAGCAAGTGACCTGAGAATATTCATTTGGTTTCCAAAGCAAACTGCCTTGCTCCTTTGGGGTGATTTATGGTATAGAAGAAACTGACTTAACATATACTATAGGGAAAAAATAAGCCATGAATCAGCAAGCCAGGCCTGCGGGAAAAGTATGAACCCAAACAGGAAAGGGCTGAGGCAGGTGGTAGGGCTGGCACTTATTTCTTCCATCTGCCTCAGAGTTTATCCAAATTTTGAATTTTCCGTACCTTAACCATGCCTAAATGCTTTGGCTTGTTCAATTTTGGCAGATTAAGCAGTTCAAGGTAAGCAGAGAAGTAAGTTCCCAACCACAAGGAATTTAAAAGGAGTAGGAACGTACTTTGAACTACATTTCCCATTTTGCGATCATTACGTCTTCTATTACAATGCCCTACTTTGGCAGCATGAAGAGTACTGCATTAATTTAATTTAATTTAAAATTTAATTTAAAACTGTCTTTCTCTGTATTTTCAGGAGTTTGAAAATTCAAAAAATAAATAATAAATGTCAATAAAATCTTGTCTGTCTTTTTCTCGGGACTTAGGACCACATTCACATAGTGAGCCCTCGACAAATGCTTCTCTATCAACTTTGAAGAAAAACAAGCATTTTTTTTTAAAGTCCAGGAAAGCTAGATTTTTTTCCCTTCAGACACGTTTCAACGATATTCCTTAGACCATATCTCTGAAACTAAGAAAAAAAGTCTCCATCCTGAGACTGAAATCTAGCTCCCCTTATTCTGTCATATTTTGCCATAGCCACATTGATGAAGAATGGTTACCTTAGATCAGTGAACTTCATGAAAATCTAACTTTTCTTTCTCTTGGGTTTTTTATTTTATCTTATTTTATTTTTTGAGGTTGGGTCTTGCTCTGTCACCCAAGCTGGAGTATAGTGGTACAATCACAGCTCACTGCCGCCTCAAGCTCTCAAGGCTCAAGTGATCCTCCCACCTCAGCCTCCAGGCTAGCTGGGACTACAGGTGCACACAACCATGCCCCCGCTAATTTTTGTAGAGACAGAGTTTCACCATGTTGTTCAGGCTGGTCTTAAACTCCTGGGCTCAAGCAATCCACCCACCTTGGCCTCCCAAAGTGCTGGGGTTACAGGCATGAGCTACCGTGCTGGGCCTTAGTTTTGTTTTTGTTTTTTTTTTGAGATGGAGTCTCGCTCTTTCATCCAGGCCAGAGTGCAGTGGTGCTATCTCAGCTCACTGCAGGCTCCGCCTCCCGGGTTCACGCCATTCTCCTGCCTCAGCCTCCCAAGTAGCTGAGACTACAGGCGCCCGCCACCACGCCCGGCTTTTTGTATTTTTAGTAGAGACAGGGTTTCACTGTGTTAGCCAGGATGGTCTCGATCTCCTGACCTCATGATCCTCCTGCCTCAGCCTCCCAAAGGGCTGGGATTACAGGCGTCAGCCACCGCGACCAGCTGGCTTTAGTTTTTTTTTAAATGTTACATTATTTACCTGATATCACGGTGCTGGGGAATGACAAAATCACATACACCATCACTAATTCCAGAGTGCTTCCCAAGCCTAATTCACAATCTGGGTGATGTAATGAGAGGAGAACTAGGGAGCAGGTGCTAGTTTTTTGGTTCACTAAGTATTATAGCTGTTGACCTCGGCAAGTCCCGTCAGCCTCTCTGCACCTCATTCTTGGATCACACCATCTCTTACATTTCCTCAAATTCTAGCATTTTATGACTCAACATCGAATAAAACCATTTTCTTGTTTTCTTAGATTAAAAATAAGACCTGGTGCTGAACACAGCCCCTGAGATAGGCCCTGATTAAATGACCATTGTGCACCTGTTACCAAAACACCAGGTTTGGTACAGGTCCTGCTACTGACCGCACAGAAAGCCAATCACTGAGACGAGTATTGCCAAGGAGGAAGGCTTTAGCAGGGTGCTGCAGCTGAGGAGATGGGAGCTCAGTCTCAAACCCTTCTCCCTGACCCACTAAAACGAAAGGTTTACATAGCAGGGAAGAAATGTAACGATATGTAAGAAAACAGGAACTAGGGAGGGGCAAGTAAGCAGTCATGATGAATGAGGGGTCTGGCATCTCATTGTCAGGACCCTGGTGCTCTGGTGAGTTGCAGTTCTTTGACACCCTTTTGCAGAGGTCTGAAGGTCCTTTCCTGAGGAAGGAACTCAGATAAAACAAAAGTTTCAAACTTTAAGACCAGAAAGATCAATTTCTGTGTTTATCAAAAAGAACAGTCCATGGGACTACTGGGTCAGTTTCACACCCAGCTCTGTATAATCTATGAAAAACAGAGGAGAAATGCCAGCCACCAGAGCAGTGACAATCACAGAAGCAGTTTACCTGCATGCCAGTTTGACCCAGCAGTCACCATGGAAACAAAAATAACTTTGACAACTTTGGTGTGTAGACTGAATGATAGTTCCCCAAAGATGTCCACAATCTAATCCCTGGAGCCTGACAAAAGGAAGTTTGTGGATGTACTTAATTTAAGGATTTAAGATTAGGTAATTATCCTGGCTTATTTGGGTAGGCCCAACATAATCACAAGGATGGAGGAGAGCCGAAGAAAGAGGAGATGTGTTTATGGAGGCAGAGGTCACAGATTTGAAGGTACTATGCTGCTGACTTTGAAGAGGGAGGAGGGGGTCACAGCCAAGGAATTTGGGTGGCTTCTAGAAGCTGGAAAAGGCAAGGAAGCGGAGTCTCCCGAGAGTTTCCAGTGGGAATGCAGCCCTGCTGACACATTTCAGACTTCTGACCTCCAGCACCGTAAGATAATGAATTTGCTTTCGTTAGACGTGGTCATTTGTTACCGCAGCTACGGGAAATGGCTTGGTCATGCAGTGGGTGGTGTGGCATTTCTCTTCCCGCAAGGTTAACACAGGCCATACTGGATTTTTGTGGGATCTAATTTCAAGAGAGACACCTCGGTGTCATATGGTCTTCCTTTCATTCTCACAACCTCTCAGTCATAATTTCCCTCGAAACACACAGATGGCCTACAGACATGGGATCACATCTTTTCAGCTGACACCTCCCACTCAAGCCCCTATCCATTCAGGATTTATTTAGCTAACAAGTTTATTTTTTTCAAGTCCTTCACACCCAAAGACAACGTGATATGAGATTAGCCTGAATGTGATCTATTTATGAGACATCAGCCCGAAGGGCCTGTGGATCCAGGAACCTCCCTTGATCCTCTGAATACTAGGTTGGCTTCCTTGTTGATTACATTTTTCCTGCAACTGAAATAGAAATGTCAGTGGTTAATGCCTCCTAATTTATTTAAATGTCTCTGCAGTCAATACATTAGGGGCATCTGGAGGATGTGGCACGGAAGAGACTGAAATGATTCTATTAGCAAAGGAGAGATGTAACATTTGCCTGCGAGCACTCAGTTACGTCTTCTGAAGTTCCAAGAAGCACACTTTTTACAACTGAGATAGCCATTACCGGCTATCCCACTGTACTGATAAGGAATCTGAAGCTTCCAGAGCTGACAGGTGGCTGAGAGGAACTTGCAGTGATCCTCACTCCTCCTCAAATGCCAGCCTTTGAAAGAACCACGTGGGGGGCCAAGAAGCTGAGCATCTGGGATGCTGCTACTCTGACTCTTCAGTGTATGTTTCAGGCCTCTGAGAAATGAGACATAGGGGCTTTTAAAGGAAGCACAGGAGGCCGGGCACAGTGGCTCACACCTGTAATCCCAGTACTTTGGGAGGCCGAGGCGGGTGGATCACCTGAGCTCAGGAGTTCTAGATCAGCCTGACCAACATGGTGAAACCCCGTCTCTATTAAAAATACAAAAATTAGCCAGGTGTAGTGGTGCATGCCTGTGATCTCAGCTACTTGGGAGGCTGAGGCAGGAGAATTGCTCGAATCCAGGAGGTGGAGGTTGCAGTGAGCCGAGATCACGCCACTGCACTCTGGCCTGGGCAACAGTAGTGAAACTCCGTCTCAAAAATAAAAAATAAAGGAAGCACAAGAGCTAAGAAATAGAAGAAAACAGTGTTAGCAGCAGAACGTATCAAGTAACACGGCACCAAAATATGTTACTGGCGGCAAATCTGTACGGGTCTGCAGCAACCTCAGTTCTTGCCTCCTCAGAAGAAAGAATTCGACTGGGGGTCATAAGGCAGAAGGACAGACCGAGGCAAGTTTTAGAGCAGGAGTGAAAGCTCATTAAAAGGTTTTAGGGCAGGCTAGGTGCAGCAGCTCTGACTGTAATCCCAGCACTCTGAGAGGCAGAGGTGGCGGATCACTTGAGGCCAGGAGTTCAAGACCAGCCTGGCCAACATGGCAAAACTGTCTCTATTAAAAATTAAAAAATTAGCCGGGTGCAGTGGCGCACACCTGTAGTCCCAGCTACTTGGGAGGTTGAGGCATGAGAATTGCTTGAGCCTGGGAGGCAGAGGTTGCAATGAGCCCAGATCACACCACTACACTCCAGCCTGGGCAACAGAGTGAGACTCTGTCTCAAAAAAAAGAGAGAAAAAGAAAAAGTTTTAGGGTAGGAATGAAAAGAAGTAAAGTATATTTGGAAGAGGGCCAAGCGAGCAATTTGAGAGATTAAATGCACGGTTTGACCTTTAACTTGGGGTTTTATATGTTGACATACTTCCGGGGTCTTGCATTACTTCTCCCCTTATTCTTCCCTTGCGGTGAGCTGTCTGCATGTGCAGTGGTCAGTGGTCTGCTAGCACTTGCAAGGGGCCACATGCACAGTACTGGAGTTTGCACATGCTCACTTGAGGCCTTCGTCCCTTACCAGTCAAATGCTCCTAGAGGAAGATCATATACCAGTTAAACGTCACCATTTTGCCTCTTAGTGCGCATGCCCAACCCCACTCACCCAACTCCTGAGATCTCATCAGGAAGCTAATCACCAGTTTCAGGTTTTACCAGTTTCAGGTTTTTCTATCTATTGGAAGAATGTCGGTCCCTGGTACCAGCTGCAACCAATTAGTATTTTAGCACAACAGTTAACAACCACCTGACCATCACCTGATGGTCACCTGGCATTCCCAGTAGGGGGTGGGGTGGCCCTCTCCTGCTCTGCTCATGTCTGCCTGACTACCTACTGTAATCATAGGATGGTTGATGATTGACCCCAGAGCTCCACAAACAATTCTGTATCTAACTGAGGACTTTGGACAGAAAGAAATAGTCTGAAGAACTGAAGGTTGCAAGCTAAGTAAATAGGGAGCCATCTTTTAGTTCTTGATTTTCTGCAGTGAAGGATTCATATGCTAATATCTTTATGGCTAAAACTGCTAGCTGATGTATGATGTTGGCAACATAGTAAAACATCCCCATCTTTGAGGAGGTGTGGGGCCATCCCAGTACGGACTGTTTAAAGTCCTTCCCTCTCTCTCTCCCAGTGGCTGCTCCATGGGGGTGCAAATCCTAGAAGTGCAGGCATTGGAGGTGGCTGTACCTCTTGATGGACACATATTATCTTGCACATTTCATTGACCCATGCAGATCAGCACCTGTAAGTCATGCTGTATCTTCCTTTGATTGAACCTCAAATCCTAATTCTCCAATTAGCAGGACAAATACAAAAAGGCAGGTCTAGGCTGGGCGAGGAGGCTCACACCTGTAATCCCAACACTTTGAGAGGTCGAGGCAGGCAGATCACGAGGTCAGGAGTTTGAGATCAGCCTGGCCAATATGGTGAAACCCCATCTCTACTTAAAATACAAAAATTAGTCGGGCGTGGTGGCATACACCTGCAGTCCCAGCTACTCGGGAGGCTGAGGCAGAAGAATCACTTGAACTCGGGAGGCGGAGGTTGCAGTGAGCCGAGATCATGCCACTGCACTCCATCCAGCCTGGGTGACAGAGTGAGACTCCATCTCAAAAAAAAAAAAAAGAAAAGAAAACAAGGCAGGTCTATCTTCTATCCTACACATAACTTCCTGGTGTAAGTATATTTTCCACCTTCCTTCCCCCCACACACTGAATGAAGTTAATAGATCTGCCACCAGAAAGTATTGTGTACAATGGAGTGTCCAGCTGTAACCAGCAATTTTGGTGCCAGGGCAAGCATAAAACACAGCCATCAAATCGACTTTGTGATTCATGTCTCAGCTTGCATATGGGTGCTATTGAAAATCCTTTCCATCTGGTAGCTTCCTATTTTAACTAGTTATTCTCACTTACTAGCTGTTAAATTTAGTGATACTACATGCTTGTGCTATAGAATTAGTTGCACGATCATTTTAAAAACTGGCACACTGTGGCCGGGCGCAGTGGCTCATGCCTGGAATCCCAGCACTTTGGGAGGCTGAGGTGGGTGGATCACCTGAGGTCAGGAGTTCGAGAACAGCCTGGCCAACATGGTGAAAACCCATCTCTACTAAAATACAAAAATTAGCCGGTGTGGTGGCATGCACCTGTAATCCCAGCAACTGGGGAGGCTGAGGCAGGAGAATTGCTTGAGCCTGGGAGGTGGAGGTTGCAGTGAGGCGAGATCGTGCCTCTGCACTCCAGCCCAGGCGACAGAGCTAGACTGTCTCAAAAGAAAAAAAAAAGAAAAAACTGGCACACTGTAAATTTCAGAGCCCTAGTTACAGCTCTGATTATGGAGAGAGAAGAGAGAGAAAGAAGTAGGCAATGATGGGAAAATTTTGAAGAACATGGAAGTCATTCATTCAATTAATATTTATTGAGCAGTTCTTACATGTCAGGTACTATGGAGGTAAGGAGGATACAATAGTGAACAATTTAGATGTTCACGAAGCAAGCTTCTGGTGTGGGGAATAAGAACACAGAAGGTGGTGTTTTGTAATATAGTAAAATAAATCTGTGCGATTTAAGTATGAGGAGTCCATGGGGCTCAAAAGAGAGAACAGGAAGAAAAGACTAAAAGGACTAAGAAGCTGGTAAAACTATTTAAAAGGGGGGTAGCTCACACCTGTAATCCCAACACTTTGGGAGGCCGAGGCAGGTGGATCACTTGAGGTCAGGAGTTCAAGACCAGCCTGACCAAATGGTGAAACCTTGTCTCTACTAAAAATACAAAAATTAGCGAGGCATGGTGGTGCATGCTTGTAATCCCAACTACTCAAGAGGTTGAGGCAGGAGAATCACTTGAACCCGGGAGGTGGAGGTTGCAGTGAGCTGAGCTCACACCACTGCACTCCAGCCTCGGCAACAAGAGTGAAACTCCATCTCAAAAAAAAAAAAAAAAAAAAAGAGACACCTACCCCCATGTTGTCATAAAAGGCTCTCAAAGGAGGTATCTAAGCCAATATCTGAAAGAAATTAACCAGAAGAGTTCGGAGGTTGGAGGGAAAAGGTTTTCTGATGTGTCAACTTGACTAGGCCACAATATCCAGGTCTGGTCAAACATTATTCTAGATGTCTCTGTGAAGATATTTTTTAGATGAGATTAACATTTAAATGAGTAGACTTTGAGTAAAGCCAATTACCCATCATAAGGTGGGAGACCTCATTCAGTTGAAAGCCTTAAGAGAAAAATGACTGCCTCCCTGAGAAAGAAGGAATTCTGCCAGCTGACTGCCTTCAGACTTAAACTGCAGTGCTTCTCTGCGTCTCCAACCTGTCTGCCTACCCTGCAGACTTTGGACTTCCCATCCTCCACAATCATGTGAGCCAAGTCCTTAGAATAAATATCTCTCCCTCTCTCTATATATGCACACACATCTATCAGTCTTATCTCCCTGGAGAACCCTGAATAATACAGCTTCTAAATAGAGAGGTCCACGTACGCCAGGGCCTTTGAGGTACAAGAGAATCGTGGCATGTCTGGTGACCACAGGGAGAGACCAAGACCATGCTGAGCTGAAAAAGAAAATTCATATTGCCTGAGCAAGCTCAGGCATTTCTGTTGCTTGAGACAGAAGGTCCAACCAAACTAAGACAGAACCTCCCTGAAAGGTCTGAAAAGGGCAGCAGACAAACAGTTCTGTGTTTTCAAAAGATCACATGGGCTTCAGCTTGGAAAATAATTGGAACTGGAGCAAAGAAAGCATTTAGACTTTTGCAGCAAGCCAGGTGAGAAATAATGGCCTGTGCTAGAAAAGTGGCAGTGAGCATCAAAAAGTAAGAAATACTGCTTGCGCTTCCTATGTACAAGAACCCTGCTAGGTACCAGGGGGCAGCAGTGAACATGTCCTTGCTCTCAGAGATCTTACAGTGGAAGAATGAGACAAGAAACCATAAATCACCTAATTTCAGAAAGCAAATGTTATGGAAATAAAATTAAGTGGGTTAGGGTGATGGTGGGTGTCTATTTGAGACAGGTGGGCAGAGCAAGGCGTCTATGAGCAGAAACCTGAAAGGGCTGGGAGGGTCAGTCAAGCACCACATGCAAGGTGAGCACAGCAGGCAGCAGGGACCTCAGTATTCTCTTTGGACATATTAAGTGTGCAACACTGATTAGACGCCCCTATGAAGATGGCTAATGTGTGATAGGATATGCAAGTTTGAAGCCCAGGGGAGAGATCTGGCTGGAGAGAGAGATATTTGAGATCCATCAGTAAAATCTACGCTTGAAAACGCCTTTAAACTCAATGAGACCACCTAAGGAATGAGTGAAGGAAAGAGGGATTAGGACTAAGCCCTGGGGCCCTGAGAAATTAAGGGGTAGAATAGAAAAGGATCATGGGAGCCTCTGCACTGGGGAGGTCCACCAAATACAGGCTGGAGAACATGTTGAAAGAGGCTTCCCACAGAATCTGCTACCGCAGCTGAAGTGGTTGGTAAGAAAAGGTGCTTGGAAGTGAGGCCAAGGAACAAAGTCCGGCTAGTTGGATTTTAGTCCCTATGGAACTGACACTAGGCATTGGGGCATATGGGTTTGAAGCTCAACAGGGAAATCCTGGCTTGAGATAGATTCAGGCATCTGGCACATAGGTGCAAAAAATGAGGTTAGAATGAAGAGTGAGAAAAGAGAAGAGACCACGACAGAACTTTTAGCAGGACATACATTAAAGGGAGTGGGTAGAAAATGAGAAAGAAATCTGTGAAGGATCAATTCCAGATGATTGCAAAAAAAGGAACATATTTTGAGATGCAGCAAATGCAAAGATGCTATGCCTCAACCCTGAGGATATGTTGAATAAAGTCTGTGTCATGAGAACAGAGGCACTGGAGCACAAACAAAAAAAAAGACCAAGGCTAGCAGTTTAATTCCACCGTTTATTAACTGTGTGACCCTGAACACATTACCCAACATTTTAAACTTTAATTTTCTTACTTGTGAAACATGGTCAACAGTGCGTCACTGAGCCTTGCAGAATATCCGGTACATGACCAGTATTCATCACCTCATTCTCTTCCTTCTTCCTCTTGGCTTTAACGTTTGAATCATGCTAACAGGATAGGATACAAGAAGCAGCAATACTAAAAGTAGGAGTCTCCAGGGGGAGTGAGGCTCTTGTGGTTAGAAGAGGCTATATCGGCCGGGCGCGGTGGCTCATGTGTGTAATCCCAGCATTTTGGGAGGCCAAGGTGTGCGGATCACAAGGTCAGGAGATCGAGACCATCCTGGCTAACATGGTGAAACCCTGTCTCTACTAAAAATACAAAAAAAGTAGCTGGGTGTGGTGGCAGGTGCCTGTAGTCCCAGCTGCTTGGGAGGCTGAGGCAGGAGAATGGGGTGAACTCGGGAGGCAGAGCTTGCAGTGAGCCAAGATCGCGCTACTGCACTCCAGCCTGGGTGACAGAGCGAGACTCTGTCTCAAAAAAAAAAAAAAAAAGAATAACTAGTGTCGGTGGAACTAGTGTGGCCCTTCAGGAAGGGCAGGACTCAGGTCTGTGTTTCGCAAACATTCAGAGCCATTAGACCAGTCAGTGAAGCTTAATAAAATGCAAGTTTTCAACACCCACCCCCATGTAGTCATGAGGCTGGGCAGAGGGCCAGGTGATTCTGCTAAAAGTAGTTCTCAGACCGCACGTGAAAGAGACGCTAATGTAGACACATGGAAAAAAAAAAAGAGTGCACCACCAAGAGTGCAGCGTGTTCTTGGGGTGAGATATAGGAATGTACACGGATTTATGATCTAAGCAGAGGGCTCATGTGAAAAGTCACAGGATGTAAATGAGAACAATGAGGCCCAATAAAAAAACTCTGGAATTGTGGATAAGAATGAGAAAGCAGTGAGTGTACACATGGCTTTGGTTTTAAAGATCTCCATTTCATTTTATGACTAGGAAGAGTCATAGAAGAAGAAAAAGCCATGGAGAAAGAGAGAAGCAGACAGATGTACTGGAAGGAGAATGAAAAGACAATGGAAAGGAGCAGGGGAACACTTAGGGAAATGCCTTGCCACCAAAGAGCCATGTGACCTTGGGCAAGGACCAAATGTCACTCCCTTCCCTTCCACCGTCTGCAAAGACAGGCTTGGTTAATATTCCCTGAGATCCTTGCAAGCACCCGCTTCCCATGGTTCTCAACAGTGGGAGTTGGGGAATGTAGGGGAAGTTGTCCATGAACTTTGATGGGAAAAAAAAATACTATTCCTTTATTTTCGCCCATTTCTAACTGAAACATAGCTTTTCCTTCCATAATGCATAAAAGCAGCAAGCCATGAAAATATTAGAAGTACCTGTGACTTTGTTACCAAAAAAATAGCAATAAGTTTGTTTTTGGGTTTTTGTTTGTTGTTGAGACAGAGTCTCGCTCTGTAGCCCAGGCTGGAGTGCAGTGGTGCAATCTCGGCTCACTGCAAGCTCCACCTCCCTGGTTCACGCCATTCTCCTGCCTCAGCCTCCCGAGTAGCTGGGACTACAGGCACCCGCCACCATGCCCAGCTAATTTTTTGCATTTTTAGTAGAGACGGGGTTTCACTGTGTTAGCCAGGATGGTCTCGATCTGCTGACCTCGTGGTCTGCCCGCCTCAGCCTCCTAAAGTGCTGGGATTACAGGTGTGAGCCACCACACCCGGCCAATAAGTTTGTTTTATCACAGTTGTGCAGATACCTCCAAATATCATTTATGCTCACCAACACTTGAAAGTTACAGTAGTTATTATAGGCAACACTTTATCTTATTTAATACATTATTAAAGAAGCACATGTATTATATCTTTTAAAAATATTTTTATATTTCTTGGTAATCATATACATACTATTTTATGTATAGGACTATTATTATAGTGGGAGCCTTTAGAATGAAGATTCAAAAATACAGGGGACATTGTCCATTTTATTGCTTAGGTCCAATACAGTATGGACTATGTGGAAATATGATTAGACAAAAATGGAATGATCTAATGCCGATAGACTGAGTAAGGCCTGTCTGTCTAGATTCTTCTTGGCTTCTCTGTGCAGTATTCTTTCCTTCTGTATATGGGGCAGGATCATCTCTGAAATGGGGGTCTTATGACCAAGAGTCAAACAAGATAAGCCAAATAATTTCTTTATGGCCAGTTTTTATACAGAAAGGCAGAGGGGTAGATTAGAGTAATATTTTTAGGTTTTATGACTAGCTTTAGGGAAAAGGAGTTCTGGTTTCACATAACCCAGGGGTCCCCAATGCCAGGGCCACTGACCGATACTGGTCCATGGCCTGTTAGGAACCGGGCCACACAGCAGGAGGTGAGTGTGGGTGATCAGGCATTAGCGCCTGAGCTCTGCCTCTTGTCAGATCAGTGGTGGCATTAGATTGTCGCAGGAGGCCAAACCCTATTGTGAACTGCACATGGGAGGGATCTAGGTCGCGTGCTCCTTATGAGAATCTACATAATGCCTAATAGTCTGAGATGGAACAGTTTCATCCTGAAACCATCCCCACCTCACTCCGTGGGAAAATTGTCTTCCATGAAACTAGTCCCGGTCCCTGGTGCCAAAAAGACTGGGGACCGCTGCTGTAACCCATGTTGGGGAAGAGGGATGTTCGTTTCCTTGGCTGGCCTCAGGGGAGAATGTGACTGAGAGATAGGAGGGCAGGAGAGTGACAGAGAAAAACTTCTGCTTCTGAGGTCTCCATTTTGGGGTATTATTTTCTGAGCCCCAACATATGTGATCCTTCCACATCGTTTCTAACATGGCAGCTTCCAGGTAGCCTGGCTCCTCACATGGTAGCTCGGGGTTTTTAAGTGAGGGTCCTGAGAGAGAGGAAGCCGTACAGAAACTGCACCGTGTTTATGACTGAGTCTTGAAAGTCATATATGTCACTTTCACTGTGCTCTGTTAGTTGAGGCAGTCAGGAAGCCCTGCCCAGGCTCACAGGGAGAGTACCTAGACTCTACCCCTTGTCGGGGAAGTACTAAGCTTCTGGGAAACATATGACCCAAAATGTGTTTAGGGCCATTTCTATGAAATACGGTCCGCTACACGGTCATCTATGGGGCAGATGGTCCCAGGCATAACCAAGGTTCACTCCCTTCTGGATGCTCAGCCTACCCTGAATTTCACTCACAGCTCAACCTTGTCTTCGAATGCCAATCACCCGTTCTCGTTCTCATCCTGCCTGCAGAGCGCATCCAGCCTGTTTCCCAGCTTATTTATGTTGTGTTTTGATCTTGAGCATTTGAAACGTTCTGTTGCAATGATCCCATCTCCAGCTCACTCTCCCTATTTCTCTTTCTGGTAGAACCAAAGTGGGCCTGTTTGAATCTCACCAGCGCATCCCATATTCTAGCTGTCTGAATTATATTTACCTGAACAACTGGCCCTCCCTGCTGAGAACGCGCTAACCTCTGGATCTCGGGCCTGAGGCTTCCCCTAAGCCCTTCAGCACATCCTTTGCCTTCCCGACGCGATTCCCTGAGTGCTTCTGCCATCTGGTGGCCAATTGTGGTAACTGCACTCTACAGTCCAAGCTGATAGTTGCCCTGGCTCTTTTCCTGGACCTATCAGGCCAAGATGTTCTACTTACTGTCTCTTTAAGTCCTGTAATCCCAGCACTTTGGGAGGCTGAGGCGGGAGGATCGCTTGAGCCCAGGAGTTCGAGACCAGCCTGGGCAACATAGCGAGATCCCATCTCTACCAAAAAACAAAATTTAGCTGGGCATGGAGGTGAGCGCTTGTAATCCTAGCTACTCAATAACACGGCCTGTGAAGGAGGTTAGCAGTCTGACTGAGGAGGACAAAGTGTAAAATGTAGGTTAAAAAATAAGGAGTGAAGATGAGGGAAGATGATTCCTGAGTCCTAGTAAATTCACCTGACCCAGTAGGCTACATAGCTCTTAAGTTCAAAAAACAAGTGGGAATTGTGTTTGCACTGTTGAGGACCACAGCTGGATTCTATCCTAGCCACCCAGCTGACTAGCTTGGCAAGTTGCCTAACTTCTCTCATCAACATTGTTGTGATTGTAATATTTACTCATGTAATTGTTCTGATAATTAAATAAAATGCCTTATGAAAGGCCAGACGCGTTGGCTCATGCCTGTAATCCCAGCACTTTGGGAGACCAAAGCCGGCGGATCACTTGAGGTCAGGAGTTGGAGACAAGCCTGGCCAAACTGGTGAAACCCTGTGTCTACTAAAAATGAAAATAAAAATAAATTAGCCAGGTGTGGTGGTGCATGCTTGTAATCCTGGCTACTTGGGAGGTTGAGTTGGGAGGATTGCTTGAACCTGGGAGACGGAGGTTGCAGTGAGCCGAGATTATGCCACTGTACCCCAGCCTGGGCAACAGAGTGAGACTCTATAAAAAAAAAAAAAAAAGTACCTTATGGAAAACACCTAACCCAGGAACTCGTTTCTTGTGAGGACTTGCTGCCTGGTTCACAGATGTTGGCTTCTTACTGTGTCCTCACATGATAGAAAGGGCTAGCCAGTTCTCTGGGGTCTCTTTTATAAAGGCACTAATCCCCTTCATTACCTAATCACTTCCCAAAGGCCCCACCTTCTCATACCATGACCTTGGACGCTGGGTTTTAACATGTGAATTTTCAGGAGACACAAACATCTGTACTATAGCAATCCACATGTCACCAATCTTCTAATATTGCTAGTTTCACACCCTTGGTCAACAAACCATGCCATCCTCCCCTAGCCGGAAGTCTATGCATATCTGAATCTCGGGCCACTTCTTCCATACACAGTGAACAACCAAGTGTGCCGGTTGCAGCTCTGTCCACTGAGAGGATTTCCCCCACACTCTGTCCTTAAGGTCAATACTGAATGAGACTATAATGTGGCAACTGTCCATTTTCTCCTTCCCTTCATATGCTAAGCCAAACCATCTGTGAACCAGATGCAAGAGTTTTCCTCTTCCACCACTGGATCATCCAGAAGCTGTTGTAAGGCCATGTGTGTGAACTGAGGAAGAGGCATTAGTGCCACAAAAGTGACATACCCTCTGGAGCTGCTTGGGCCTGATCCTTATGAACGATTTTTCATCATACAATAAATTACGAAAGTTCCTTATGATTCAGTGGTTATGACGATGCCCCATCCGTGGTGAGCATCTCCATTCTCATCGCCACTTGACAACCTATAGTTAGATACTCAGTCTCTACAATGGCACAATAACCCTCATCGAGCTTCTTTTCCTATAGTGCATGGTTCTCTGCTTCAGAAGGCATGACTGTATCCAGAATACTGTGGGTCTCTGCTGTGCCTCCCCTATTGGAGCTTGCCGGAGACTGAGCAGCATCCTTTCCACCATGGGTACCTCTAGCACCATTAGGCCTGCTGGGTCATTTAGCACAAGACTCAGGGCAGACTGCAGCACGACTCTAACCTGCTATAAAGTCCTTTCTTGCCCTGGTCTCCACTCAAAATTGGCTGCATCTGAAATCCAAAGATGCTGAACAACCACTAATCCTCTTTGTGGTGGAGGGTACACGATGCTATGATTTCTTTCTCTCCTGGAGATATGTGGGTGTCCCAGCATATCTCTAACAACTGGGCCCCTAATAACTTCACCAATACAGCAGCCCCCTGAATCTTTTTCATTTTATCTTGGACCCCATATGTCTAACTAGAACATCCACAGTCTTTGCTACTTTCTGTTCCCCAGATCCAATTAACATAATATCAATGAGGTAACAGACCATCATGATATGCTGCAAAATGTCAAGATGATCAAGGATCATGAAGACTATTTTATTTCAGAAATTAGGATGCTTAATACAACCTTGATCCAATTCAGTGAAGGTACATTACTATACTTCCCACATTAATGTGAACTCTTTTGCTCACCTTTACTGACAGAATGGGGGGAAAAGTATTCTCCAGGTTAATAACCAAATACCAAGTACCAGACCTGTTACAGTAAAGATGCCACATATAGTGGAGCAGCTATAATTGGGGCCATTTGTATAAATCTATGGTAGTCCACCTTTATTGCTACAGCCCATTTGGTTTTTACAGGGGTCGTGCAATTGAATTGAACAGGGATATGATGGCTCTCCTTTAAACTTTGCAGCTGAAATCCTGTATCCAACAGCCCTAGACAGGGTTCACAATAGAAACTTCCCCAGCATGTAGTTCTGTTTGGGGGAGAATTAGAGGACCACGTATTATATATACTTGCTGGAGAGCTGTAGAATCCTCCCTCCAAGGACCCACAGTCCTTTTTTTTTTTTTTTTTTTTTTTTTGAGATGGAGTCTCATGCTGTCGCCCAGGCTGGAGTGCAGTGGCACGATCTCGGCTCACTGCAAACTCTGCCTCCCAGGTTCACGCCATTCTCCTGCCTCAGCCTCCCGAGTAGCTGGGAGTACAGGCGCCCGCCACCATGCCCAGCTAATTTTTTGTATTTTTAGTAGAGACGGGGTTTCACCGTGTTAGCCAGGATGGTCTCAATCTCCTGACCTCGTGATCTGCCCGCCTTGGCCTCCCAAAGTGCTGGGATTACAGGCGTGAGCCACCGCGCCCAGCCCCATAGTCCCTTCTAAGTGGACTTTGGGTCTGAAAATTACTCGAATATGAAAACAAGGATAGAGAGAATTTATAGTGGTAACTAACATCAGTCTTTCTCTCATCATTTCTTTTTTTTTTTTTCTGGCTATAACTCAAGCATCACCCTAGTTGGCTACCCATCTGCCTCACCTCTAAGAACACCAAACTCTGTGAACCATCATTATAGACTCTTGCAGGTCAAGGTGCTCTACTTGACACTCCACGCTTACTGTTAATTATGATAATTTTGTCTCCATGCATCTGATGCAGATGCTTAAGCACTGCCACTGGTCTCTGTCATTCTGAAATCTTACTGTTCCCATTGACACCAGAAAAGAGATCAGTTTTGCAATACCACCTAAGATTATCAGCCCTAACCTACAGAGGACAGACACCCCTGAGCTGTCAGTGATTCTGGCGCCCCTCACCAGCACATTCCTTATCTCTTTGATAAAAAGAGTACCCCTGGGCCCTCTTTGAAAACCTAGTCGGCAATAAGTAGTCTTATGCAATAAATCCATTCTATCACGCCGTCTTCTCTGAGCCTACTAACCTCCTCCTCTGTACATCTCCACCTCCTTTGCTGAAGGTCATCATGTTCAAGCTTCAAGGAGCCATCCCAGCAGCACGTTGGACCAGCTTCATGTTTCCTTGCTAGAACATTTAATCCTGAATCATGAAAGAGCATTCCAGTGTTATTTCACTCTCCCCTAATCAGCTTTATATTTTGCTCTTCCACCCTCCCCTAACCCAGTACTCTCAAAACCATTCCTGCACATGCTCCGCTGGTTCCAGACAGTACATATTTTGCATGCCAAGTTCTGTAGTTATTTTGGTGAATACCTATTTCTACTATAGCAGATATTAAACCTTCCTTTTTGGGTTATGCTGAGACCTGACCATAGTTATTGGTCTGGAGGCAATGAGCTGGAGGGTGGGGTTGAGAGTGTCAGATCACGAGAACAACCATTATCTTTCATTTTATTTATTTATTTACTATTATTATTATTATTATTTTTTTTTTGAGACAGGGTCTCCCTCTGTTGCCCAGGCTGGAGCACAGTGGTACAATCATGGCTTACTTCAGTCTCAACCTCCTGGCAAGTGATCCTCCCACCTCAGCCCCCCAAGTAGCTGGGACTAGAAGCATGCACCAGCATGCCCAGCGATTTTTTTTTTTTTTTTTTTTTTTTTTAGTACAGATGAGGACTTGCTATGGCACCCAGGCTGGTCTCAAACTCCTGAGCTCAAGCAATCCTCCTGCCTCAGCCTCCCAAAGTGCTGCGATTACAAGCTTGAGCCACCACACCAGCCTTTGACCACCATCTTTTGACACAACCGCTTCAGGTGAGGTCTTTCTTGGTCTTCAGGCAAACGGAGGCTCTTCCCTTTTAGTAAGAACTGTTATTTCTGCCAGCCAAGAGGGGTCAAAGGAATACAGCAAAAAGTTCAAGGTTCTCAGACACATCCATGCAAACTTTTTCAAGCTGGCAGCCTAACACAGAAGAGAAGTGGAGGCTACACATTCACTTGTTCTTGCAGCTTGGTCACCTTATTATTAATTCCTAGGCCTGATCTATAGCCCAGGCTGTCCCACAGCTGCAAGAGACAAGATTCTCTTTATATGCTTCCAGGGAAGCTGTCTGGCTCTTATAGATTCCCTTAAGTTAATAGTTGGCTGACCTGGCCAGGCATAATGACTCATGCCTGTAATGTCAGCACTTTGGGAGGCCGAGATGGACAGATCACTCGAGGTCAGGAGTTGGAGACCAGCCTGTCCAACATGGTGAAACCATGTCTCTACTAAAAATGCAAAAATTAGCTGGGTTGTACTCCCAGCTACTCGAGAGGCTGAGGCAGGAGAATCGCTTGAACCTGGGAGGCTGAGGTTGCAGCGAGCTGAGGTTGCAGCGAGCCGAGATTGCACCACTGCACTCCAGCCTGGGCGACACAGCAAGAGTCCATCTCAAAAAAAAAAAAAAAAAAAGGAGTGAGTCAGACCAGGCACGGTGGCTCACACCTGTAATCTGAGCACCTTGGGAGGCTGAGGCAGGCAGATTACTTGAGGTCAGGAGTTTGAGACCAGCCTGACCAATATGGTGAAACCTCATCTCTACTAAAAATACAAAAATTAACTGGGCTTGGTGGAACGCACTTGTAATCCCAGCTACTGGGGAGGCTGAGGCATGAGAATTGCTTGAACCTGGGAGGCAGAAGTTGCAGTGAGCTGAGATTGCACCACTGCACTCCAGCCTGGGTGACAGCGGGAGACTATCTGTCAAAAAAAAAAAAAAGTGCATCAGCAAGATTGCTCCTACCTCCTATCTCGATTCCTCTGGCACCTCTTGAAAAGTGTACAAAATGCCTCCTAGAATTGTCCGTCTAGGAGGTGGACAGCCAGAGCATTTGGTTGAGGACATCCCTTAGGGCCATTAACTCCCCTCACTTGCAGGCTACATTTGGCAAAGTCGCCTTTCAATATTAATTAATAATCTACAGAAATAGTAAAAACTCATGAGTCTTCAGCCCCTTGGACACAAGTCCTTTCTTTAACCCAAAAGACCTACATAATCATATGCTTATAGATAATATTCATGAAGGTTTTTTCTTTGTTTTTTTTTTTTTGAGACAGAGTCTCACTCTGTCACCCAGGCTGGAGTGCAGTGGCGCGATCTTGGCTCACTGCAAACTCCACCTCCCTGCCTCAGCCTCCCGATTAGCTGGGACTACAGGCACCCACCACCACACCCAGCTAATTTTTTGTATTTTTAGTAGAGACATTCATGAAGGTTTTAAGTTTTGTTGTCTAAGATTTACTCACGGCCACATGACCTGTTGACTACATGGATTCAATAAAATGGACCTTTTTAAAGTTTCTTTTCAGTTCTTTTCATAAGACTGAAAAGCCCCAGAAAAACAGCAGTAGAAACTTTCAGTGAATGTTTCACAAGATTAAAGATAGATAACAATTTAACTAAGATTTCAATAGGTCTTTTATTCTTTAACCTTATTGTCTAAAATGTCAATTATCTTGGCACTGAACTCAAGATTTCAGTGTTTCTATATTTCAGCTGTTTCTATATTAATTTCATGGTTATTAAATGCTACAGTAAAAATCCAACATGAGCAGGCAGTAGTCACTATAAACACTCTCTTCAACACACAATTACAACTAATAATATATTTGGAAGGATTTGACTGTTAGAAAACAGTCATAAGGGCCAGGTGTGGTGGCTCACACCTGTAATCCCAGAACTTTGGGAGGCAGAGGTGAGTGGAGCAGTTGAGGTCAGGAGTTTGAGACCAGCCTGGCCAACATGGTGAAACCCCATCTCTCCTAAAAGTGCAAAAATTGGCCAGGCATGGTGGTGGGTGCCTGTAATCCCAGCTATTCGGGAGGCTGAGGCAGGGAGGCGGAGGTTGTAGTGAGCCAAGATTACGCCACTGCACTCCAGCCTGGGCAACAAGAACGAGACTCTGTCTCAAATTTAAAAAAATAAAAGAAAAGGATAAAAGGAAAACAACCATAAGAACTATTTAAGACTAATGAGAAATGTGATAGTATTCATAGAAGAAAGAGATGAAGCATTTGTATACATACATGATCATGAAATTCTCTTGGTTAGAAACCAAAGTCACTATATGCCTGCCTTGAGGTCGTTATGAAAGGCAAGAAGTATTAAGTGCATCAAATCATTGGGAAAATATGAAAAACACAAGACTAGCTGGCTAACAGGTTTGACGCTATGGGTACAGGGATAGGTTCCCCCTGAGGTAAATTCATATCCCTTCCCAGTTCTCTAGTGGTTGCCACTATACCCATCTCTTCCTTGTGGAGAAAATTGTAGCTTTAGGCTTTTGAAACCACATCTTTGGCCATGGTCCTCTGGAAGGGTCCTGCCCCTTAAATGCTATAACTCTCCTCTTGGCAAGACTCCAGAGCTGCTTTTTTTTTTTATTTTTTCAATTTAAGCATTTTAGTGGATTAATAACAAGAACACCTAAGATGCTGCTGACCTTAGGTTTGGGCATTTCACTTCGGGTTGGTAAAAGGCCTGCTATTTTGTCCAATTTAATAGATAGGATCTTGTTTTTTGTTTTCTTTTTTTTTTTTTTGAGACGGAGTTTCACTCTTGTTGCCCAGGCTGGAGTGCAATGGCACAATCTTGGCTCACCTGAACCTCCACCTCCTAGGTTTAAGCAATTCTCCTGCCTTATCCTCCTGAGTAGCTGGGATTACAGGCAGGTGCCACCATGCCCGGTTAATTTTGTATTTTTAGTAGAGACGGGTTTTCTCCATGTTGGTCAGGCTAGTCTTGAACTCCCGACCTCAGGTGATCTGCCTGCCTCGGCCTCCCAAAGTGCTGGGATTACAGGCATGAGCCACTGCTCCTGGCCCAGACAGTATCTTTTTGAAGGTCCTAAGAGGTGGCAGAATGTAAAGCAAAGAGCATGAATTTGGCCACTGGGCCCATCTGGATTGGATTCCCAGCTCTCTGAGCAGCCTTGGGGCAGTTTTTTTTCTTTTTGTTTTTGTTTTGAGATGGAATCTCACTGTGTCACCCAGGCTGAAGTGCAGTGGTGCCATCTCAGCTCACTGCAAGCTCCGCCTCCCAGGTTCACGCCATTCTCCTGCCTCAGCCTCCCGAGTAGCTGGGACTACAGGCAACTGCCACCATGCCCAGCTATTTTTTTTTTTCTATTTTTAGTAGAGACAGTGTTTCACCTTGTTAGCCAGGATGGTCTCGGTCTTGACCATGATCATGATCTGCCTGCCTCGGCCTCCCAAAGTGCTGGGATTACAGGTGTGGGCCACCACGCCTGGCCTCCTTGGGAAAGTTATTTATACTCTCTAAAGAGTATAAATTCTATTAACTAACATATGAGGAGGCTAATAATGGGCACATTGTCCGGCTGGGTCATAAATAATTTGTATAGCACTCCTGTACATGAGCCACTTAATAAATAGCAGCCTATTATATGGTTGAAATTGTGTGCTCTAGAGTTCTTGCTACTTACTGGTTGTATAATCTTTGGCAAATTATTAACCTCTCTAAGCCTCAGTTTCCTTATCTGTAAAGCTGGAATAATGACAATACCTTCCAGCTGTAAGTACATTGACCTCTTTCTATTCATCAGACATACCAAGCTTCTTTTTATCTCAGGAACTTTGTTCTTTCCTCTGCCTGTAATGCTCTCTTAAAGACCGTTTTGTTTGCTTATTGGTTTGGTTGGTTGGTTGGTTGGTTGGTTAGTTGGTTGGTTGGTTGGTTGGTTTGTAAAACATTTAGAACAGTGTCTGGCACATAGTAAGCTCTCCATAAGCTTGAGCTATTGCAGTAGTCACCATTATCTCTTAACCCCCAAAGCTAGCTGAATTCCTGCTGCATATACAGATCCACTAAGAAATCTGTTTCTCCAGGACACACCCACATGTGCACTCCAACTCTATCATGCACTTAGAATATTTACAAATAAAATAACCCATCCATCTCTCATTCTTACCATGAATCTTACTTTGCTCTGGGCTGGTATACAGGAAAAAAAGCACCTTGGGACTTTGAAGATCCAGCTTTCAGGCTCTGCTCAGACCCTTACTAGGTGACCCTTGAATCCATCACATAAATTTTCAGGATCTTCTTTTCTTTATCTTTAAGTACTAATTACCCCACTATTTGTTTAGAGGATTAAATAAGTAATATAGTTTTTATAAATGTAAATCATATTGAGTCACTCACCTGTTCAATGGCTCTCCTTTATCCTTGGAATAAAATCTCAGCTCCTTATCATGGCCTTGGCCTGAGGGACCTCACCCACCTATTCCCTCCCACTCCCTCCACTGTAAGTACATTGACATCTTTCTCTTCCTCAAACACACCAAGTTTACTCACAGCCCAGGAATTTCCTCTTGCATTTTCTTCTACCTGTAATAGTCTTCCTCTGGATGGTTTCAAAATTGGCTGGTTGGTTGATTGGTTGGTTTGTTGGTTGGGTGGGTGGATGGTTGGTTAGTTGGCTGATTGATTGGGCGGGTGGATGGTTGGTTGGTTGGCTGGTTGGTTGGGCAGGTGGGTGAGTGGTTGGTTGGCTGGTTGGGTGGGCAAGTGATTGGCTGGTTGGTTGATCAGTTGGTTGGCTGGGTGGGTGGGTGGTTTGCCTTGTGTACTCAGGTATCTGGTCAAATACGCATCTTCAGAGAGGCTTCCCTTGCCTGTCTGGTTAAGTGGTGTTATCCTCAGTTGCTTCCATCACATAGTCCTCTTCTGTTTTCCTCACTGTACTTATGAACATCTGAATTTATTTTGTTTACTTATTTTTTTAAAACAATTCACTCTGAAGGCAGGGACCATGTCTGTTGGTTTACTGCTCTCTTCCCAATGTCCAGACAGTGCCTGGCCTATGGGCCTCACTAAATATTTGTGCTTAAGTGTACTTTTTTGGTAATAAGTGTGCTTACATAAGAAGGCAGGTATACTGAAGGATGTATTACAGGGACTGGCTGTCGCCAAGAGAGGACAGCAGCTCTACAAGTTACAGACACCTTCCTTCTTAGGGATGCCTAGAAGGAAGTATCACTTCAGATAAAAATGTTACCAGAAAGGAGCCCCCATCCAGGCCCCAAAAGAGGGTTCTTGGACCTCAGTCAAGAACTTGGGGCGAGTTCATAGAGTGAAGTGTAAGCAACTTTATTAAGAAAGTAAAGGAAGAAAAGAATGGCTACTCCATAGGCAGAGCAGAGGCATGGGCTACTCAACAGAGTATACTTATAGTTCTTTCTTGATTATATGCTAAACAAGGGGTGGATTATTCATGAGTTTGCCGGGAAAGGGCAGTCAATTCCCAGAACTAAGGGTTCCTCCACCTTTTAGACCATATAGGGTAACTTTCTGACATTGCCATGGCATTTGTAAACTGTCATGGTGCTGGTGGGACTGTCTTTTAGCATGCTAATGCATTATAATTAGTGTATAGTGGGCAGTGAGGATGACCAGAAGTCACTTTTGTTGCCATCTTGGTTTTAGTGGGTTTTGGCCGGCTTCTTTACTGCATCCTGTTTTATCAGCAGGGTCTTTGTGACCTGTATCTTGTGATACCAGTCCTGCTGACTTCCTATCCCATCCTGGACTAAGAATGTCTGACCTCCTGGGAATTCAGCCCAGTCAGTCTCAGCCTTATTTTATCCAGCCCCTATTCAAGAGGGAGTCACTCAGGTTTGAACACCTCTGAAAAAGCAGGTGAATAGCTGGGTATGGAAAAGTTCTCTCATGAAGAGAAGAGCTGTGAACCTCAAAACAAGGAAGAGAGCCCTTCATAGCACCCATAAAGAGACAGCAACTACTTGACAGAGAAAACAGACCCAGGGGAGACCATGTGGAAGACATCAAGTATAGGTTCAAAGAAGGAACAAAAAGGTATTGCAAATTGGATTTGACATTGTTAACAGCCACCTACCAGGGGGATTTGCTGTGGGAAGGGTCTGCCCCGCCCCTGCAGGAAAGGGTTTGTTTGTCTGCTTTTTATTACTTGACTTTTTTTTTTTTTTTTTTTTGAGACGGAGTCTCGCTGTGTTGCCCAGCCTGGAGTGCAGTGGCGCGATCTCAGCTCACTGCAAGTTCTGCCTCCCAAGTTCATGCCATTCTCCTGCCTCAGCCTCCCAAAGAGCTGGGATTACAGGCGTGAGCCACCACGCCCGGCCTTATCACTTGACTTTTAATCAGCTTTATTATTATTGCTAAATTTTCTACAGACAGGCAGCTTCTATTGCCTATATCTAGGGTTCACCCTTCTTCCCCATTCCCCATTTTCTTAGACCACTCAATTGGAAACAAAATATTCCCTGGCATGTTTTTATCAACAGATTCACTCTCACCCGGACCTTACTCATGATTCTTGATATGTCCATAAAGCACCTGGGTATTGGATTTTCCCACTGTAAGAGTGCCATTACTGAGACCGTGACTTGGTTCTTACAAAATTACTCTGAAAAGGCAACAATATAGGGGATATCTGGTAAACAGAACCCTTTGAGAAGCAAGTCCTTCCTAGACTGTGTTACTCACTTTATTGACTTTTTGGGGAATGGTTTGATGATATTATTTAATGATGACGCTTGCTTTCACCCCCAAAGTCATCTACAAACTTGATTCATTTTCAGACACTGCAATAGTGGCACAGATGAAAATATTTAAAGGGGTAAGAGAATCTTCTTTCAACTTGATCCTGCTTCCTAGATATGGTAATTGATTCACCTGTTTTGGGCCACTCACACCTGGGTTTTGTTCCTTCTTTTATGGAAGCTGTGTCCAGAAAGCACAGCTTGATCCAGGGTCAATTCCACTCGATGGTTTCTGCATATTGGCTCCTCTGTTGGTCTTCCTAGCCTCAGGACCTTTGCACTTCCTCTTCCTTCCTTTTGCCTGAGACAGGCTCTTCCCAAATCTTTAAATGACGGCTCCTTCTCATCATCCAGGGATTGGCTCAAATGTTATCTCCTAAACAGATTATCTCACTGGAAAGTAAATTCCCTGAGAGCAGAGACCTTGCCTATTCATCCGCTCTATCATCCTGCTCCTAGAACAATGCCTGACCCATAGTAGCTGCTCAATAAATATTAATTTATTCATCGACTGGCATATGAGTTCAGGTTTCTTGCTTGTCTGTTTAGATTTGCAATTCTGTTTTGTCAAGATCTCTAATATCTATATACTTTATCAATAATCTATTTAGCTTCAAGTTAAGAGCATTGACTTTGGTGTCTACCAGACCTACATTTTATATTTATTTATTTATTTATTTTTAGATGGAATCTCACTGTGTCACCTAGGCTGGAGTGCAGTGGCGCGATCTCAGCTCACCGCAACCTCCGCCTCCCAGGTTCAGGTGATTCTCCTGCCTCAGCCTCCTGAGTAGCTGGGATTACAGTCACACACCACCATGCCCAGCTAATTTTTGTATTTTTAGTAGAGACGAGATTTCACCATATTGGCCAGGATGGTCTCGATCTCCTAACCTTGTGATCTGCCCACCTCAGCCTTCCAAAGTGCTGGGATTACAGGTGTAGGCCACTGTGCATGGCCCAGACCTACATTTTAATATTGGCTTCAGCCAGGTATGGTGGCATGACTATAGTCCCAGCTATTTGGGAGGCTGAGGAGGGAGGATTGCTTGATCCTAAGAGTTCAAGACCAGCCTGGGCAACATAGTGAAACCTTGTCTTTGACATTTTTAGCTATATAACCTTGGGCAAGCCGGGCGCGGTGGCTCACACCTGAAATCCCAGCACTTTGGGAGACCGAGGCGGGTGGATCACGAGTCAGAAGATCGAGATGATCCTGGTTAACACGGTAAAACCCCATCTCTACTAAAAAAATACAAAAAACTTAGCCAGGCGTGGTGGTGGGCGCCTGTCCAGCTACTCGGGAGGCTGAGGTAGGATAATGGTGTGAACCGGGGAGGCAGAGCTTAGAGTGAGCCGAGATCGTGCCACTGCACTCCAGCCTGGGTGACAGAGTGAGACTCCATCTCAAAATAAAATAAAATAAATAACCTTGGGCAAATTATTTAACCCCTCTGTGCCTCCATTTCCTCATTCTAAATTTTTACAAATAACAATACTTTCTCCATAAACTGATTTAAGAATTAAATAAAATATAATATGTAAAAAGCTTAGTGCAAGGTTTGGCACATGATAAGATCTCAAGCAATACAACTGATTGATATTATAGATAAATGTCATTATTATTATTTGTGCCACTTTTTTCAAGTGCACTTTGCCCTAGGAACAGTGTGACTTAATGAACTTACCAGCTGATGACTCTGTTCCATCAAGGGCACGTTCTATACAGTTCAACTCCCACGTGTTTATTAAGCAGCCACTATGAGTAAATCTTAAAGCATGGGTGGGGTTTTGAGAGGCTAGAGATGGACATGTAAGGGCATCTCACATTGAAAGGAACTGCACAAAGGAAGACAGAGGTAGAAAGTTCCAAGAACAGCAAATAGTTCAACACAGCTAGACCACGCATAATATTCAGCCACTTACTCATTTTTAAAACAATTTCCAACCAGCTATGATTAACAGGCACTGTGCTAAATGCTGGGATAAGCAGGAACAGAATGTGGTGCCTGCCCTTAAAAGCTTGGTTTAGAGGAGAGACATAGTTGTCAACACTGTGTGGCCTGCCGCTGTTGCATGAGCTATGCCACATGAACACAAAAGCAAGCAAGCAGCATTTTTCATGCAGGGAGGAAGAGAGAGAGAGCTGAGAATGAGGGCTGGACCCATTGCAGAGGCCTTAAAGACTAGGCTGAGATGACTGTTTAATGAAGAACCAGTAAAAACGTTTTGAATAGGGGAATGATATGAACACTTGAACTGGAAAAAGCAAATAGAACAGTATTTATTTTAGAACACACCCATATTCACCCATGCTGAGAGCCTGGACTATTATAAAGAAAACAAGGCCGGGTGCGGTGGCTCACGCCTATAATCCCAGCACTTTGGGAGGCCAAGCTGGGTGGATCATTTGAGGTCAGGAGTTCGAGACCAGCCTGGCCAACATGGTGAAACCCCGTCTCTACTAAAAATACAAAAATTTGCTGGGAGGCTGAGACAGGCGAATCGCTTGAACCCGGGAGGTGTAGGTTGCTGTGAGCCGAGATCACACCACTGCATTCCAGCCTGGTGACAGAGCGATGCCCTGTCTCAAAAAAAAAAAAAAAGAAAAAAAAAAACCAGCAATATCCTTTAATTAAATCAAGTCAGGATCTCTAAAGTTGACCACCATAGAAGTCTCTTTGCATGAGAAGGGACAACAGGACTCGGAAACCTAGACTCTTGCTCCTTTCTCTGGATGCAGCTGCTTTTCTATGGCTGCTGTGATCACGTGGCCTCCAGAGGGCGCTGTCCCCTGCAGCTCTTCAGATCAAGCTGTGGTTTTTAACCCTGAGCAGCATCGGAATCCC
Source organism: Homo sapiens (assembly GCF_000001405.40). Lineage (NCBI taxonomy): Eukaryota > Metazoa > Chordata > Mammalia > Primates > Hominidae > Homo > Homo sapiens. The sequence continues at coordinate 72,025,107 of NC_000009.12, read as the reverse complement.
CTGGACGGCTTTCATCATTCGGTCTCACACCAGAGTTCCTGATCAGTAGATGTGGGTGACACACAGGAACCTGCATTACTCCCGAGTCCCCAGGGAGATGCTGCTGCTGCTGCTGCTGGCCCTGAGACCACACTGTAAGAACCCTGCTCCCAAGGATCTAAGGCCCTTCTTTATGTCTTCAGGAGCAGGGCCAGAACTTTAAAAGGAAACCTTACTAAAAATAATGAGGATATATATATATCCTCATTATTTTTATATATTATAAAATATATAATATATATTCTCATTATTTTTATATATTATAAAATATATAATATATATGTGTGTATGTATATATACATAGACCCATATATTGATTGGGTCTAGCTCTGTTGTGTGTGTGTTTTTTTCCAAGTGTTTTTTTCCAAATGTGTATGTGTGTGTGTGTATATATATATACACACACACACATACACATTTGGAAAAAAACACACACACAACAGAGCTAGACCCAATCATATAATATTGCTTATTCTTTGTGCCTCTGAGCTCTGAGAATCACCTGAGCTCTGGTTTTCTGATTGAGAATTGGCCCCTCTTCCCCAGCTCCCTGCTTTAGGGCAGATGAATACCCCTCATGAATAACATAAGAGGTTTTATCCACTGGCCTTCACAGGAACAAAGCCAGTGAGAGCGTTACACAGAATACAACACAAGAACTGTGTAACCTGAATGAGGAACATACATATAAAATAGCAGAAAGCTTTTATTTCCTTAACAGTTGATATAGTTTGGATGCTGGCCCCACCCTAATCTCACATTGAAGTGTAATCTCCAGTGTTGGAGGTGGGACCTGGTGGGAGGTGATCGGATCACGGGGGTGGATTTCTCAGGAATAGTTTAGCAACATCCTCTTGGTCCCATCCTCATCATAGTGATTTCTCGCAAGATCTGGCTGTTTAAAAGTGAGGCACCTGTCTCTCTCTCTCTCTCTCTTGCTCCTGTTCTCACCAGGCAATGTGCCTGCTCCCACTTTGCCTTCCACCATGATTAGAAGCTTCTAGAGGCCTCCCCAGAAGCAGATGCCACTATGCTTCCTGTACAGCCTGCAGACCATGAGTCAATTATACCTCTTTTCTTATAAATTATCCAGTTTCTTTATAGCAGTGCAAGAATGGCCAAATACAACAGTGTTTCATTTATTTTGTAGCACCCACCAATTCCTAGGGCAGAGTTTGTACCTGATGAGTGCCTAATAAATGTCTAAAGTGAATTGAATTATAAGACGCAACATTTCTTCATGCATAGAAACACAACCTACTTTATTGATGTTACTCGTTTGTTCTCATCTACCTATATTTATCTGATGAACTTTGAATCGTTTATTACTTTTAACATTGCTACAGCTTCCCAGATAGCACAGCTTAATAAATACCCATTCATTCTTTCTTTCTTTTTTTTTTTTTTTTTTTTTTGAGATGGAGTTTCACTCTTGTACCCCAGGCTGGGGTGCAATGGCACAGTCTCGGCTCACTGCAACCTCCACCTCTCGGGTTCAAGTGATTCTCTTGCCTCAGCCTACCAAGTGCTGGGATTCCAGGCATGCGCCACTACACCCGGCTAATTTTTGTATTTTTAGTAGAGACGGGGTTTCACCATGTTGGCCAGGCGGTCTCGAACTCCTGACCTCAGGTGATCTGCCCGCCTTGGCCTCTCAAAGTTTGCAAACAGCTACTCAATTTTTATTTTTTTCTAATTTATTTGTTTTTGTTTCTCTCACCTGGTCTAGGAACAAGGAAATATTTTCAATGGTTTTATTCCTGGATGAGAATCCCAAGGCCACATTCTATTAGACTCAGCTTCTGAATGGTCTTTTAAACACAAACATGGCTGCATGAAGTTCATGTCACAAATTTGATGTCATGAAAGAGAAATTTAGTTCATTAGTCACCTGGGGTGGATAAGACGGGTAGACACTGCATATATAAAGGAATAATCCATGAGTGATTGAGGCTAAAAGTAATCCTCTTCAGAACTAGGTCAAGCAGTTTATATAGGGTTTGGATGGTGAGTCAGCCTGGAGAGGCTTGGACTTCTAGGATGAGGAACTTGTGAGGGGTGTGTGTGTGTGTGTGTGTGTGTGTGTAGCTTGGTTAAAATAGTGATTCATCTTTCTGGAAGAGCCTCTGTCTCTCGCTCTCTTTGTCTTTTTCTCTTTTTTCTCTCATGCTCTCTTCTTCTCATTCTCACACATTTGCTCTTGTTCTCACGCTTTCTAGAACAACTCTTTCTCTCTCTCAGGCCTGCTTTGACTCCTGTTTCTTTCTGGCACCCCTTTTTAAGAACTAGTGCGAGGCTTTTGCCTGAGACATGACAGAGCAGGTGTGTTAGTCTATTCTGACACTGCTATAAAGAAATACCTGAAACTGGATAATTTATAAAGAGAAGAGGTTTAATTGACTCATGGTTCTACATGCTGTGCAGGAAGCATAGCTGGGGAGGCCTCAGGAAACTTATAATCATGGCAGAAGGTGAAGGGGAAGCAGGCACATCTTTACATGGCTACAGCAGGAGGAAGAGAGAGAGTGGGGAGGTGCCACACACGTTTAAACAACAGATATCATGATAACTCATTCATTATCACGAGAACAGCACCAAATGGGAAACCCACCCCCATCATCCAATCACTTCCCACCAGGCTTCACCTCCCATATTGGGGATTATAATTGGACATGAAATTTGGATGGGGACACAGACCCAAACCATATCAGCAGGGGAGGGAAAAGAAGTGGTGAGCCCAAGGCCACCCCTGGTGGGACTTGATCTGAGTCCCCATTGTTACTCCTCCACCCATTCCACCTGCTGTCCTGTCCTGCCCTATTTGGACTCCAAACAGGTTCACAGAGAAGCTTTCACGGGCATCTAGACACTACTGTCATCTCCTGTCATCCACCCTCATATCTTCCTATGCATGCTTTAGTCTATGTTTTGAGGATCCCTGGGCCTTTGGAAATATGAGGGAGCTTTGCTGGTCCTCTATCTGCATGGGGAAGACAACAACAATAAATAAATAAGAAGGAACACATAAGAGGATCATAGATAATGTCAAAGGGTAACTGGTAATTGTATAGCTTTAAGGGAGAAGTTTTATGCCTATTTTTCTTTCAAAAGCAACCTATGGTCTTCACAAGCCCTGGCACTGAAATAAACATGAAACTAATAATTAAGCACAGGTTTCTAAGCTGTAGTTTATGATCTTTGGCAAGATAATGATCCAAGGGAGACACGGTACAAAAATAAGAGAGAATAGGTAGGCCGGGCGCGGTGGCTCATGCCTGTAATCCCAGCACTTTAGGAGGCCGAGGCGGGCGGATTACCTGTGGTCAGGAGTTTGAGACCAGCCTGGCCAACATAGTGAAACCCCGTCTCTACTAAACATACAAAAATTAGCCGAATGTGGTGGCAGTTACCTGTAATCCTAGCTACTCAGGAGGCTGAGGTAGGAGAATCGCTTGAACCCAGGAGGCAGAGGGTGCAGTGAGCCAAGGTCACACCGTTGTACTCCAGCCTGGGGGACAAGAGTGAGACTTCATCTCAAAAAAAAAAAAAAAAAAAAAAAAAAAACTAGGTCAGACATGGCGGTTCACGCCTGTAATCCCAGCACTTTGGGAGGCCAGGGCAGGTGGATCACCTGAGGTCAGGAGTTCGAGACCAGCCTGGCCAACATGGTGAATCCCCATCTCTACTAAAAATACAAAAATTAGCCAGGCGTGGTGGCAGCCACCTGTAATCTCAGCTACTCAGGAGGCTGAGGAAGGAGAATCACTTGAGCCCAGGAGGCGGAGTTTATAGTGAACCGAGATTGTGTCACTGTACTCCAGCCTGGGCAACAGAGTGAAAAAAATACAAATAAAAATAAATTAAAAAGTAAAAAATAAAAATGTAAAAAAAAAATTTTTTTTTTGAAATGGAGTTTTGCTCTTGTTGCCCAGGCTGGAGTGCTGTGGCACAATCTTGGCTCACTGTAACCTCTGCCTCCTGGGTTCAAGGCAATTCTCCTGCCTCAGCCTCCCAAGTAGCTGGGATAACAGGCGTGTGCCACCACGCCTGGCTAATTTTGTATTTTTAGTAGAGACAGGGTTTTCACCATGTTGGTCAGGCTGCTCTCGAACTCCTGACCTCAAATGACCCACCTGCCTTTGCCTCCCAAAGTACTGGGATTACAGGCATGAGTTGCTGCATCCGGCTTTTAAAAAAAATTCAAAAAAAAATTTTTTTAATTAAAATTAAAATAAAGAATAAAATAAAAATAAATAAACATGTCATTGGATACCCGTAATACTTTAGTGAGAAAATGGGTTTCATTTTATGCATAAAGAAACTGAAGTTCAGACAAGGTAGATGATACACCTATAATTACACAACAAGAACCTGTAACTAGATAGAGCCCAGTCCTTCTAACTTACAGCCTAGTATGCTTACAAGTACATATGGGCAAACTGTTGACCTTCATAAAACTTAAGACATATAATCATACCATTCAAAATCCCCCCAGAAGGTTACATCTAAATTTATATTCACCTATAGAAAACAGTCTTATTATTGGAAAAAAAAAATAAGGGTGCTTGGATTTTCTCCCTACAAAGACAATAACATGTGAAGGTGAAAGAAAGATGACACTCAATAACTAGATGTTTAGTTCAAAAACAATTAGCCAAAGCAAATACTTTTTATACTATAACTTCTTCTCAATCTTTCTTTATAGGATGTTTTATTGGTTTTGAATCAAGAATAGTTAGATATTTGTGGAAATCTTCAAGTAGAAAAAACAGGTGGGTGCACACACACCTACACACCCTCAGAGGAAAACCACTGTAATGCAAGAAACAGAATAAAATATACATCTTATTTTATTCTGTTTTATTTTATTCTGTTCTCTTTTATTCAGTTATTTTATAAGTAACTGTCACTACTTTTAGCAAGACACAAGATATTCCACCCATAAAAAGTAAACAGGATGCTATAAAAAAGACATTGAGAAAAATGAAAAGTTCTTTAAAACACAAAGTATGACTAACAAAATTTAAAATTCAATAGAAGAGTTGGACAATGAAAATTAAGTAAGTCTTCCAGAAGGTAAAACAATAATAGACAAAGAGATAGAAATAAAAGGACAAGAGACTTAGAGGAGAAATCAAAGTAATTCTAGAAAAAGTAAACAGATAAGTTGAAAGGAATCAAATTATCAAGGACTAATACCTCCCAACAAAAAGCAATCCAGAGTACAAGAATGTAAGTCTCCACTTGGAAGGAGGTCACCAACAGTCCAATTTAAACAAACGAAAATAAATTTTAGAGAAACAAAGTGAATAAAAGATTCTAAAGTCACTTTCGGAAAGGAAAAACAGGTCACACACAAAGGGTGGGGGAACCGAAAGGACATTTAATGCTCAACAGCAACACTGAGAGGTGTTAGGACAATTACTTCAAAATCTTTAAGGAACCATGCCTGCCAAATCCTATATCAAATTACAAATCAAATGTGAAGATTAAATAAGGACACTTATAGACATCCACGGGCTCTAAAAATTTACCTCATGTGTCCTTAAGGAAACCATTGAAGAATATGCTTCAGCAAAATAAAGGAATTATAACCAAAACAAAAAAACAAAAAAACAAAAAAACCCAAAAACCAAAAACCAGAAAAACCCAAGGCAGCATGAGATACAGAAAACAGAACCTACACAGGGCAGCAGCAAAGGGAAATCTCAGAATTGAGCGATGGGCTCGAGGCCTACTCAGTCCCCGAATGGAACAAGAGGATGGAACACATACTAATTAATCTAGAATCACATACTCGGTAAAACTCTTTGCTTTTTCAGAGAAACAAAGACTAAAATTTTTTGTCATCAAAATAACCTCTCTAAACAAACATTAAAAGACAGTCCTGAAGATGGAAAATATTCATAAAAGACAGAAGGAGATTGAGTGAGAGTGGTGGGGAGTGAGCTCACATGCTGGTGTTAAATAAGTGCAAACACATAGAGACTGGCTGTATAAATCAGTAATAATGAAGTCTAACTTTAGGGAAAAAAAGAGAAGAAGATAGAGCTAAAACCCTGACAACAATAATGTGCAAGAGGGCTGGGCGCGGTGGCTGATGCCTGTAATCCCAGCAATTTGGGAGGCCGAGGGAGGTGGATCACCTGAGGTCTGGAGTTTGAGACTAGCTGGCCAACATGGTGAAACCCCATCTCTACTGAAAATACAAAAAAATTAGCTGGGTGGGGTGGCACACTCCCGTAATCCCAGCTACTTGGGAGGCTGAGGTAGGAGAGTCACTTGAACCCAGGAGGCGGAGGTTGTAGTGAGCCGAGTGCCACTGCACTCTAGCCTGGGCAACAAGAGTGAAACTCCGTTTCAAAATAAATAAATAAATAAATAAATAATAATAATAATAATAATAATGTTCAAGACAAATGGAGACATTCCAAGGTCCTTGAATTTAGGTGGAGGAGAGTAGAGATACTGAATAACTTAGATAAGTATTAAGTACACATATTAAGCTTTTTTTTTTTTTTGAGACAGAGTCTTGCTCTGCCGCCCAGGCTGGAGTGCAGTGGCACAATCTCAGCTCACTGCAAGCTCACACCATTCTCCTGCCTCGGCCTCCTGAGTAGCTGGGACTACAGGCACCTGCCACCATGCCCAGCTAATTCTTTGTATTTTTACTAGAAATGGGGTTTCACCGTTTGTTAGCCAGGATAGTCTCGATCTCCTGATCTCGTGATCTGCCCGCCTCAGCCTCCCAAAGTGCTGGGATTACAGGCGTAAGCTACCGCACCCGGCCACATATTAAGCTTTTAAGGGTTAAAAGGAAATAACTGAAACTTCATGCTTTATTTGAAGTAAGAACTGTACTTAAGAGTAACCAAAGAGCCATAGCCAAAAGGAAAGCTATTCCTTATCGAAGAATTCCAGCTAATGCATGCAGAAGAAATAAACAATTAGAAAGTCCCCAGTTTGTTCCCTCCTAATGAAGAAAAATGAGTACCAAAAGGTGCTAAAACCATTATAGATGAAAAGTTGAAGAACATCTCATGTTTACAAAGTAACAAAGTAAGGCCAGGCGCGGTGGCTCATGCTTGTAATCCCAACACTTTGGGAGACTGAGGCGGGCAGATCACCTGAGGTCAGGAGTTCGAAGATAGCCTGGCCAACATGGTGAGTACTCATCTCTACTGAAAATACAAAAAACTAGCTGGGCATGGTGGTGGGTGCCTGTAATCCCAGCTACTTGGGAGGCTGAGGCAGGAGAATGGCTTGAAACTGTGAGGCAGAGGTTTCAGTGAGCCAAGATCGTGCCATTGCACTCCAGCCTGGGTGACAAGAACAAAACTTATCTCAAAATAAAAAAAAAGAACAAGTGGGGCCGGGAGCGGTGGCTCACACCTGTAATCCCAGCACTTTGGGAGGCCGAGGCAGGTGGATCATGAGATCAAGAGATCGAGACCATCCTGGCCAACATGGTGAAATCCTGTCTCTACTAAAAATACAAAAATTAGCTGGGTGTGGTGGCGCGCACCTGTAATCCCAGCTACTCGGCAGGCTGAGGCAGGAGAATCGCTTGAACCTGGGAGGCTGAGGTTGCAGTGAGCCGACATAGCACCACTGCACACCAGTCTGGTGACAGAGTGAGACTCCATCTCAAAAACAAACAAACAAAAAGTAACAAAGTATCACCTTGCCAATTACTTGTGAATCTAAACATTGCAATGAAGACATCGGGCTTAGCTCATCTGAACCCAGTGATGAATATTAGCATCACTATTAAGTGGAACAGGACACTATGTGCATCCCGAAGTAATGCAATGTGAAGTAAACTGCAATATCTATGATATATTCTTGGCCAAAATGTTTAAGTTGAATCTAATCAACACTTTAGCTCTCATTTCCAGTTTACATGAGATACAGGGGTTAGAAAAATAGGTTAAATAACACTACAAGGAAGCCATCAGGCAAATCTAGAATTTGAGACCTTCTACAAGACAATTGACCTGGTCTATACAATTAGGCAATATCATAAAAAGGAAAGGAAAGAAGAGATATTCTAGACTCCAAGAAGTTTAAGAGACATAAAACATGATGACCAAAAATGACATATAGACCAAAATTGGATGCTAGTTCACACCAAGCAGCAGTAAAAGCTATTTTAGAAACAACTGGAGGACTCTGAGTACTAATTGAAACATTTTATGTACTAAGTCACTCTCATGTACATTGTTGTTCATTATATCTTTCTTTATATTTCATAATGTGTTTTCAAAAGATAAAGAAATGAGAACATGTATCTACTCACAATCCCGTTCAAAATCCCACTGTAATGGCGGAAGAAATATTTGTAAATGAATGAACTCTTTTTTTTTTTTTTTTTTTTGAGACAGAGTCTTGCTCTGTCACTCAGGCTGGAGTGCAGTGGCGTGATCTCAGCTCACTGTAACCTCCATACCCTAGGTTTAAGCAATTCTCCTGCCTCAGCCTCCCAAGTAGCTGGGATTACAGGTGTGTGCTACCATGCCCGGCTAATTTTTGTATTTTTAGTAGAGACGGGGTTTCAGCATGTTGGCCAGGCTGGTCTCAAACTCCTGACCTCAGGTGATTCTCCCGCCTCGGCCTCCCAAAGTGCTGGGATTACAGGCGTGAGCCATCACGCCTGGCCTACGAATGAACTCTTTACAGCTCCAGAAACAACAACAAAAAAGAAATTCAAATTGGTGGACTAAAAATATTGGGGGTCCTCAGATTGATAGGGTAATAAGAGTAGAGAAACAACAGCTCAAAGAGAAGAGCAGTCCTGCAGTAATTCAAAGCTCATCGTCAGGACTTTGTGAAAGGAAAAGAAATCATGGGGCCCCCAAATCACTAAGCTAAAGAGAAAAGTCAAGCTGGGAACTGCTCAGGACCAACCTGCCTCAGGTTCTATTTCACCCCTCTGATCCAGAGAAAGATGCATATATTGATTGATGTCTCATGTCTCCCTAAAATGTATAAAACTAAGCTGTGCCATGACCACCTTGGGCACATGTCATCAGGATCTTCTGAGGCTGTGTCATGGGTGCGTCCTCAACCTTGGCAAAATAAACTTTCTAAATTAATGGAGATCTGTCTCAGATTTTCTGGGTTCACAACTTAAAGCACACCTCAGCTATTAACAACTAGAAAATCCTCCCAAGGCAATTGTTGAACAACTGATTTAATTAATGAATGAAATGATTAATTAATTGAGGCAATCAGCTCAGAATAACTGGGTCAGATTGGCCTTTCTCTTTCTTCTTGCATTTCCCTCCCAACACCTACCACCCCCCAGCCCCCAAATCCCCGTACCCTTCTTCCCACACTGAGCCATGGCCAGCAAAGGATTTTGAGAGAGATATTAAAACTCACTGGTTTTCTCACCCTAAGATATGTAAAATACGGGCTGCATCAGGCTTACTGATCTATTTTGTTTGGCCTGAAGAGCACTTTATTTATTGAAAAATTTTAAATTAAAATCCAAGTTTTCAGTTTCTTTAAAACAAAACAAAACAAAACAAAACAAAAACACTAAGGCCAGGACACTGGGCCCCTCATTCTTGAATGACAACACATGCTAGACTGGAGTTTCTGCCCTTCAGGGGCTGAAGTTCCTGCCAATCAGCTCCAGTTCTTTGCCTGTCTGGCCCCTGCCAGCATTTTTGTTTTCTTCTTCTGCCCTAGATCCATGTTTTCTAGACTCTTCGGTAGTGCTTGATAAATATACAATTTCCCAGGCCTTTTCTCTGGAGGTCTGATTTGGTGGCTATTATGGGCTGAATCGTGTTCCCCCAAAATTCATATGTTGGAGTCCTTACCCCCGGTACCTCAGACTGTGACCTTATCAGAGGTTTAGGGGCTTTACCGAGATAATCAACTTAAAATGAGGTCATTAGGGTGAGACTCATCCAATATGACTGGTGTGCTTATAAAAAGGGGAAATTTGGACACAGAGACACACAGGCACAGACAGATGATGAGGTGAAGAGATGTAGTGGAAAGACAGGCAGCCATCCACAAGCCAAGGAGAGAGGCTTGGAACAGATCCTTCCCTCACAGCCCTCAGAAGGAATCAACCCCTACAATACCTTTCATCTTACACTTCTGGCCTCCAGAATTATGAGATGATATGTTTCTGCTGTTTAAACCACCCAGTTATGGTACTTCGTTATGGCAGCCTTAGCAAATGAATACAGCGGGTTTGGCACTGAGTCTAGAACTTTGTACACCAACACCTACATGGCTGCTGATAGGAATGACCTGTGGAGATTTACCAAAATACTGATTCCTGGGTTCCAGGTCTAAAGACTCTTGACCTCAGGTGATCCACCCACCTCAGCCTCCCAAAGTGCTGGGATTACAGGCATGAGCCACCATGCCTGGCCCAGAAATTTCTACTTCTAATTAAAAATAGGTGAATAAATTGGATTCTCTCTCTCTTTTTTTGAGATGGAGTCTCGCTCTGTCGCCAGGCTGGGGTGCAGTGGTGCAATCTCATCTCACTGCCACCTCCACCTCCCAGGTTCAAGTGATTCTCCTGTCTCTGCCTCCTGAGTAGCTGGGACGGCTAATTTTTTGTATTTTTAATAGAGATGGGGTTTCACCATGTTAGCCAGGATGGTCTCAATCTCCTGACCTCGTGGTCTGCCCGCCTCAGCCTCCCAAAGTGCTGGGATTACAGGTGTGAGCCACCGCACCCGGCCCTCCCTCTCTTTTTTTAAGTCAGGAAAGCATGATCAATTCACTTAACTCTATTTCAAAGATAATGAAAAGTAAAGCAACATCATCGCATATAAAACAGCTCTGGTGAGATGAGACAACGATGGGTGTAAGCTCCTATGAGTTCTCTTTGACATGTTTAATGAGACACCCTGGGTTAGGGATCCATTTCTCCCAGTGGCTTGAGGTTAATGGTTCCCTGCCATGTACACCATTATTACTTTATTATATATTTGTCACAGTTCCTGCCATTCAGTTTCCAAAAGGATCACATCTCATCTTTGAGAGTTCATCCATTCTTTCCATTTCACATTTACCAAGGGCCCAGTATATGCCAGACCCTATGCCAGGCACTCAGGGTGGAGTGGGGACCTAAACAAACTCACTCCCTGCCCTTGTGGAGCCTATAGCCTAGTTCATGAGAAGGTCAGTGAGATCCTAAAGAAAATTACATGATTTTACAAATTCCCTAAAGAAAAAACAAGATGCCAAAATGTAGTTTCTGGGGAAGGACACTTCAGATAAGGTGGTCAGGGATGATCTCTCTGAAAAAGGAATATTTGAGTTGAAACCTGTAGATTAAGAAGCCAAAGAGTTGGGGGACAGCAACCCAGGCACAGTTCACTGTTCATGCAGTTCCTCAAATGGGAATGAGCTTTGAGGCCAGCAAAGGCTGGTGTGGCTAAAACACTACAAGTAAAGGGAAGGAGCCTATCAAATGAGGGAGGGGTTGGACAGGCCACAGATCACACAGGCCTGAGTACCTTGGTAAAGAATCTGGTTTCTACTTTAAGATTAATGAAAAACCAAGGAAGTAGATAAACCCATTTCCCATTTAGGAAAAAAAAAAAAAAGTTCAGCTTGCTGCCAGTGCAGTCTCCTCAGGGCAAACAGGAAATGGGTTAAGCAGACAAGTCCTCCTCAGTCCGTTGTCAAATATCAACCCCACTTTCTCAAGAACCCACTGCCAGGAAGACCAGGCTATAAGCTGTAAGAATAAGGTATTGGGACTTTTAGCAAACATCATAGGTGGTTCTGATCCACCCTCAGTTAAGAATCACTGTGCTATTAATAGCAGATCAAAATCTCAGGGAGATGGTACATCCCATTATCTGATTCTCCTATGCCCATTGCTTTTTAAAAAAACTCACAAAAATAACAATCCAAGAAACAAATTGTTAAATTATTTACAACATAGATAAAACAATGAGTGGTATTAGCCTACCAACTTTCAGAAAAGTCGATCAAAAAATGGATATAACTTCTAGAGTTCAGTTCTAAAACCTGCTTCTAAGTTCTTCCTAGTTAAGAGAGGAGCTATAGAACCCTGGCTGAGTCATCTCCTTGGCTTGGCCTTAAGAAACCCCTGGGGACACTGTATCAAAAGATAAGAATCCCCAACAGGACTTCAAAATAAAAATATTCATCAACAGGTAGGCAGACTCTAATTTTCAGTAAATGTCACGTGGTTGAGAACACATCACCAGCTAGTACAAATTCCTGACCCCGAAACTGAACTTTGTAGCCAAAAGAAAGAAAGTAGAACAAAGCCTTCACTGAGACTGGGGATGGGCTGGGGGTAAGGAGGTGAACAATAAAAATATTTAACCACTTGTAGCACGTGGTCACAGATCCATCAGCACAGAGGCCAGTTGCCAATGCCTGCTATGTGTACAAAGGTGCGAGCATAAGAGAGACAAATGTCATACTAACTTCTTCTATTCCCACTTTCCTACCTACCTGGAAGAGACAGGATAAACCAAAGAAGTGGGCCACCCAAAATCATGGAATCTCTTCTGGGGCAGTTGGGGCCTCTGCCATATCAATAAACCCAACTATTACTTCCTTTCAATCCATTCTGAGTCTACAAGTCCTAGACATTCAAGAAGTTGGCCGGGCACAGTGGCTCATGCCCAGCACTTTGGGTGGCCAAAGTGGATGGATCACTTGAGGTCAGGAGTTCAAGACCAACCTGGCCAACATGGTGAAACCCAGTCCCTACTAAAAACACAAAAATTAGCTGGGCATGGTGGCACACACCTGTAATCCCAGCTACTCAGGAGGCTGAGGCAGGAGAATCGCTTGAAGCTGGAAGGCAGAGTTTGCAGTGAGCCGAGATTGCGCCACTGCACTCCAGCCTGGGTGACAGAGTGAGACTCTGTCTCAAAAAAAAAAAGTGCTTGTTCCACTCCAACCTAAGCAAAGAGGACTTCGAGAGAACAGTTTAGAAAACCAGAATCTCCCCCTGCCTCAAATTTTGGGGCAACAAGGACTGGTGCACGAATCCTGACTGGAAGATTTTGGGAGTGAGTCTTGCTGGAGGAGGTAAGCATAAAACACGACAGTGGAGCACCCCACGCTTCTAGAGATGGAAACTCACAAATTTGAATTATTTTCACACACCCTTGAAAGAAAGTGAATCATCTTCTCTTTAATACAATTTAAGTATAACATAGAAAAGTGCACAAATCACAAGTGTATGTCTTCATGGATTATCACAAAATAAACATCCTATATAACAACTACCTGAGATCAAGAACATAAGCATTATCCCAGAAGTACCTGCCATGTCCTTCCTATTTCTCCAAAGATCATCACTATCCTCACTTCTTTTTTTCTTTTTTTTTGAGACAGAGTCTCGCTCTGTCCCCCAGGTTGGAGTGCAGTGGCACGTTCTTGGCTCACTGCAACTTCTGCTTTCCAGGTTCAAGTGATTCTCCTGCCCCAGCCTCCTGAGTAGCTGGGACTACAGGTGCATGCCACCACGACCGGCTAATTTTTGTATTTTTAGTAGAAATGGGGTTTCACCATGTTGGCCAGGCTGGTCTTGAACTCTTGACCTCAGGTGATCCACCCGCCTTGGCCTCCCGAAGTGCTGGGATTACAGGCGTGAGCCACCATGCCTCGCCTTATCCCCCCTTCTGATAACAGATTAGTTGTACCTGTTTCTGAAGATTTTGTAAATATAATTATTCAGCAGATAAGTTTGTGTCTGATTTCTTTCATTCAACATGTTCCTTCGGATTCATCCATGTTTTCAAATAACCGTAGTATACACGTTTTCATTGCTGTCTAATATTCTACTGTATGAATTGTGAAAGGAAAATAAATCTCAGGACCCCCAAATCACTAAGCCAAAGGAAAAATCAAGCTGGGATCTATGTCAGGCAAACCTGCCTCCCATTTTATTACTAAATAAGATAGCTACAAAGATAAAAAGCTACATACCTCCCTCACAATTTTCCCACATGGAAATTCCTTGTGGAGAAAGGTCAGAAAGAACTCAGTCATCCCTCTGAGGTTCACCTGAGACAAACACATATTTGATTGCTTCCTCTGCCCATTGTTTATGTTAAAATGCAGATTCACTGAGCCAGATTAAATTGTGTATTTGATATGGAAGGGGGCAGGGAAGTGCTGGGAGGAGTAGGCAGGTCCCTGGTGAGGGCTCCACCCCCAGGCCTGTGCCCATGGACCTAGATGAGGACAGGCACCCTTGCCTCTGTGACCAAATATTGCATTTCCCAAGACCACCCTGGCCTGCCATGCCGCCATCCTGCGGGTATAAAAACCCCCAGGATCCTAGCGGATATGCACACAAGCAGCTGGACGTCGAGAGGAACACACCGGTGTAAGAGCACACGGACAGATGCTGGCAAGCCGGCAGGCCATCGACCTATGGAACAATGTGGAGTTTGGCCAGGGTGGTCAGAGCAGAGCCTGGGCTGCTGAGCGGCCTGACTCCAGGGCAAAACCACCTTCCCACTCCATCCCCTTCTGGCATCCCCATCTGCTGAGAGCTACTTCGACTCAATAAAACCTTGCACTCACTCTCCAAGCCCATAGGTGATTCAGTTTTTCTGGTACATCAAGGAAAGAAACTCTCAGATACAGAAAGCCCTCTGTCCTTGCGATAAGGCAGGGGGTCTAATCGAGCAGACTAACACAAGCCACCTACAGACAGCTAAACTAAAAGAACACCCTGTAACACACGCCCTCTGGGGCCTCAGGAGCTGTAAACATTCACCCCTAGACACTGCTGTGGGGTTGGAGCCCCACAACCTGTGTGTCTGCCTGCTCCCCTTAGGGGTTTGAATAGCCAGGCACTGAAGAAGCAAGCCACACCCCATCGCATGCCCTGTGAGGGGGATAAGGGGAACTTTTCCCATTTCATATTCAGTGGAAAGCTGATCAAGGACTCAAAAGAATGCAATGTTTTGTCTCTTATCTACTTATGACCTGGAAGCTCTGGCTTCTCAGGTTGTCCCACCTTACCAAACCAAACCAATTTACATTACACATATTGACTGATGTCTCATGTCTCCCTAAAATGTATAAAAGCAAGCTGTATCCCAACCGCCTTGGGCACATGTCATCAGAACCTCGAGGCAGTGTCATGGGTGCGTCCTTAACCTTGCCAAAATAAACTTTCTAAGTTGACTGTGGCCTGTCTCAGATACCTTTTTGTTTACAGAATATATCACATTTATGTTTTTTTAAATTTTGGCAGACATCTGGATTGTTTCCAGTTTGGGGATGTTGTGAATGGTTGTGATATAAACATTCTTGTACCTGTCTTTTCTTTTGGCATATATTTCTGTGTCTATTTCATACTCAGGAGTAGAATTCTACATCTATGCAGAATGTGGTGTTCAGCTTTAGAAGACACTGCCATACATATTTGCAAAGTGGATATAAATAGTTTATACTCCTATCAGCAATGGATGAGAATTCTACTTGCTATACATTCACATCAATACTTTTTTTTTTTTTTTTTTGAGACAGAGTCTTGCTGTTGCCCAGACTGGAGTGCAGTAGTGCGGTCTCGGCTCACTGCAATCTCTGCCTCCCAGGTTCAAGGGATTCTCGTGCCTCACCCTCCTGAGTAGCTGGGATTACAGGTGCCTGCCACCAAGTGTAGCTAATTTTTGTATTTTTAGGAGAGATGGGATTTCACCATGTTGGCCAAGCTGCTCTGAAACTCCTAACCTCAAGGGATCTTCCTGCCTCAGCTTCCCAAAGTGCTGGGATTACAGGCATGAGCCACCAGGTCCAGCCACACCAATACTTTATATTGATGTCTGTTTAATTTTAGCTATACCAGTGGATTGTCATTGTAGTTTTAATCATAAATTTCCCTAAAGGCTAATGAGCATCTTTTCATATATTTATTGGTATTTCAACATCCTTTTTTGTGAATTGACTGTTCTTTTGCCCATTTTTATGTTGGTGAGCTATATTTATCAAGCTTTTTATGTGTTCCTTTTTATATTCAGATATAGGCATTGCAAATATCTTGTGACTTGCCTTTTACTCTCTTAGTGATGTCTTAGGATTAACAGAATTTTTAAATTTATTTTAGTCCAATTTATCAAACTTTTCCTTTATGTTAGTGATTTTTGTGTCCTACTTAATAAATCTTTGCCCCCACTCAAATACCTCTCTCAATAACTTTTAGGAAAAGCAGGCCGAAAACCAGTAAGAATAAAGAGTATTTGAGCAACACTATTAACAAACTTGAGCTAGTTGATATCTTTAACATAACAAAATGTATCTATCTCAGCCAATAAATAACCAGTGTTATGTTTAATGGGGAAACACTAGAAACACTCCCCCTATATTCAGGAAAAAGAAAAATATGCTCATTATCATTATTTTTATTAAACATTGTATCAGAGATATTATCCAAAAGATTTGGTGAAAAAAACACGTAAAAGAAAGAAAAAGACATAACGTTTGCTGGTTGCAAATGATATGGTTCTATGCTAGAAAATACAAAGCAATCAACTGAAAAATACTATAAATAAAAATTAAATTATGCAAGGTGATATAGTATAAAGTAATATACAATATAAATAGCTTTTACTTAACCAACATTCGGACACGATGGAAGAAAAATCCCCAATTTTAATAGGAAAAAAAAGCCTAGGAATAAGCCTAATAAGTAATATACCAGGTCTGTAGGAAGAAAATCTTGAAACATTATTGAAGGGCATAAAGGAAGACTTGAGCAAGTGAAAGACATACAATGTTCTTAAACTGGAAGATAACATCAAAGGTGTTAATTTTCTCCCAAGGGAATTTATAAATTTAATCTCCTCTTTGTCTAACGAAGAGGGTTGTTTTTTTCCGGGCAGGGGCTGGAGGGTAAGGACTAGATAAATCCTTAAGTGTATACTTAAAAAAGCTCTTACCTACAAAGGCAAGTACGAGGAGCAGCAGGACGAGCATGGCTACATCTCCCGGTGCTTCACGCGGAAATACACGCTGCCCCACCGGTGTGGACCCCACTCAGGTCTCCTCCTCCCTGTCCCCTGAGGGCACACTGACCGTGGAGGCCCCCATGCCCAAGCTAGCCACGCAGTCCAACGAGATCACCATCCCAGTCACCTTCGAGTCGCGGGCCCAGCTTGGGGGCCCAGAAGCTGCAAAATCCGACGAGACTGCCGCCAAGTAAAGCCTTAGCCCGGATGCCCACCCCTGCTGCCGCCACTGGCTGTGCCTCCCCCGCACCCACCTGTGTGTTCTTTTGATACGTTTATCTTCTGTTTTTCTCAAATAAAGTTCGAAGCAACCACCAAAAAAAACAAAAAAAAGATAGAAAAACTTTTTTAAAAGAAGAGCAGGCCGGTGCGATGGCTCATGCCTGTAATCCCAGCACTTTGGGAGGCCGAGGCGGGCAGATCACCTGAGGTCAGGAACTCAAGACGAACCTGGCCAACATGGCGAAACCGTGTCTCTACTAAAAATACAAAAAATTAGCTGGGCGTGATGGCTGGTGCCTGTAGTCCCAGCTACTCAAGAGGCTGAGGCAGGAGAATCGCTTGAAACTGGGAGGCGGAGGTTGCAGTAAGCCAAGATCACGCCACTGCACTCAAGCCTGGGTGACAGAGCAAGACTCTGTCTAAAAAAAAAAAAGAAGAGCAGTAAGCGGGAACTAACTGTAAGAAATATTGAAGCATACGAAAAAGCTTCAGTAATTAAAACAGTATAACAGATAGACCTGCAGAAGAGATTAGAAAGTTTATAAATAGATTTAAATACATGCAAATTTTTACGTTAGCAAGTGATGCATCTCAAATCCGGGAGCAGGGTAATGATTATTCAATAAACAGTGTTAGAATAACTAGTTAATGTCTGGGAAAAAATTAAGTTGGAACCATATCTTACATCTTACTCCCAGAAAATATCAAGTGGATCAATGATTTAAATGTAAAATATGAAGGCATACAACTTCTAAAAAGAAAACATATAGAAATTCAGAAATTCTTTTATAACTTTAAAGTGAAGACCTTACTAGTTATGTTTAATAGCCATTAAAAAAACGGCTAATTGCGGAAATAAACAAGAAAAGAAATAACAAAAACCAAAAAATGGCTAATTGCTAAATTCCAGTACATAAATACAAACAAAGGAAAGCTTCCTCATGAGGTGGAGTGGGAGACATTGTAAGCCAAGTCAATGAAAATCAGTGACCCTCTGGAAAAATCTTGGCAACGAATATCACAAAAGAACAGTTTATCTCCCCCAGTATTTAAAGAGCTCCTAGAAATTGTGGCTGGAGAAAGTCAGACTTTGTAAAATATTCAAGGAGATTTATTCTGAGCCAAATATGGGTGACCAATGGCCCATGACTCAGCCCTCAGAAGCTCCTGAGTGCATATGCCTCGGATGGTTGGTGTACAGCTTGCTTTTATGTGTTTTAGGGAGACGTGAGACACCAATCAACACATGGAAGATGCACATTGGCTCAGTCTGAAAAGGCAGGACAGCCAGAACAGGGGCTTCGAAGTCGTAGGCACATTCAAACATTTTCTGATTGGCAATTGTTTTAAAGGGTTTATTTTCAACAGAAAGTAATGTCTGAGTTATAAGGGGTTGTGAAGACCAGGGTTTTATCATGCAAATGAAGCATCCAGGTAGCAGGCTTTACAGGGAATAGATTATACATATTTCTTTCTTTTTATTTTTTTTTTCTTTTTTGTGAGACAAGGTCTTTCTCTGTTGCCAAGGCTGGAGTGTAGTGGCGTGGTCACAGCTCACTGAAGTCTCCACCCCCCAGACTCAAGCGATTCTCCCACCTCAGCCTCCCAAGTAGCTGACCTAACAGGCATGTGCCACCAAGCCTGGCTAATTTTAGTATTTTTTGCAGAGCCAGGGTCTCACCATGTTGCCCAGGCTGATCTCAAACTCCTGAGCAATCTGCCTGCCTCTGCCTCCCAAAGTGCTGGGATTACAGGCATGAGCCACTGAACCCAGCCTTATAAATGTTTCTTATCATACTTAAATAGTTTGTTCTATCAGTAATTCCTAAAGGAATTACACCCAATAGGGCCAAATGAGGCATGTCTGGCTCCCCCTTCTTATCATGGCCTGAACTAGTTTTTTGAGCTAACTTTGGAATGTCCTTGGCTGAGAGAAGGGGTCCATTCAGATGGCTGGTGGGCCTTAGAATTTTGTTTTTTGTTTACAAAATCAAAAAAAGAAATACCAACAAACCTGTAGAAAAATGGGCAAATATGAAGACACTGTTCACAGAAAAGGAAGTACAAATGACTGCAAATTTATGAAGAGTTGCTTAGCCTTACTCATTATAAAATAATTGCAATTAAAACTAACCTACAATACTATTTTCCCTTGTATTAGATTGACAAAAATGCAAAACAGTAATAATAAATTCTGCTGACAAAGCAATGGGAAGACAGGCACTTTTCACACATTGCTGGTAGGAGTTTAAATAAATAGAACTCCAGTGGAAGGCCACTTGTCCCTATCAAAATTATGAATGCAAATCTCTTTAACTCAGCAATCCCATTTCTGAGAATTTGTTGTGCATCCACAAGTGTATATTCTTAAAATGACATGTGTATACAAGACTATTCATTGTATTAATGTGACAGCAAAAGATCAGACACAAACATCAATAATAGATGAGGGTCTTGTTCTGTTTCCCAAACTGGAGGGCAGTGGCATGATTGTGGCTTACTGCAGCCTTGACCTCTTGGGCTCAGTTGATCCTCCCACCTCAGCCTCCTGAGTAACTGAGACTACAGGCATGCACCACCATGCCCAGCTAATTTTTGTGTTTTTTTTAATAGATGGGGTTTCGCCATGTTGCCCATGCTGGTCTCAAACTCCTGAGCTCAAGGGATCCACTCACCTTGGCCTCCCAAAGTGCTGGGATTACAGGTGTCTGCCACCACGACTGGCCAAATGGGGAATTATTCTTGAAGCAATTTGAAAATGTCAGGCCGGGCACGGTGGCCCACGCTCGGCCTGTGCTGGATATTCTTAATGTATTTTCCTTTAGTTCAAATCTTCAACTTTCCGTTTCCCTCTTCCCCAGCAGGCTGAGTGCTATGCTTCAGGGATGCCCTCTCAGCTTGGGCTGGATTGGGAAGATGGGAGGTAAAGTAGGAGGCGGAGCTTGGGAGAGTGTGATCAGTGGTATTCATTTGGCAGGTTTTCCCTCAGTAGGTCAGCTGCAAGTTGGCAGTGGCTGTTTTTCTGTTTTGTTTTGTTTTGTTTTGTTTTGTTTTGTTTTGTTTGAGACAGAGTCTCACTCTGTCACCCAGGCTGGAGTGCAGTAGTACGATCTCGGCTCACTGCAACCTCCACCTCCCAGATTCAAGATATTCTCCAGCCTCAGCCCCCTGAGTACCCGGGACTACAGGTGTGTACCACCATGCCTGGCTAATTTTTGTATTTTTAGTAGAGATAGAGTTTCATCATGTTGGCCAGGCTGGTCTCAAACTTCTGACCTCAGGTGATCTGCCCTCCTGGGGCTCCCGAAGTGCTGGGATTACAGGTGTGAGCCACCGCCTGCAGTAGCTGTTTCTCTACTTACAGCCACAGCTACTGCTGGGCAACACTCCTAAAACTGTCTAGTTCTAACAACTGCTCCCTCCTCTTTCCCCTTGAGCCCTAGCACCTATACATTTTCCCCACAGCCCTGCTTTTGCTAGTCCTGATATGCTTGATCATCTTTGTTGCTTTTCCTTAACTATACACAAAACGTTATAAATAGTCCCTCTATTAAATTTTTCTCAGCTGCCCCATTTGAGCTTGCCATCTATTTCCTGCTGGGCCTTTGACTGATTCAGCTATTGAGCTGATGGAATGCAGAAATAAAATGGAGATTTTTTTCATTGTGTACTGCTTTACACTTTTTAGTTTCTGAATCCTGTGAATCTATTGCATACTCTAAAATTTTAACATGTATGTTTTTATTAACTTTTCTTTTTGTTGAGATAGAGTATTGCTCTGTCACCCACGCTGGAGTGTAGTAGCGTGATCTTGGCTCACTGTAACCTCCACCTCCTGGGTTCAAGCGATTCTCCTGCCTCAGCCTCCCCAGTAGCTGGGATTAGAGGCACGCGCCACCATGCCGAGCTAATTTTTTGCATTTTTGGTAGAGACAGGGTTTCACCATGTTGGCCAAGCTGGTCTCGAACTCCTGACCTCGTGATCTGCCCACCTTGGCCTCCCAAAGTGCTGGGATTACAGGTGTGAGCCACAGCACCCAGCCCTTATACACTTTTCACTTTGAAAATAATCATATATTCATGGGGAATTGCAAAAAATAGTAGAGACAAGTCCCCTGTAGCCTTCAGTCTTCCTCAATGGTTACATCTTATGTAACTCTAGCACAAGATCAAAATCAGGAAATTGACATTGATATGATGTGTGTGCATATAGTCCTATGCCACTTTATGATGTGTGTAGATTCATGTAAACCTACTGAAGTTAGGATACAAAACTATCTCATCACCACAAAAACCTCCCTTGTGCTATTCCTTTACAGTCACACCCACCCCTCACCCTCACCATCCTTAACTCCTGGCGATCCCTAATTTGTTTTCCATATCTATGATTTTGTCATTTCAAGAATGTTATATCAATGGAATTATATAGTATGTGGCCTTTTGAGATTGGCTTTTTCCCACATAACACAATGCCCTTGAGATCCATGTTGTTGCATGTATCAACAGTCTGTTCCTTTTTATTACTCAGTAATATTCCATAGTATCAATGTACAACAATTGGTTTAACCAATCACATAGCAAGAGTCATTTAAAGGCTGAGTGTGATGGCTCACACTTGTAATCCCAATACTTTGAGAGGCTGAGGTGGAAGAATCTCTAGAGCTCAAGAGTGTGAGATCAACCAGCCTGGGCAACGTAGTGAGATCATGTCTCTACAACAGCAACAATAACAACAAAAGCCCGGCATGCTGGCACATGCCTGTAGTCCCAGCTACTTGGACGGCTGAGGCGCAAGGGTTGCTTGAGCCCCAGAGGTCCAGGCTGCAGTGAGTTATGATCGTGCCGCTACACTGCCGCCTGGGCAACAGAGTGAGATCCTCTCTTTCAAAAAAAAGGCATTTGGGTTTTTTGCAGTTTAGGGCTATTACAAATAAAACTTCTATGAACATTCCTGCACGGATTTTTGTGTGGACATGAATTTTTATTTCTCTGGGGTAAATGCCCAGAAGTATGACTATAGGTCATATGTTAAGGTGTGCTTAGTTCTTTAAGAAACTGTCAAAGTATTTTCCAGAAAGGCTGTATCATTTGATATTCCCACCAGAAATGTATGAAATATTAAGTTATCACTATTTGGTATTGTTACTATTTTCTATTTTAGCTGTTATAATAGATGTGTAATGATATCTTATTGTGGTTTTCATTTGCAGTTTCCTACTGGGTAATGATGTTGAACATCTTTTCATGTGTTTATTTGCGAACAATATATCCTCTCGGCTCACTGAAGTTCAAGCGATTCTCTGCCTCCTGGGTTCAAGCAATTCTCCGCCTCCTGGGTTCAAGTGATTCTCCTGCCTTACCCCCTCCTGAGTAGCAGGGATTACAGGTGCCTGCCATCACACCTGGCTAATTTTTGTATTTTTAGTAGAGACGTGGTTTCACCATGTTGGCCAGGCTGGTCTCTAACTCCTGACCTCAGGTGATCTGCCTGCCTCAGCCTCCCAAAGTGCTGGGATTGCAGGCATGAGCCACCGTGCCCAGCCCACAATTGTATTTTACAACAGTGTAGGTATAAAGATGGATCTGATCCAGACTGTATTCATTTTATATATTCATTATTATTACTATACTCATTTTTTCTTCTTTTGAGATAAATTAAAATTTAAACATTTTTATGGGCTCCTGAAAATATCCTGGGTCCTAGACACTGGACCTACTCTGCCTAATGGATAAGTCACCCCTGTTCCTCCACCAGTCTCACTGTTCACTGAGATCTACAGTCTGTGGAACAAAGTCCTAACTTTCTATCCTGAAAAATAGAAAACTCGTTGCCTTCAAAATCTGACTGCCACTTGCCTTGTAAGTCTTATTGACTCTCCTTTCCCAAAAGGATGCTTTTCCTCTGTTGGGCTGGCCTGACTCCTGTTTCTCCAACACAGTTGTTCCTGCTACCATTATTAGAGTTGTTTCTCTCCTTTTGGAATCTCCTTCCCCAAATTCTTACATCTGTCATATGGGGCCCAGTTCAATTTCTGGTGAGACACACACACACATGCGCACACGCACACACACACACACGCGCACGCACACACACACACGCAGAGAGAGACAGAATGGTACAGGCAGAACACATGAAGTAGATTTAAATAAGGTTAAATCCCTGCTCTGTCTTGAATGAGTTACTTTTCCTCTCTGAACTAAAGTTTTCTCATTTTTAAATTTCTCATTTCTATTTTCAGGATAATAGTACCCTTCTGTTAGGATTGTCATGAGGATTACCTGAGATAAAGCAGGGTCCCCAACCAATCCCTGAGCTACAGACTGGTAGTGGTCTGTGGCCTGTTAGGAACCTGGCTGCACAGCAGAAGGTGAGTGAGCATTGCCACCTGAGCTCTGCCTCTTGTCCTATCAGTGGCAGCACTAGGTTCTCATAGGTGTGTGAACACTATTGTGAACTGCACATGCGAGGGATGTAGGTTGCACACTCCTTATGAAAATCTAATGCCTGATGATCTGAGGTGAAAGAGTTTCATCTGGAAACCATCCTCCTTCTGCATCCCCTTCCCCCACCTGCCCACCCCTTAACCCAATACGTGGAAAAACCCCTCATACCAAAAAGTTGGGGACCACTGAGACAGAGTACAAAGCAAAAAACCCTAGTAAAGTATCTGGCACATAAACAAATTTCTTCCTTTCCCTTGTCACTGCTTCCTAAGGGTGCAAGCTTTCAGTGATCTATTTCTCTGCTGCAACTCCTATACTATGTGTTTAATCAAGCCCAGGCAATCTTTTCCTGGATTGGGTTAAAAATATAAATAAATATAGGGCCGGGTGTGGTGACTCATGCCTGTAATCTCAGCACTTTGGGAGGCCAAGGAAGGGGGATTGCTTGAGGTCAGGAGTTCTAGACCAGCCTGGCCAACATGGTGAAACCCTGTCTCTACTAAAATACAAAAATTAGCTGGGCGTGGTGGCAGGTGCCTGTAATCCCAGCTACTAGGGAGGCTGAGGAAGGACAATTGCTTGAATTCAGGAGGTGCAGGTTGCAGTGAGCCGGGATTGCGCCACTGCACTCCAGCCTGGGTGACAGAGTGAGAATCCATTTGAAGAAAAATACATAAATAAAATAAAATAAAATAAAATAAAATAAATATAAATAAACAGCTTTATTGAAGGATAATTGACATACTATAGATTGCACCTATTTAAAGATATAATTTGGGTCTGTTCCAAGATGACCAAATAGGAACAGCTCCGGTCTGCAGCTCCCAGCGTGATCGATGCAGAAGAGGGGTGATTTCTGCATTTCCAACTGAGGTATCTGGTTCATCTCATTGGGACTGGTCGGAAAGTGGGTGCGGCCCATGGAGGGTGAGCCAAAGCAGGGCAGGGCATAGCCTCACCCAGGAAGTGCAAGGGGTTGGGGGATTTCCTTTTCCTAGCCAAGGGAAGCTGTGACAGACTGTACCAGTAAAATCGGGACACTGCCACCTAAACACTGCTCTTTTCCAATGGTCTTAGCAAACGGCACACCAGAAGATTATATCCCATGCCTGGATCAGTGGGTCCCATGCCCACGGAACCTTGCTCACTGCTAGTCCGAGATCACACTGTGAGGCAGCACGCCTGGCTGGGGGAGGGGTGTCCGCCATTGCTGAGGATTGAGTAGGTAAACAAAGCAGCTGGGAAGCTCAAACTGGATGGAGCCCACCTCAGCTCAAGGAGACCCACCTGCCTCTGTAGACTCCACCTCTGGGGGCAGGGCATAGCTGAACAAAAGGCAGCAGAAACTTCTGCAGACTTCAACGTCCCTGTCTGACAGCTCTGAAGACAGCAGTGGTTCTCCCAGCACAGTGTTTGAGCTCGGAGAACAGCCAGCCAGCCTCCTCAAGTGGGTCCCTGACCCCCGTGTAACCTAACTTGGAGACACCTCTCAGTAGGGGCTGACAGACACCTCATACAGCTGGGTGCCCCTCTGAGATGAAGCTTCCAGACGAAGGATCAAGCAGCAATATTTGCTGTTCTGCAGCCTCCGCTGGTGAAACCCAGGCAGACAGGGTCTGGAGTGGACCTCCAGCAAACTCCAACAGACCTGCAGCTGAGGGACCTGACTGTTAGAAAGAAAACTAACAAACAGAAAGGAATAGCATCAACAGCAACATAAAGGGCATCCACACCAAAACCCCATCTGTAGGTCACCATCATCAAAGACCAAAGGTAGATAAAAATCACAAAGATGGGGAGAAACCAGAGCAGAAAAGCTGAAAATTCTAAAAACCAGAGCACCCCTTCTCCTCCAAAGGATGGCAGCTCCTCGCCAGCAACGGAACAAAGCAGGATGGAGAATGACTTTGATGAGTTGACAGAAGTAGGCTTCAGAAAATTGGTAATAACAAACTTCTCCCAGCTAAAGGAGGACGTTTGAACCCATTGCAAGGAAGCTAAAAACCTCGAAAAAAGATTAGACGAATGGCTAACTAGAATAAACAGTATAGAGAAGACCTTAAATGACCTGATGGAGCTGAAAACCACGGCACGAGAACTATGTGACGCATGCACAAGCCTCAGTAGCTGATTCGATCAACTGGAAGAAAGGGTATCAGTGATTGAAGATCAAATGAATGAAATGAAGCAAGAAGTTTAGAGGAAAAAGAGTAAAAGGAAATGAACAAAGACTCCAAGAAATATGGGACTGTGTGAAAAGACCAAATCTACATTTGATTGGTATACCTGAAAGTGATGGGCAGAATGGAACCAGCTGGAAAACACTCTTCAGGATATTATCCAGGAGAACTTCCCCAACCTAGCAAGGCAGGCCAACATTCAAATTCAGGAAATACAGAGAACACCACAAAGATACTCCTCGAGAAGAGCAACCCTAAGACACATAATTGTCAGATTCACCAAGGTTGAAATGAAGGAAAAAATGCTAAGGGCAGCCAGAGAGAAAGGTTGAGTTACCCACAAAGGGAAGCCCATCAGACTAACAGTGGATCTCTTGGCAGAAACCCTACAAGCCAGAAGAGAGTGGGGGCCAATATTCAACATTCTTAAAGAAAAGAATTTTCAACCCAGAATTTCATATCCAGCCAAACTAAGCTTCATAAGTGAAGAAGACATAAAATCCTTTACAAGCAAATGCTGAGAGATATGAAACTATTGCCACAATCAAGATACTAGATATACCTATCACCCTCAAAAGTTTCTTTGTGTTCCTTTATAATGCCTCTCTCAATCCTCCCACTCCCCATGCCTCCTTCCCTGGATAAGCACTGATCTGCTTTCTGTCACTATTGGCTAGTTTGCATTTTCAAAAATTGTATATAAATGAAATCATACAGTATATACTCTTGTTTATCACATCTTTCATTTAGCATAATTAATTTGAGATTCATTTATTCATCATGCTGTATACATTAATAGTTTGTTCTGGCCAGGCACGGTAGCCCATGCCTATAATCCCAACACTTTGAGAGGCTGAGGCAGGCAGATCAATTGAGGTCAGGAGTTGGAGACTAGCCTGGGCAACATGGTGAAACCCCATCGGTACTAAAAATACAAAAATTAGCTGGGCATGGTGGCGTGCACTTGTAATCCCAGCTAGTCATAAGGCAGAGGCAGGAGAATCAGTTGAGCCTGGGAGATGAGGTTACAGTGAGCCAAGATGGTGCCACTGCGCTCATGCCTGGGTGACAGAGTAAGACTCTGTCTCAAAAAAAAAAAAAAATCATTTATTCCTTTTTATTCCTGAGTAGTATTCTACTGCATGAAAATACTACAATCTGTTTATCCATTCATCTATGTATAGACATTTAGCTTTCCCCACCCCTCGGCTTTGAACTTTTGTAAATAAAATTGTCATGAACAACTTTGGGTGGACATATGCTTTCATTTATCTTGAGGAAATGACTAGGAGTAGAATGACTGGACTATATGGTAGATGAATGTTTAACTTTTTTTTTTTTTTTTTTTTTTTTTTTGAGACGGAGTCTTGCTATCGCCCAGGCTGGAGTGCAGTGGCGTGATCTTGGCTCACTGCAATCTCCGCCTCCCGGGTTCACGCCATTCTCCTGCCTCAGCCTCTGGAGTAGCTGGGACTACAGGCGCCCACCACCACACCCAGATAATTGAATGTTTAACTTTTCAAAGTGTTTTCCAAAGTGGTTGTCCTATTTTACATCCCCATGAGCAACGTATGAACATTTAGTAACTACTCATTATTGCCAACACTTGACATGGTCAGTCTTTTTAGTTTTAGCCATGCTAGGATATTTAATATATGTATGTGTGTTTATATGTATTAATATATTGCAAGGTTCATGGGTCGGTTACTTTGAACACAAGATACATTTCTCCTAGAAATATTGCCCTGCAACTGACACACCAGCGAAAGGCAAGTGGTTACCGGTAGCTGAATTAGTGCTCGTATTAATTGATTTTTTAACAGATTTTAAAATAGAATTTCTAAGCCTGAGACTCCTAAGCCCCAAGCTGCAACTTTAGGACTTCTGAACCTAAGTACCATACCCCCTGAGCTATGATTCCCTCTAAGCCCTGGTCTGATTGATAGAAGAAAAGATAAGGAGAGAAAGCTAGGCTTATTAACTACTTTTTTTTTTTTGAGAGGGGGTCTCACTCTGTCACCCAGGCTGGAGTGCAGTGGTGCGATCTTGGCTCACTGCGGCCTCTGCCTCCTGGGTTCAAGTAATTCTGTCACCTCAGCCTCTTGAGTAGCTAGGATAATAAGGGCATGCCACCATGCCCAGCTAATTTTTGCATTTTTATTAGAGACGGGGTTTCACCATGTCGGCCAGGCTGGTCTCAAACTCCTGACCTTGGGTGATCCACCCACCTCAGCCTCTCAAAGTGCTGATATTACAGGTGTGAGCCACTGCGCCCCAGCCTTTTTTTTTTTTTTTTTTTTTTTTTTTTTTGAGACAGGGTCTTGCTTTGCTGCCCAGGCTGGAATCACTGCTCCATACAACCTCTGCCTCTCAGGCTCAAGCAATCCTCCCACCTCAGACTCCTGAGTAGCTGGGTACACCACCACACCTGGCTAGTTGTTTTTTTTTTTTTGTATTTTTTGTAGAGAGGGGTCTCACTATATTGCCCAGGCCAGTCTTGAACTTCTGGGCTCAAGTGATCCACCTGCCTCACTCTCCCAAACTGCTGGAATTACAGGCATGAGCCACTGCACCCAGCCCTCATTTGCTTTTAAAAATTTAATGACTTTCGCTGGGCGCGGTGGCTCACGCCTGTAATCCCAGCACTTTGGGAGGCCAGGGTGGGCAGATCACGAGGTCAGGAGATTGAGATCATCCTGGCTAACACAGTGAAACCCCGTCTCTATTACAAAAATACAAAAAATTAGCCGGGTGTGGTGGCGGGCGCCTGTAGTCCCAGCTACTCAGGAGGCTGAGGTGGGAGAATTGCATGAACCTGGGAGGCGGAGCTTGCAGTGACCCGAGATCGCGCCACTGCACTCCAGCCTGGGTGACAGAGCAAGACTCCGTCTCAAAAAAAAAAAAATTAATGACTTTCATGTTTTACACAAATGTCCACATAAGGTGTCTATAAGGAATCTGACAAGCAGATGGCCCACTCAAATTGGGTAATTTGAAAAATTTAAGTAAATACACAATTTAGAAGGTCAGTATAGGGTACAGGGAACTCATAAGAGATAGGACAATACCCCAAGACTAGTCCTGCCTAGGCCTAAAGGAGAGAGGGAAAGAGTGGTTTCTAGTGATTACTAGAACCCAGAAACTTAGACAATTGTGTGGAGAGGGGCTTCAGTTGAGGGACACTACCAGCCTGCAGCCACCTTTAATGCAGGGAGACAAGGGAGTAAATCCTCTAACCTCTCCTTCCTCCAGTTCCCTGTGGATGCTTCCCAAAGACCAAACCCACAGGAAATCAGAAATCATAGAAGGCGGGTTGCTGTGGCCCCTAAATGTCAACCTCTTTGGGAATAGCACTGGAGGAGAAGGGGACAGTGTGTATCTGCAAGGCCAAAAGGAAACTTTCATTACAATCTCTCCTCTCTTCCCTTAAGCATCCACTCCTGTCCTCCAAGTGAAAAATTCATGTCCCCGACATAAGAGATATGCAAAGGCTCACCAGTAATTGTATCATCTTCTGGCGATGTCAATTCAGTCTTTTTTTTTTTTTTTTTCAAGGCAGGGTCTCACTCCTGTTGCCCAGGCTAGAGTACAGTGGTGCGAACATAGTTCACTGCAGCCTTGACGTCCCAGACTCAAGGGATCTTCCCTCCCCAGCCCCCTGAGTAGCTGCGGCCACAGAAGCACGCCACCACGCCCGGCTAATTTTTTGGTATTTTTCATAGAGAAAAATACCGTGTTGCCCAGACTGGTCTTAAACTCCTGGGCTCAAGTTTTACCATGTTGCCCAGACTGGTGTTAAACTCCTGGGCTCAAGTGATCCACCTGCCTCAGCCTCCCAAAGTGCTGAGATTACAGGCGTGAGCTACCGTGCCCAGTCTCTGTTTTCCTCTGTCACCTGTTTCGTGTTTTCTGTCAGAACTCAGCTGGTTGGGATTCTTTATCTTGTGGGGTAGCTCTATCATTGATTCCTGGTGAGTCTGAGTTCTTAGTGGTCTTGTTTTATTGGATGGCCATGTTTTCTACTGAGTAAGACTATTAGGTAAGCGAGAACTAAAGAGATGCCCCCGTGAATCCTCTGCATTCCAGCTGTGGTTCTCTTTTCCTTTATTGTGAAGTAACAACCTAATTTCTTCTGGTATCAGGATCAGTCACTCTGGCCAGTAGGATAGCTCTCTTCTCTGCCTGTTTGCTCAGAGGCATGAGAAGCCTAAAATGGTCAGGGCTACCAAGTAATTGGAATCATCACCATATTTCCTGGTGGAGAAACTTCTACAGGTTCTAGCATCTTCAAATCCTTTGAACTCAGGATAGTGGGGAAAGGAAGCAAAATCTTAAAAGGGCTGTTCGGTACAGCTGTGAGAAGGTACTCCCACATCCACCTCTTGTTTCCTATGCATTCTGGCTCTGGGGAAAAGGGCCTCTTAACGTTCACTGATGATTTAAAGCATATACTGGTAAGACAGCAACCCAGGACGGGCATGGTGGCTCACGCCTGTAATCCCAGCACTTTGGGAGGCCAAGGCGGAGGATCACCTGAGGTCAGGAGATTCAGACCATCCTGGCTAACATGGTGAAACCCTGTCTCTACTAAAAATACAAAAAACTAGCTGGGCGTGGTGGCACATGCTTGTAGTCCCAGCTACTTGGGAGGCTGAGGCAGGAGAATCGCTTGAACCCGGGAGGCAGAGGTTGCAGTGAGTCGAGATTGCACAACTGTGCTCCAGTCTGGGTGACAGAGTGAGACTATGTCTCAAAAAAAAAAAAAAAAAAAAAAAAGACAGCAACCCAAACTTACAGAGTTGGTTCCATTGATTGAATCTACAGTAGTCTAGACATTCTACCGTTTATCAAGCCACGTTATTCTAGGTAATGGGGCACATGTTAAATCAATGAATTCCATGAGTGCAAACAGATTTCTTTCTTTTTTTTTTTTGAGATGGAGTCTCGCTCTGTCGCCCAGGCTGGAGTGTGATGGCGCGATCTAGGCTCACTGCAAGCTCCGCCTCCCGGGTTCACGCCATTCTCCTGCCTCAGCCCCCCGGGGACTACAGGCGCCTGCCGCCAAGCCCGGCTACTTTTTTGTATTTTTTAGTAGAGACGGGGTTTCACCGTGTTAGCCAGGATGGCCTCGATCTCCTGACCTCGTGATCCGCTCGCCTCGGCCTCCCAAAGTGCTGGGATTACAGGCGTGAGCCACCGCGCCCGGCCGCAAACTGATTTACTTTCCTTGCCACAACATGAGTCCCTTGATTAGAGACAATGTTGTGTAAGTATGGTGGCTACAAATCAGGAATTCTCCAAGTCCAAAGACAGTGATTCTGATAGAAGTGCTGGAAGCAAGGAAGAGAAATCACTATTCAGAATATGTGTCAGATCTTGTGGGGGACAAACCACTATTCCCTCCATAATGAAAGAATCCCAATGTAATCAATGTATCACCCGATGGCTGGCTGCTGGCCCTGGGAATGGTATCATATCAGAGGCTCAGATTTGGCCTTTGCTGTGGGCAGGTGGGGCACTCAGCAGTGATGGTGACAAAATGAGGGGAAGTCTACATCTCTGAGTTCATCACTGGCTCTATTCCTGCCACTATGGCCACTTTGTGCATAGGCTCATTGAGAAAACACTAGAGTGACTGGAGAAAGAGATTACCTGACATCCACGGGACAGGTTATCTTGTCCACCATCTGTTCTGAAATATCCCTTCTCATGCTTTTCTCCCAAGCCTTCATGACACCAATTTTCCTCAATTGTTTTCTCCAAGTCCCTAACAATCTGGAATATCTGCTTCCTACTGTTTATAAATCATTCGAGATCTGAGCCATCTCTTCTTTCACACAAAGTGGACAATCGGAAGTACCATTCAAAGTTCTGCCCATTGGGAGGATTTCCGTTTGCTATGGTTTTTCACGGCTATCCCTGAATGAATCTATGCTACAGAAGCCAGCATACCTGGAAGACCTGTCAGTAAACTAGACCCATTTTCCTCCATCAAGTGGTCACAGAAATCTTCCCCTGGGGCCATGTGTATGAGGTGAGGGAGGGCAGTGAAGCAGAGGACCAGGCAATGCAGGAGGCCAGGCCTCTTGCTTGTGCAGTTTGCTTCACTCATGTAGGTTCGGGAGCCAAGTAAACTGCACAAGCAGGTTGATTGCATGTATCCCACTTCCATGTGAAATGTAATAAAAGAAAAATTTCAGCCAAATTCAATTTAAAGAAGTTCAATTGAGCAATGAACAACTGGCGAATCGGGCAACCCCCAGAATCACAGCAGATTCACAGAGACTTCAGTGCAGCCACATGGTGGAAGAAGATTTATAGACAAAAAAAGGGAAATGACATACAGAAATCAGCAGTGAGGTACAGAAATAGCTGGATTGGTTACAGGTTGGTGTTTGCCTTATTTGAACACAGTTTGAACACTTAGCAGTCTATGAGTGGTTGAAGTATGGCTGCTGGAATTGGCCAAGACTCAGTTATTGTTACAGGCGCATACTCTTAAGTTAGGTTTTCAATTTTGTCTGACTATTAAGCTAGGTTACAGTTCATCCACAAGGACTCAAATATAGAAGTACGGAGTCCTTCTCAGGCCGTATTTAGTTTGCTTTAACAAATGGAATGCTGCTGCACATGTAAACAGCTTTATGGTTCAGTGGATATTCCCATGCATGGTAGGTAGTCTGGGTCATACAAACATAGGGCAGCCCATGATAAGGCTTTCAGGCTCTACCAGGGTGCAGGAGCAAGCCAGAGCCACCTTCCAACGATAATAATCACCAGCAGGTCATAAGTTTCCTATTGAGGATTGCCAGAGGCTCCATAAGACACCTCTGTTGGTCAAAGGTATTTTGAGTATCATTGAATCTGTGGGGTCAGAAGGCTCAAGTGACAAGACAGCTGGTACCACAGCCTGGATCTGCCTCAGAACCCTTTCGTGCTCTCTATCCCACTCCAAACTGTCAGCTTCGCAGCTTCCTAGGTGATGGGTTCAAGTAGTATGCACAAATGTGGCTTGTTGCCTCCAAAATCTAAAGAAGCCCCAAAAATGTTGTGCCCCCTTGTGATCAGTGCAAAGCAGGGCAAGTTACTTCTCACTCTTAGAAAGTGAGAGACTTACCCCAGGCTATTGCACCCCTCAAAACATTACACATACAGCAGGCTCCTGAATGTTCATGGACTCTATCTCCTATCCTCTGGCATGAATGTGACTTACTAAGACTTCTAGGATACTTGCTACTTTCTGTTCCCCAGTTCCAGTTAGCATTATGTCATCATTGTAAAAGATGAGAGTGACACGATGTAGGGTATCAAGTTGATTACAGGCCCTTTGGACTGTTTTATAACAGAGACCAGGAGAGTTCATGTGGCCTGGAGACAACTAAGTAAAGGTATAATGTTGCCCTGCCTTGAAAATACGAACTTCTTCTGATTTTTGTTAATTATGGAAATGGGGGAGAAAGGAATATGACAGGTCAACGACTGTAAATGGACACTAGGGCCGTATTGATTTGTTCCAGTAAAGATACTACATCCAGATCATTGTTATTTTTGCCATCACCATCTGTTTAAGTTTGCAGTGATACACAATCATTTTCCATTACCTGTCTGACTCTTACACTGGCCAAACAGGTAAGTTGAATGAGCATGTGATAAGGATCAAAGCACTGCATCTTTTAAGTGTTCAATGGTGGCACCAACCTCTGCAACTCCCCTAAGGATGGGGAATTGCTTTCAGCTTACCATCATGAAGGAGGGTGGTGGTGCGGTTCCAGGGTCTTCACTTGGCCCTTTCTACCATAGTAACTCTCGCTCCATAAATAGGTAACAAATATGGGCATCTGCCTGTTACTAAGTATATGTAGCCCCACTGTATATTTTAAGGCTGGGAAATAACCACAATGTGGATCCAAGGTCCTACTGGACCAACCGTAAGATGAACCTGGGCCCAGACTCCACCAGTTATCTGAATGGTGGACCCCACTGGCATTTTTCAGGTCTCCTAGGATAAATGTCAGTTCAGAGTAAGTATCTAGTAACTCCTGAGAGGGTGTGTTATTTCTCTTTGCTCTATGTATAGTTTCTTAAGTAAATGGCAGTAAGTTCTTCCAGGGAAGAGGAGATGGATCATTCATGATAAACAGCTATGCCTCTACTATAGCATCCGTCCTCAAAGGATCCACCCTTTCCCTCTGTTGAGGGGCTTTGGCTAAGATCTGGGACCTAAGAGGCCAAGATTTCCCATTATGTAGATTTGAGGTTTTCCCAGTATAGCCCCAATTTTTTCACCTGTATATATCAAGAAGAACTTCAGTAGTGACCACAGATTTCATTTCAAGAGATCCTATAATCATTTAGTTATTGCCACAGATGCCTGTGGGCCAAAAATCTCTAATTACCTCTGTCTCTGTGGCTTACTGTAGCTGGTGTACTCAACTGTCTTTGACAGTTAAATGCTGCCATTTGGCCTCAGGCCTCTGGGATCCCATAGTCCCATGAGATCAGAAAACCCAGTCCTTTTGCAATTTCCCCCAAGGTTATCTCTGGCCTCTCAAGGAGAGTCATCACCTTTTCAAGCAGGCTGGTATCTTCCCACTGATGCACTTCCTGCGGCTTTGGTGACAAGCAGATGAGAGGGTGGCTGAGTAGTTGTTTGTAATAGAGAAGCACTGCTCTTTGGTATGCCAGGGAAGTTCCAACATTTTGACCTAATTAACTATAGGCCATAAGCAGGTCATGAAACTGACTCAAACAAGATTGTGCATCAGAATCCCCTGGAAAGCTTGTGAAAACACAGATTCCTGCCCCCTACCCCATAACTCTGATTCGGGAGGTCTTGGGTGGGGTCTGAGAATTTGCATTTCTGAGTTCCCAGATGATGCCAACCCTGTTGTTTGGGAACACAGTGTGGAAGCCACTGTTCGATATTTCAACCTCATTATATCAGAGGCCTAGAGAAGTTTTTCTCAACCTTTAATATGCACACAAATCACCTGCGAGGCTTGTAAAATACAGAGTTTTGCTTCAGTAGGTCTGGGGTGGATTCTGAGATTCTAGGATTCCATTCAGCTCCCAGGTGATGCCACTGCTGCCGATCCACAGACCACACTGAGTTTCAAGGCTCCAGGCCATGAGTTCAAGCTCAATTAACCAAGGCCATGAGTTCAAGCTCAATTAGCAGATCATTAATGTCACTCTTGGGTGGCCCATGCAATACATTAAATCCCAACCCATCTCTGTGAGTGTGGCTCAATAAAGCCATGTATTTTTTCTCCTTGGTCTAAGATCCTTAGGATTCACTACCCCTTAAGGGCTCCCTAGGCTCCTGACAATACAGTTTCGTACAATCCCGATCTAAACTTCTTTCTGTGTACAGGCTATCACTACTCACTTCAGGACTAGCAATTCCTTTCAGTAAAGGCCTAGTAGTAATGAGGGGCAGGTGTTGGGTGGAGGGAGGTCCTGAGGGGCACTGGCCTCAGCTTGTGTGACAACTGCCCCAGGTGCAGGTATTGAAAAATTTTTATGTAGGTAAGAACTGCTTCTCTCAAATAGTGGAGGCAGAGCTCCCTCGCATAGCTAGGGAAGTCCAAGGGAGTCTGGAGTTTCAAAATTCTGCTTTACCCACATTGATCCAGCCCCTGTTTTAAGCTCCACTCCTCTACCAGTGCCCTCACCTTGGCAGAAAAGGCCTAGTGAAGTTGGTGTGCAACCCAATTAAATGTTGTTATAATGCTCAGCATTAGGAACTGGACGTGGCCCACGGTGTCATCTGCTCTGTGAGTATAGGAGACACTTCATCCTTCAAAAGCTGCCACTTCATCCTTCAAAAGCTGCCACCCAGGCTTTCTGATTATCCACTTACAATCTCAACTGCAAACTCACAGTTTCATTTTTCCTTTATTCTTCATATACTTTCTAGCACTGTCAAAAGAAGCCAGGTGGTCCCATGGTCTATATAATCATTACTAATCACCATAATGTCAGTGCCACAGTACTTGATCTTCCAATGCCTTGCCCTCTTCCTGCTCTTCATCTCATGCCCACACAGTGATAATGTGAATAACCATGATGCTGCCCTATGACAGGGGTTATCTGTGTCGCATTTACCACTGGCAAGTAAGTAAATGCACTATCCAAACCAAGATTCCCAATCTGAGTGTCTTTCTCCTGGGGCCACCTGTAGTAGCAATTTCTATGTCAGTCAAGATCCCACAGAGGCTAGATGCGGTGGCTCACACCTGTAATCCCAGCATTTTGGGAGGCCGAGACAGGTGGATCACGACGTCAGGAGTTCAAGACCAGCCTGGCTAAGATGGTGAAACCCTATCTCTACTAAAGATACAAAAATTTGCCAGGCATGGTGGCAGGCGCCTGTAATCCCAGCTACTTGGGAGGCTGAGGAAAGAGAATTGCTTGAACTCAAGTAGCAGAGGTTACAGTGAGCCGAGATCGCACCACTGCACTCCAGCCTGGGCAACAGAGTGAGACTCCATCAAAAAAGAAAAGAAAAGAAAAGAAAGGCCAGGCGTGGTGACTCACGCCTGTAATCCCAGCACTTTGGGAGGCCGAAGTGGGCGGATCACAAGGTCAGGAGATCGAGACTATCCTGGCCAACATGGTGAAACACTGTCTCTACTAAAAATACAAAAATTAGCTGGGCGTGGTGATGCATGTCTGTAATTCCAGCTACTTGGGAGGCTGAGGCAGGAGAATTGCTTGAACCAGGGAGTCGGAGGTTGCAGTGAGCTGAGATCACGCCACTGCACTCCATCCTGGTGACAGAGCGAGACTCCATCTCAAAAAAAAAAAAAAAAAGAAAAAAAATTCCAGAGAGAAATAGATGACATACTCTGGATAGCTTAAAGAGAGTTTAATAAAGGCACTATTTACAAGGATATGAGTAGGGCATAGGGAATTCGCTAAGCATGGTACCGTACCCTGGGGCTAGTAACAGCATGGCACCATTACCACTCAGCATTAATGTTAAAATAAAGATCATAAGATTGATAGAACAGACTCTTTGTGGCAATAAGATACCAAATTATAAACAGGACCTAGGCTATGCCAGGCAAGCGTTAAGTCATGCACTCCTACACTTAAAGGATAAACTGTGCTCTAACTGCCACAAGGGTTTTCTTTTTCTCTAGCAGCTAAAGAAATGCTAGTCTTGAGATAAGCAATAGTAAAAAAACGTTGCAGCTCATGCCAACCGTGACTAACTGAACCCCTGTTGCACCAGCCACAACTATAGCCTTGATTGGACAAGAGACTGGTTTCAATAACTTTCCCCTGATAAGACCACCGATTACGGACTGGTTCTGGCTGGTTTATGGAGGTTGTGCATTTATATGCGTTCATGTCCTGAAAAGACCTTCTGATGTGCAGGACCTAATTTTTAAATGTTACGTATAGGGCCTAACATTTAAATATTAAGTCTCCACCCCAAGGTGAACATGGGTTGTATATAACATGCATGCTTGTTCAATATGCATGCGTCAGGACCACCTTCATGAATATTTATAATCCTCCTGTAACCTGTTGAATATGTATGTTTAGCCAACCCATTCATCATAAAGCTCTTACCCTAACCCCTCCTCCTTCGAAGTGCCTGTCTCTGGTCTTGCCTGGAGGCTGTGCTTCCCAGCCTGCAGGATGCCACCTTGCAAGCTATAACTCCTTATAAGAAATAAAGTCTCCTCACCTTTCCAAACTTGTAGATTTGTGATTTTTTTTTAAGTTAACAGGTGGCATGTGCCTGTGGTCTCAGCTACTCATGGAGGCTGAGGTGGGAGGATCCCTTGAGCCCACAAATTAGGAGTTCAAGTCCAGCCTGGGCAACATAGCAAAACCCCATCTCTTAAAAAACCTTTTTTTATCTAAAAAAAAAAAAATAGCTGCCCTACGTGTTCTACCCAACTCCAACAGAATGACATCAAAGTAACTGGAACATAATGGCACAGAGCACAGCATTTCAAAAGACGGTATCAGGTAAAACTGACAGCATTTAATACAGCACCAGCTGAACAAAGATTTCGGCTCTCTTTGAATGATTTCATAGGTAGACATCAGCCAGTCCAGCCCGTGTTTTTGATGCACAGTGCTTAAGATGTGCTCCCTGAAGTGAGATCACCCAGCCTGTGGCTTTAAAGTGATAGCTGAGTGATGGATGGTAATTTCCCATCTATTATGATAAGACTCCCTTTCCAAAGGATTTTTCTGCATTCTGCTAAGTGACTCTGGTTTTCATTTCCCTAACACATTTTTCTTCCCTGAATGCCTTTCTGATATGCCTTGTTTAAATAGTCAGTGGCTTATTGAAATTTTCAGGGACTTGTTTCTGCCTGCTACAGAATGATTTTTTTTTTTTAATATCACCTTGATTTGTTAGGATGCATTTGACCTCCTGTCACTGACAGGAGAAGGGGTGAGGTCTTCTTCTGCAGACAGTAAAGAGCAGGCAGTTTTATTTCTCAGATCCTTTTACAAGATTTGAGGAGTAAGGAAGAGACAGCAGATGGTTTTGAAGAGATTCAATCACCCATGGGTACTGCTGCAGAATGTGGGTCCTGCAGGCACGCAAATATTCAAAACAAACTAAACCTTTAAATAAATAGAGACCATGCCATTACCTTCTCAATTTGGGACGATAGACATTGATATATACATTTTAACTTAATATCAACATGAAATCAAAGGGCTATGTTCATCTTTTAGTGACCACAGATGGTACAAATACCAAGGTAGATGCCAAATATACCAAGCGATGGTGGGCTGGGGTACCGGTTACTCCACCTGAGGATTACATTTTATTTTTTGTAAATCTTTACTACTAACAAGTAACGCATATACAGTAAAGTGTGCAAATTTAAGAGTATGGCTCAGTGTATATATATATTTATGTGCAGTGTGTGTATATGTACTTAACTATCATCAGATCGAGAAGTAGAACATTTCTAGCACTCTGGAAGGTTCCCTTGTGCTCTCTTCTAATTATTACCACCCTACCCCCAAGGGTAATCACTATCCTGACCTCAATCACCATAGATTAGTTTCACCTGTGTTTGATTTTCACTTAAAGGAATGATACGATATTACTTCTTTTGTGTCCAGTTCTTTTTGGTTCATTATGTTGTGAGATTCAGCCATGTTATAATGCACATCACTAGTTTATTTCTTTTTATTGCTAAAGAGTATTTTATTGTAAATATATATCACAATTCTTTATTCTTTCTGTCACTTATGGGCATTTAATTTCTTTGAATAAATTTAACAAGTTGCAAATGAATATTTAGCAAATTGCACTCAGATTAAAATAACAAAATAATCTCTTATCAGAAGCTAAGAAATACATTTTCCTCCTCCTCATCCATATCCAAAGACGGTTCTGAAAATGCCTTTTCTTCTCTATTATAGCAACACCTAGTGGCTTGAGAAGGCCAGGTCTAGAGGTATGCATTTACGGCTGGGAAACACTGACCTTTAGCTTTGAAGACCTCAGGTAGCACCTAGGCGTCGGCTATAACCGCATAACAATGGTCCCCATCTGAAACCATTTAAGTCAGAATCTTTGGAGGAAGAGGCCAGGATTGGTAGGTTATAAAAGTTGCCCAGATGATTTTAATGTGCAGCCAAGGCTAAGAGCTACTTATCTAGACCAGTGGTTTGCAAACTTTTGTCAAATAATCAGAATCGCGTTTCAAACACAGATTGCTGGGCCCCGCCCACAGAGTATGTTTCAGTAGGTCTAGGGCAGAGCCCAAGAATTTGCATTTCTAACAAGTTTCCCAGGTAATATTGATGCTGCTAGTCCAGAAACCACATGATAAGAACCACCGATCTAGACTAAGTCTGTTATTTAACGCAAGAAAAAAACTGCAGGCCAGACAGTTGAAGCAATTTGCTGGAGTCATGGAGTCAGATAGTGACAAAGTTGTAACTAGAACAAAGGCCTCACAATTACTTTCCTCTCATCAGATATATCTAAGCTTGGATACTGCTGAATGTTATGCCATTTGAAGCTATGTAAAGAGATCACTCCCCCGCAATAAAAATGTAAAACAAATAGATGTTTGGAGAGGTGGGTGAGGTAACTCTTTTCCATAAACGTATTTGCAAAAACGTAAACATCCTGAGAAAGCGGAAGCAGAACACATACACGAGGACCAGTACTTGATGAGGACAAGAGAGATGGGAAACAGGCTGTGGAATTCCTTTCGGCACCCTGAATGTTAACCCCTGCTCAGGAAAGGGTGCATCTGTCTTCATCATGCCTCTCTCTCCTCCCCTCCTCCAGCCACCTCCCAAAGGCAGAGCTGCCGCAACCTGCCTGGCCCATGTGGTGGCAAGTCACCCAGTCAGGAGACACCCTGGCCAGTAGTTTATCTCTTTCTTCCACATCTCTCCTATAACACAAGATTTACTGTGTTGGTGTATTTTCCCATGACTCCTAAATCTCACTCACACTTGCCCCTTACAATAAGATTTTCCCAAATATGGCTGGCTTGTCTCCAACAGTTGTGGCCCACATCTGCCAGTTAGACAGCCCTGTGCCTGAGTCTGTAGCGCAACAGCTGTGGGGCTGGGTGTGAGCCTGTCCTCCTAGCTATGCTAAGCATGCTGTAATGACACACTACCCTGGCAGCTTGGACCTTTGCCTGCTGAGCCATTTTGGCCTGCCTTAGTGGCTCCCTGAACTGTATCAGGGTGTCACATGGCAGGAGAGCTTTGCCCGTGGAGCTGGGGAATCTGTATTTTAAATACATGTTACAGGTGATTCTAAAGTACACTTCTGGGAAGTGTGGACATTTTCAGCTCAGGATTTAAGAAGGAGCAGATTTATTCTACCAATGGGAACAGAGAAGAGAGAAAGGAAACTGCATCAACCAGAGATTGCAGGTGCAGAGCATTCTCATGTAAGATATTTAAAAAACTGTTTTCTGCAGAAAAAAACTGATGAAGATTAATTTTTGAATAAGGACATATGCAAAGACTTAAGGACTGTCTGCTATGGAATAAAAGGCAGCCAGTCTAGTGGTGGACAAGAGCAACTTGAGGGGGAAGAAACCCCAAACAGAACAAAACAAAGAGGGTCTAGAATATACCAAAACGATCTCTGCAACTACAGTGGTTACATCAACAGTTTCTTAGGAAAAATCGGGCTAATACCAAAATTCACATTTTGGCTTTGATGGTTTGCTGTATAAACAGTTTTCATCATTAAAGGAAGGTCCAGTTATTCTTTTTTTCTTTCACAAAGTCCCTGATTGAATCACCTCCTCCTTCCAGCATGTTTGTTTATTTACATACATACAGAGACACAAGTACATACATACATATATCCTATTACTGGCATCTCACTTTGACTTAAAGATGATGAAAGCCATTTCAGTCACTATCTCAGGGGATGCCACTTCCCTTACCTCCCCTGTCACGTTGGACATACCCACAATAGACCCAATACAGAAGAAAACAAAAATTCTTAGAAGTTCATACTGACTTACCTACTGAAGCAATGTACCAGATTACGTGTTCTTTACATGCCTTCCAATTCTAAAAATCTATAAGAAATCACAACTGCACACACAACAGGTGCTCTACAGTTTTGTAAATGATGCAGTATGTGCCCAGGCGTGGCAGCAGATAGACTTTCAGGCTTCAGGAGTCCAAACCTCTGTCAATACCAGGATTATTATCCACACCGTTAGTTTCTTAATGTGAAGGATATCTCAAAATTGATGTATAACACATTACAGACAGCGAGAAAATATTTCCAAATTATATCTGATAAAGGACTTGTATCTAGAATATATATAAAAGACTCATAACTCAATGGTAAGAAAACAACCCAATTTTTAAAATGGGCAACACATCTGAATAGACATTTCACCAGTGAAGATATAGGATTGGCTAATAAACACATGAAAAGATGTTCAGTCGGCTGGGTGCAGTGGCTCATGCCTGTAAGCCCAGCACTTTGGGAGGCCTAGGGGGGCGGATCACAAGGTCAGTAGATGGAGACCATCCTGGCCAACATTGTGAAAACCTGTTTCTACTAAAAATACAAAAATTAGCTGGGCATGGTGGTGTGTGCCTGTAATCCCAGCTACTCGGGAGGCTGAGGCAGGAGAATCACTTGAACCTAGGAGGCAGAGGTTGCATTGAGCTGAAATGGTGCCACTGCACTCCAGCCCGGGCTATAGAGCAAGACTCCATCTCAAAAAACAAGGAAAAAAAAAAAGAAAAGAAAAGAAAAGATGCTCAGTCAACATCATGAGTCATTAGAAATATACAAATTAGGCCAGGCATGATGGCTCACACCTGTAATTCCAGCACTTTGGGAGGTTGAGGCAGGCAGATCATGAGGTCAGGAGTTCGAGACCGGCCTGGCCAACATAGTGAAACCCCATCTCTACTAAAAATACAAAGATTAGCTGGGCATGGTGGTGTGCGCCTGTAGTCCCAGCTACTCGAGAGGCTGAGGCAGGAGAATCACTTGAACAAGGGAGGCGGAGGTTGTGGTGAGCCAAGATCCTGCCACTGCACTCCAGCCTGGGCAACAGAGGGAGACTCCATCTGAAAAAAAAAAAAAAAAAAAAAGAAATATACAAATTAAAACCACAGTGAGACTTCACACACACTAGAATGACAATAAATCAAAATGCACTGACAATTACAAGTGTTGGCGAGGATCTTGAGCCTCCTCAGTGTGGAGTCCTCACAAAGCTCTAGGATTGTAAAAGGGTGCAGCTATTACCACAAGTTTGGTGGTTCCTTAAAAACTAAATATGAATTTACCACACAATCCAGCAATCTAATCTCCCTCTTAGGTATATATATCCACGAAAAATGAAAACATATGTCCACACAAAGAGTTTGCATGCAAGTGTTCACAACAGTATCATTCATAATAGCCCAAAGTGGAAACAATCCAAATTTGAAGGGGTAAACAAAATTAGTATGTCCATACAATGGAATGCTATTCAGAAAAAAAAAAAATGATGAACTATCGGTACATGTTTTAACATGGCTCTACCTCAAAAATGTCATGTAAGGTGAATGGAGCTAGACTCAAAGACTACATATTTTATGATGTCATTTATATGAAAGGTTCATAAAAGGCAATTTTATGGACACACAAAAGATTAAGTTGCTTGGGGCTGGGGAGTGGGAATGGGGAGTGGCTACAAATGAGCATGAGGGATCATTTTGGGATGATGGAAATGTTCTAAAACTGGATTGTGGTGATAAATGCACAATGCTTGTCTATTTACCAAATCGTTAAATTATACACTTAAAATTGGTGAGTC
Source organism: Homo sapiens (assembly GCF_000001405.40). Classification (NCBI taxonomy): domain Eukaryota; kingdom Metazoa; phylum Chordata; class Mammalia; order Primates; family Hominidae; genus Homo; species Homo sapiens. Next base: position 71,981,922 of record NC_000009.12, on the reverse strand, counting down.
TTACACATGTAAATTATGCCTCGATAAAGCATTTTAAAAATATAGAGACAATTATCACTATGAGAAAAGCTTTCATACAATTTAACTGACTTTACAGCACAATGAAGGCTGGTATTTTTCTCAGTAATTCCCAACCATTTCCAGGCCAAGAATTCCTTTTTAACAGCAAAAAAATCATAGCCCCACAATAGTTAAATTGAACCTTAAGCATAAATTGAGGAAATACATAATTTCAGGAATACTGTGATAATTTTAATTGAATTTGGACTTAACTAATCACATCTACTACATATAAAAATAGAATATAAATAGCAAGATATAGTAGTCAGTCTACTAACAATGTTAAGTGCAGATATAGAATCACCAGCTCCTCCATACAGGTGGGGTCTCACTCAAGGGACAGTGACTCCTGAGTTGAAACTCCTTCTAAAGCTTCCAACTCCTTAATGCAGCAGTGAACCAAGAAAAGAAAAATTGCTGCTTTAAGTTCAATTCCATGATGTTTTTAGTCATCTCTGCAATTAGTTTACAGCTGGGAAGAACATGATTTATTTTTCGGACTAGAAGCATGTCCCATGTGTGGGCAAAATTTACTTGACAAGTGGATCATAGAAAAAGAGGATGCTGTATGACTGGAAAAATATACAGAGGTTGACTGGTTAGATGCTGGTCCAAGCATACTATGGAGCTGTTTTGTGGATTCCTGATTTGTCTCTAATCTATCCCCTAGGGCCCATTTCAGTTGTACCTGCTTGTGTAACCACACAGCTACAATGCAAACTTTATATCAGATGTTCATGACCTTGCAGAGACAGCCTGGCCCCTCACTGTGGCTTGCTTCCTCTGGGATTTTCATTTTCTGTTGGATATCCTCTCACATTTACGGACAGTAGTATAGCATCATTAAGCATTTCCAGCATTACCAGTTGAGGATTTCCCACACATAAATCACTTAATAGGATCTGAAGTGTACTATTACCATGACCAAGAAAGGGATTCCAAAATTGTTTCCAAATTATTTATGAAACACTTGTTTGTTTCAGTAAGTCTTGTTTTTGTCACTGTCCACTGGCAGCCACTCACACTGCACCTGCCTTGTGTCAGCTGGCAGCCACAAGTGTTGCAGAGACGAGAAACATAGGAGAAACTTATTTTTAAACAGTGTGTAACTGTTTAGTTACACTTCTAAATAGTGAGCTCAGAATGTTTTTGGGTGAAGTATATAATATACTATTCTCCCTGTGTTTCCAGATTACTCATTATATGTTTTTCCAGAGTCACAGTTGGACCTATTGCTTTAAATTTAGAGTACTTAGCCAGAAAACATATCGAGTACAGTACACTGTTGGGAAGTGTAAATAATATAGTTTTAAAAATCATTTTATCTTATGTTTCCTGACTTTGCGGACATGTTGTAATATCCTCTGCTAAGGGATGTCAGTTTTGTCCTGTTCTAGACCATCTTTTCTAACCTCAGCTGGTCACGGCAATTTCCCCAGGGCCAATTCATTTCCTTTTTCAGTTATTTAGGTCATTGTTCCCATGTTATGATTTTTCTTCATAATGGCAAAAGAAATAAATAACTCTTACAGATTAAAGAAAAAATATAGGCCAGGTGTAATGGCTTACACCTGTAATCCCAGCACTTTGGAAGGCTGAGATGGGTGGATCACTTGCAGTCAGGAGTTCGAGACCAGCCTGGCCAAAATGGTGAAACCCTGTCTCTACTAAAAGTACAAAAATTAGCCGGGCATGGTGGCGCGCACCTGTGATCCTAGCTACCCTGAAGGCTGAGGCAGGAGAATCGCTTGAACCCGGGAGGTGGAGGTTGCAGTGAGCCGAGATTGTGCCACTGCACTCTAGCCTGGGTGACAGAGTGAGACTCCATCTCAAAAAAAAAAAAAAAGAAAAAAGAAAAAGAATTTGTCACAATAAATTTGTAACTATATTAAACAAGTAAAAATAAAAAGTGGAATACATAAGGTCATACTGAATTATGCTAAAAATTTATTTGTAATTTAAAATGCAAATTTAGAATTTGAATAAAAGTTCAGTGTAATGGAGTATGTTTTTCTAATTCACTTTCTATTTTTAGTTCAATTTTGTAATTTTAAAATATCAATTTTTTGATCACTTGATTTACTCAAGTTCCTTGGTGTGTGTGTGATATCAATTATAATTAGCAATAGTTATAGTTTTGACAAAGAAATAATGGACAGTTTATAAAGTTGTTACTGTCAATATTTTTTCTAAAGCTTGCTATTGCACTCACACCTTTATGGGTGGTATTATTTAAGGGTCTATAACTCAACAAGTATTAAAAACTGTGAATAGCAAGCCTGACTTTCCTGTATAAATGTTTTCATTGGAGGGGTTTGCTTCTGCCCTTTCAGTGTAATAGGAATTCCGTCTCCAGGTTTCTTTCTTTTACCTCCATCCAAGAGTTTCAAGATTACCTGCTTCCTACGCCCACAAAACCCCCTAGGATGATTTGAAAGGAATGTCTCAACCAAAAAGTATCAAGTAATATTTATAAACATCATGAAGAGAGTCCCTACTATGATAAGTGTTTTCTACATATTTAATACTCACAATAAGTTTACACTGTAGAAATTACAGCCCTCATTTTTCAAAGAAAGGCACACATAACATAACGTCACGAAGGTAAAGAAATGAGAACAGTGTCACAGCGGTGAGATTCAGATCATTCTGCCTCAGAGTGGTTTTATCTACTACTCTTGTTTAAGTCAAGATTTATGTTGTTTCATTTTAAGGCATGGATTTCACAACAATACATTACTACTAATTTATTTTTAAAAGTGTTATTAGTTTTTAATTGAGGTAAAACTGACATACAACTAAATAAGCAAAAAAACATTTTTTTTTCTTGAGACGGAGTCTCACTCTGTTGCCAGGCTGGAGTGCAGCGATGCAACCTCAGATCACTGCAACTTCCACCTCCTGGGTTCAAGCAATTCTCCTGCCTCAGCCTCCCAAGTAGCTGGGACTACAGGCACCCGCCTCCACGCCCGGCTAATTTTTTGTATTTTTAGTAGAGACGGGGTTTCACCATGTTGGCCAGGAAGGTCTAGATCTCTTGACCTTGTGACCCACCCACCTTGGCCTCCCAAAGTGCTGGGATTACAGGCCTGCACCACCATGCCCAGTCAAAATAAACAAATTTTAAGTGCTGAATTTTATGTTTCTGTACCTGTGTAGCTACCACCTGGATCAAGATACAGATGATTCCAGCATTCCAGAAGTTCCCCTCTTATACACATTCCCAGTCAATACCACCTCCCCAAAGATAACCACTATTCTGATGTCTATCACCATAAGTTACTTAAAACGATTTCTGAACTTTGCATAATGCGGCCCATAAAGTATATAATACCTTGTGTCTGGATTCTTTTGCTCAAGGTATCTGTAAAAAAAACTATATTTTAAAAAATGTTAGTTACAACTTATGTTGAATTCAAAGACATTTGATCTACTTTAAAAATGAAAAAAAGTGACCGGGCGCAGTGGCTCATGCCTGTAATCTCAGCACTTTGGGAGGCTGAGGCAGGCAAATCACCTAAGGTCAGGAGTTTGAGACCAGCCTGGCCAACATTGCAAAACGCTGTCTCCATAAAAAATACAAAAATTAGCTGGGCATGGTGGCGGGCACCTGTAATCCCAGCTACTTGAGAGGCTGAAGCCAGAGAATCTCTTGAAACCGGGAGGCAGAGATTTCAGTGAGCTGAGATCGCGCCACTGCACTCCAGCCTGGGTGACACAGTGAGACTCCGTCTCAAAAAATTAAAAAGTTCATTTAAAATATTTAAATGATTTACATATAAATGTTTACTATTAAAATTTAATCCATATACTTCAAATTAACATTGCTAGAGGTTATAGAAATGTTTAAACCAAGTTTTGATGAAATACTGTACCACTTGTACCACTTAGTTTAAAGGTGCAACCACATTAAAGTTTCATGTATGAGATTTGGAAAGGTATGATTTTTTTCAGTAGGTATGATGATTGACAAAATTGTGGGACTCACTAGCATAGAGATGAGTAAGCAATTCTAACCCCCTAGATTCCATCAGTGTAGCCAGTAAAAATTGTGGAAAGTGGTCCTGTAACATTCAGTATTGCTGACAAATCTGAACAATACGAGAGAAAAAAATTCTATGCCACAATTACAGGGCAATCATTCAATACAGGATTAATGTTACAAGGAAAGGAAAAGACCTAGAAAGAGGGGTAAAAGGAAGGGACAAAGATGTGTTAAAGGTTAATATTGTTATATATTTCACTTAAGAAAAAAGTTTAGGATCATGGAATATTTATAACTTTGCATAAATGTGACATCTATCAGTTTTAATTTTACATTATAAATGTATAATGTGTATAAGATCTATCTTATATAAGATTTAGGTCTTACATATATAATCTTGTATACATGGTATATCAATTCTTCTTTTGCAGAATGTAATCAAACAACCAAATTGATAAGCCTTCACTACTAATGAATCATTTTTTGATACACTGATCTTTCTCTTTTTGCCATAGCACGTAAGTGCTATAAAATAGGGTTATAAAACTTGCTGAGGTATCAGCTGGGAATGCATTTGACTGAAAGTAACAGAATTTCTAATTAGCAACAGCTTATGCATTAAATGTCTAATGAGACGTGTAATTAACTTTTTTTTTTTTTTACAACAAAAGAAACTTTATTTAAAAACTTTTTTTTACAGATATGGGTGCTTGAAAAAGCTCTGGACATGTAATTATCTTACAAGAATTCTAGAGGTGGGTGAGCCCAGGGCTGGTTAGTTCAGCAGCTTCACAATGTCAGGGCTCTGGATCACTGTCTCTGCAGCTCGTTTGGTACCCCTATCATGGCTGCAAGCTCTAGACATCATGCTTCCTCACAATCATATTCAGGTAGAAACAGCCTGTTTTGAAAAGTGCTTTCTTCTTGTCAGTGAGGTAAGTCTTTCCCAGATTGTCTCAGCAGATTCCCCTCATATGCTGGATACTCCTAGTTGCAAGAGAGGCTTTGAAAGAGAAAACGGGACAACGGGGGTACTATATTCTAGTATGTAGAGAAGTAAATAGGCATGGGAATGGCTTTTTGCCATATGCAGCTAATTGTATTTGTTACAGTTGATCAGAATCACCTGAGGAGTTGAAAAAAAAAAAATCCTGGGCTATATTCCAGACCAAATGAACCACAATATCCCAGGAATAAGAATTTTTTTTTTTTTTTTGAGATGGAGTCTCGCTCTGTGTCCCAGGCTGGAGTGCAGTGGCGCGATCTCGGCTCACTGTAAGCTCCGCCTCCCGGGTTCATGCCATTCTCCTGCCTCAGCCTCGCAAGTAGCTGGGACTACAGGCGCCCGCCACCACGCCCGGCTAATTTTTTGTATTTTTAGTAGAGACGGGGTTTCACCACGTTAGCCAGGATGGTCTCGATCTCCTGACCTCGTGATCCACCCGCCTCGGCCTCCCAAAGTACTGGGATTACAGGCATGAGCCACCGTGCCCGGCCAATAATTTTCTTAAAAGCTCCTCATATAAGTTTTATGATCAGAGCTTTGGCACTTCTATAATAAAGCACTGTAATATTTCAGAATATGTGAATGCAGTCTTGATATCCTCCTGCCAGATATCAAGGTGCAACAAATTAATGCACTACATTAAAGTGATTCATTTCATTAAAACAAAACAAAGCCTTCATCTCATTTCTGTATGTTATGATACAAACAGCTTTTGGACTAGAAGGGTTAATTCCTAAAAATATATGTAGAGGAACTAAATATAATAAAGTCTGCTTAAAATACAAAACAATCTTTCTTAGCACTAAGGAATGAAATGCAGCTATTAATATATGTCACTAGGTGATGCTCTTTGTTAAATTTTTTTCCTGGTAAAGTCATCTGAGGAATTAGTATTCATTCACATGGGAAAGAATTTATGGTAGGTCCAGTAAGACTTTAGTTGGCTCCTTAATCACAAAAGTTAAATAGTCCAGAAAAGAAGTTTATATGCAAAAAAGGAAAGCCACACAAATTTATGGACAGAAAATTTATTTCTTTTGAGACAGAGTTTCACTCTTGTTCCCCAGGCTGGAGTGCAATAGCGCTATCTTGGCTCACCACAACCTCTGCCTCTTGGGTTGAAGTGATTCTCCTGCCTCAGCCTCCGGACTAGCTGGGATTACAGGGATGCGCCACCAGGCGTGGTTAATTTTGTGTTTTTAGTAGAGATGGGGTTTCTCTGTGTTGGTCAGGCTGGTCTCGAACTCCCGACCTCAGGTGATCCGTCCGCCTTGGCCTCCAAAAGTGCTAGGATTACAGGCGTGAGGCAACACGCCCAGCGGGACAGAACATTTCTTTCAGTCAGGCTATATGTTTAGAATACTGAGACTTTCAAATTGTGAAGATAGTATTTCTATTCATTTTTGTCTCCACGTTTTTTTTTTTTTTTTGAGATGGAGTCTTGCTCTTGTCACCCAGGCTGTAGTGCAATGGCGCGATCTTGGCTCACTGCAACCTTTGCTTACCGGGTTCAAGCGATTCTCCTGCCTCAGCCTCCGGAGTAGCTGGGATTGCAGGCACCTACCACACCCGGCTAGTTTTTGTTATTTTTAGTAGGGTTTCACCATGTTGGGCAGGTTGGTCTCAAACTCCTGACCTCAGGTGATCTGCCTGCCTTGGCCTCCCAAAGTGCTGGGATTACAGGCATGAGCCAACTCACCCAGCCTCCACTTTCTTTAATGTCTTGATAAGATTTTATATTTTTGTTGACAGAGTTCTTGAATACTTTTTGATGTATTCCCAGGTAATATTTTCTGATGTCAGTGAAATGTTATCTATGTCTGCACTTTTTTTATGCTGAAATATTTTACAGTAAATTAGTATTACATCCTTAAGTATTTCAGTATGGATTTCTAAAATAACATTCCACTTAAATTATTCCCTAATATCACCTATTATCAAAAGTGAAATAGCCAATAAACACAAAAAGGGGCTCAAGCTTATTTGTAATTAGAAATACAATTATTAAGACAAAGAGATACTATTGCACACATATTCAACTGGCAGAAATTTAAAAGTCTGATACCAAGTATTAGAAGATGCAGAGTGCTGAAATTCTAATCCATTTCTATGAACAAGGGGATAAAATCTCTCCGGCAAAGTTTTGTTTTACATAGCAAAAGTGAAGATGCATCGACCTGATTCCCTCTACCACTGCTAGATACATACCTAACAGAAATGCACAGGTCTACCAACAGACACATGTAACAATGCTCATGCTAGTATTGATGTAACAGGAAAAATGTGAGATAACTCAAATGTCTCTCAATGTTAGAAAAAACAAACTATGGGCCAGATGTGGAGGCTCATGTCTGTAATTCCAGCATTTCGGGAGGCCAAGGTGGGTGGATCGCTTGAGGCCAGGAGTTCGAGACCACCTGGCCAACATGGTGAAACTTCGTCTCTACTAAAAATACAAAAATTACCCAGGTGTGGTGGTGCAGGCCTGCAGTCCCCGCTACTAGGGAGGCTAAGGCAGGAGAATCACTTGAACCCGGGAGGTGGAGGCTGCAGTGAACCGAGATCATGCCACTGCACTCTACCTGGGCAACAGAGCGAGACTCCATCTCAAAAAAAAAAAAAGTAAAATAAAAAATAAAAAATATGGCCTGGCATGGTGGCTCACACCTGTAATCCCAGCACTGTGGGAGGCCGAGGCAGGTGGATCACCTGAGGTCAGGAGTTCAAGACCAGCCTGGCCAACATGGTGAAACCCCGTCTCTACTAAAAAGACAAAGATCAGCTGGGCGTGGTGGCGGGCACCTGTAATCTCAGCTACTTGGGAGGCTGAGGCAGGAGAATCGCTTGAACCCAGGAGGTGGAGGTTGCAGTGAGCTGAGATTGCGCCATTGCACTCCAGCCTGTGCAACAAGAGTGAAACTCTGTCTCAGAAAAATAAATTAATAAAATAAATAAAATTAAAGAAATAAAATAAGAAACGTAATAAAAAAAGAAGAGTTAAAAAAAAAAAACAACAAAACCCAGACCAAGCTAATTTATATTGTTTAGGAGTACAAACATGGGTAGTAAAAAAATTAAGACAATAATGATCAAAATTCAGAATAGTGCCAACTATGGGAAGAAAGATGAACTTTTGCTGAGGGAGAGCCTCACTGGGGTGTCCTGATGCTGGCAGTTTCCTCACCGAGGTGTGTAAATGCATGAACTTTCCTTTATAATTATTATAAAAAATGCATACACTTATAAAGTGTATAAATTATATGCACTTTTTCTGTATGTACATTTCACGAGAAAAAAGTTAAAATGTGATGAAATATATAAAAATACAAAGCAGAATTGCTATACGCTTGTTAAACATTATTATTTGGAAAAAATTGCTTTTACTTTGTAAAAATTAAACATAAGCGACAGGGCTTTTGCTATGAGTCATTTATTTGAGATCATTTATCAAAAGGCACTTACCGAGGACCAATTTTTGAGGCAATGTAATAATGTTATTTTATTTTTACATGAGCTAGTTCTTATACAACCATCAATTCTGAATCTTGTTTAGTTTGATGTTAAGTAATATACACAATTTATATTGTTCATGTATGAAATTTGTCTATTTTTCCATAGCTTTTTCTGATTTCCTCATTAGGATTTCAAATATCTTTTGGAAAATACTCAAAGCCAAAAGGTGGTCAGAATTTCACATTCTAAATTGACTTTTTATTTTATTTTTTTTGAGACAGAGTCTCACTCTGTCACCCAGGCTGGAGTGTAATGGCACGAACTCAGCTCACTTCAATCTCCGCCTCCAGGGTTCAAGCAATCCTCCTGCCTCAGCCTCCTGAGTAGCTGGGATTACAGGCATGAGCCACCACGCCCAGCTAATTTTTTGTACTTTTAGTGGAGATGGGGTTCCGCCATGTTGGCCAGGCTGGTCTCGAACTCCTGACCTCAGGTGATCCACCCTCCTTGGCCTCCCAAAGTGTTGGGATTACAGGCGTGAGCCACTGTGCCCGGCAGACTTTTAATACAGTGATATTAATTCATTTGATGGTCTCCTCCTGTGTCTTCTAAATCAATATCAAAATCTAAATCATCATCACTTTCTTCATTTCTTCTGCAGCTTCTTCTATGGTTGGAACTTAGATTATTTTCAGTATGTTCTATTTTTTCTGTTTCTTTATTCAACCTAAAGATGAAAGAAAAAATTTCTATTTATTTCCCAGGCTATCATTATTTAACCATGTAGATTGAAAAGACTTTTACCACTACACTTCTTGAATAACAGAAACCTAATGAAGTAAGTATAAAGAAAAAGATCCACCTGGGAGTGGTGGCTCATGCCTGTAATCCCAGCACTTTGGGAGACCAAGGCGTGCAGATCACCTGAGGCCAGGGGTTCGAAACCAGCCTGGCCAACGTGGCAAAACCCCGTCTCTACTAAAAATACAAAATTAGCTGGGTGTGGTGGTGCAAGCCTGTAATCCCAACTACTTGGGAGGCTGAGGCAGGAGAATCGCTTGAACTTGGGAGGCGGAGGTTGCAGTGAGCCAAGATCGTGCCATTGCACTCTAGCCTGGACAACAAGAGCGAAACTCCTTCTCAAAAAAAAAAAATCATTGAACGCTAACTTGAGATCCAACCAATTATAATACTATTGTCACTAAAGTAGGCTCAAATAAATTAATATATGATGTCTATTAAAAGAAAAGTTGTTAAATAATGTGTAATTCTTTTGTAATGAATATGAATCTCACACATAAATATTTTATTTTCTTAAAAATATAGTTTCACTTTTATTGTAATGATAGAAAAATAATTTTAAAAGTCTATATTAGTTTGACATACAACTTAAGTCTAAGGGTTATGGATCACGGATCATCTCTTTTTTTTTTTTTTTTTTTTGAGATGGAGTCCCACTATATGTTACCCAGGCTGGAGTGCAGTGGCACCATCTCAGCTTACTGCAACCTCTGCCCCCCAAGTTCAAGCGATTCTCCTGCCTTAGACTCCCGAGTAATTGGGATTACAGGCGCCTGCCACTGTGCCCGGCTAATTTTTTTGTATTTTTAGTAGAGATGAGGTTTCACCATCTTGGCCAGTCTGGTCTTGAACTCCTGACCTCGTGATCCACCTGCCTTGGCCTCCCAAAGTACTGGGATTACAGGCGTGAGCCACTGCGCCTAGCAAGGATCATCTCTTAAAAGAAATTCATGTATCAATCACTAAGAGTAAAATTCAAACATAAAAGGAAACACTCACGGAATAACAATGTCTTCTTTCTTTCCACATTTTGCGCAAACTTCAAGTTCACAGGCACATGGCCTGCACATTATGTGATAAGAATCCTTCACTGTCTTTTGTAAACATTTAACACTAAAATAAAAAATAAAATGTTAACTTATTTATGTTTATTTCAGACTTATTTGATAAAATAAGATGTGTCTAAATGTATAGTTAAAAAGCCTAAGAAATCAAAATTCCTAGGTTTCAATTTCAGGTGTTTATCTTATGTCACTCTAAATTAATTATATCACATTTCTAAATAACAGTTTACAGCTGCAGAATAAAACTGCTGGATATTTATCCACTCTTAAAATTTTTTAAAGTGTCATTAAAAATGTGTTAAAACAAGATCAATATACAAAACTCAACTGTATTTCTATACACTACCAAGAAACAATCTACCAAAGAATAAAGGAATAAATCCAATAAAAGAAGTGCAAGACCAATACACTGAAAATTACAAAACATCACTGAAAGAAACTAAAGACCTAACTATACGGAAAGACATCCCATATTTTATATGAAAAGACTTAATATTGTAGGCCGGGAGTAGTGCTCAGGCCTGTAATCCCACCAGTTTGGGAGGCTGAGGCGGGCAGATCACCTGAGATCAGGAGTTTGAGACCAGTCTGGCCAACATGGTGAAACCCCATCTCTACTAAAAATACACAAATTTAGCTGGGTGTGGTGGCATGCCTGGGAGATGTGCCACAGTACTTCAGCCTGGGCAAGAGTGGGACTCCATCTCAGGAAAAAAAAAAAAAAGACTTAATATTGAGAATATTGAGAAGATAGCAATACTCCCCAAACTGATCTACAGACTCAATGAACTCTCTATTAAAATTCCAGCTGGCTTTTTTTGCAGAAATTGACAAGCTAATCCTAAAGTTCATACAGAAATTCTAGGCACCCAGGATAGCCAAAACAATCTTGAAAAGGAACAATAAAATGTGAGGATTCACATGTATTGATTTCAAAACACACTACAAACCTACAGTAACCCAGACTGTGTAGTACTGACATAAGAATAGACGTATATAGG